>NC_000023.11:154475606-155675606 GCF_000001405.40 Homo sapiens
GTAAAATAATAAAGAGAAGGACGTGTGAGGCAGGACTGGATTGTAGCCCAGGATAAAGAGAAGTTGCGGGATGACAGCTGTGCCGTCGGCCCAGACAGAACCATCTGGACAGAGGACAGAGGATAAGGGAGATGGTTGAAAATACTACCATCATATGATAATGACAACTAAGCCACAGGAAAACAAGGCAGTTTTAACCTCAGGGGAAATCCCTCAGAAATGGATGGAATCTACCAGAAGCATCATGAGAGGAAGAGGAAGGGAAACAGAGCTAAATTGGGGCCAGGTGTGGTGGCTCGCACTTGTCATCCCAGCACTTTTGGAGGCCCAGGCGGGAAGATCACTGGAGCCCAGGAGTTCAGGACCAGCCTGGGCAACAAAGCGAGATCCCCTCTCTACAAAAAATAAAAAACTAGCCAGGCATGGTGGTGCATGCCTGTGGTCCCAGTTACTCAGGAGGCTGAGGTGCTGGGGAACAAGGCTGCAGTGAGCTGTGATTGTGCCAGCCTAGGTGACAGAGCCAGACCCTGTATCAAAAAAAATAATAATAATTAAAAAACAAAAGATCGGCTGGGCGCGGTGGCTCATGCCTGTAATCCCAGCACTTTGGGAGGCTGAGGTGGGTGGACCACCTGAGGTCGGGAGTTCGAGACCAGCCTCACCAACATGGAGAAACCCTGTGTCTACTAAAAATACAAAATTAGCTGGGCGTGGTGGTGCATGCCTGTAATTCTAGCTACTTGGGAGGCTGAGGCAGGAGAATTCACTTGAACCCGGGAAGTGGAGGTTGCGGTGAGCCAAGATCGCACCATTGCACTCCAGCCTGGGCAACAAGAGTGAAACACTGTCTCAAAAAAAAAAAAAAAAAGTGAAAGATCTAAATTGTCAACTATTCGTCAATAATTAATGTCTAAAAAATATTAAGAAAGGAAGAAAGGAATGAGAGCAAAAGAGAGGGAGAGAGGAAAGTGTCATCTTCATAAGCTGAAGGCCAGTGCCACCGTCACCACTGGCAGAGCTCCCCAGATTCTACAAAGGGAAACTGTTCCTCCATATGGAGTAATAGGGACTGGATATGTCATGCCAAATGAAAGAACACGCCAAACCAGACAAAATATATGGAATGCAGAGTATTAAAAAACTGGCTGTGGGCCAGTGAGGGACAGCGACGTGTGGGAGCTGGGAAACAAGGTAAGCCATGCGACTGGCCCAGTGTCCTGTGTGGAGTTTCCTGGTGGAGCCTGGCAGACACCCGGACTTTAGGAGTTGAAACTGATTCAGAGCGTCCCAGCAGCTGGAGTTTGCAGGGCGGAGAACCAGAGAGAAGAGAGCTGCACAGGGAAAGAACCCTGGATATCCACAGAGGCTCCCGTTCCAGTGTGCAGCGGACTACGACTACTGGTGAGCACAGGCGTGTGAGGAAGCTACCCAAGACCAGGGAAGGCCATCACCCCAGCAGGAGAGGATGAACGGTAACTCCAGTGTGCAAGCAGGACAGGGACTAGCAGCTGTCCCCACCCACCAGGATAGAGAAGCTCATGTTCACCTAGGCAGCACTGGCCAGGGTGCCCAGAATGGTGTTTGTTGCCTCCATAGAGGGAAACAAGCCTACAGTTAAGAGCTGCTCTGGTCCCACACAGCACATCTTCAAAGCAAGACTCAAAAGGATCAAACCATTTCCTTGTTTTCTGAGAATAAAAGCAGTTGTACCTCTTCCTTTTCACTCTCAGAAAATCTGATAGAATCTATAAAAGAGCCCTAAGGCTGGAGACACTGTATTTTCCAGGGAGCCAACTCCTTGCCCCAGACACTAGTCAATTGCCCCAGCACTTTCTTCACTGATCGTTAGAGGAAAAAAGCTCATGTTAGATTTAAAAATCAGGAAAAAAATTTAACACTAAACTTGCAAATATTATGTGGTGTATATTACAGTTACACATTTACTATGTAAGTGCAACTGTAAAACTGAGGAAGTATTCCAAAATGTTGACAGTAGTTAATCCTGAATGACAGAACCCAATTGATTTTCATTTTCTTCCATTTCCTAAATTGTCTTCAATTTCCTTGTACTCCTTGAATATCTGAATTCTAGAACCCCCCCCCCAGCAACCCAAGCACAACAAGAATATTGGGAGGTGCCCCAGCTGCAAATAAACTCAGACTTGGAATAGTAGCGCAGTTTTATTTTCTGTAGTAACAAACATTTAAGAACCAGATAAAACATGAGGCCCTCCCAGGAAAGTAGCAACTGTGGGAATTCCTGCCCTAGGGAAGGATGGACGCACTGCCTACAAGGAGACGCAAAGTGGGACCTCGCTCCATTTGCCCAGGCCAGGCTTAGCGGGAAACGGGGGGCCCAAAGCGCTGCATGGTCCGCACCACCAGGGAAAGCTGGTCAAGAAAGTTGATGACGGAAATTCGGAGCAGGCGACAGTCTTCAGCTTTCCAGCGGCTAAAAGTGAGGGGAAAAGAAAATCAAATTGGAGGTGGCAACTCCTGGTCCCTCGCTCTGCCCCTCAGGCACCCAATATAGCAAACCCTTGGGAGCCCTGCCATTACACAGCCCCTCAGGCAGAGACCGGCCCAGCGCACCTGGCGCTCCTTAGGGCTCATCCTTGGATGTCCCCCATGTCTCCATGGGCCGCCTCCCCCAACCCCGTCCCTTTCAGAACTTACACGACCAGGATCCTGCCACTCACTGTGAGATCCTTCCCAACCACCCTTTGGTGGGGCTCGGCATCTGGTGCCAGGGACCCATGGGCGATTTCCGCCTCCAAGGGGGTCGGGAAAGGCACGCTGAGGGTGCTGGGGGTCATTCGGTTAAGGTGCCATCTGATACGATCTTGCCTATGTCTCAGGCCTTCTTGCTCCTCTGAAGCCCCCTCTCAGGTCACCCTGCCTAGTGTCACCCCCTTCACTCCTTACCTCGCCCAGGCCACCGTTAGCAGAGCTTCTCCCTCCATTTCAATGTCTTCCCCTCCTCCGACCACCTCTGACCGTATACGCCAGCCCCGGTCCCCCCCTGCTACCCTTTCCGTCGGCCCCCCGCCCGCCCTCCTTTCCTTCTCCCCGAGTCCAGCCCTCGCTCCGCCGCAAGCAGCCCCCAGCTCGGAAAGGATACAATATGTGCGGCCGCATTCGTGACCCCCTGGCCGCAGACGCGGCGTCTCTGCCCGGACCTGGCGCGTGCGCTGGGGGAGCTCCACCGGCCGGAGCTGCGGCTGTGTCCACGCCCCCGCGGCAGCTGTGGCCACCCCGGCCATCCCCGCCGTCAGCGCCTCCGCCTGCGTCTGCATCCGCGTCCCGCATGACCGCCGCCGCGCCGCTCCGACTCCACCCCCGAAGCGCAGGTCCTACGCCCCGCCCTCTCTGTGGCTCCTTCCCGAAGCCCCGCCCCCTGCGCACGACTCCGCCCACACGCGCCTGCGCAGGTCCCTGGAGAGCCTGACTGGCGCGTGGTCAGTTCCCGCCAAGCGGCCCTGCCGGGGGCCTTCTGAGACCCGGTCAGCGGTTGAGAGGCTGCGGTTTCCTCCAGAAACTCTGCCCTTTCGCGCGTAACTCGATTCCAGAGCGCTGGTGCAAACTGACCCACAGTCGGTCCGGCCCCAGGAAGCCAACCCTGACGGGGCTTTTGAAGACACCGTGGTCGCCTATCCCAGAGGCGCACCCCGCGAGGCTCCGCCCCTAAGCGCGCCTTGTGACCTTAGCGCGCCTGCGCTGGCGGGGCCTTCCCCCTTGTCCCTGGAGGCCCCAGTGAGGCCCTGCGGTGCCTGGACGGCTTCCCGCCCCGTTTCTTACCTGGACCCAAGAGCCCCAGGAGATGTGGCACAACGTCCATGTTGCGATTCGCAGAGGGAGGGTGGCCGGGTCGGGTAACCCCCAAGGATACTGCTCTTGCCCTCAACCCCAGTGCCCAACCAACGGGGCTTCACCATGGACTGTGAAGCATCGGATGTGCATTTTAGAGGAAGCATTTTAGAGCGGGTGGGCTGTGCAGAGCGGGGGAGCCTGTCAGCAGGAGGCCTGCACGGAGGCGAAAAATGACAGGGCCTTGAATGAAAGTACTGGCGGTGGGTCTAGGTCTAATATAACGTGAAAAATCAGACTGCACAACTATGAGTATGAAAATGCCAGTTTAGGCCAGGCAAAGTGGCCCCCGCTTGGAATCCCAGCACTTTGGAAGGCCAAGGGAGGAGGATCACTTGAGCCCAGGAGTTCAAGACAAACACAGGCAACATAGTGAGACCCCGTCTCTACAAAAAATACAAAAATAAATTTTAAAAGTTAGCTGGGAGTGGTGGAGCGTGCCTGTAGTCATAGCTTCTTGGAGGCTGAGGAGGGTTGATTGCTTGAGCCCGGGAGTTCGACACCAGCCTGGGCAACATAGTGAAACCCTGCCTCTACAAAAAATACAAAAATTAGCTGGGTGTGATGGTGCACACCTGTGGTCCCAGCTACTAGGGAGGCTGAGATGGGAGGACAGCCTGAGCCCGGGAGGCAGAGGCTGCAGTTAGCCGTGATCGCCCCACCGCACTCCAGCCTGGTTGATAGAGCCAGACCCCGCCTCAAAAAATAAAAGAAAATGCCAACTTAGTCTCTTACTGTACATATGTAGAGAAATCCTAGAACAATACAGCGTCAGGTAAATCCTCATGATCTCTGCTAATAGTATGGTGGGTGACTTTAATTTCCTTTTTGTGTTTTCCCTCCAATTTTTCCGAAGTGGTCTTTTATGACATTTACAATAAAAAAAAAAGTATTTAAAGTGACATCAGTCCGGGCACGGTGGCTCACGCCTATAATCCCAGTACTTTGGGAGGCCGAGGCGGGTGGATCACTTGAAGTCAGGAGTTCAACACCATCCTGGCCAACATGGTGAAACCCCCGGCCCTACTAAAAATAACAAAAATTAGCTGCGTGTCGTGGTGTGCGCCTGTAGTCCCAGCTATTCGGGAGGCTGGGACAGAAGAATCACTTGAACCCGGGAGGTGGAGGTTGTGGTGAGCCGACATCACGCCACTGCACTCCAGCCTGGGCGACAGAGGGAGACTGTCTCAAAAAGAAAAATAATAAAAATAAAAAATGAATAAATAAAGTGACATAAAATTTCCAACAGTGTTTGTCATGTTTGGACAACCTATTTTCCTCCTTTGCAGTCATAAGGAAGGATTAAACACTGAACTATATCAGCAAATCCTGTTGGGTTTCCCTCTGAAATAGGTTCCACATCAGCCCACTTCTCGCTCTCCACTGCTAGTCTGCTGTGGAAGCCAGCATCTTTCCTTGACCTCCCTCAACAGCTTCCTGGCTGATTCTCTTTTACACTTTCCCCTCTACAACCTATTCACCACACCGCAGAATGACTTTTTAATTTCTAATTTAAATTGCATGGGGCTGGGCGCAGTGGCTCATGCCTGTAATCCCAGCACTTTGGGAGGCCAAGGCAGGCAGATCACTTGAGGTCAGGAGTTCCAGACCAGCCTGACCAACATGGTGAAACCCCATCTCTACTAAAAATACAAAAATTAGCCAGTTGTGGTGGCAGGAGCTTGTTATCCCAGCTATTTGGGAGGCTGAGACAGGAGAATGGCTTGAACCCGGGAGGTGGAGGTTGTGGTGAGCCCAGATCGCACCATTGCACTCCAGCCTGGGCAACAAGAGCAAAACTCTGTCTCAAAAAAAAAAAAAAAAAAATTAGCCGGCTGTGACAGTGTGTGCCTGCGGTCCCAGCTACCAGAGAGGCTGACGCAGGAGGATTGCTTGAGCCCAGGAAGTCAAGGCTACAGTGAGCTATGATCTAGCCACTGCACTCTGCACAAGTAACAGACTGAGACTCTGTCTCAATCAAACAAACAAACAAAAAAGTCCATGATATTCAGGAAAGAAAGCAGAGATAAAGGAAAGGTTTTTATAGGGAAATGGCAAGTAATAGCTGTAGAAAAAACTATCAGAAAATTACCATCTTTGCAACCACCAATGTAATAATTAATTGTTATTAACTTAATAATTGATTCAGGATGGCCAGGTGTAGTGGCTCACGCCTGTAATTCCAGCACTTTGGGAGGCCGAGGCGAGTGGATTGCGAGGTCAGGAGTTTGAGACCAGCCTGGCCAACACAGTGAAATCCCATCTCTACTAAAAGTACAAAAAAAATTAGCCGGCTGTGGTGGCATGCATCTGTAGTCTCAGCTACTCAGGAGGCTGAGGCGGGAGAATCTCTTGAACCCAGGAGGCAGAGATTGCAGTGAGCCGAGACCACGCCATTGCACTCCAGCCTGGGTGACAGAGTGAGGCTCCGTCTCACAAAAAAAAAAAAAAATCGATTCAGGCAAGGAATTGTCGCTGGATGGCAAAAGCATTAGCTGAAAGGTTGTTGGGGACAGGATATTCACAAAGTCCCCAAATATTACCCCAAATTACTTGTGAATCAGGAAGGGAAACTGCGTCTTTACAGGGGAGAGATCTGGCAGCAGCCACCTGGATCACGTGATCAAACTGAGCGTCCTCAACAGTGGGGCAGCCTGACCCTGCCAGCTGCCTGATGAGGGGCTGGGGGTGAGTGTGGTCAGAGGAGGAAAGGATACAGTAGCAGCTGCCCTGGATGCTTCCAAAAATATTCTTGCCTGATTGCCTATGGAGAATGGCTAGTTGGGAGAGGCAAAGATGGCCTCCTGCTCCCTCAGAAGCCTGGCTGAGTGGCATTGCCAGTCCTCCAGCCGGGCCGTGGAGAACACGTGTGTGCTGAGGAGCCGGCCAGTGCTGGACGTGAGTGCCAAGAGGGAAGGGACTGTGTCTTCCAGTCTCAGGGTTGCCAGCACCTGGGACACAAGGGGGCACTCAGTGATGAGCAGGGTGTCGTCTGCAGCAAAGTCAGGCGCTGTCTGGAAGACATGGGCTGGAGCTCAGGAGAGAGGGCCGGGATGAGACATAGACATGGCAGTGAGGCACAGAAATAGAAAGCAAGCTGGATGAGCTCCCCGAGGAGTGATACAGAGGGAAGAGAAGGGGCTCAGGGACAGAGCCCTGGGGCACCAACATTGAGGGGTGGGGTGTGTGTGAAGAACCAGCAAGAGAGCCTGAGTAGGAGCAAGTGGTGGAAACAGCGGGAGAGCAAAGGCAGAAGAGGGTGAGGAATGAGGACTGCCGGCCATTCAGTGGGGCCCTGAAGGTGTATGCAGGCCGCTCCAGCTGGGCCCTGGAGGAGGACAGGGCAGTTGCTGTGTGTCTCTCATCTCTCCTGAAGGCTTTTCAGGGCTGGGAGGCTCAAGGCTGGCCACCTCTGCTGCATCTACTCCTGGGAGTACCAGGCCCGGGCAGATCTATTGGAGCTGGTGAGGCTCACATGGGACACCAGCTGATCCATTGCCAGGGAACCTCCCCACCCCAAGGCAAATGCTGCTGTCCTCTGAGGCCGCTCTTCCTCCCGTGGGCCCTTGGGAAACGACACCAAAAGCACCTCATCCCAGCTGGGCCCTTCACTCATGCTGCTATCTCCTGATGTCATTGTAGTCACACCATGGCCGCAGGACTCAGATACTGTCCCGAGGCCCCTCCCTGAGGGGCAGGTGGTGGGTCTCAGGGCCCTTCACCGGGCAGGGGGCAGTGGATGACTCGGTGCTACCTCTCAGGGCGGACAATTGGCTCAGAGGGGCGCAGCACCTGCAGTAAACATTCTGACCCCTGTTAAAGGATCTCAGCATTGGGGGGGCTGCAGCCTGTGGCTGCTCCATCTTCATGCAGAATCCCCAGTGTCCTCTAACGATCCCCCCACTTCCTGTCTCCCATCCCTGCAGTGTTTCCTCTCTCTGGTGCTTTCCCTAACCCAAGCCTCAGAAAACGCTTTCCCTGTGTGATCTTGACGCCTCCAGCCCTCTCCTCCACTACCTGCGAGGTGGCCCTGATCTGACACATGCATGGCCCCTGTAGTGGACAGCTGCCATTTGCGGCCACCATTGAGGATATCCATTCATCCAGCCCTCCCCCAGAGCCTTCTGTCCCTTGCATAGCCCATGTGTGTCCAGGGAAGTGGCCCCATGCCTAGCTCCAGGGAGCCAGCCCTGACGGAGAATTACCCCCTACCCCAGCCAAAATGATTGGACGCACAATCCAGTTCTGACCAACGAGAAGAGTGTTTATTTGCTGGGGGCATCTGAGACAGCAGAGGTGGTACACAGAGAAGATGCTGCTCTGGCAGTGAGGGAGGGATTCCGTGGAAGCTGCAGGCAGCCATCTTTTCATCCTCGGAGGTGGTGGCCTGGGATGTAGCAGATACCAACGCAGAGGGAGGCAGAAGACACTGGGTGAAATTGCTCACCTGCTGCCAATGCCAATACCACTGGACTTTTCACTTTCATAAGCCAAGAAATTTCCGTTAACTGATTAAACAAATTGCCTTTATTGTTAAACCAATGATTGGATATCAGAAACAGCCTAGCTAATATAGCTCCTTTTGGATAAAAGTAGAAGCCTCACATTCACCTTTAATGTTATTTCACTTTTTCCAAAATCAATTTCCTGGCACCACACAAACAAGAACACTGGTAAATGTATCACCTGAACTGCAGGCCACACATGCTCACGAGTGTGTCCCTGCCGTAGGTGGCTTTGAAGCCATATACATGGCTCTCCAGCTCTCGTGGGGGGCCAGGGGCTTCTGTGTGCTCTTCAAAGCCTTCACCCATTGGGCCTCTGTCCATCTTTCCAGCCTGGGGACCCAATATTTGCCCCACAAGGCCCAGGCAGGAGGGCCTCCAGCACGCGCAGCCCTGACCACACTGTGAGCAGCTCACTTGGCAAGGGTGAAGGGCCGGAGTGGCGTCCTCCTGATGTGGCTTCCTTCCAGCCTCTACCACCCCTGGGGGCCTCCTCCAAGGAGCAGGTGGTTAGATGTCCTCTTGTGCCCACACACACGGCAGGGTGGAGGAGGATGAACCGGAACCCAGTCCATGCTTCTGCCCCCACCCTGGCACCCCAAGGTTTCTTCTCAGGCAACAAGGAGCACACAAAGTGAGCCCCTGTACACAGGTGGCTGGGATATGTTCATCTTCCACAGGGAGGCCAGTGCTGGGGATGAGGACAAAGGCCTACGCCCAGTCCCAGCTCTGACACTGCCTTGCTGAGTCACCCATCAGCCCTAACGCTTCCTGGACGAGACAAGCAGATAGGGTGCCCCAGAGAGGAGCTGTGTCACTAAGGGCCAGGACACCCCATCTCTGGGTCACACTTGGCCACGGCTTCATTTTTGGCTTCAGTTTGTTTACTGAACAGAAGGGAGAGGGGCCCTGTGAGACAGAGGACACTGACTCAGGTCGGTGAGTGGCCCTCACTGTATAGAGTCCATGGCTGGGGACCAAGTGGCACTGAGACTCGCCCAAAGTCACATCACAGAGCTGGGGTGCCTTGCTGACTCCCTGGCCCCAATCTGCTTTTCCATTTGTCGAACGCACACTGGCACACTGGCTGCAGCAGCTGCGGGGGTCGGGGGGTTCCAGGGCTGGCTGTCACTTGGCCTCCTGCAGAGGTAAGCTGAGGGCTATGTTGGACCCGCCAGAAGTCAGGTGACAGCTGCTTTCCCTTTCAGGATCGGGAGGGAGTCACCTGAGGGTATATTCTCAGTGGGCTAAACATGACATGCGAGAGCCCAGCTCTCCAAGCGGCCCCTTCCTCCTTCTCACACCAAGGCACTTTCAGAAGCCGCTGGATTCCGACTGGGGCTGTGCCACTTCATCGCCGGTGCCTCTGCTGTGCCGGCTCTCCTCTTCTGAGGGTGTGGAAGCAAACCCAGGTCAAGCTGTGAGGAGTGCCTAGCACCTGGCCAGAGCCAGGTACATGCCAGCTATGATGATGATGAGCCCAACTGCAACAGGAGAACACACTTAGTGCGACATGCAGCGGTAGCCTGGCGTTGGGCACCTCCCCATGCTCCGAGAATTCTATTTGGAGAAGCCCTTCTCCATTGTCTCAGTCACTTCAGGGTGCAGGAAGCGGCTGGCCAACCGTTCGATGTCGTCCAGCGTCAGGCGACTCAGGGACCTCTCGTAATCCTGGGGAGAGAAGGGCAGGAAGATTCAGGGGCTGCCAGTGGTGGGGGGGCATACACTGCAACAGAGGTAGGGGCTGGGAGCAACTGGGCCTGAAGAGGATGCCCAGGGTTACCCTTCTCACCCTCTGTAGCTGTTCCAGGACCCTGCTGGCATCTGCCGCACTGAAGTGGCGGGCCAAGACTTTGGAGATCAGCTGCCAGACCTGCGGGGGTGGGGAGTCGGCCAGCCTCTGGGCCTCGCCTTCTTCTAGTAGCACCTTCTCCAGGGGTTTGACCACTAGGTTGAGCTTGGAGTTGGGCCCGATGCTATAATCCGAGAGTCGTTTCCCATCTGCCAAAGACAGATCGATGGGTTCCTCCTCCTCCACCGCCGTGGGGGTGGCCCGGGGCGCGAGGCCGCCTCGGGCGGCGGGAGCGGAGCGCTGCGGCATCCGGCTGTGAGGCATGCGGCCGCCTCCCTTGGGGTCATGTGGCGCTTGGCGCCCGCACCCCGACCCGACACACGGCTGCTGGCCTCGGCCCGCGCACCCCGGTCCCGCTTCCTGCGGGGCTCCCCGGGCGTCTCCTCTCCCTGGGTACCTGCCAGGGCCTTGCCCTTGAACAGCAGCCGCTGCTGGCGCACTGGGACGTTCAGCTTCTCGGAGACCAGCTGCTTCAGCGTGGACACCAGCTCGTCCTCTGGCACCTGGCCGCGCGGAGGGTGGGAGGCAAGGGTTGAGCCCGCGGCCCCCAGACGGCGAAGCCCACGCGTCCGCCCCCGAGGGCAGCTCTCCCGGCTCCCGGCCCTCGGCCCGGCCGCCCCGTGCCCGCCCTCGGCCCTGCCGGTCCCCCTGCCAGGAGCGGGCGAGAGAGCGCGCCGGACCCGGCGGCCCGGCCCGGGGACCCTACCTGCAGGCTGCACTCGCGGCCCTGCAGCGCCTTCACCGTCAGCTGCATGGCGGTCGCGACGGCGTCCACTCGGGCCGGCGCGCACCCCAACCACCCCCCGCCGCGCGCCGCCGCCCCGGGCGCGCGCTGGAACCGCCCGCCGCCGCCGGAAGCAGCGAGAGGGGCGCGCCCGCCGCCCGCGCTTCCCGGCCCCGCCCTCCTGCCCCGTCCGCGCCCCGGCCCCGCCCCCCGGCCCAATTGCGCCCCGGGAGGAGTCCCCCCGGGGTCCCGCCTAGCATGCGCGCATCGACCGCCCTGGCCGGCGGACCCCTCCCAAAGCAACGACGCGGGGGAGTTGGGAGCAGGAACCAGTCGGGCCAGGTTGGCGTCATCTGGGAGCTGGGACATGGAGAAGGGAGGGCCAGAAGGTACGCTCGCCCCCGCGGACTGCCTGGCCCACCTCACGCGCCAGGACTGCTGGCGGCGCCTGGCCCTGCATACCCACAGACGGCCCGCCCCCGCTCCCTGTCTGGTGGCTTCCTACCTCCTCCTTTCTGGTCTGGCTGCGAAACGCTCCACTGAGCTTGAGAGGGGGCAGGGGGGCTACGCCTCTGCCCTCATCCTCCCACCTCTCCCAGAGTGGGGACACCCCCGGGGAGGGCTGATAGGGAAAGCCTATGCAGGGGTCACCGTGTCACCCAAGCTGGCCCTCCACCCTGGTCCACACTTACCCAGCACACTCTTTCTACCCCCACGCCCAGGCCCCAAAGGGCAAAGAGTAGAAGGGACCCAAGCTTGCTTCTCTCTTTTATTGAAATATATTTTCTGGGCAGCGCCCACCTACCTAACTCAGCATGGCCTCTTTGGCACTGAAAGCTGGAGAATAAAAAATCAGTAAAAAAAATAAGCCTGGATTTTTCTGAGTGCATAGTGCATGAGAACTTTGGTGGAGTGTGGGGGCTGGGGCTGATGAAAGCTTGACCCAGAGGCCTCAGGGAACTGGGAACAGGCTGCTGTAGATGAAGTGGCCAATGACCAAGGCCAGCATCTCGGAGGTGCCGCTCAGCGCCACAATGAAGGGGGCCTGGGAGGCATAGTCAGCTTGAAGGCGGCGGAGGGATAGCTGCAGCATGGCCAAGGCCAGCAGGCTGTTCTGCACCCCTACCTCAATGCTGACCGTCCGCCGCTGGGCCACTGGCAGCTTCAGACACGTGGCTAGGCAGTAGCCCACCAACAGGCCAACCAGGGGCACCGTGATACCCACCAGTACGATGGGTAGCCGGATGCCTGCCAGGATGAAGACCCCCATGCGATAGGCCAGGAAGAGGCCGCCCAGGAGGAGCACAAAGCTGAAGGGCTTGACGACCTGCAGCAGCAGCTGGGAGAACTTGGGGAGCTTGGACTTGATCAGCACGCCCACGGCTATGGGGATGGCAATGAACAGCAGGGTCCCCAGGATCTTGGAGATGGGCACGTGGAGCGTCTCATGGATGCTGAGCAGGCGGCTGTAGATGGCCGAAGACAGAGGCAAGAAGCCAGTGGCAGCCACCGTAGAGAGGAAAGTCATGGAGATGGCCAGGGTGACGTCCCCTCCAAGAAGGAGGCTGAAGAGGTAGCTCCCCCCGCCGCCAGGCGACGAGCAGGTGATGATGAGGCCCAGAGCCAGGGCCTTGGGCAGCATGAAGACCTTGGCCATGAGGAAAGCGTACAAGGGCATGACCAGAAACTGGCCCAGGAGGCCCAGCAGCATGGGCTGGGGGCTCTGCATGAGCCCCTTCAGAACCTCGAGTTCCACTTTGCACCCAAACGAACACTTGTTGACAAAGATAAGAGGCAGGAGCAGGTAGAGGATTGGGTTTTCCGAGAAGTGGGCCAGGTCGGCGCTGAGGGTGGCAGGCGTGTCTTCAGCAGGTGAGACCTTGATGCAGAAGTCTCTCCGCTCCTCAATCAGTGTGGGCGGGGCCTCATGGGCGTCCACGAGCTGGATGTGGAGTGGGGCCAGCCCAGCCAGGCCTGAGTGGATGCTCACCACAAAGCCACCCCCGCCTCCCCAGGTTATAGCACTCACGTTCTTGATGGTCAGCACCTCTGTGTCCAGGGAGGTGACCCTGAGCATGGGGCCAGGCGCCGTCCTGTTGGCCTGGCCTGGGTACTGGCTGGAGATCACGATGATGCCCTCACTGTCCTCAGGAAACTCAAACTCCATCACAGAGCCATCTCCAATGCTCAAGTAGCGGCCCCCAGTCGGTGGCACGGTGTGACCCCCAGCAGTGCTGAGGCTGGTGCTGGCTGTCCCTTGGGCCCCCCATGGCAGGCTGATGAGCAGCAGGGCAGCTCTGAGCATGCTTAAGGGACCTGTGCCACCACCCTCGCCCCCCAGACCAGGCCACTGCTGAGAGCTGCCCTTGTCCTGCATTAACACCATGGCTCTTCCTGGAGGACGGATGGCGTGCCCAGGCCCTCTGCGGCTTAGGAGAACATCCCCACTGGTGCTGTTGGGTTGTCCTGAGAAGGGTTCATGGGTGGGTCCCAGTCCTGTGCTGTCTTCCTTGATGGCAGGGCTGTCCCTGAGGAGGTAAGGGACACAGAGAGGCAGCTGGTGAGGGTCACTTACCCTGGAGGCCTTGGTCCAGCCATGTGTCTTACCTCTGAAGAGGGAGGCAGTCAAGAACCCAGGAGCATGGGGATCTGGAAGCCCACTGCTAAGAGTAAAACTCAGCAGGGACCCTTGCCCCACACTCAGGAATGGAGAGGCAATGCCTAGTGATGGCCCTTGAGTGCCATTCAGCTGTGGCTCCCTGGCCCACTCTACCTGCCCCTACAGTGACTCGATGAAGGTCCTGCTGGGAAGCAGGTCCTCCCTCCCCAGGGAAGTTGCCAGAAGGGGCGGCAGGAGTGGATCAGACAGAGCCACATGTCTACTGGGGGGGTTTCTCCTCCTTTTGTCAGAGCTCCCACTGGGCTGAGACTTTGACCTCCCAGAGCCACTGCGTTACATCTGAGAGGCTGTGCTCAGAGTGCAGGGCTCCTTCCCATGCCCACATGCGCCCCTACCAGAGCCTCAAACTCAGTGGAATTATGAGTGTTTCTAGCGGCCAGCAACACCCCCTTCCACTTCTCAATCTGGGCAGCGACCACCGTAGTGTCACATCACCTGCTAGAACTGGGGCAACCAGGATGGAGACACAACAGCTTTACATCACCCCTGTCAGTTGCCTCATGCACTGTTGTGTCCCAGTCCTAGAAGAGGACTGCCTCTATAGATCCTATCCGTCTTTGGCATTGGCCTCCCGTCATCTGAGACTGGGGTGAGGCAGAAGTAGGGAGCAGAGGTTAGGTTAAGCCAAAGGCTCATCCCGGCGAGCCTCCCCTATCCCTAGCTTAGGATGACATGGCCTCTGCTGGCTTGAAGTTCGGGTCACTTACCCTGGAGGCCTTGGTCCAGCCATGTGTCTTACCTCTGAAGAGGGAGGCAGGAAAACCAGTGGGGTGGGAGAGGCAAAGTACAGGAGCTAAGATGAAGGCACCAGGACTGAAGCCACCGGGGTGATACAAACCAGCTCAGAAGGGAAAGGCTAGGGGCCATCCACCCCATGCCCCATCCCTCCAGTAGGGCTGGCGGCTCTGAGTCACTCCAAGAGGGGTTTGGCCCAGATCCCACACCATTTCTGCTTGAGGGGCCGACAGAGTTTGAGCAGATGCACCCACAAGGCAGGGGAGGGAGTCCCGGCCCTTCCAAAACGGCCAAGTGTTCGGGGTAACTGGCAGTGCTAACAGGGGCTCCTCCCTACCTGGGAGTCCGGAAGTTGTCGGACGGGTGGCTAGCAGAGCTCGGGCGCGAACCTGGGAGGGAGGAAAGGAAGGGCACGCCGCCGTCCCACAGCCGGCGACCCGCTCGGGCCGTCTCGGAGTCTGGGGGGGCCCCTTACGCCATTCCTGGGCCCCGCGGCCCCGCCAGGCCTCGCAAACGCGCGGCGGCGGCGGCGGCCCTTCCCTGCCAGGCCCGGCCGGGCGCCCGAGTGGGCGATCGCGGAGCAGGGTCGGGGCCAGAGGCCGCCTCCCTTCCGGAGGCTCTCACCTGCCACAGCCACCGCGCAGCTTAGCTGCAGCGTCTGCCTGGCCGGCAGTCGCCCGCGAGCTCGGCCTGTCAGGGCCCCGCCCCACCGAAGCCCCTCCCTTCCCCGCCCCGCGCGTCAGGGCCCCGCCCCCCCCTCAGCGTCCAGCTCAACTCCGGCTGCTCGCTGGGCTCCGACCGGTTGTGACGTCTCTGGGAGTGACGCGCCGGCGCGGGCGCGGTGCGGGTGAGCTGGTCGGCGCTTGGCGCTGCCTGGACCAATCGCTTGGCAGCGCATCTGAAGCTGTTGTGATCGCTGGGGCGACCCGCTCTGGGAGGGAGCCCCAGGCATTCCCGATTACGCTGCGACCTCTAAAGGCAATGGGACAGAGGGTTAGACGTTAGCAGGGCTGGGTGCCCGGGGTTAGGGTTTTGGCCACGTTGCCGCTCAAGGTGCCCAGCCCTGGGGCCCCAGGGTTGAGTTTGACCGACCTGGACGCCAGGCTCTGTGCGGAGTTCCTCCTTTCGTTCAAGTATTGACCGAGCGCCTATTTCTATTTTATGTATTTATTTTCTGAGACTGAGTCTTGCTCTGTCACCCAGCCCGGAGTGCAGTGGCGCGATCTCGGCTCACTGCAACCTCCGCCTCCCTGCAACCTCCGCCTCCCGGGTTCAATCCATTCTCCTCTCTAAGCCTCCCGCGTAGCTAAGATTACAGGCGTCCGCCCCCGCGCCCGGCTAATTTTTGTATTTTTAGTAGAGACGGGGTTTCACCATGTTGGCCAGGTAGGTCTCGAACTCCTGACCTCGTGAGCCACCCGCCTCGGCCTCGCAAAGTTCTGGGATTACAGGCGTGAGCCACTGCGCCCGGCGTAGGCCAGTTTCTATACTGTGGAACATTAAGTGGACTTGTCTGCTTTTCCAAACTTTGGCGCCACTAGCAAGGTGCAGAGGCTTTGTGGTAAAGGAAGAGAAAGAAGGCAGAAAGTTGGGGAAAAATATGATGGGAATGTGTAGAAAGAAGGTCGGAAGGCAGTACAGAAGACAGTACAGAGTTGGGGGGGGGGGGATCATATGTTCCCAAAGCTTATTGGTGCAACTGGAATCAATCTGCACACTTCAACCTCTTGTCAAGACTGTGATGGAGTCGGAGGTATTTGCCCCGGGTAGGTGCACAAGACGCATGGTTGCAGATGTGGAAACAGAACAGAACAAAACCACCCACGTCTCTAATGTTTCAAATGAATGATATACATTTGTTTTTATTACTTATTTATTTATTTTTGAGACAGGGTCTCGCTCTGTCGCCTAGGCTGGAGTGCAGTGGCACAAGCTCGGCTGACTGCAACCTCCGCCTCCCGGATTCAAGCGATTCTCCTGCCTCAGCCTCCTGAGTAGCTGGGATTACAGGCGTGCGCCACTACCACCCGGCTAATTTTTATATTTTTTAGTAGAGACAGGGTTTGCCATGTTGGCCAGGCTGGTCTCAAATTCGTGACCTCAAACGATCCACCCGCCTCAGCCTCCCTAAGTGCTGGGATTACAGGTGTGAGCCACCGTGCCCAGCCAAATAATATACTTTTAATAAATTTATTGACATTTAAATTTATTTTAAAACTTTATTTATTTATTTAGAGACAGGGTCTCGCTCTGTTACCCAGGCTGGAATGCAGTAGTGCCATCATAATCACTGCAGCCTCGAACCCCTGGGCTCAAGCGATCTTCCCACCTCAGTATCCCAAGTAGCTGGGACTACAGGAGCATGCCACCATGCCCAGCTTAAAAAGTTTTTTTGGCCGGGTGCGGTGGCTAATGCCTGTAATCCTAGCACTTTGGGAGGCCGAGGCGGGCGGATCACGAGGTCAGGAGATTGAGACCATCCTGGCTAACACGGTGAGACCCCGTCTCTACTAAAAATACAAACAAATTAGCCGGGCGTGGTGGTGGGCGCCTGTAGTCCCAGCTATTTGGGAGGCTGAGGCAGGACAATCTCTTGAACCCCGGGTGGGGGGAGGTTGCAGTGAGCCGAGATCGCGCCACTCTCCTCCAGCCTGGGCAACAGAGTGAGACTCCCATCTCAAAAAAAAAAAAATTGATTTTTGTGTGTGTTTTACAAAGTTCAAGTTAGTATGTGCGTATAATATGAGCAAATATACATATGCTGAGGGTTGTTACAAGGGTTTGATGTGTGGATGATCAAAAACATTTGCAGCCATAGCTCTCAGCCATTGTTTAGCCTCCAGGGATCACTAAGGCAGAAGCGATTTGTGTGTTTGTACTTGGTGTTCTGGAAAGGTTGTTCTGTCCCTTTCAAATGGGGTTGAAGGGTCCTGATGGAAGTAGACAGTATTTAGACTAGGACAGGTGAAAGGGCTGGACTAGGCACATGCTGGGGCTGAAGATTGCAATTTGGAAAACGGCAGTGAGGGTAGGGATTGTCTGAGGATGGGGTAAAATTGGCCAGAGGGAGAAAGGAGTCAGCTGGAAAAGCCAAAGAAGGAAAACCCAAAAAGTTGTGTCCTTCTTGAAGGAAAAGGGAATTTTTGTATTCCACTTGCCTGTGCTGTTGGGCCTGCCTGACACTGTCAGTAAAATTCACCTGGAACTAGCCACTTGGCAGCCACCAATTCTTGTTTTTGCCAGGTGTCAAGGAGAGCAAATGCAGTCAGAAGACTGCTGTCTGTTATTGTCAATCACTTCAGCCTTCCCTGAAAAGCCCAAGTGGGCAGGTGGGATATCTGACATGAAGAATTTGGTGGCTTTGTCTGCAGGAAAAGGGAATAGCAAAATTAAAGGCAAGACAATGTTCCTAGTTGGTTTAGGGAATCAGTAATTTACCCCAGGGTGCGGGTGGCTCACGCCTGTTATCTCAGCACTTTGGGAGACCGAGGCGGGTGGATCACTTGAGCTCAGGAGTTCAAGACCAGCCTGGGCAACATGGCAAAACCCCATCTCTACAAAAAATACAAAAATTAGCCTGGCGTGGTGGCATGCGCCTGTACTCCCAGCTACTCGGAAGGCTGACGTGGGAGGGTCGCTTGAACCCCGGGAGATGGAGGCTGCAGTGAGCTGAGATGGCACCACTGCACTCCAGCCTGGGCAACAAAGTGAGACCTTGACTCAAAATAATAATAATAATAATAGTAATAATAATAATAATTTACCCTAGAAGAGAAGGAGGAAGAGGTGAGGATATCTAGTGCCCAAAGAGAAGTCATCTGGACCGAACAAACAGATGGAACAAATGATAGCAACAGCTGAAACAACATCAACACATTTCAGATGGGAGGCCTGCCAGGTATTATGTAATAAGGTCACAGTGGTGACCCTGAGAGGCATGCCTACCTCTGCTCTTGAGGCAGGGGCCTCTAGAAACAGGATTTTTTTTTTTTTTTTTTGAGACAGAGTCTCACTCTATCGCCCGGGCTGGAGTGCAGTGGCACAGTCTTGGCTCACTGCAACCTCTGCCTCCCGGGTTCAAGTGATTCTCCTACCTCAGCCTCCCAAGTAGCTGGGATTACAGGTATGTACCACCACACCCAGCTAATTTTTGTATTTTTAGTAGAGGTGGGGTTTCACCATGTTGGCCAGGCTGGTCTCAAACTCCTGACCTCAGGTGATCCACCCACCTCGACCTCCCAAAGTGCTGGGATTACAGGCATAAGCCACCGTGCCTGGCCCAGAAACAGTATTTGATAAATAAAGAGGCCAGGTGAGGTGGCTCATACCTGTAATCCCAGCATTTTGGGAGGCTGAGGAGGGAAGATTGCTTGAGCCCAGGAGTTTGAGACCAGCCCGGGCATCATGGGAAGACCCTATTTCTACATAAACAGATTTTTAAAAAAATTTAAAAAGGCATGGAAGGCATATGCTAGTGTAAGTATGAGGTACATTGAGTATCCACAGGGAAGTGTAATGACACCTGTCACTTTTGCCTGCCCAGCATCAGGTTGCAGCACCTTAGTTTTCTCTGGGGGAACCATCCCTCCTCCACTCTCAGTACACATGGTTTGCATGTGGATGACCCCAACGCTGGGCCCTGGAGTGGGCACATAACCAGGTATAACCAGCCAGCCACTCAGAGTGGGCAGACATCATGCCATAATCCAGTCTGGACCAGTGAGGGTTAGTCCCCAGGAACTTGTACTGAAGTATTGGGAATGCCATCCTAAGTCACAGAGAGGGAGACTAAAAGAAAATGGTATTTATTTGGAATGGGTACTGCAATGGGAATGTGTGTGCCATAGTAAACTGTGTATATTCAGGGAGGCGAAGGGAGAAAAAGGGTTTTGTTGTTGTTGTTTTTTAAGGTAGGGTCTCACTCTGTTGCCCAGGGTGGAGTGCAGTGGTGTGATACTGGCTAACTGCAGCCTTCACCTCCTGGACTCGGGTGACCCTTCCACTTCAGCCCCCTCGAGTAGCTGGGACTACAGGCATGTGCCACCATGCCTGGCTAATTTTTTTGCATTTTTTGTAGAGATGGGGTTTAACCATGTTGCCTTACACTGGTCCCAAACTCCTGGGCTTAAGCAATTCTCCTGTCTCGGCCTTCCAAAGTGCTGGGATTACAAACATGAGCCATTGCAGCAGGCTGACAAAGGTGTTTTTTGTTTGTTTGTTTGTTTGTTTGTCTGTTTGTTTGTTTTTGAGATGGAGTTTGGCTCTTGTTGCCCAGGCTGGAGTGCAATGGCGCGATCTCAGCTCACTGCACCCTCCGCCTCCTGGATTCAAGCGATTCTCCTGCCTCAGCCTCCTGAGTGGCTGGGATTACGGGCACCCGCCACCACGCCCGGCTGATTTTGTATTTTTAGTAGAGACGGGGTTTCACTATGTTGGTCAGACTGGTCTTGAACTCCCGACCTCAGGTGATCCGCCTTCCTCAGCCTCCCAAAGTGCTGGGATTACAGGTGTGAACCACTGTGCCCGGCTGAGAAAAGTTTTTAAAGAAAAAATGAGAATTACATAATTGTTTTCAGGTAATTATTCTTGGCTACAAGGATTAATAACAAAGGTGGCATCAGTCCAAATTTGGACAAGCAGCTGCTGGGTAGATGTGTTCACAGAAGTATTTTCTGTGTGTAAGGTGATGAGACTGCAAAAACTATATCACTCTGGTGATGATAGCCGTTGTACAGGGTTATAGTTTTTGCAGTCTCATGATGGGTTTTGCTATCAGGCATCACACATGAGAACCTTCCCTTCATGGCCTTCCCCAGCTCCGGTTTTCGGGTTTGTTTTTTTTTTTTAAGGTGGGGTCTTGCTATGTGACCCTGGCTGGAAGTGCAGTGGCTTTTCACGGAGCGATCCTACTACTGATCAGCATGGGAGTTTTTATTTGCTCTGTTTCTGAGCTGGGCTGGTTCACTCTTCCTTAGGAAACCTGGTGGTCTCCTGCTCCCAGGAGATTACCATATTGATGCTGAGTTTAGTGAAGACACCAGATCAGAATAGCATACCACAGCCCAGAAATCCTGGGCTCAAGTGGTCCTCCTGCCTCAGCCTCCCCAGTAGCTAGGAATACAGGTGTGTACTACCATGCCTGGCTAATTTTTAAAAATTTTTCGTAGAGACAGGGTCTCCCTATGTTGCTCAGGCTCATCTCGAACTCCTAGGCTCAAGGGATCCTCCCATGACAGCCTCCCAAAGTGCTAGACTACAGGGGTGAGCCACCGCACCTGGCTAGCATGGAAGTTTTAACCTGCTCCATTTCCAGCCTGGGCTGGTTCATTCCTCCCTAGACAACCTAGTGGTCCTCCATTCCCAGGATACTGATGCTGAGCTTTTTGTGGACACCTGATCGGCCTGGCATACTACAGCCCAGAACTCCTGGGCTCAAACAATTCTCCTGCTGCAGCCTCCTGAGTAGCTAGGACTACAGGCATGTGCCACCACACCTGGCAGGGTTTTTTTTTTTTGTTTTTTTTTTTTTTTTTTTTTTTTTTTTAATGAGACAGAGTCTCACTTTGTCACCCAGGCTGGAGTGCAGTGGTGCGATCTTGGCTCACTGCAACCTCCGTCTCCCAGGTTCCAGCAATTCTCCCACCTCAACCTCCTGAGTAGCTGGGACTACAGGCCTGCATCACCATGCCTGGCTAATTTTTGTATTTTTACTAGAGACAGGGTTTTACCATGTTGGCCAGGATGGTCTCAAACTCCTGACCTCAAGTGATCCACCCACCTCAGCCTCCCAAAGTGCTGGGATTATAGGCGTGAGCCACTGCACCTGTTTTGTTTTTAATACAGGTGACTCCATTTTGCTTCTGGCAACTTTCACATTTCCCCTTTTTGATCGTGATCTTTCTTCAAAAGCAGTAGGTTTGGATTGTCCCTCAGTGCTGGGATGGACCTGTCCTGGGTTGTTGGTCTGGTTCCAGATAAGAGGGAGTGATTGACAACTAAGAGTCAGTGTCAAAACCCCTTTAGGCACATCTGAGCAACAATGGAAATTTGGAGAGAGTTGCACTCAGACTAAGTCTACCTGAAGTCCATCGTTAAATTCTATTTTTTCTGTTCTGTGGTCTTTTGGCCATCATCTGGAAGCCCCGTGCCAGCATACTCTGTTAGCAGCTGTACTTCTGCAGAAGTTTCACAAGTAACAAGTACAAATTGTTAAAAGGAAAATACAAATTAATATTAGTAGTAATATGATACCCCCAGTTTTCATAATAGTTTTGAGCTATGAACCTAGGCTTAAAGGCAATCAAGTGAATAAATCAAATGACCATGGGGAATTAGGTGAGACCCATTATAACCTATGTGACCTGTTATAACCTATGTTTTGTAATTTCGTGTATATGGGGCCTCAAGTTCCCCAGGGGAATTTATCCAGGTTCAGCATGTGCTATTAGCAATAGAACAGATATTTCCTGATTTAACCAATAGATGCTGAAGGATCTCTTAGGTCAGGTTCTGTGAGGTTACTGACAGAAGCTATTGATTGTGCAATTTCAATTACACCATTATCCTGTCAACGAAAAGGCAGACATAAGAAAGGAAAAATTAAGAGTGACAAGATTTTCATTTTGATGGGTGAAGCTCTCAACTTCTTTTTTTTTTGAGATGGAGTCTCGCTCTGTCGCCCAGGCTGGAGTGCAGCAGCATGATCTTGGCTTACTGCAACCTCCAACTCCCAGGTTCAAGCAATTCTCCTGCCTCAGCCTCCCGAGTAGCTGGGATTACAGGTGCGTGCCACCACAGCCAGCTAATTTTTAAAAAATATTTTTGGTAGAGATGGGGTTTCACCATGTTGGCCAGACTGGTCTTGAACTCCTGACCCCAAGTGATCCGCCCGCCTCGGCCTCCCAAAGTGCTGGGATGACAGGCCTGAAGCCACCGAGCCCAGCTGAAGCGCTCAACTTCTTGTTCTGGTTTGCAGTTTGAATGTCTCTGGTTATGGCATCAGGTGGTTTGGAGAACTTCCTGTGTGACCCATACATCAGGCATGAGACTTGTCCCTGGATATTTATACCAAGTTTTCCAGCTTCAGCTTCAAGGCCTTTAGCAACATAACAGGTTTTTTTCTTAGTTGGAGAGTTTTAGCCAAATATTAGAGGAAATTAGGAGGATTTGGGGTCTAGTCCCGTCTTCATGTAGATAAGAAACAATGCAAAGGGCTGCAATCTAATAGCAGGCATATTTTAGTGTTTTTCCTTTAGAAACAACTTTTTCTGGGAGGCCAAGACGGGCGGATCACGAGGTCAGGAGATCGAGACCATCCTGGCTAACACGGTGAAACCCCGTCTCTACTAAAAATACAAAAAAAAAAAAAAAAAAAATAGCCAGGCGTGGTGGCGCGCACCTGTAGTCCCAGCTACAGATTTTTTTTGAGACAGAGTCTCGCTCTGTTGCCCAGGCTGGAGTGCAGTGGTGCAATCTCAGCTCACTGCAACCCCCACCTCCCAGGTTGAAGCAATTCTCATGCTTCCACCTCCCAAGTAGCTGGGATTACAAGCATGAGCCACTGTTTTTGAGACAGGGTCTCACTCTGTTGCCCAGGCTGGAGTGCAGTGGTGCCATCATGGCTCACTACAGTCTCAACCTCCTGGGCTCAAGCAATCCTCTCCTCCTACCTGAGCTCCCTGAGTAGCTGGGCATACAGGTGCGCACTACCACACTGGCTATTTTTTTTTTTTTTTTTTTTTTTTTGTAGAGATGGGGGTCTCCTTATGTTGCCCAGGCTAGTTTTTTTTTTTTTTTTAACTTTTGTACCTTTTGTATTTTTAGTAGAGACTAATTTTTGTATTTTTAGTAGAGATGGGGTTTCACCATGTTGGGCAGGCTGGTCTCAAACTCCTGACCTCGTGATCCGCCCGCCTTGGCCTCCCAAAGTGCTGGGATTACAGGCGTGAAGCACCGCGCCCCGCCTGCCCAGGCTAGTTTTAGAACTCCTGGGCTTAAGTCATCACCTGTCTCAGCCTTCTAAAGTGCTGAGATTACAGGCGTGACTCACTATGCCCACCTAATTACTATATTTTTGATAAAATAATTAATGCTTTTAATTTTTCCCTTTAATTAATTAGATATTTTTCATATATTTTGGTAGAAAATATTACACAGAATGTGAAAACGTACGGACACATGATTACATAGAAACAGATTCCCTAGCTTTCATTTTGAAATTTTTGTCATGAGACAGTACAATATAGTAATATACGCTTGCCAGTTTATAAAAGGACAGTTGGATCCAATTTCTGACAAAATGAGACCCGTTCGTGTGGCTGAGCATTATTTGACCCCATAGGTAATCTTATGAAGGCTGAAGATCAAAATTTTGGGTAAAGCAGCGTCTACAGCAGTTTGATTTAAAATATCTTTTTAAAATCCTTTTATTCCATATCAAATGAGTTTAGAGGTTAAATATTCAAATGTTCACATTTCAGTTAGGACTAGCTGAATTGTATGAGAAAAACAGAATTTCCAGTGGCCAATCTGGTTTGCTTGATTAGTCAGCACAGGTGGAGAGGCACTTTTCAAAAAGATATTTACAGTTGTTTTTTTTCCTCAGCTTTTTCTGGATTGTACATGACAGACAAAGCCAAATTTTTATGCTGGACAGAGATACCTTATGTGATTGCTGTGTGCTCAAGAGTTTGACCTGTTTGATCTGAGAACCTAACTTTCACAAACATTGATCTAGTTCTTTCCTTTTTAGACTATCAATCTTTTAATTAACTGTTCCGTCACCCTAAGCAATTGTCAGCTAGGCAAACCTCCATACATGTTTCTGAAAGGAATGACTCCTAAGTGTACAAGGCTAGGTTTTTGGTTGCCATGGAGCTGTTGTAATTTGAAAGCACCCTTTTTTCTTTTCTTTTTCTTGGCTGAAATGCCCTAAGGAAAAGTTATAAACAGCTTTTGAAATCACCAATGTTAGATTATCTTTTTTTATTCTTATTTTTTTGAGACAAGATCTCACTCCATCGCCCAGGCTAGAGTGCAGTAGTGTGTCACGGCTCAACGCAGCCTTGAACTTCCAGGCTCAAGTGATCCTCCCACCTCAGCCTCCTGAATAGCTGGGACCACAGGTGTGTGCCTCCACGCTAGCTACCTTTTTGTATTTTTAATGTAGGGTTGGGGTCTGATCAGGTTGCCCAGGGTGAAATTATCTTAATACAATTATCTTAATACAAGTGAAGAAGCTGGCTGGGCACGGTGGCCACGCCTGTAATTCTAGCACTTTGAGAGGCCAAGATGAGTGGATCATGTGAGCTCAGGAGATAGAGACCAGCCTGAACAACATGATGAAACCCCATCTCTACAAAAATTAGCCAGGCGTGGTGGCAGGTGCCTGTGTTCCCAACTCCTTGGGAGGCTGAGGTGGGAGGATCGCTTGAGCCCAGGAGGTTGAGGCTGCAGTGAGCTGAGACTGCACCACTGCACTCCAGCCTGGGTGGCAGAGTGAGACCCTGTCTCAAAAAAAAAAAAAAAAAAAAAGAAGAAAAAGGCCAGGTGCGGTGGTTCACACCTGTAATCCCAGCACTTTGGGAGGCCGAGGCAGGCAGATCATGAGGTCAGGAGATCGAGACCATCCTGGCCAACATGATAAAATACAAAAAATTAGCCAGGCATGGTGGCGCATGCCTGTAGTCCCAGCTACTCGGGACGCTAAGGCAGTGGAATTCCTTGAACCCGGGAGGCAGAGGTTGCCGAGATCGTGCCAGCCTGGTGACAGAGCAAGACTCCGCCTCAAAAAAAAAAAAAAGAAGAAGAAGAAGAAAAAGCCAACAGAGTCAGCAGAGAGGAGGAAGAAAAGAAAAGCAGATAGAGAAGTTAGGCGCCTCTACATACCAGTGTTTTAGTTTTATTTATTTAATTTTATTTTTTATTTTAATTTTATTTTTTTGAAACAGGGTCTCACTCTGTTTCCCAGGCTGGCCTTGAATTCCTGGGCTCAAATAATCCTCCTGTCTTGGCCTCCAAAAGTGCTGGGATAACAGGCATGAGCCACCGTGCCCAGCCCCAATTCCTTTTAAAGGTGATTTTGTTTCGGGTCTCACTTATTTTTTTTTTCTTTTCTTTTCTTTTTTCTTTCTTTCTTTCTTTTTTTTTTTTCTGAGACAGCCTTGACCCCTGGGCTCAAGCCATCCTCCCACCTCAGCCTCCCTAGTAGCTGGGACTACAGGTGTGCACCACCACACCTGGCTAATTAATTTTTTTTTTTTTTTTTAGAGACAGGGTCTTGCTGTGTTGCCCAGGATGGTGTCAAATTCCTGGGCTCAAGTGATCCTCCTGCCTTGGACTCTCAAGTGCTGGGATGACAGGTGTGAGCCACCACGCCCAGCTGTAGGTCCCACTTCTGACTCTAGTTATGTCATCCTAAATAACAGGCTCTCTGAGAGAAAATGATATTTATTCTGGAATGCGTTGCAGTGGGAATGCATGTGCCATGGTAAACTGTATGGTAAACTGTGTGCATATACAGGGAGGCAAAAGAAGGCAAAGGTTTTTCAAGGAAAAGTGAAGAGGATCACCTAATTGTTTTGAGAGAATTCTCCTTGGCTACAAGGATCGATAACAAGGGTGACCTCAGTATGAGGTTGGACAGGGTTAGGGTTAAGTTGCTCAGCTGGGTGCGGTGACTCACGCCTATAATCCTAGCACTTTGGGAGGCTGAGGCGGGTGGATCACCTGAGGTCAGGAGTTCAAGAGCAGCCTGGCCAACAAGGTAAAACCCTGTCTCTACTAAAAACACAAAAATGAGCCAGGCGTGGTAGCGCATGCCTGTGATCCCAGCTACTCAGGAGGCTGAGGCAGGAGAATCGCTTGAACCTAGGAGGCGGAGGTTGTGGTGAGCCAAGATTGTGCCACTATACTCCAGCCTGGGTGACTGATCCAGACTCCGTTTCAGAAAAAAAAAAAAAAAAAAGTCAGCCGGGCACGGTAGCTCACGCCTTTAATCCCAGCACTTTGGGAGGCTGAGGCAGGTGGATCACTTGAAGTCAGGAGTTCAAGACCAGCCTGGCCAACATGGTGAAACCGTGTCTCTACTAAAAATACAAAAATTAGCTGGGTGTGGTGGTGCACACCTGCAATCCCAGCTACTTGGGAGGCTGAGGCAGAATCGCTTGAACCCAGGAGGCGGAGGTTGCAGTGAGCCGAGATTGCGCCACTGCGCTTCAGCCTGGGTAACAAGAGCGAAACTCCGTCTCAAAAAGTTGCTGGGCAGATGTCCTTGCAGTATTTTTTTTCTGTGGAAAGCTGTGGTTTCTGCATTTGCAGCCTTCCCCAGCTCTGTTTTTTGTTTTTTAACACAAGTGACTCCATTTTGATTCTGACAACTGTCATGGCAAGGAAGGCTGCCATGTTGGAAAATGAAGCCAATACAGAGAGAAAAACAAAGCCAAGAGGTGGAGAGAGCCCAAGTCCCTTGGGCTTCGGGGTCCATTACAGGAACAATGCATTCTGCCATCCTCCCTTTTTTTTTTTTTTTTTTTTTGCTTATGCCAGTTTGAGTTTGAATTCTGGCATTGTAAGTGAGGACATCCTAACTCCTAAAGGGCAGGCCCAGGGGGCGATACCCCTGGCAAAACAGGACCGTGGGATATGTCAAGCTTACCTCCTCTTTGGGAAGTCAGGCAGGCTGTGCTCCATGCCATCAGCTTCCTAGCCTGTGTTGGGCTGTGACACTGGTGACCCCAGTGAGGGTGCAGCCCCATGAAGAGGTAGAGGCTGTCACTGTGGCTCACTACGGTGTTCCTGGACCAGTTCAGGCACTTGGTGAATGTTTAGTGAACAAATGAGCTGAAGGAACAAATGGAGGAAGGCTGGGCAATCACAGCAGTTGCTGGAGAAGTGTCGGGGAGCCCAAGCCCCTCCCAGCCTGGCAGTATAGACACTCCGTGAGTTTCCGTTTCATTTAGGGGCAAGCTAGTAACCTCGTGGAATTGTACTTATCTGGCTTGTAGTCTTGCTACACCGGGAACTCTCCTATCCCCACTAGGGACCTTTACTTTTTTGTACAGTGGGGACAATGGCCACACTTACTGGCTAGGGTTGTGGTGAGGTGTTACCTATGGTATAACTGAGGTATTGATGCAAGAAGGAAGTTGAGATTTGTATCAACATATGGGACCATGTGGGTACAGATGAGACAGCACTGGTCACATGTCGATCACTAGAGGGATGAGCACATCAGAGTTGATGACAGTCATCTGTTGGTATCCGATAGGTATTTGTTCCAGGGCACCCTATAGCTGCCAAAGTCCAGGGATGCTCAAGTCCCTGATATAAAATGGATACATTATAGTTATACATATTTATTCCCATAGATTTTTTTTTCTTTTGAGATGGAGTCTCGCTCTGTCACCCAGGCTGGAGGGCAGTGGTGCAATCTCAGCTCACTGTAAGCTCCGCCTCCCGGGTTCAAGCGATTCTCCTGCTTCAGCCTCCCGAGTAACTGGGACTACAGGCGCCCGCCACCATGCTCAGCTAATTTTTCGTATTTTTAGTAGAGACGGGGTTTCACCGTGTTAGCCAGGATGGTCTTGATCTCCTGACCTCTTGATCTCCTGACCTTGTGATCCGCCCACCTCGGCCTCTCAAAGTGCTGGGATTACAGGCGTGAGCCACTGTGCGCCCAGCCCTTTTTTCTTTTTTTTTGAGACGGTGTGTCACTCTGTCGTCCAGGCTGGAGTGCAGTGGCGTGATCTCGGCTCACTGCAACCTCCACCTCCCAGGTTCAAGTGATTCTGCCTCAGCCTCCCGAGTAGCTGGGATCACAGGCATGCGCCAGCACGCCTGGCTAATTTTTGTGTTTTTAGTAGAGACAGGGTTTTACCATGTTGGCTAGGCTGGTCTGAAACTCCCGACTTCAGATTATCTGCCCACCTCGGTCTCCCAAAGTGCTGGGATTACAGGTGTGAGCCACCGTGCGCGGCCTGATTTTTTTTTTTTTTTTTTTTTGAGACAAAGTCTCGCTCTGTCACCCTGGCTGGAGTGCAGTGGCACAATCACGGCTCACTGCAGCCTCAACCTCCTGGACTGCAGCAATCTGCCTGCTTCAACCTCCGTAAGTGCTGGGATTACAGACATGAGCCACCAAGCCTGGTCCCATAGAATCTAAACCATCTTGAGATTATTTATCATGCTTAATACAATGTAAATGCTCTGCAAATAACAATTACACTGTATTGTGTGTGTGTGTTTTTTTTTTGATAGGATCTCACTCTGTTGCCCAGGCTGAAGTGCAGTGGTGTGATCTTGGCTCACTGCATCCTTGACCTCCTGGGCTCAAGTAATCCTGTCTCAGTCTCTCAAGTAGCTGGGACTACAGATGTGTGTCACCACGACTGGCTAATTTTATTTTTTTGTAGAGATGGGGTCTCGCTATTTTGCCTAGGCTGGTCTTGAATGCTTGGGCTCAAGTGATCTGCCCACTTTGGCCTCCCGAAGGCTGGGTTATAGGGCATGAGCCACCGTGCCAGCCTACACTGTATTTTTTTTTTTTTTTTTAAGACGAAGTTTTGCTTTTGTTGCCCAGGCTGGAGTGCAATGGCACAATCTTGGCTCACTGCAACTTCTGCCTCCTGAGTTCAAGTGATTCTCCTGCCTCGGCCTCCCAAGTAGCTGGGATTATAGGCGCCCGCCACCACGCCTGGCTAATTTTTTTTTTTTTTGAGACGGGAGTCACGCTCTGTCACCCAGGCTGGAGTGCAGTCATGTGATCTCAGCTCACTGCAAGCTCCGCCTCCCGGGTTCACGCCATTCTCCTGCCTCAGCCTCCCGAGTAGCTGGGACTACAGGCGCCCGCCACCACGCCCGGCTAATTTTTTGTATTTCTTAGTAGAGACGAGGTTTCACCATGTTAGCCAGGATGGTCTCGATCTCCTGACCTCGTGATCCACCTGCCTTGGCCTCCCAAAGTGCTGGGATTATAGGCGTGAGCCACCACGCCCGGCCACTGTATTGTTTTTTACTTGTACTATTTTTTATTCTTGTATTTTTATTTTTTCCAAGTATTTCCAATCTGTGGTTGGTTGAATCTGTGGACATGGAACCCCCATGGATATGAAGGGCCGATTGTATGCTAGTCTGTCTCCTGGAGATGTTTGCAATTTTCCATAGCAAGTCTAAAGAGTGAAGTGTGTATGATCCTGCAGTGGATCCATCATTACACATTTTTGTCCAAACCCACTGAACGTCCAACAGCAAACTGAAGCCTCATGTGAGCACCGATACTGGTTCATTGACAGCAACAGATGGGAAGCTGGGGGCTGGCAGGGGGCACACAGGAACTCTGACCTTTTCACTCAGTTTTGCTGTGAACCTAAAATGGCTCTAAGAAGGAAAGTTTACAAAAACAAAAAAGGAATGGAATACACGTAGAAAGTTCCTGGTGCAGAGGCAGGACTGGCATCACCATCGTTTCCTCCCTGGTGAGCCGCTCCTCCAGGGCACCCCTGTGCCTCCAACCCCACATGTGCCTGCTCCAGAAGCACTTTTGTCTTCTGAGGCTCTGTCTGCGCTCTGTACTCTTCCTGGGATTGGCTCCTAAGTCCATCGCCCCTAACGTCGCCCCATGAAGGACACCACAGTGCCTCCCATCTAGGAACTGCCTTCTCTCCTTTCGCTGAACTCAGACTGCTTCTGGGCCTCTGGAGTTGATATTCCAGCAAAATTGCTTCTAATTTGCTGGCTCTCGCTTAGCAAAGGGAGGTATTAACCGTAACCTGGGAGAGACGCAAAAAGCCCAAGTGACTCGACCCCTCACAACCCTGACTTCAAAGGCAGCCGAAGTCTGTGGGCGACATGTGCTCCTGGATGATGATGGGGTGTGGTGGGGGCCTGGGCTGGTGTTAATCCCAATCCCTGTCCCTGTCCGTACAGGCCTGCACTGGGTCAGAGGGAGTTGTTGAGTCAGCTTCCTGCAGCCCGAGTGTGCAATCTTCTCTGCCAGACGAAAAGAGTCCCACTGCTCTGTTGACTGCTTGAGTCACATCTCAGTCGCAGCGGGGCCTGTTGGTGGCAGGAGCCCTGGAGACAAAAGGCTGTCTGCTCGGGCTGTGGGAGCAGGTTGGTTAAGACTCTGGAATCTGTCCTCCCGCACCCCAGAGGACACCGCCACCTCTGACTCCGCACTGACAACAGCATCTGAAGGCATTTCTTCTGTGGGGCCATCACTTTATTAAGGGGTCATCTAGAAGGTGGGCCCCCTGACAAACCGCGGGACTGTGATCGGGCTCCAGCTACTTCACCACCCCGGGCCAGCCTGCTCCAGGGGTCCCTTCCTGCTGAGAGCAGGCGAGAGGCAGTCAGGCTCATGAAGCAGCCACCGGGTTTGGCTCACTGGAAGGAATCACACTGGAAACATGTTTAGCCCGCAGTGCAGAGTGGCTCCAGAAGGGAGAGGTTCTGGAAGACGCCCCAACCTGCCGGGCTGCTCCCAGAGATGCACAGTGAGGGGCAGGCACCCAGGGCCGTTCCAGGACTCAAGATGGGGATGGAGATGGCGTGAGGAATGGAGGACAGGGCTAGATGGGCTGACCGGGGGGAACAGTGTTACGAAAAGGAGGCGGGTACCCTGGGCTCCCGTGACAAAGTGCGGCAGGGCTACCCCCTGCAGCCCCCATAGCCCCCACCACCTTGAGACCACGTTCTGGTCACTGCCTCGGAGCCCCGATGTGTTGGGGCCAGGGAGCGCTCCTGCCCGGGTGTGGGGTGTGAGCCTCAGCCTCTGTCCGCCCGGCAGCGCGCGTGCCTCCCTTGGTCTGGCCTCCCTCGGCCCGGTCCTGGCACTGGCCGTGCTAGCTGGCCGTGCTTCTCCGCGGGATACAGCCTTCCATCTCCAGCGCCTCGGGCCAGCCTTCGTACTTGTTGCTGTGCTTACTGTTCTTCACGTGCTGTGGGGAGGGGAGCAGAAAGTCATGACTTTGGCCCTCAGGGACAGGGGACAGGAGTGGACCAGGACCCAGGCTGTCAGTCAACTGTGCTGTGTTGGCCAACGGTGTACTCTCAGGGCACTTGGCCCCTCCACCCATCCCAGGGAAACATGGCATCAGCTGCACTGGCCCACCCCTCATAGCTGGACTGGGGACGGTCCCCTGCTGGGGCGTGAGCAGCTGGGGAGGCTCGTCGCATGCAGGCAGAAGGGGCGACAGGCTGCCCCGGTGGGGGTGATGCCAGGCACCCCCCATACCTGCTCAAAGGGGCTCTTGTTCTGCACACCCTTGGCCCCGACAAACACCCAGCTGTCCCGGAAGGCCAGCTCCTTGGCGTTCCTGCTGCCCAGCTCACTGAAGAGCTTTCTGGTCTCTTCATTCATCCTGCAGCATGGGAGGAAGGGGTGTCAGCTGTTGCTGCAGAAGGGCAAGGCTGAGGCTGGCCTCCCCAAGCACCTACTTGGTGGCTGGGTCGTCGTAGGATGCCACGAACACCAGGGTGCCTTCGTGCAGTGGCCGAATAAACTTCAACAGGTCGTTGACATCTGGGGGGGCAGGTGCCACGGAACAGGGGTCATCAGGCACCACTGAGCACCCTCCCACAAGCCCGTTCTCCAAACAAGGAAACAGAAGTAGGGATTGGGCCTGGGACATGCCCCGCCAAGGGACAGGCTGGTGTAGGAAGCTGAGGCATCCCCGTGACCTCCCACAGCCTCCAGACCAAGCTGGCGATGCCCCTGTCCTTTCTGAACCCACGGAGGTGACTGAGAAGCTCCAAGTACAGACAGAGAGAGCAGTGTCTCAGGGGAAGCTGCCCAGGTCATTTTGCTGCAGTCAAAATGCAAGACGCTGCGCTGCAACTCACCTCCGGCCCACATGTCAAAGGCCCGGGCCTCGATGAGCTCGCCGCTGACCCCTGTGTCAGGAGGGAGGGGCCCTGCTGGGTAAGCCAGGCCAGCCTCAGGGCACGGCAGGCGGGTAGCACCGGGGGTGGGGGGCAGCCCTTCTGGAAGCTTTCAAACAGTCCCCCAATATTCATCCATTTGTTCAGGCAGCTGCATCCCACCCCAAGCCGTGGTGCCTCTGTCTGGCATTTGAGGCCCTCCGGGGGCTCTCCATGAAGCACCCTCAACCTCCCAGAACCTTCCCTAGTTCTTTATTGCCATCATGCTTTTTTGTTCATTGGGTCACTCCTCTGTGGAGCCTTGCGCTTGCACAGACTCCTTCCCAGGCCTCCCTGGGAGATCTTGAATGGGAGGGGAAGGGAGGGCAAACACCCAGAGGCCTCCTGGGGAGGGAGCAGGGAAGGAGGGCGGCAGGCCACGCTCAGCCAGGGGCCTCACCGTTCACCAGGGCGATGTTCAGCCCGCGGCCCACGTTGTCCTTGACGCTGCTCATCAGCCTAGTTGGGGGGGGGTGGGGGGGACGGGGAGATCCCACATGGGCACGTCTGCTCCACTCTCCCTTGCAGACCCGGCCCTGGATCCCCCACTCCCTCCCTGATCCCCAGTCACCCCAGGGAGCTCACATCTTGTCCTCGAGGCAGATCTTGGGCCCAATGACGTTGGCGGCCCCGCTGACCACGCGGAAGGCCAGGTGCTCCTCAGGACACGGCTGGGGCAGGCCACACTTGTACTTCCTGGCCCGTGGCGCTGGGCAGGGATAGCAGGTGTTATCCATGGGCCTGGCCCTGAGGTCACCTGAGATCTGAAGGGGAGGTCAGGACCAGCACACATGGTAGAACAAGTGACCGCAGAGCAGGACACAAGTAGGGGGATGTGGCTCAGGCCGAGGCTGGGGACACTTCCATACTCTGTGTCCTACTGGTGAGGCCACAGGGACCCAAGACAGAAGGATTTTCTGTTACTGGTGGGAGAAAAGAAAGGATGCTGAGGGCTGGCCTGGGCCACTGCACAGCCAGGAACAAAGCAGGGGTGAAGTAAGTCAGGCTGGGGGTCTAGCTGCATGGATGAGGCCAACCTGAGCAAAGGCAGTGTGGCAGGGGGTAGTGTGGCAGGGGGTGCAGCCTGTCTCCCGATTTTGATGGGGGTTGGTTGGGAGGACTGGAGCAGGATGGCTTCTATTATGGGTTGAATTCTGTCCCCTCAAGGTATGCTGAAGTTCTAATCTGTGGTACTTCAGAATGTGATGTTTGCAAATAGGGCCTTTGCAGTTCAGATGGGGTCATACTGGAGTAGGTTGGGTCCTTAATGCAACATGACTGATGTCCTTATAAGAACAGAAGTGACAAAGACACACAGAGGGAAGACAGCCATGGTACAGTGGAGGAAGAGACAGGAGTGACACAGCCAGAGGCCAAGGTATGCCTGGGGCCACTGGAACCTGGGGAGGTCAGGAAGGACCCTCCTGTAGAACTTTCAGGGTGAGTAACGCCCTGCTGACACTTTGATTTCAGACTTCTGGCTTTCAGAATGGGGAGAGAATCCATTTCTGTTGTTTAAGCCACCCAGTTGAAATGGCAGTTCCAGGAAATGGATACAGGTTTTGGCACCAGGAAGTGTGGTGCTTAGGTAACAAATACCTAAAAATGTGGAAATGGCTTTGGAACTGGGTAGTCAGTAGAGGCTTGTCTTAGTCCATTTGCTGCTGCCATAACAGAATACCACAGACTGGGTAATTTATAAAGACAACAGATTCATTTGGCTCATGGTTCTGGAGGCTGGGAAGTCCAAAAGCATGGCGCCGGCATCTGGTGAGGGTCATCCCGTGGCAGAAAGGTGGAAGGTGGAAGCAAGCATATGAGACGCAGGAAAAAAGGGGGCTGAACTTCAAGGTAACTAACTCACCCATAATAGTGGCATTCATCCATTCATGAGGGCAGAGCCCTCATGACGTAACTACCTCAAAAAGGCCCTCCTCTCAATACCAATACATTGACAAATTTCAACATGAGTTTTAGAGATGACATTTAAACCATATCAAGGCTATAGAAGTTTGAGGTACATGTTAGAAAAGGTCTGGATTGCCTTTAAGAGACTGTTGGTAGGAGTATGGATGTTAAAGGTAATTCTGGTGAGAGGAGGGGAGAGCAATAGAGACAGCCTCTGTGGTCTTAGAGAATACAAATATCATCAAGAACAGAACGTTGCTAGAAACATGAATGTTAAAGGTGCTTTTGGGTTGGGTGTGGTGATTCACGCATGTGATCCCAGCACCTTGGGAGGCCAAGGCAGGAGCATCACTTGAGGCCAGGTGATCAAGACCAGCCTGGGCAACATAGTGAGACCCCGTCTCTACAAAAAATACAAAATAAGCTGGGTGTGGTGGTACATGCCTGTAATCCCAGCTACTCAGGAGGCTGAGGCAGGAGAATCACTTGAGCTATGATTGCGCCACTGCCCTCCAGCCTGGGTGAGAGAGCAAGACCCTGTCTCAATACATTCAAAAAATAAATAATAAAAAATAAAACATTAGCTGGGTGTGGTGGCACATGCCTGTAGTCGCAGCTACTTGGGAGACTGAGGTGAGAGGATCGCTTGAGCCCAGGAGTTTGAGCTTACAGTGCACGGGGATGATACCACTGAACTCCAGCCTGAGCAACAGAGTAAGACCTCTGTCTCTACCAAAAAAAAAAAAAAAAAAAAAAGGTGCTTTTGGTTAAGCCTCAGAGGAAAATGAGGGACATGTTATTGAGTTATTGGGCGCTGGAGGAAAGCTGATCCTTGTTATAAAGGAACTTGGCCCAGGTGTGGTGGCTCACGCCTATAATCCCAGCACTTTGCGGGGCCAAGGCGGGAGGATCACTTGAGGTCAGGAATTCGAGACCAGCCTGACCAACACGGTGAAACCCCATCTCTACTAAATATGAAAATTAGTTGGGTATGGTGGCAGGTGCCTGTAATCCCAGCTAATCAGGAGGCTGAGGTGGGAGAATCGCTTGAACCCGGGAGGCGGAGGTTGCAGTGAGCCAAGATGGCTCCACTGCACTCCAGCCTGGGTGACAGAGCAAGACTCCGTCTCAAAAAAAAAAAAAAACTTGGTTGAATTGTGTTCTAGTGTTTTGTCGAAAGGAGAATGTGTAAGTGCTGGGTGCTGAACTTGGATATTCAGCTGAGGAGATTTCCAAGCAGTGTTGAGAGCGTAGCCTGACTTCTCCTTGCTGCTTATAGTAAAATGTGAGAGACATAAGGAAGAAACTGTTGAGCACAAAGGAGCCAGAAAGCGAAGATGTGGAAAATTCTTGGCCTAATCATATTACAAAAACTGCAAAAGTGTCCCCTGGACAGAACAGCAAGGCTGTTCAAGCGTTTGCCCCAGAGCTGAGGTATGTGACTCGTGGGTCCACTCAACCCTTTCAGCAGAAATCTACAATGAAGATGGGGTTATCTAGGAAGCGTCTGTGGGAAAACTCTCTGATTTTATAGCTTGGGCCTCTATAACTTGCAAAAGAGACCAACAAGGCTCTTGAGAATCTGACACCAGCAGAAACACTGCCGGCCTGGAGTGAAGGGGGCAGAGATGAGATAAAGGGAAGGAAGGGTGGCCCCGAAGGTGGGGCTGTCTCGTTTCAGAGCATGGGTCATTCCAGCAGGCCCAGAAGAAAGAATCTCAGGCCACAGAGGATTCCCCTCAGGCCTTGAAACCAAATGAATTTTGCCCTGCTGGGCTTTGGACTTGCTTGGGACGGGTGACCTCTTTTTTCCTTCCAAGTTGCCCTTTTGCAGTGGGAGTATCTATCCTAGGCCTGCCCCACCGTCATATTCTGGCAGGAAGTAACTTGGCAGGAAGTAACTTGTTTTGTAGGTTGACAGTGGCAAGCAGCCCCCGTGGACCACCACAGCTGGTTTGGGGAGGAATAAATGGAAAACCGAAGCCCTACGGGACCGGGGGCAGGCAGGGATGTCACAAAGGGGAGGAGCAGGGAGGTGACAGGGGCCTTACCTGCAGTCACCGAGCTCTCTGGACCTGTGGATACAGAGTGGTTTCTGTTAGTGTGGAGCCTCCCGGGGCCTGCGGCAGGGCAGCCTGGCCCTCCTTACACCGCGAAGTGTAGACACAGGCAGTCAGGCTCAGGGGCCGGGGGCTAAGCCAGGCCGACCTTGGCATGCTTCCTGCTCAAGTGTAAGTCATGTTCAGATGAAAAACTCCCTACTCTAGGAACAGGGGGAAATGGAATTAGAAAAACTACTTAGATGACCTGGCCGGGCATAGTGGCTCATGCCTGTAGCACTTTGGGAGGCTGAGGCGGGTAGATTGCTTGAGCCCAGGAGTTTGAGACCAGCCTGGGCAACATGGTGAAACCCCATCTCTACTAAAAATACAATAATAATAATAATAATAATAATAATAATAATAATAATAAGAAGAAGAAGAAGAAGAAGAAGAAGCCGGGTTTGGTGGTGCGCACCTGTAGTCTCAGCTACTCGGGAGGCTGGGGCACTAGAATCGCTTGAACCCAGGAGGTAGAGGTTGCAGTGAACCGAGATTGCACCACTGCACTCCAGCCTGGGAGACAAAGTGAGACACTGTCTCAAACAAACAAACAAAAAAGTACTCAGGTGACCTATTACCAGTCAACAAGGTGGAGAGTCCCCTCTCCATCTCAGAGCCTGCAGGGAGCAACCGGGGCATCACTCCCCATGTTCAGTGGAAGCTCCCTACCCCTTACTCTGGCCCTACTGACTCCAGTTGGGCATATAATTCTAGTGATCAGGTATTGGCTTTCCTAGATGAAGCAACTGGGTGTTGGGGGAGGCTGCGCCTGATGCCAGGAGACAGACTGGGGACAGCCAAAGGTAGCCTGCCAGGGAGGAGATAGAAAACCCAAGTCAACTCCCAACCCAGAGCCTCAACCACAGGCCCAGGTGGCCACCTTGGTGGCCTCCAGAGAAGGATAAGGCGGGGTCCCACACTCACTGGTGAAGAGTTGCTGGATGCGAGGAAAGCCACTGCCAGGCCCACCCAGGAGGATGCTGACCACGATCCATGTGACACCCACACTGACGACTAGGACCACAATGCGGAGAGGGCCTGGAGGCAGGATAGACACAGGGTGGGGTCACCTCAGATACCAGCGAACCCCAGAATGACCCCATAGCCTTGCATGACTGGATCTCCCCTGCCACTTGGGAAGAAGTGGCTGGAGGACAAGGAGGTGGAGACCTGTTGCCTTCTACCAGGGCTGAAAGGGAGACTTGAGCTCCCTGGCAGGTGGAAGGAGGAAATTGAGTTCAAATCCCAAGGCTGCTGGGTTTGGTTTTCCCTGGCGGGTCTGGGAGGGGGCCTTCCAGAACTCTCTGCTCGAGAAGGGCTCCAGCCCTCTTTCCAAGAACCCCCTCAACTTCCTGCCTCTGAAACCACCAATATATTTGGGCATCCACCTGCCCCTGCTTTCCTCCTGTTCTGAGGGAGAAGGGTCCCTACTCCCTTTTAAGACCAGTCCCGGCCGGGCGCAGTGGCTCACGCCTGTAATCCCAGAACTTTAGGAGGCCGAGGCGGGTAGATCATGAGGTCAGGTGTTCGAGACCAGCCTGACAAAGATGGTGAAACCCTGCCTCTACAGAAAATACAAAAATTAGCCGGGCATGGTGGCGCGCACCTGTAATCCCAGCTACTCAGGAGGCTGAAGCAGGAGAATCAGTTGAACCTGGGTGGCGGAGGTTGCAGTTAGCTGAGACCATGCCACTGCACTCCAGCCTGGCGACAGAGTGAGACTCTGCCTCAAAACAAAAACAAAAACAAAACAAAACAAAACCAAAACAACAACAGTCCCGTCATCTGCTGGGACCTGGATTGCAAGCTCCCCAGCCTTCTCTGATTTCTTGTAATAGTGATCACTCTCTCTAGTTCGCTCTTTCTCCTGTATTTTCAACATCTCCAATGTTAAGGAAGCAAAGAAAACACTCTTCTTCAAAACCACATCCCCATCCTCTTTCCCCTAACCTTTCTTTTCCCTGTCAACCCCCTCAAAAGTCATCTATACTCATTCCATCATCTCACCTCCTACTCCCTCCCACCCTACTCCAGTCTGGCCTGGCTTCCACCACCTCACCAAATCAGCTTGTTGCCAAGGCCACTGATGACCTTTGTGGTGTCACCACCCCTGGTGACCTGTCAGCCTTGATCTTCCTTGACCTCTCAGTGGGCTGCCCATGTCCACCTGACAGAAGCACTAACTTCTCTGCTGGCTTTCCGGACAGCACACTCTCCTGACCCAATCTCTCTGGACACTCCTCATTCTCCTTAGTTAGATCGTCTCCTCTACCCTCCCCTTAAAAGCTGGACTTTCCCAGGCTCCCATCTCAGGCTGCCTTCTGGTCCCTACCTGTAGTGTCTTTTTATTTTTTTTATTTTTGAGACGGAGTCTTGCTCTTGCCCCCCAGGCTGGAGTGCAATGGCGCGATGTCGGCTCACTGCAACCTCCGCCTCCTGGGTTCAAGCGATTCTCCTGCCTCAGCCTCCCAAGTAGCTGGGATTACAGGCGCGCACCACCGTGCCTGGCTAATTTTTTTTTTTGAGACAGAGTCTTGCTCTGTTGCCCAGACTGAAGTGCAGTGGCGTGATCTTGGCTCACTGCAAGCTCCGCCTCCCGGTTACACGCCATTCTCCTGCCTCAGCCTCCCTGGTAGCTGGGACTACAGGCGCCCGCCACCACGCCCGGCTAATTTTTTTGTATTTTTAGTAAAGACGGGGTTTCACCATGTTAGCCAGGATGGTCTTGATCTCCAGACCTCGTGATCCGCCCGCCTCGGCCTCCCAAAGTGCTGGGATTACAGGTGTGAGCCACCGCACCCGGCCATGCCTGGCTAATTTTTGTATTTTTAGTAGAGACGGGGTTTCACCATCTTGGCCAGACTGGTCTCGAACTCTTGACCTCAGGTGATCCACCCGCCTTGGCCTCCCAAAGTGTTGAGATTACAGGCGTGAGCCACTGCGCCCAGCTGTCTTTACTTTTTTGAGACGGAGTCTCGCTCTGTCGCCCAGGCTGGAGTTATGCGGTGGCGCAATCTCGGCTCACTGCAACCTCAGCCTCCCGGGTAGCTGGGATTACAGGCACCCGCCACCACGCCAGGCTCATTTTTTTGTATTTTTTTAGTAGAGATGAGGATTCACCATGTTGGCCAGGCTGGTCTCGAACTCCTGACTTCAAGTGATCCTCCCACCTCGGCCTCCCAAAGTGCTAGGATTACAGGCGTGAGCCACCGCGCCCGGCCTGTAGTGTGTTTTTAGATGATGTCATCTACTCCTAGCTCTTTAATTAAGCACCATGTGTCAATGACTTTCTATTTTCTAGTTCCAGCCGTGGCCTCTCTTGAAACCACTCCCTGCCAGCTGGTTCCTCAGTGGCCAGCTCCACCTGGATATGTCCACAAAGTTACCACCTTAGCAAGTCTGAAGTCCAATTCCCGAGTTGTTTCTACTCTCCACCCAGCCCCAACCTATCCCTCCCCAAGGATCTTCATCTTACTTGTCCAGGTGACAGTAGGGCTGTCATCGGGTTCATGTCGAAGCCCACAGCCACTTTTGTCACTTCCCCTCTAAGACCACGCCTCTCCACCTGGACTGCCCACCTCCTCTCTCTCACCACTCATTTTCCAAAAAGCAGCTGGTCTGCTACCTGCGTTGGGAGATACTGACTATACTAATCCTCATGTCATAGCTCGGGGAGCTGACGTCCTCAGAGGTGAAAGGATTTGGTTAAGGTCAAGGAACGAGTGTTTGTGCAGAGTCCTCCATTTCCAAAACCAAACCCAGTGGTTCACCCGGGCCTCTCCAGACACAGATGTCGCGACGCTGGGCCTCCAGCCAGGTGCCCTTTTCAACTCCCTCCCGTTCGCTGTGGAAGCCACCCACCTGCCAACCTCATGTCCACTTCTCCTGCTGGGTTGGGACCGCCGGCAAGTGCACTGTTTGGGGGCAAAGCGGAAGGACAGGTTTGGGTGGGGGTCAGGGGCAAGCCTGTGCGGGACCCCTGCTGGGGGCGGGCGCGATCGGTGCTACGACCTGTTTGTCCAGCCGCCCGGCCAGGCAGGGCTCCTCGGAAACGCGCGGGGAAACCCTGCCTGGCCAGGAGGGGCCTCAGGAACCCGTTGGCTCACGATCTTGCCCACAGGAGCCTCCGGGGCTGGGACGAAGATGTGGTTCTCCTGGGCTCGGGCCGTTCCTCCGGGCCTGGGGGCTGGCGATGCGGGCCGGGCCGGAGATTTCTCTGGCCGTGGGGAGACGTGGGCTCGGTCAGGGAGGTTCCCTGTCAGGCCCGCCGACCCGCTCCGCCCCGGGAGAGGACGCAAGGCCGCTGCGCAGGGTGGCCAGGCAGGCCCGGCAATGGCGGCTAAGGGCGGGGCCACAGCCCGCCGGCCCCGCCCCCGGCAGCAGCTGCGCCGTCTGGCTCCACGCAGGCCCCGCCTCCAGACCCGCCTCTACCGCTCGCGCTGGCCGCCGCATGGGAGGGGCCTGAACCTGTCCCGCCCCGAACCTGTCCCGCCCCTGGATCCCTCGTCGGCCCCACCTCCGCAGTGCGTTCAGGCTGAACCCACCGGCCGCCGAGTGGGAGGGGCCCACGTCGGTCCCGCCCCGGAAGTCTCCCCTCGGCCCTTTCTCGGGTGGGAGAGCCCTGCCTACCCAGGCTTAGAGGGCTGGGGCTGCGCTTGCACCCTGAGGTCAGATTTGTGAGTCGTGGGAAGACGCAGATGGATCTGGGGCAGAATTAGAACCTGTTCCAAAGTTGATCCATGCGCTTTGTAAAGGCAAGGGAGGTACAGAGGCGCAGATAGGGAAGACCGCAGGATCCAGCGTGAGCCTCTGGCTGCCTTTCCTTAGGGTCTGTTTTCTGTCCAGAAGCGCGTTCCTGCTGTCTCTCGTTATCACTTTTATAATGGGACGGGGCGTCTCAAACTATTTCGACATCCTTGAAAACTCTTGCCTGCTCCGCCTGCCTGGTCTCTAACACCCTCCTCCTCAGAGCTGCTCAAGCTGTGTTGTTTACGCCACACCCCACCCTAAAAGCAGAGGAGAATACAACTTTCGGGGGCAGTGGAGGGGGGAGTTTAGCGCTATAACCCGAGGCTTTCACAGCAAACCAGAATTTATTTTGAGGCCTCTCAGGTTCAGCTTTCAAGTCACGTGACTTTCGCGTCCTACACAACTCTTATTTTCACTTGAAAACAAGTGTGACGTCGTGAATTCCCTAACAATAGGAAAAAAGAAGGCTCCAGAAAGAGCGGTGCTTGGCTTTCCCAGCGGCTCCAAATGGTGCCCGGCACCCAGCTGGCTGTATGGACCTGGGGTGGTCTCCGGCCGCAGGCAGACGCGGCCCTTCGGCCTTTCTCCAGTCACCCCAATTCTCCCTGACTGCCTGGCTATCTCCCCTCCGCGCCTGCCCGCACGCTGCCCCCAACACTGCCCGGGCTCCCTCTGCCCATGAGAACACGGGTCAAGCTCCCGTCCCTTCTGCCCTGCCGGCTGCCCCAAGTGCGCCCTGACCACCTACTGCGCTGGCATGGCCGGGGCCACCCTGACAGCTGATCCATCATCTGTCTGGAGAGCAGCAGCAGGGCCCAATGAGAACCACGGAAACCTCCCTGCCCTTTGACCCAACTTACGGGAATCTCCTACCCTTAGGGAAACAATGCAAAATATAGAGAAAGTTTATAGAGCCGGGCATGGGAGAGCCCTGGTTAGAATCCAGCAGCTTCTATACTGGAGTACTCAACAGGGTCAAGGTCCCTTTCAGCTGCCTGCTGCTGGGGCCAGGGCTTTGCATTTGCGTTTTGTCATGGAATTTGACAGCCTCTCAAGTAATTATGGTAACGAATCTTGGGCTCCATGCCCTCCTCAGGGGGGCCCAGTCGAAGAAGCTCCAGGTTACTCACACCCTTGAGCTGCCAGCCGGTGTTTTTCAAAGACAATATTTACATGTTGTTCAGAGCAGGCATTTATGAAAGTGTTGCTTTAATGAGTCCCCCTGAGCATTCCGAGACAACTCTCCCTTCCTTGGGGACACCACGTGGGTGATGGGCCAGAGGCCTGGGATTCAGTTCCACGTCTTCCGTGCTTCCTGGGGCAGCCTTGCAAAAGTCCCTTATTTTCTCTGGGATGGTTTGGATTCCTGTGGGGGTCTGGCCAGCACGGTGACTAGAGCACATGGTCTGTCACCATCCAGGCCAACGTCCTGGGGTACACTCACAGTCATCTGTTCTTCCAGGTCAGCCCTCATAGATCAGGGCAGCTTCAGCAGTTCTCAAATAGCAGATGTTACAAAATGGGGGTGGGCAATCCTGCAGCAGACGTCTCTGCACTTTCTGTTAGAAGGACACCCCAGGTATTTTTGAGCACTGTTCTGAAGACGGAAAAATCCAGAGTATACATACACTTAAAGCTGGGAGGGGCACCTGCCGGGGAGAATGCATAAGGGATAGAAACAAAAATAGAGGGCCGAAGCCTCTGCCAGGCAGAAGACACTGAGTTCTCAGCAAAGAGAACACCTTTCAGTGCTGTGGTCAAAGGGATGTCAAGCCTCCTGAGGCCCGGAAAGAGCAGGAAACTGAGGGCAGAATTGGAAAAAATCAAGTTACAGACACACACCACGGGATAACCTCTATACAGAGAGGAGCACACCCAAAATAATACTATATATTTATAGATGTACTTTTGTATTGGGGTAAGACATATATAACATAACATTTGCCATCCAAATCATTTTAAGTATACGATCCTGTGGCATCAGTTACATTCACAATGTTGTACAACCATCACTACTATCTTTTTGTGTGTGTGTATATTACTTTTTTTTTTTTTTCCCCCGAGACAGAGTCTTGCTCTGTCTCCAGGCTGGAGTGCAGTGGCTCAATCTTGGCTCATTGCAACCTCTGCCTACCAGGTTCAAGCAATTCTCCTGCCTCAGTCTCCTAAGTAGCTGGGATTACAGGTGCCTGCCATCATACCCAGCTAATTTTTATATTTTTAGTAGAGACGGGGTTTCAACATGCTGGCCAGGCTCGTTTCAAACTCCTGAGCTCGTGTTCTGCCGGCCTTGGCCTCCCAAAGTGCTGGGATTACAGGCGTGAGCTACTGTGCCCGGCCATGTATTACTTTTATGGGCTCATATATATGTCCATAGAAATATAGAGTTCTTTTAAAAATTCTATCAATAGATATTTCTTTTTCTCTTTTCTTTTCTTTTTTTTTTTTTTTTTGAGTCAGAATCTCACTCTGTTGCCCAGGCTGGAGTGCAGTTGCGTGATCTCGGCTCACTGCAACTCCTGCTTCCCGGGTTCAAGTGATTCTCCTGCATCAGCCTCCCGAGAAGCTGGAACTACAGGCGTCTGTCACCATACCCGGCTAATTTTTTTGTATTTTTAGTAGAGATGGGGTTTCACTAGTTGGCTAGGCTGGTCTCGAACTCCTGACCTCAGGTGATCCGCCTGCCTCGGCCTCCCAAAGTGCTAGGATTACAGGCATGTGCCACCATGCACGGAAATCAATAGATATTTCATTTCCACCAATACAGAAGCATCAGTTAACAGTGACTGGTTGACACTTTTAGAAAGTGGCTTGAGAAGGGCCCTGAATGAGCCACCTACGTGGAACACAGAATTTGAGATGTGCAAATGTGGAGACCTGAAGGCTTGTTATGGGAACAAAAGGTGGCTGTGTATAGAGAGGAGCGCAGATAAAGGGGACTTATCAGCAGTCGCAGGGAGTTCATGCTCAACAACTGGCAACAAGCGGGGCAGCTACAGGCTACTCAACTGGGGATTGATGCGCGGTGCCTCTGAGGTTCAGCTCTGGGCCTGATCGTCCAAGAAAGGGCAGCTAAGGTGGGCATAGTGAATCACGCCTGTAATCCTAGGACTTTGGGAGGCTGAGGTGGGCATAGTGAATCACGCCTGTAATCCTAGGACTTTGGGAGGCTGAGGTGGGCATAGTGAATCACGCCTGTAATCCTAGGACTTTGGGAGGCTGAGGTGGGAGGATTGCTTGAAGCCAGGAACTTGAGACCAGCCTGGGCAACAAAGTGAGACCCTGCATATATATATATATATATATATATATATATATATATATTTACACAAATAAATAAAGGGCAGCTAGACTCCACAGAAACCATGTTGAAGATTCCTGTGCAGGAAGGGGGTGATAAAATGCAGAAACCTGACCTGACACAGCCAACACATAACTGCATTGCCTCATTTTTCACGATTTTTTTCTTTCTTTTTGGAGAGAGGGTCTCATTGTGTTGCCCAGGCTGGAGTGCAGTGGCGCAGTCACAGCTCACTGCAACCTCTGCCTCCCAGGCTCAAGCGATTCTCCTGCCTCAGCCTCCTCAGCAGCTGGGATTACAGGCATGTGCCACTACTGGCCGGCTAATTTCTGTATTTTTAGTAGAGACGGGGTTTCACCATGTTGGCCAGGCTGGTCTTGAACTCCTGGCCTCAAATGATCCACCTGCCTCGGCCTCCTAAAGTGCTGGGATTACAGGCGTGAGTCACCACGCCCAGCCATTAATTGCCAAGTCTCATTGGCTCCTAGTGTCTTAATCCACATCTGCTAAAGTTGTTTAAGGTACAGCTAAAACATCACCCAGGCTGGGCTCAGTGGCTCACACCTGTAATCCCAGTAATTTGGAAGGCCCAGGCGGGAGTATCACTTGAGCCCAGGAGTTCGAGACCAGCCTGGACAACACAGGAAGACCTTATCTCTACCAAAAATACAAAAATTAGCAGCATGTGGTGGTGCACACCTGTGGTCCCAGATACTTGGGAGGCTGAGGTGGGAGGATCACTTGAGCCCAGGAGGTCAAGGCTGCAGTGAGCTATGATCACACCACTGCACTCCAGCCTGGGCAGCAGAGCAAGGCCCTGTCTCAAAAAAATAAAATAGGGGCCAGGCACGGTGGCTCACGCCTGTAATCTCAGCACTTTGGGAGGCTGAGGCAGGTGAATCACCTGAGGTCAGGAGTTCAGGACCAGCCTGGCCAACATGGTGAAACCTCGTCTCTACTAAAAATACAAAAATTAGCTGGGCATGGTGGTACACGCCTGTAATACCAGATACTCGGGAGGCTGAGGCAGGAGAATCGCTTTAACCTGGGAGGTGGAGGTTGCAGTGAGCCGAGATTGTGCCACTGCACTGCAGCCTGGGTGACAGAGCGAGACTCTGTCTCTAAATAAATAAATAAAATAAATAAATAAATAAATAAGGCTGGGTGCGGTGGCTCACGCCTGTAATCCCAGCACTTTGGGAGGCCAAGTGTAGGGAAAAGAGAGATCAGACTGTCACTGTGTCTACGTAGAAAGGGAAGACATAAGAGACTCCATTTTGAAAAAGACCTGTACTTTAAACAATTGCTTTGCTGAGATGTTGTTAATTTGTAGCTTTGCCCCAGCCACTTTGACCCAACCACTTTGATCCAATCTGGAGCTCACAAAAACATGTGTTGTATAAAATCAAGGTTTAAAAGGGACCTAGGGCTGTGCAGGACGTGCCTTGTTAACAAAATGCTTACAGGCAGTATGCTTGGTAAAAGTCATCGCCATTCTCTAGTCTCAATAAACCAGGGGCACAATGCACTGCGGAAAGCCGCAGGGACCTCTGCCCTGGAAAGCCGGGTATTGTCCAAGGTTTCTCCCCATGTGATAGTCTGAAATATGGCCTCGTGGGATGAGAAAGACCTGACCGTCCCCCAGCCCAACACCCGTAAAGGGTCTGTGCTGAGGTGGATTAGTAAAAGAGGAAAGCCTCTTGCAGTTGAGATAGAGGAAGGCCACTGTCTCCTGCCTGCCCCTGGGAACTGAATGTCTCGGTATAAAACCTGATTGTACATTTGTTCAATTCTGAGATCGGAGAAGAACCGCCCTATGGCGGGAGGCGAGACATGTTGGCAGCAATGCTGCCTTGTTATTCTTTACTCCACTGAGATGTTTGGGCGGAGAGAAACATAAATCTGGCCTACGTGCACATCCAGGCATAGTACCTTCCCTTGAACTTAATTATGACATAGATTCTTTTGCTCACGTTTTTTGCTGACCTTCTCCTTATTATCACCCTGCTCTCCTACTGCATTCCTTTTTGCTGAAATAATGAAAATAATAATCAATAAAAACTGAGGGAACTCAGAGGCCAGTGCAGGTCCTTGGTGTGCTGAGCGCCGGTCCCCTGGGCCCACTATTGTTTCTCTATACTTTGTCTCTGTGTCTTAGTTCTTTTCTCAGTCTCTCGTCCCACCCAACTAGAAATACCCACAGATATGGAGGGGCAGGCCACCCCTTCACCAAGGGGCCAAGGCAGGCGGATCATGAGGTCAGGAGTTCGAGACCAGCCTGGCCAAGAGACCAGCCTGGCCAATATGGTGAAACCCCCGTCTCTACTAAAAATACAAAAATTAGCCAGGCATGGTGGCGGGTGCCTGTAATCTCAGCTACTGGGGAGGCTGAGGCAGGATAATTGCTTGAACCCAGGAGGTGGAGGTTGTGGCGAGCCGAGATCATGCCACTGTACTCCAGCAGCCTGGGCAATAAGGGTGAGACTTCATCTCACCAAAAAAAAAAAAAAAGCAGCTCCACTAGGAAGACTAAAATACTAAAATGATGGTGTGCTAACTTGAACAGTTAGGTTGTACAAGAAAGGACTTGACAGTTCCCTTTCTGATGTCCTCCAAGACATGGGTTCCATTTATATGCACCTTGTTCTTTCCTCAGACCTGTAACTTCAGCCTGGAGTTGAGCAGAAACATGGCTTCCTTGTCTTCAAGTCATTCTTGGGCTTCAGAGCGAAGATGCTGGACCTTTGAACCAACAAGCAGGTTACTGGTACCTTTGCCCTGAGAATACGCTGGTGGTGCTTGTGGCTGCAGTGTTTACCCCGAGATAACTTTGCCATGAAGTATCTTCCTTTTATTATTTTTTCATCGCTCTAGTATATCGACTTTGGAAACAAAAGACATCACTCTATTTAGAGCATTCCTTTCTTAGTAGTGGTATTTCCATTGACAAAAAAATAGTAATTCTGAATTGCCGAAAATGTCAAATCGTAGAAAATGTTGTTAGCCGAAGATTCATCTGATGAATCAGATTTTTCCAAAATAGATGATTCTGATGTTAGTTCTGTTTAGAAATAACTCCAAGTACAGTTTTTATATATTATTTTCACATTGAAAATCAGTCAGATTTACTTCAGCCTCAAAGAGTGTGTTTATGTAAAAATAAATGAGCACTGGCAACCTCCGCCTCCCGGGTTCAAGCAATTCTCCTGCCTCAGCCTCCCCAGTAGCTGAAATTACAGGCGCCCGCCACCACACCTGGCTAATTTTTGTATTTTTAGTAGAGACGAGGTTTCACTATGTTGGCCAGGCTGATCTTGAACTCCTGACCTCAGGTGATCTGCCTGCCTCAGCCTCCCAAAGTGCTGAGATATATAGGTGTGAGCCACGGCACCCGGCTGGCTTTTCAATGGTATATGGGAATGAGCTGCTTGGTCAGCTGGATAAATGTACTGTCAGCCTCAGGACTGCCTGCATTCACCCTGGGAAGCAGTCAAACCCCATGTGATGGGTCATTGGGTCATGAGATGCTGGAACATCACTGTATTGCTGGCTTTGGAGAAAGATAGATTTTTTTTTTTTTTTTTGAGACGGCGTTTCACTCCGTTGCCCAGGCTGGAGTGCAATGGTGTGACCTCGCCTCACTGCAACCTCCGCCTCCCGGGTCCAAGTGATTCTCCTGCCTCAGCCTCCCGAGTAGCTGGGATTACAGGCACCCACCACCAAGCCTGGCTAATTTTTGTATTTTTAGTAGAGACAGGGTTTCACCATGTTGGCCAGGCTGGTCTTGAACTCCTGACCTCAAGTGATCCGCCTGCCTCATCCTCCCAAAGTCCTGGGATTACAGGTGTGAGCCACCGTGCCTGGCCAAAAGGTAGATCTTGTCTCATTTTCCTGCCAGAAAGCTCCCTGAGGCTGAACATCTGAAAAAAGAACTCAGAAAGACGACCCCAGACATTTGCTGTGTACAGCGCTACCCAGAATTATTTGAAGAAAATGTTCAATTTCCTTCTTAATCTCTTCACTGACTCACTGGTCATTCAGGATCATATTGTTTAAGCAGAAAATGTTTGGGAAAAAAAAAAAAAACCACCACCACCACCACTAAAAAATAACAGCACTGGGTGGGTGTGGTGGCTCATGCTTGTAATCCCAGCACTTTGAAAGGCCAATGAGGGCGGATCACCTGAGGTCAAGAGTTCAAGACCAGCTCGGTCAACATGGCAAAATTCTGTCTCTACTAAAAATACAAAGATTAGCCAGGTGGTAGTGCGTGCCTGTTAATTCCAGCTTTTCAGGTGGCTGAGGCACAAGAATCGCTTGAACCAATGAGGTGAAGGTTGCAGTGAGCCGAGATTGTGGCCACTGCACTCCAACCTGGGCTACAGAGTTGGACTGTGTCTCAAAAAAAAAAAAAAAAAAAAAAAAAAAGCAGCAAGACAGTGAAACAACTATTTACGTAGTACTTATATTGTATTAGATACTATAAGTTATCTAGAGATGATTAGATTATTTCAAGTGTATGGGAGGACTGGGGAGTTCTGCACTTTGGGAGGCTGAGGCAGGAGGATTGCTTCAGCCCAGGAGTTCAAGAGCAGCCTTGGCAACATGGCAAGATCCCAACTCTATTAAAAAAAAAATACAAATTTAAAAAGTACACAGGAGGGGCCGGGCACGGTGGCTCACGCCTATAAGCACTTTGGGAGGCCGAGGTGGGCGGATCACGAGGTCAGGAGTTCGAGACCAGACTGGCCAATATAGTGAAACCCCACCTCTACTAAAAATAAAAAAATTAGCTGGGCGTGGTGGCATATACCTGTAATCCCAGTGACTCGGGAGGCTGAGGGAGGAGAATCGCTTTAATCTGGGAGACGAAGGTTGCAGTGAGCCGAGATTGTGCCACTGCACTCAAGCCTGGGTGACAGACAAGACTCTGTCTCAAAAAAAAAAAAAAAAAGAAGTATACAGGAGGATGTGCGTAGGTTATATGCTGTGCCATTTTATATCAGGGACTTGAGCATCTGTGGATTTTGATACCCCTGGGGGTCCTGGAACCAATCCCCGTGGATACCAAGGGAAGACTCCACTCAACTCTGCCACTACAAACAGCATGTAAGCAAATGGGTGTGGCTGGGTTCCCATAAAACTGTATTTACAAACACCCAATGTCTACTTAGGTGAGCTGCACATTGACCTCTTTAGCTCGTTATTCCTTCTTGCATCTCAGATTGTTCCATCTAGTACTGGGTTTCTTCTGCTTGAGGCACACACTTTTTGGTGAGAAAATGTTGGTGGCAAATTCTTTGCTTTTGTTTGCACTTCACCATCATACTTGAAAGATTTTTTTTTTTTTAAGTCGGAGTCTCGCTCTTTTGCCCAGGCTGGAGTGCAGTGGCACAATCTAGGCTCACTACAACCTCTGCCTCCCGGGTTCAAGTGATTCTGCTTCAGCCTCCCACGCAGCTGGGATTACAGGCAAGCGCCACCATGCCTGGCTAATATTTGTATTTTTATTACAGACGGGGTTTCACCATGTTGTCTAGGCTGGTCTGGAACTCCTGACCTCAGGTGATCCGGCCACCTCGGCCTCCCAAAGTGCTGGGATCACAGGTGTGAGCCACCACGCCTGGCCAGCGACCATCATGCCCAGCCAGCCATCATTATATCTTCAAGTTTTGCTTCTGCCATACTTGCTGTCTTCTGTTTCTGTGAAATCAGTTAAATGTATGGAACACCTTCTCATTCTCCTTGCGGCTTCTTCCTCTGTCTTTAGTGTCTTCCCTGAACTTGTCTTTCTGGGTTGTATTCTGAATACATTCTTCTGAGCCAGTTTTTGGTTCCCGCATTCTCTCTTTGATGTTGCGTAATTTGCCACTAAACCAGTCCATCTACTTTTAAACTTACTAGCTCACATTTTACCTTTTTTGAGACAGGGTCTCACTATGTCGCCCAGGCTGGAGTGCAGTGGCTTGATCTTGGCTCACTGCAACCTCCACTTCCTGGCCTCAAGCGACCCTCCCATCTCAGCTTCCTGAGTAGATGGGACTACAGGCACTCGTCACCACACCTGGCTAGTTTTTGTATTTTTTGTAGACGTGGGGTCTCACCATGTTGCCCAGGCTGGCCTAGAACCCCTGGGCTCAAGCAATCTGTCTGCTTGATCCCTCCCAAAGTGCTGGGATTACAGGCATGAGCCACTGCACCCAGCTGTCCCACCACGACTTATTATTTCATTAGATCTGGTTAAGTACGGTTATTTTATGTCTGGCTAACAATTCCAGCGCCTGAAGACCTCACGATCTGTCGCTATTGCTCATTGTTTCTCTTGCAATGTTGTTTCCTGGTGCGCCCGGTTATCTCTGATGATGTGCTTGCCCTCATGCTTTAAAAAGTACCTGTAGGAGGAAGGAGTCTCTCCTGAGAGGGTTTGCTCTGGGTTCTGTCAGACAGGCAGAACCATCTGCATTGGGGAACTGCCCATCCAGGACCCCTTAAGCCAAGTGAAAGGCTTAAGGTTCCATGGTCAACCCTGGGAATTTGAACCCTGGGAACTTGAACCCTGGGAATTTGAACCCTGGGAATTTGAACCCTGGGAATTTGCACCCTGGCTCAGTTGCAATTCTGGGTTTCCTCTCAGTATGATGGGGCAGCAAGTTGGGGGCCTCAAGATTTGATTTCTGTCCTCTTCGCTTTATAGGGCTGTCAAGGAAAAGTTCCTGGGTGGGCAAAGGCAACTTGGGGGTTAATTTGTATCATGGGGTCCTAGTTTTCTCTGAAAATTTGGCCTTGCAAATGTGTGTGTGTGTGTGTGTGTGTGTATGAGTGTGTGTGTGTATATATATATATATTTATATATATATTTGAGACAGGGTCTTGCTGTGTGGCCCAGGCTGGAGTGCAATGGTGTGATCATGGCCCAAGTGAACCTCCCACCTCAGTCTCCTGAGTAGCTAGGACTACAGGCATGTGCCAACATGCCCGGCTAATTTTTGTATTATTGTAGAAACAGGGTTTCATCATGTTGCTCTGCTGGTCTGGAACTCTTGGGCTCAAGCAAAATGCCCAAAGTGCTGGGATTACAGGAGTGAGACACTGTGTCCAGCCATAGAGTCTCACTGTCCTTACAGAAAGCCAGAATTCAGTCTGCTTCTTGTTCCCTCAAAGCTTCCTCGAAGTGTTCTAGTGGAGGCGAGCAGTGAAGCTCTAGGAGGCAAGAGGCCTTCTCAGGGACCCCAGCTTTGGCCTGTATGTCTGGGTGTCGTCCTGGACTAGTCTGATCACGTCTCACAGCTGAGTTTCTCAGCTTCTCCTCCTGCAGTACAGGAAGGACAATCCCTTCCGACTGCTTCTCACAGGGAGAGGGCAGTGGTGAGCCTAGAAAATAAAGGCCCGAAGCCAGCCCCGCCCCATTTGTGCCTCTCCCTCCTCTCCTTTTCTGCTTCGCAGAGCAGACAATGCAACAGTCGCCCCCGCCCAGCTCAGCCTGAAGACCCCTTCTCCACTCCCATCCCTTTCTGGCTCAGCCACCCGGCAGTGGGCCAGGTTCGGATGGAGGGAGGGAGAGGAGCTGGAGAGAGTTTTAAGTACTCTCTGGGCTTCTCACATTGCTGGCTTCAGTGGTTGCTGGACGCAAATTGATGTGATGTCAGACACCGGCAGCAGAGAAGGAAGCTAAGGCATTTGGGTCTGTGCTGCTGTGGCACCTGGGACTCAGTGTGAAGGGATCAGGCTAGGTTTGAAATTCTCTTCCGGCTTAATAATTTGCAGGTCTGGGCTGGGAGGTAAAGCTCTGAGTACACTGCGAGTGTCAGGGGTCCGGCAGGGGGGCTCTTTCCAGCTCCTACCCACTCCCGCGTGGGGTGAAACCTTGAGAGATGAGACACCAATCCAGGGCCTCTGAAGACCCACGAGGTAGAGTGCACTTAACAGTAAATTGTGGGCTGGGTGCGGTGGCTCTTGCCTGTAATCCCAGCACTTTGAGAAGCCTAGGCGGGTGGATCACGGGGTCAAGAGATAGAGACCATCCTGACCAACATGGTGAAACCCCATCTCTACTAAAAATACAAAAATTAGCTGTGTGTGCTGGCGGGTGCCTGTAGTCCCAGCTACTTGGGAGGCTGAGGCAGGAGAATCACTTGACCCCAGGTGGTGGAGGTTGCAGTGAACTGAGATCGCGCCACTGCACTCCTGCACGCCAGCCTGGCGAAAGAGCAAGAGTCTGTCTCAAAAAAAAAAAAAAAGAAAAAGAAAAAAAGAAAAAAAAAAAGAGTAAATTGTGGCCAGGTGCGGTGGCCCATGCCTGTAATCCCAGCACTTTGAGAAGCCTAGGCGGGTGGATCACGGGGTCAAGAGATAGAGACCATCCTGACCAACATGGTGAAACCCCATCTCTACTAAAAATACAAAAATTAGCTGTGTGTGCTGGCGGGTGCCTGTAGTCCCAGCTACTTGGGAGGCTGAGGCAGGAGAATCACTTGACCCCAGGTGGTGGAGGTTGCAGTGAACTGAGATCACGCCACTGCACTCCTGCACGCCAGCCTGGCGAAAGAGCAAGAGTCTGTCTCAAAAAAAAAAAAAGAAAAAAAAGAAAAAAAGAAAAAAAAAAAGAGTAAATTGTGGCCAGGTGCGGTGGCCCATGCCTGTAATCCCAGCACTTTGGGAGGCTGAGGCGGGCGGATCACGGGAGTTCAAGATCAGCCTGGCCAGCATGGGGAAACCCCATCTCTACTAAAAATAAAAATTAGCTGGGCATGGTAGCGGGCGCCTGTAATACCAGCTACTCAGGATGCTGAGACAGAAGAATTGCTTGAACCTGGGAGGTAGAGGTTGCAGCGAGCAGAGATCGTGCCACTGCACTCCAGCCTGAGTGCCAGAGCCACACTCTGTCTCAAAAAACAAAAACAAAAACAAACAAAAAACCCGGTAAATTGCGGGGCCGAGTGCAGTGGCTCACGCCTGTAATCCCAGCACTTTGGGCCGCCAAGGCTGGGGGATCACCTAAGGTTAAGAGTTCGAGACCAACCTGCCCAACATGATGAAACCCCGTCTCTACTAAAAATACAAAAATTAGCCAGGCGTGGTGGCGTACACCTGTAGCCTCAGCTACTTGAGAGGCTGAGGCAGGAGAATCACTTGAACCCAGGAGGTGGAGGTTGCAGTGAGCCGAGATCACGCCAGTGTAGTCCAGACTGGGCGACAGAGCAAAACTCCATCTCAAAAAAAAAAAAAAAAAAAAAAAAAAAAAAAAGAGTACATTGCAGGCCAAGCGTGGTGGCTCACGCCTGTAGACCCAGCTACTCAGGAGGCTGAGGTAGGAGGATGCTTGAACCTGGGAGGTGGAAGCTGCAGTGAGTTGTGATTGCGTCACTGCACTCCAACCTGGGCAACAGAGTGAGATCCAGTCTCAAAAAAAAAAAAAAAAAAAAAAAAAAAAGCAAATTGTGGCTGAATTCTTTGGCATTGCAGGCAGAGAAGGGGTGAAAACAGGGCTCCAGCCTTGAACCGGTCAGCAGGGGTCAGGGAGGCTGAGTGAGTCACCCTATGGAATGGGCCAGGGTGGATCTGGGCTCACAGGCAAGGGCCTCAGTGCTCCTGTGAGCTCCAAGGGGCTGGGGAGGACTGCCTTCTTGTTCAGGGTACAGCTCGTGTTGTTTTCTCGGGCTTATGTCCATGTCTCAGTGTGGACACCCGCAACTGAGGTGACAGTGGAATGCCCTGACCTGATCTCTCATTCTCTCCCATTGTGGACCCAGTGCTGTCCTCACCTGGGACCTCCTGCCTCCACCCAAGTAGGCGCCCAGAGCTGAAGGGACAGTTGCCTGATGGGTTCAGGTGCCAGTGGATGGTCTTCCACCTCCCGGGTTCAAGCGATTGTCCTGCCTCAGCCTCCTGAGTAGCTGGGACCACAGGTGCCCGCCACCACGCCTGGCAAATTTTTGTATTTTTTTTGGTAGGGACATGTTTTCGTCATGTTGGTCAGGCTGGTCTTGAACTTCTGGCCTCAAGTGATCTGCCCATCTTGGCTTCCTAAAGTGCTGAGATTACACGCTTGAGCCACTGCGCCTGGCCTTACTTGGGTGTTGTTCCCTGCCCTGGAACCTACCCTGCTTAGCCTTACCACACCCCATCAGCCCCCAGCCCAACCCGACTCTCAGCCTTGCCACAGCCCCTTCTGGAGGCCACAGGAACCAGGACAAGAGGACTAAAACCACTGCCCCTGTGGCCGAAGCCTGGCCCCCAATCCTGTGCACACAGAGCCCACTGAGCCTGTGACCTGTCCTTGGCCCCCATCAAGCTCCTTTCCCTATCTAGGGTCCAGGTGAACTTGGCATACTTCCTCCCTCTGAAAACTCAAGAGGTGCCACTCCCCATTCAGGGCACAGGAAGAGCAAGAATTGAACACCGGGATGCAGCATGTGTCCCTGTTGCCACAGGTCTCACCAGAGGCCTCCTTCATTCTACGACATCGGGCCCTGCTACCTGCAGCGCCCAGGGTGCGCGTCCTCACCTGTGCTGCGGGTGGAACACTCCTCCCTGGCCACTTTCCAGGCCACTGGTTTGCTCTCCGCAAAGGACAAATCCCAGCACCACCTGGTTATTTTGTTCCCTGCCGGCCTCACCTCCTAGAACCCGGGCCACAAGTGCAGGGACCATAGTGTCTGGTTTCGCCATCTCCCTGGCAGGACACATGCTGCACTGAAACACCCAGGGGCTGTGTGGGGAGCAGTGCAGGGGCTGAACAGCGGCCCCCAAATACATGTCTCCTGGGAGTTCCTGATGTGGCCTTATTTGGAAATAGGAGGTCTGCAGATGTCGCTGAGTTAGGACATAGAAGTCACACCATGGGGAGGCCACGAGAAGACAGGCAGAGTGAGTGGAGTGAGGTGACCACCAGCCCAAGATGCCTGGTTCCCCAGGAGCTGGAGAGGGCAGGAAGGACCCTCCCCTTGGGCCTCTGGCGGGAGTGCTGGATCTTGGACTCTGGCCTCCAGAACTGGGAGAATCAGCCTATGTTGAGAGCTGCCCAGTGTGTGGCCCTTCTGCCTGGAAGGGGTGGCTGGGCCTGGCTGTGCATCACTGTGGACTGTCCCCTCTCCCTTGGCCTCTGACATCAGTCACAAAACCCATCCCCTCTCCTTCCTAAATACTTCTGTGGACTGGCAGTGTTGCTGGAAGTCATCTTGGGTGGGGCAGGGACATGGACAGTAAGAGCGGAAGGTGACCCCACATCCTTGCACCTCAAGCTGGTCTCACAATGACAATATGCGTGGAGCGGAGGAGGACTCAGGAGGTGTCTCTGACACCAAACATGGTCATGGCTGGACATGGGGTCAGAACCAGAAGTGAGGAGGCTCCTCAGTGGCCACAGAGGAAGCACCCGGGTGACTTGGGGAGTGGGACAAGGAAGTGGGTCCTCAGGGAAGCAAATGACAAGGGGACAGGAGGGGCTGTTTGCGGATTTAATGGCAGGGCATTGAGGTTGGGAGGGGTCCCAGCTGCTGCGTCTGCTTTTCTTATAGCAGAGAGGCTGCCTACGGGTGGCACGGGGTGGCCATGGAGTGCAGAGTTGGTGGGACAGGGGACATCCAGGGGGCTCGAGATGTTGCTGGTGACAAGGAATGTCAAGTGGCACTGAGGCTGGCGGGCAAGGCCACAGGCAGATTCTCTCACGTGGGTGCTCGCCCCTTTCCTCCCCCTCGTCCCTCCCTCCCACCCTGGCCCCACTCAGGAGTGAGACCCAGTGGCCAATAAGCTCTGGGACAGACGAATGGGCGCCCTCCTCCTTCCTTCTGTTGGGCTGGAGTGAGTGGAGGAGGTGACTCAGCTCCTGGGCTCAGGCAGGGTCTGGAGGGGCCAGGATGGTCTCGAGTGCTTGGCAGCTGAGGAATGTAGCTGGGCTCGGGTAGTAGCAGCAGCGAGGGGCGGGCCAGGGTGGCCAGAGCCCGGGGCCAGGAATGTGCAGCTGAGGTCAATGGTCCCGGAGTCCTCCCGACTCGGGGTCGGGCGGCGGGAAGGAGGGTGGCCGTGGCGGGGGTGGAGGTGGGTGCCCAGGGCTCAGAGCTTGTGGGGGTTCACCCACTTGTAGGTGCCCTCATACTGGAAACCCACTCTCTTCATCAGCTCGTCTGCCTCCGTGGGGCCTCGGCTGGAGAGTGACGGGTGGAGGAGAGGCATGAGGTAGCTCCACCCTCACCCCGCCCCTGCCCGCTGGGCTCTGTCCCCAGCCCCCACCCTTTCCTCACCTGCCATAAATATAGGGGATGGGCTTGGGCTTCTCCAGCTCAATCTGGTGCAGCAGTGGGGTGAAAATACGCCAGGCCTCACGGAGCTCGTCGCTGAGGGGACATGGTATGGCTTGGGAGGCCGGTGGCACACAGGGAGGGAGGGCAAAGGCCACCCCATAGCCCACAGGTATGCAGGGGCCGGCAGCTGGGCCTCACCTGCGCACGAAGTGCATCTGGCTCCCGCAGAAGACGTCCAGGATGAGGCGCTCATAGGCGTCAGGGAGCTTCACGTTCTGTGAGGGAGAGAGTGTCTTGCTGATGCCACTGCCTGCCACCATGTGGAGTCCCCCGGGCCCAGGCCGCCCACCCTCCACACTGCTCCTTCTCTGTAGGGCACCTTGTATCTGTTGCCGTAGGTCAGGTCCAGCTCCGACTCCTCGGGGTTGAAGAACATGCCCGGCTTCTTGGTCATCATCTTGGTGTACACGGCCTCGTTGGGCTGCACGCGGATCACCAGCTCGTTGCGCTTGCACTGCTGGTGGAAGATGTCGCCGGCCACATCATGGAACTGCAGCCTCACCTCGGCCTTGCGCTCGTTCAGGGCCTTGCCGCAGCGCAGGATGAAGGGCACCCCTACGTGGCGGAAAGGGCAGCCTCAGCACCAGCTCTCTCAGGGTGTGGACCAGTGCGTGAGTGTCTCAGTGGGAGCTCCAGTGCCCGCACACAGGGCATGCCCAGTTCTGCCTTGCTGGGCCTCGAAGGCATCACCTACCATCCCACCTCTCATTCTCCACATAGAGGACGACGGCTGCAAAAGTGGCGGTGGTGGACCCGCGGGGCACCGTGGGGTCGTCCAGGTACCCTTTGGTGGCCTCGCCCTCTCCATCGGGGTTCCCCACGTACTGGCCCAGGACCACATTGTTGGCCTGCACCTCTGAGATGCATTTCAACACCTTGACCTGAGAGAAAGCCAAGGGAGAGAATGGGCTCCTTGGGTGTTGAGTTGGGGTGCAGGGATGACTGTGGCCACAGATGTGCAGCCCTCAGGGCAGGAGGAGGCCCCTGCTTGGCTCTGCTCACCCTGCCAGAGGCCCAGCTCAGGGCCCCTCCCTGAGGACCCTCCAGGACCACCCTGGTCCATCTCGAGTCTATTCTGATGAACAAGCTGAGGCCCAGAGAGGCAATGGCCTTCCCTGGTCACATAGTGACTGTCAGGCCTGGGACATGACAACTTGGGCTTCATGACTGCCAGTCCAGGTCACCTCCGGGAGGCCACGCTGTGCTCAGAGGTGGTGACTTCTCCGGGGTTGAGGACACCTGCTCTGCATGCACACCCCAGCTCAGTGCCTCGTCACAGATGGGCCTGCGACAGGGCATGCTCCTGGGGACTGGGGTGCACCCCCTACCTTCTCATCACGGACGTCATCTGAGTTGGTGGAGGCGGGCTTCTCCATGGCCACCAGACACAGCATCTGCAGTAGGTGGTTCTGCATCACGTCCCTGGGGACGGAAGAGGCCAGAGCTCGCCTTAGCTCCCCGCCCTGTTCACCTGGTTCAAGGGCATGGGGACCCCAAACAAGGCTTCCTAGTGACAAGCTGCAAGACTCACTTCCTGATCCCCCTTGTCTTCCAGGTCCCCTTAAATCAAGGAAGGACATGGTGATGCTATCACTGAATCATAAAACCGTGGGGTGCTTGGCTGTGTAGGGGTCCAGCCCTTTCCAGCCCGGTCTGATAGCTCAGACACTTAGGTTTTGAACTGCAGGGTGAGGAGGAGCTCCCCCAAGATAGGGAAGAGTAGCCCTGCAGGGTGACTGGCTCTGCCACCCTGTGCCAGCCTCCCAGGAGAGAGGAAGAGCTCTCACCGGATGATCCCAAATTCATCGAAATAGCCCCCGCGACCCTCAGTGCCAAAGGGCTCCTTGAAGGTGAGGATAACGCAGGCGATGTTGTCCCGGTTCCAGATGGGGCCGAAGATCCTGTTGGCAAATCTGCAGGGAGGGGCAAGGTGGAGGAACTGACCTTGGGCCTCTGTGGTGCAGGGGCCACATGTGAGGGGTCACCCTTGTCTGAGTTCTGGAGGAATTCGTCCTCGGGGAGGCAGTGGGCCAGGTGAGGCTCCTGAGTACCACCCCCACCCTGGTCCCCCGGCCCAGGCTTGGCCCCACCTCAGCACCATGAGGTTCTGCACCATCTCCTTGCCCAGGTAGTGGTCGATGCGGTAGATCTGGTCCTCACGGAACAGGGAGGAGATGTGGTTGGACAGCCGGTCAGAGCTCTGCAGGTCCCTCCCGAAGGGCTTCTCCACGATGATGCGGTTCCAGCCTCTGCTGGGAGCCCGGAGCTGCGTTACCCCCTTGAACCCCTCTTCGGGGAGTGAGGATCAGAGCTGCATCATTCAGACGCCCTCCCAGGGGAGTAGAGGCCAGAACCTCCTCGCCCCCGTGGCCACCTCCCGTGCCTTGTGTTCCCAGATGACCCTCTGGCTCAACACCTTCCGGGAAGCCTTCCCACCCTGGGTGCCAGGGTGGCATTGCTGGCATGCTGCCGGGGGCCCGTTCCCCTCCTGCCTCATGCTGGGTCCCCGGTGGGTCTGAGTGGCCTGAAGGCCTGTAGGGGAGCAGGGGGAGGAGGCATCCAAGCCATGGCTTCCTCATTGGTTTTGAAAATGAGAAGAGGACCTTTGCTTTACTACCCCCGCATTCAAAACCAGCCAGAGGACAAGAGCCTCTGGCTGGGTTGGGAAACCACCCAGCGCGGGCCATGCTGCATTCGCAGAGCAAGGCTGCCACCCTGCGGCCTGGCCGGGCCTTTGGGGAAGCAGAGCGGAAAGGCGGTGTTTCGTGGAGCAACGCTGCCACCTTGTGGTCCCGCTGGGGATGGCCCCGGCACCATGGATGCTGCCCAGATCCCCGGCCCCGGACACGCTCATAGAGTGGTGGGAGCACTGCCTGGGCCAGCCTGGCAGGCGGGAAGGGAGGGCAACGGCAAGCCTTACATCTGGCTCATGCAGGACTCGTGAATGTTCTTGGTGACGGCCTCGTAGACGGTCGGGGGCAAGGCCAGGTAGAAGAGGCGGTTGGCCTGTGACCCCAGGTGGAGGGCATTCATGTGGCTGTTGAGGCGCTGGTAGGAGGCTGCATCATCGTACTGGCCAGCCACATAGGAGTTGCGGGCAAAGAAGTCCTCCAGCTTGAGCTTCTCCTCTGGGGTGGCCTGGGAGACACGGACAGACAGACACACAGACAGATGTCAGCCCCTCTCTTTGAGTCCGTGTGTGTTCTGCCCCAGGGGAGTGGAGGGTCTTCCCTGGAGGTCCAGGGAGGGTGCCCTCAGAAGTCAGTGTCCCCGTCCCACACTGGGTTCAGCCCCATCTTAGCAGCTCTGCACATCCAGAGGGAGGGAGGCCAAAGCAGGCAGCACAGACACTGCCCCAGGCTGGGACCCCTGTGCCTTAGGACAGAGGCCAGATTTCAGGATATTTTGACCTGGGAGAAATACACTGGAGAAAGCTCTCTCTCCAAAATCATGACACCCAACTATGATTGGCGGAGAAAACGCAGCAGAGCACAGCAGGAGGGGACCTGTGGGTCCTGGTCACGGGGGCTGGTAATGGGGGTCTCAAGGAAGTACGAGAGCAGGCGGGGCGGGGCAGGAGAGGAGGAGAGCATCCCGGGATGGGATGGGGGGAGGTCCCCGAAGCTGGCCATGCTGGGGGCTGGTAGAGAGGGCAGAACCAGGCTGGGGGAGGCCCTGACACCACCCACCTTGAAGAAGGGCTCACTCTGTTTGCGGATGTCAGCCACTGTGAGGCGGGAACGGGCATAGCCCACGATGAAGGTGTTTTCGGGCAGAAGGCCATCCCGGAACAGCCACCTGAGGGCAGGGCACAGCTGTAACCAGTGCGGGCAGGGCAGGACCAGGCCTGTCCCTGGCGGGAGGTCACAGGGGCAGTGGTGGGACACACTTACCAGATGGTGGGGTAGATCTTCTTCTTGGCCAGGTCACCCTGTGGCAGAGGGAACAGGTGTGTGGTTAGAAGTGGCTGGGGACACGACCTACATACATCATCCTCCACCCTTGGTGATCTGGGCACTACTCAGGATCACTACTGGGCCACAAGCATGTCTGTCTTGCCTGATATACAGACAGAAGAGCCCCGAGATTCAAGCCTGTGCCAGCCCTCCATCCCTGACCCAGAAGACATAAACGCATCTCCTGCGTTCCAGGAGAAAACCTGAAAATTCAATTCAGTAGAACCAAGGGACGACAGAAGTACCATGTAGCCACATTTGTGAGACGTGACCTCAAGTGCTTACATTAGCAAAAAAGAGTGGTTCAAAAATAAGGAGCTAAGCATTCCACTTAAGAAGTGAGAAAAAGGGCCAGATGCGGTGGCTCACACCTGTAATCCCAGCACTTTGGGAGGCTGAGGCAGGCAGATCACCTGAAGTCAGGAGTTCAAGACCAGCCAATGTGGCAAAACCCCATCTCTATTAAAAATACAAAAATTAGCCAGGTGTGGTGGCAGGCACCTGTAATCCCAGTTACTCAGGAGGCTGAGGCAGGAGAATCACTTGAATCCGGGAGGCAGAGGTTGCAGTGAGCCGAGATCGTGCCACTGCACTCCAGCCTGGGTGACAAGAGTGAGACTTCATCTCCAAAAAAAAAGTGAGAAAAAGATAGAACTGCAAGCCAAATTACCAGGAAGAAAATAGGAAATAATGACAAGTAAAATTAATAAAATTAAAAGCTAACCCAAAGAAAAGATGAACAAAGCTGGAAATTGGTGTTTGAAAAAGACGAATAGAAACAGACAACCCCCTGGCATGGTTGCTTTTTTAAAAGGGCATAGGCCGGGCACAGTGGCTTACTCCTGTAATCCCAGCACTTTGAGAGGCCGAGGCAGGCGGATCAAGAGGTCAGGAGATCGAGACCATCCTGGCTGACACGGTGAAACCCCGCCTCTACCAAAAATACAAAAAATTAGCCAGGCGTGGTGGCGGGTGTCTGTAGTCCCAGCTACTCGGAAGGCTGAGGTAGGAGAATCACTTGAACCCGGGAGATGGAGGTTGCAGTGAGCCAAGATTGCACCATTGCACCCCAGCCTGGGCGACAAGAGTGAAACTCCGTCTCAAAAAACAAAAAACAAAAAAACAACTAAACAGCTGGACGCGGTGGCTCAAGCCTATAATCCCAGCACTTTGGAAGGCCGAGGCGGATGGATTACCTGAGTTCGGGAGTTCAAGACCAGCCTGACCAACATGGAGAAACCGTTTCTACTAAAAATACAAAATTGGCTGGGCATGGTGGCCCATGCCTGTAATCCCAGCTACTCAGGAGGCTGAGGCAGGAGAATCGCTTGAACCTGGGAGGCGGAGGTTGCAGTGAGCCAAGATCAAGCCACTGCACTCCAGCCTGGGCTACAAAAGCGAAACTCCGTCTCAAACAAACAAAAAACAGAGCAATGGACCTGAGAGGGGACAGTGGCCACAAATCTTCCTACAGAAACAACCCCCTGGCATAGAGAGTGTTGCCAGTGGGTTCTACCAAAATGCAAGCACAAGAGAATTCCAGCCTGAAGCAAACTCTTCCTGCAGAAGGAAGAAAGGGGAACACTTCCCAAGCCACCTTATGGGGCCTACAGAGCCTTGGTACGGAAACCTGATGAGAAAGGCACATGGGAAAACCCATACGCCTCATTCACACACACATGCAGATGCAGAAATCCCACACGAAATATCAGCAGGCCGGGCACAACTCACACACCCCAGCACTTTGGGAGACCAAGGTGGGAGGAAGATTGCTTGAAATCAGGAGGTTTTTTTTTTTTTTTTTTTTTAAAGACATGGTCTCACTCTGTCACCTAGGCTGGAGTGCAGTGGCACGATCTCAGTTCACTGCAACCTCTGCCTCTGGGCTCAAGCAATCCTCCCACCTCAGCCTCTGGAGTAGCTGGGACTACAGGTACATGCCAACACACCCAGCTAATTTTTTGTATTTTTTGTAGAGACAGGGTTTCCCCATGTTGTCCAGGCTGCTCTTGAACTCCTGGGCTCAAGTGATCTGCCCGCCTCAGCCTCCCAAAGTGTTGGGATTACAGGCGTGAGCCACGACGACCCACTGACCCTGTCTCTTTAAAAAAAAAGAAGAAAACATCAGCAAACCAAATCCTGCAATGTTAAAAACGGTAGGTTTTTTATTTACAGAATAAATACATCTGTAAATAAAAAGTTGGTTTGATATTAACAGAAAAAAATCATTGAAATTCACCATATTAAGAGATTAAAAAAAACCTCTAAGAACTCTCTGCCTACTGCTATGTTTTGATTTTTTAAATCTAGCAATCTTGCTCAACCCAACAGATGTAGATCAAGTGTTTCAGAAATCACCTATTCACGCTAAAACTCTTAGCAGAGGGGGAATGCAAGGGAACTTCACTAACTTGATAAAGGGCATCTATAAAACACCATTCTGGCTGGGCGTGGTGGCTCAAGCCTGTAATCCCAGCACTTTGGGAGGCCGAGGCGGGGAATCGCTTGAGGTCAGGAGTTTGAGACCAGCCTGACCAACATGGTGAAACCCCATTTCTACTAAAAATACAAAACTTAGCTGAACATGGTGGTGTATGCCTGTAATCCCAGCTATTCAGGAGACTGAGGCAGGAGAATCGCTTGAACCAGGAGGGAGAGACTGGAGTGAGCCGAGATCACACCACTGTAGCCTGAGCAACAGAGCTAGACGTCGTCTCAAAAAAAAAAACCACCACCAAAAAACAAAGAACAAAAAAACCCCCAAACCATCATCCTTACAAATACTACAAATATCACACTTATAGGAAATGCTGAAATATTAATCATCCCTTTAAGCAATCAGGAACAAGAAAAGTGCAGTAAGGCAAGAAAATGAAAATGGCTGAAGTTGAGCTGTGAGGTGGTGCGGGTGCTCCCTCTGATCAAGTGAAACACACACCTATCCTGTGACCTGGCCGTTCCACCCCAAGAGAAATGAAAGTGCAAGTCCACACAAAGACCTGCACACGAATGGTCACAGCAGCCTTGGTTCATAGCGGCCCCAAACTGGAAACAAGTCAAACACTTGAATTAACATGTGACCCGGCAAACTGTGCATTCATACAACGGATACTACTCAGCAACACTGGGAAATCTCAGCATCAGAGATGCAACCCATTGTGACAGAAATCAGATCAGCGGTTGCCTGGAGCAGGGCAGATTGGCTGGGAATGGGTACCCAGGAACTTTCTGGGGAGATGACGATGGCCTTTATTGTGATGAGGGTGTACAGCCAATTGTACAGTTAAGATTTGCGCACCAACAAAAGACGGCGAGAAAACCAACAATGGAGCGGAGGGTGGGGAGTGGGTCAGAAATGACCCTTTGAGGGCCAGTGACTGTGAGAGCCCCAGGTGAGGGGGCTTCCTGGGTGCAGAGCATATTCTGTTTCTTGATCTAGGAGCAGTTTCTGTGGCTGTGCTGAGTTTGTGAAAAGTCATCAACAAGCTAGACCTGCACCATCTGTGTTCTTCATGACATGTATTTCTTTTTTTTTTTGAGACGGAGTCTCACTCTGTCGGCCAGGCTGGAGTGCAGTGGCGTGATCTTGGCTCACTGAAATCTCCACCTCCTGGGTTCAAGCCATTCTCCTGCCTCAGCCTCCTGAGTAGCTGGGACTCCAGGCACCTGCCACCACGCCCGGCTAATTTTTGTATTTTTACTAGAGATGGGGTTTCGCCATGTTGGCCAGGCTGGCCTCAAACTCCTGACCTTGTGATCCACCTGCCGTGGCCTCCCAAAGTGCTGGCATTACAGGCGTGAGCCACCGTGGCCGGCCCATGACATATATTTCAATAAAACATGGTAAAAACTAATAGTCTGGGCGTGGTGGCTCATGCCTGTAACCCCAGCACTTTGGGAGGCTGAGGAGGGTGGATCACCTGAGGTCAGGAGTTCGAGACCAGCCTGGCAAACATGGTGAAACCCCGTCTCTACTAAAAATACAGGCCAGGCGCGGTGGCTCATGCCTGTAATCCTAGCACTTTGGGAGGTTGAGGTGGGTGGATCACGAGGTCAGGAGATTGAGACCATCCTGGCCAACATGGTGAGACCCCGTTTCTACTAAAATACAAAAAATTAGCTGGATGTGGTGGTGCGCGCCTGTAGTCCCAGCTACTCGGGAGGCTGAGGCAGGGGAATTGCTTGAACCTCGCAGGTGGAGATTGCAGTGAGCCAAGATTGCGCCACTGTACTCCAGCCTGGTGAAAGAGCAAGACTCCATCTCAAAAAAAAGAAAAAACAAAAATTAGCTGGATGTGGTGGCAGGCACCTGGAATCCCAGCTACTCAGGAGGCTAAGGCAGGAGAATCACTTGAATCCAGGAGACGGAGGTTGCAGTGAGCCAAGATTGCGCCACCAAACTCCAGCCTGGGTGACAGCAAGACTCCATGTCACGAAAAAAAAAAAAAAAAAACACATGCTCTTCGAAGCAATCAGGCACTGCAACCATGGATGGGTCCATTTCTACAAACCATTACAGAATGGGGGCCATGCCACCAGGTCAAACGCCCTCACCCAGAGCCAGGCAGTTAGGAAGCCACCACAGGGCTTCCAGGAGGGCAACTGCTATGGTGTGGGTGCCTTGTGTGCTTGCGCTCTTCAGGGGCCCTGCTCCACTTCTGATGCTCCTCAGGTGAGCTCGGTGCCAGGACTACAGCGACACGGACCTCTCACTGCTGCACCCTTCAAAGTCCAGCAGACAACCCCTCGCCCTGGGGTAGGAGCTCCTCTACTCAGCTCCTCACAGCACCTGCCATCAGTGGGGCTGGGGAGGGGAACGTTGCCCATGTCACATCAACTCACGGCTGGCCCCACACAGAAAGGGTCAGCTTACTGGGAACTAACTGGACCCTGAAATAAACGGAAAGAACCACAGCCTGCAAATACCTCTAAGCCTCACTCAAAGCAGGTCATGTTTGCTCATGACCAAATTCCGGAAGACTGGGAGGCATCGGGACAGACTCCAGAAAGGTACTGGTGGCAGGGGACTGGTCTGCTGAGTCACAGCAACCCCACGCTCCAGGCCGTTTGTTCCTGCTGCTCCCTTTGGGATTAACTAGAGATTGAACCGGCTCACCTTGTTTCAGCTCAGGCCCTGCAACCGACCGACCGTCTGCTGGGCTCCAAGTCACCTGAGAGGCGAGGTGAGGTAAGACGGACAGTAGGGGTGGGGTAAGGCAGGCCGCTCTCTCCCATGGTGACAGGGAGCTAAGCTGAGCTGAGCCGGACTGAGCTGCTCTCCTCAGGACTCAGGGGTAGCCCTGCCCTCCCAGCTGGCTGCGATGCTCTAGTGGGACTTTCTGGAGGAACAAACATGGGAAGACATCGGGAAACCTGACAGCTTGGTCAAGAGTCTACTCGTGCCATGTGGGTGGGGGCAATTCAAGGGGTCCTTAGTGAAAAGCAGTTGGGAGCTTCTCATCTTCCCCACGCCCTCCTCTTTCCTGAGGACCACAGCAGGGGAGGGATCTGCCCAAGGACACAAGGTGACTTAGTAGAAGCAGGGCATGATGAAGATCTCTAGCCACCAACATCTGGCTAGGCCAGGGCAAAGGGACCTGGGCCATGACCTGTCTGTTTTATAAACCGAAATCGCTGCAGCCCTTGTCTTGGCATGAGGGTTTCATGGTAGAGCACGATGCCTGCTGGAGGGCCAGCGGGGGTGGGCCATCCCATCCCCAAGGGTCACTGGGGTTAAGGACCTGCCCAGACTCCCTGGGTGGAGCCCTGGGCCTTGGCAGGGGCCCAGCTGGTTCCTGGCCACTGGGGCCAGAGAACCTGGGGGCTGCTGAGTTAGTTCAGCTGAAAAACCAACAAAAGGGCCTCCCTGCTATACCCGGGGGCTCATGAGTCACCGGGGCTTTGGGGGAGTGCCAACATCATCATGACACAGCAAGAATCTTATCAGACCAATGGGGAAGTCAGCCCAGAAATGTTCTGAGGAAAGGGGAGGCGGGGGCCGCTGGGTCATCCCTCCCACAGGCCCATCATTGGGATGCGTCCTGAACGCCCATCAAGCCCATGGCCCTTGTGATCCAGGTGGGGAAACTAAGGCCCAGAGAAGTGAGGACCCCGCAGACTATCAATCCCAGTCTCTTCCCCTCACTCCCTGTGAAGCTCTCCAGCATCATCGAGGTCCCATCAGGTGGGGAAAGATGCTGTTCCAGGCGCACACTAGTCTACAAGGCCAGAGCTTTCTGGAAGGGGGCAGTAAGTACCTCGGCTCCCTTTCTGGTAGGGGTGGGAGTCCTGAGAAGGCAGGAAGTGGCCCACTTGGTAACTCTGAGGTGCCATCAGGGCCCCCAGGAAGGAAGCTGGGTGTGTGGGCAAGTGTGAGGTAAGCTGGCCAGGGAGGAGGAAGGGACAGAGGAAGGCCACGTGGGTCCAGCCTGCCCCAGGGTGTCCTGCTTGCCCAGGCTGTGGGTCTGCCAGCCACTTGCCTGCTTTCAGTTTCTAGGTCATGCTGAGCTTGTTCCCAACTCGGGGCTCCGGGCATTTGCTCTTCCTTCTGTGTTTGTGCTCTCCCGGCCCTCTTTGTGGGATCTATGCGCTTTGGGGGACTGGGGACACAGGGCCCATGTGTATCTTCTGAAACACACGTCAGCCTGAACTCTTGCTGGTCTGCTTACTTGCCGTGGTTCCCTGGCCGCAATAGCACATAGGTCCCATGAGGAGGGCAGGGACTGGCTGCTGTGGCCCAGAAGTACCCAATCGCTGTCTGCTCAATGAACGGAGAATGGGCTGCTTTCCTGGAACAGCAGATTCTAGGATCACGTGCCCTCAAGTGCCACCCTGCCTACCTCCCGCACCGAGTGAGGCATCAGGCGTGGAAGAAGCCTGGGAGCCGGAGCTGTTCCAGGTGCTGCCTGAGCACGCCACCTCCCATCTCCCCCACAGCAGGAAGAGGAAAAAACAAACCACGAGGCTCTTCAGAGAGAGGACCCCTTGTCCCCTACCCACAGTGCTGGAGCTGGCACTTCCTATTTCTGCTTTGAAAGCCTCAGGTTGTCACTCTCAGAACAGAGGAGAGCAAAGGGGAACCCTACTGATTTCAACAAAACAAAGTTGCCCAACCCGAAGCTGGCCACAGGCGGAGGCAGTGAAATGACAAAATCAGCTTGGAAAAGCCTAAGGACCCTGGGCCCTCGTTTCAAAAGCTGTCATTTGCTACACGAAATGCTGAGGTTCAGGAAAAGGAAGACACTTGCTCCAACTCACACAGCAAGCTTGGATGCTCTCAATGAGGTGTCTAATAAGAGCTGAAGGCCAGGAGTCATAAGCTATCATTGTGGCCTGGGTTGCTCTGTTGCAGTGCCTTGTGACAGCATGGGGTGGGGATGGAGAAAGCAACCTCAGTTACCTTCTCCTCCAGTCTGCTTCTTGGACTAAGGGTTTAACGGTCAGAGTCCTGGCTGTTAAGGTTTGTGGCTGATGCAGGTATGGCTCTTTTTATTTTTATTTTTTTGAGATGGAGTCTCACTCACTCCGTCACCCAGGATGGAGTGCAATGGTGCCATCTCAGCTCACTGCAACCTCCACCTCCTGGGTTCAAGCGATTTTCCTGCCTCAGCCTCCCAAGTAGCTGGGATTACAGATGGGTGCCACTACACCTAACTAATTTTTGTTATTTTTTTTTTTTTTTTGAGATGGAGTCTCACTCTGTCACCCAGGCTGGAATGCAGTGTTGCGATTTCTGCTCACTGCAAGCTCCGCCTCCCGAGTTCACGCCTTTCTCCTGCCTCAGCCTCCTGAGTAGCTGGACTACAGGTGCCCACACCAGGCCTGGCTAATTTTTTATTTAGTAGAGACGGGATTTCACCATGTTAGCCAGGATGGTCTCAATCTCCTGACCTCATGATCCACCCGCTTCAGCCTCCCAAAGTGCTGGGATTACAGACGTGAGCCACTGCGCCCGGCCTTTTTGTTTTGTTTTGTTTTGAGACAGAGTCTCGCTCTGTCGCCAGGCTGGAGTGCAGTGGCGCGATCTCAGCTCACTGCAACCTCTGACTCCCTGATTCAAGCGATTCTACTGCCTCAGCCTACTGAGTAGCTGGGACTACAGGCACGCACCACCACGCCCAGCTAATTTTTGTATTTTTAGTAGAGATGGGGTTTCACCATGTTGGCCAGGATGGTCTCGATCTCTTGACCTTGTGATCTGCCCACCTTGGCCCCCCAAAGTGCTGGGATTACAGATGTGAGCCACTGCGCCCAGCCAATTTTTGTATTTTAAGTAGAGACTGGGTTTCGCCATGTTGGCCAGGCTGGTGTCAAACTCCTGACCTCAGGCGATCCACCTGCCTCGGCCTCCCAAAGTGCTGGGAATACAGGCGTGAGCCACCGTGCCCGGCCAGGTATGGCTCTTCTGAGGGGACCAGGCTGGGGCTGGGGCTGAGGCCAAGCCCAATCTACTGTGGGCTCCACCTGGTACCTCTCCTGGGTCTCAGGCTTATGGGGAGTCAGAGGACAATGGCCCCTCCTTACTCTGCCACTGGCAGAGCCCTTCTCCCTCGGCTGCCTCCTCATTCCCTTTTGGCTCTCCTTTTCTAAGTTCTGATCAGAAGTACAAAGGTGTCAAGGAGTAGGTTTGACAAAGTGTGACAGCGCGTTGTTCTATGTGAACAAAGAACCACTGAGCTCAGCCAGCACTGAGGGGCGCACGATGTGGAAGAACTAACTAGTTTTGATAGAGCTCCTGCTCAAGGTTACAAGGTAAGTTAATGGCAAAGATGGTCATACAGTAATGAGCAGAGAGATTCTTGAGTGCATCCAGGGTTAAAAGTGAAAACTGAGACCACGTGTAATTTGAGATGAAGCCCTTGTTCCACCAGCCCCTGCACAGTCTCACTGCCCCATGGGACACAGGGGAGGGTGCTCTAGTCTCGGGCGATGGCTGTCCTAGGACCACCCCTCCCTCCCCTCCCATGGAAATCCTCATGCTATACTATTCTTTTGTCTTTCCTATGAGTGCAGAATGGCGGTTCTACAAGCTGGACAATTGGGGCCAGGTGGGGTGAGGCAGAGCTCCTTGGTAGGCTTTCGAAATTGAGGCAAAGAGACAGTGTTCAAAGAAAAGCTAAGTGTTTGTATCGACGGAACTTGAAGTGTTAGTGAAGAGGCAGAGATCAGGCCTCAGATCCTGCCTTTGGAACTCATTTGTTAAGGCATGAACAGGTCTGAAAAAACTACAGAATGAATAGCATTCCCTGTTTTCCCCAAGAAGTCCATCTAGACAGTCCCTAAAGAGCCTGCAACTCCAGGATTAAGGGCTACATTCAGCGGCTAGGCACAGGGTTCAGAAACGTCCTGCAGCCGGGCGTGGTGGCTCATGCCTGTCATCCCAGCACTTTGGGAGGCCGAGGCGGGCGGATCACTTGAGGTCAGGAGTTTGAGACCAGCCTGGTCAACATGGTGAAACTCCGTCTCTACTAACAATACAAAAATTAGCCGGGTGTGGTGGTGCATGCCTGTAATCTCAGCTACTTGGGGGGCTGAGGCAGGAGAATCGCTTGAACCCAGGAGGCCGAGGTTGCAGTGAGCCAAGATGGCGCCACTGCACCCCATCCTGGGCGACCAGAGCAAAACTCCGTCTCCAAAAAAAAAAAAAAAAAAAAGTCTTGCAAGTGCATATGCACACCAGGTAGAGCCGGGATGATCCTGGCGCACTAGCAGGAGCGGGAGGAGGAGCTCAACTTAGCAGAGCCTGTGGGGCCCTGCAACAATTAGTTGGAAAAGCTGAGGCATGGAGCAGGCACTTCCTGGCTTTTAAGATTGGGGCCTGGGAGATACTCACCGATGCACCCATGATGATGAATATGTGTGTATCCGACTGATGGAAGGCATCGCCCTGGAAAAGCTCTTCCCGCAGGATCCCGCACACCTGGGTCCGGCTCAGGGCCACCTGCTCTGCCATGACGCTGTCTGGTGGAAGAAAGGCTCGTTAACAAGGCAGAAGAACAGGAGAGCATTGAGAAGTTAGCCCCTTTCTTGAGAGTTCCTCTGGGGTCTCACACCAGGGTGACACCTGATTGCCCAAATCACTCCTTGTGAACGGCTGGGCATTGGGGAGTGGTTGATGGGTTAGAAACTGCTGGCTCTGGGCTCCAGCCACTCTCTCCTAGGCAGCCTTCATTCAGGGTGTACATTACAAAATTACTCAAAGCATTGGTGTATTCCGACTACAGCATCAATTCTGGACAACCGAGTAAAATCCTTGTGGGGCATGGAACTGCGTGCCCAGGACCATCTCATTCCCGACTGTAGCGGGAACTCCACAATGACCTGGAGCATGGGAGATGGTGCAGATGCTGGAGTTCAGCTCCAGCCCTCCCCTTGCCAAGCTGGGTGACCCCGGTCGGCAAGTCCCCTTCGCTCTCGGGGTCTCAGGGGCTCAAGAGAGGAGGTGCGGGGTATAAAGGGATTGGTTAAGACCCTCTCGATTCTGCTCGGTTCTCAAGCACAACAAACAGCGTGTATTTTACCGCCGCGCGGCGCAGCGCGGGACAGTACGCTCCTCCGCCTGCGCGGCGCCCGCCCGGCCGGTTACCTGCGCTTCGTCGTCGTCGCCCTCCGCGCTCGCAGCCCCGAAGTGTACGACCGTTTCCGGGGGCTGAGCCCCGCCGGCCCATTTAATCGGCGGGGGCGGGGGCGGGCGCCTGGGCTGAGCGGACCCGCCTCAGGCGAGGCGTGCGGGGCGGGGCCTCGGCCACCACCCCTCGTGCGGGCGGGGCGGGGCGAGGGCAGGTGCGCGCGCATCCCAGGCCAGCCCCTGCCTCTCGGGCACCTGCGCTGGAGGCCGGCCCGCCGGCTGCCTGCCATACCCGCTGCCGCTGCTCTGCATCCCCAATTCCGGCGGGCACGGGTGCAGCTCCGCGTAGTGCTCCCGCATCCCCATCGCCGGCCCGGCCCCGCCCCTACTGTCCGGTTTCCCCGCCTGCCCCGGCGGCCTCGCGCGCTCGCGGAGGGCTCCACTTCCGCCGGCAGCGTGGCCACGCCTCCTCTGGGCTGTCCCTCGGCTCCTGGGCGGGGCCTTCTGCCGCGCCACTCCCCCGGGAACCCTCGCCTGTTCGCGGGTCAAGCCGGCCCTATTGGGCAGTCTCTTCTTGATTCCTCCCCCGGAGAGGGCGGGGCGGCCGAGCGCCCCGAGGCTAGACGCCGCCGTCCGAGAGACGAGGGGGCGTGTAGGCGGTGACGCCCTGCAAAGTGGCCGGCGTGCTTATCATTACCGAGCTTCCGCGGGCCTGCAGAGCCTGGCGGACTCAGACTTCTCTCCGGAGCGGGATGCGGCCCTACCGCGGCCTCACACTTCTCGCCGGCTTCCCGAGTTCTCGGGGGCGGGGCTTGTGTTTTTACTTCCGGATCCCACAGCTATGACACCGGAAGCCGGAAGCGTGGTAGGGAAGGGCGACCGCGAAACTGGGACTTTCTCGGAGCGCCGGGGCCCTACCAGCGTTCACAGTCCGCCGCTCCCACCCTTCTCACGTCTGACGGACTCTGCTGACAGGTGTGGTCCTTTTCCCCAAAGACAGGGTTCCATCCGTGGGCGTTCCGCCGCCTCCGAAACTTCCCCCGGACGTTCAGGCTCCCCCCTCTTTTTTGGGCCCCAGCCCGTTCCTGCTCCGCGCTTCTGGAGCACTGGCCAAGGCGGGCCGATTCAGGACCCAGGTTACTTGGGCGGCGAGCTGGACTGTTTCTACTCCTCCCTCCTCCTCCACTGCGGGGTCTGACCCTACTCCTTGTGTGAGGACTCCTCTAGTTCAGAGACATATTCTGTTCACCAAACTTGACTGCGCTCTATCGAGGTCGTTAAATTCTTCGGAAATGCCTCACATATAGTTTGGCAGCTAGGTATCTGATTTCATATGCCTGTTTGCTCGTTTTGCAAGACAACATCTGCCTATCGTCATACTGTTTCTGTGATCTGAGAATGAATGGGCTCTCCTGGCACATTAGAGGAATAGCACGGAGGTCACTATAGCTGGAGCAGAGTGAGGGAGGGGAGCACAGTTGGAGAGGAAGGGATGGGGAACCCGATGGTACAGGGCCTTGTAGGCCGTTGTAGGGAGATTGGCTTTTACGCAGAAGGCAACGGGGATCCATGGTAGGGTTCTCAGTAGAGGAGGAATGTGATCGGAATTACGTCTTACACTGATCGTTCTAGCAGTGGTGGGGAGAACAGACCATAGTGGGCAAGGGTAAAAGAAGGGTGGCGTGGTAAGAGGTAATTGCAGTAATCCAGCTCAGAGACAGTGCTTTGAGCATTTTATTATTGGAAATTTCAAAAATGTACGAAAGTAGAAAAATGAGTATAGTAAATCTTTTTGGTTTGTTTGTTTTTGAGAGATGGAGTCTCGCTCTGTCGCCCAGGCTGGAGTGCAGTGGCATGATCTCAGCTCACTCTAACCTCCTCCTCCTGGGTTCAAGCGATTCTCCTGCCTCAGCTTCCCAGGTAGCTGGGACTGCAGGCGTGCGCCACTACGCCCAGCTAATTTTTGTATTTTTAGTAGAGACGGGGTTTCACTATATGTTGGCCAGTCTGGTCTTGAACTCCTGACCTCAGGTGATCTGCCTGCCTCAGACTCCCAAAGTGCTGGGATTACAGGTGTGAGCCACTGCGCTCGGCCAGTATAGTAAATCTTACATTCACAGCTACCAACTTCAACAATTGAAGGTATCAACTTCTGACTAATTTTGTTTATATCCCTCGCAATCCTCTCCCATTATTATTTTATTTCTTTTTCTTTCTTTCTTTCTTTTTTTTTTTTTTTTGAGACAGAATCTCGCTCTGTCACCAGGCTGGAGTGCAGTGGTGTGATCTCCACCCACTGCAACTTCCGCCTCCTGGATTCAAGCGATTCTTCTGCCTCAGCCGCTGGGACTACAGTTGTGCACCACCACGCCCAGCTAATTTTTGTATTTTTAGTAGAGATGGGGTTTCATCATGTTGGCCAGGATGGTCTTGATCTCTTGACCTTGTCATCCGCCCGCCTCGGCCTCCCAAAGTGCTGGGATTACAGGCATGAGCCACCGCGCCCGGCCTCTTTTTTTGAGACCCAGTCTCACTCTGTCGCCCAGAATGGAGTGCAGTGGCACGATCTTGGCTCACCGCAACCTCCATCTCCCAGGTTTGAGCGATTCTCCTGCCTCAGCTTCCCAAATAGCTGGGATTACAGGCATGCACCATCACTCCCAGCTATTTTTTTTTTTTTTGTATTTTTGGTAAATACAGGGTTTTGTCATGTTGGCCAGGCTGGTCTTGAATTCCTGACCTCAAGTGATCCACTTGCCATGACCTCCCAAAGTGCTGGGATTACAGGTGTGAACCACCATGCCTGGCCACCACTATTATTTTCAATAACAGCTTGAGATATCATTAGCATGTCACACAGTTCATCCATTTAAAGTGTACAATTCAATGGTTTGTTGTATGTATATTCACAGGACATTTTCGTCACCCCTCAAAGAAACCCCATACCCTTTAGCTCAGCTTATCTTCCCCTCAGCCCTAAGTGGCACTCCCCAGCAATCTTTAATCCACTTTATGTCTCTGTGGATTTGCCTGTTGTAGACATCTTATATAAATAGACTCATACAATGTTTAATCTTTTGTGACTTGTTTATTTCTCAGCATATTTTCAAGATTTGTTCATGTTATAGCATGTGGATGTACTAGATTTTGTTTATTCATAGTTGATGGACATTTGGGTTGTTTCCACTCTCTGGCTGCTATGAGTAATGCTGCTACAAGCATTCATGTGGACACATGTGTTTTCATTTCTCTCCGGTATATACCTAGGAGTTTTCCCATTATTTGGAGGTGAATTCAGACATCATCTTTAAACATTTAAGTGTGCCTCTCTCTAAGACAGGACTCTGAAAAACAACCACAATATCATTATGACACCTAAAATAGTTAATGTTAATTGCTCAGTGTGATCAGATCGGTTGGGGGATACATTTTAACAGGATTTCTTGATGGATTAGATGTGCTCTTGTGTGTGTGTGTGTGTGTGTGTGTATGTGTGTGTGTGTGTGTGAGAGAGAGAGAGAGAATCAAAAAAGACTTTTGACAGCTGGAGGATGGATTCGCCATCAGCTGATAACAAAGAAGGCCTTGGGTAGATCTGGGTTTTGGGGACTGTCGGAGGTCTTAGAGAGGTTCGTTTTGAGAAGGCTACTAGATAACCAAGTAGAAATGTCGAGTTTGATAAATGAATGTGGAGTTTAGAAAAGAGGTCTAATTAAGCATCAAGATTGGAGTTCAAGGCATGAGACTGGACAGAATTCCTGTGGGAGTGAATGAAGTTACAGAGAAGAAGATGTCCTAGGACAGAGCCCTGGGGCAGCCCAACATGAAGGATGGGAACCCAGTGAGAGTGCCTGGGCAGGAGTAGCCAGCAAGATAGGGAGGAAACCAGGAGAAGGGGCTGTTCTGAAAGCCAAGGGTGGAGTGCAGTGGCACAATCTCAGCTCACTGCAACGTCCGCCTCCTGGGTTCAAGCGATTCTCTTGCTTCGGCCTCCCGAGTAGCTGGGACTACAGGCGCGTGTCACCACACTCTGCTAATTTTTTGTATTTTTTTTTTTTGAGATGGAGTCTCGCTCTGTTGCCCAGGCTGGAGTGCAGTGGCGCGATCCCGGGTTCACGCCATTCTCCTGCCTCCCGGGTTCACGCCATTCTCCTGCCTCAGCCTCCTGGGTAGCTGGGGCTACAGGCGCCCGCTACCATGCCTGGCTAATTTTTTGTATTTTTAGTAGAGACAGGGTTTCACTGTGTTAGCCAGGATGGTCTCAATCTCCTGACCTCATGATCCACCCGTGTCGGCCTCCCAAAGTGCTGGGATTACAGGCGTGAGCCACCGTGACCGGCAATTTTTTTTTTTTTTTTTAGTAGAGGCAGGGTTTCACCGTGTTAGCCAGGCTGGTCTCGATCTCCTGACCTCATGATTGGCCCGCCTCGGCCTCCCAAAGTGCTGGGATTACAGGTGTGAGCCACTGCGCCCGGCCAGACATTTTAATCTCACAGTTCTGGAGACTAGAAGTCCAAAACCAAAGGGTTAGCAAGCACACACCCTCAAAGGCTCTAAGAGGGCAATCCTCCCTTGCCTCTCCCAAGCTTCTGCCCCATTTATTCCTGGGCTTGTGGCTGCCTCACTCCAGTCTCCGAGGCAGTCCCGACATGGCCTCCTCCCCTTGCGTCTCCCTCTGGCTTCTCTCTTCTGTCTCTCATAAAGACACGTTGTTGGATTTAGGGCCCACCCACGTCACCCAGAATGATCTCATCTTGAGATCCTACATCTGCAAAGACCCTTTTCCCGAATCACATATGTTTCAGGGGTTAGAACATGGGCATATCTTTTCGGGGGGCTACCATTCAGCCCACTACACTGGATGAGGGGCCGGTACCCTCCACTTCTCCTGCTTGGAGGTGTGTAGGGGATCAGGATTCCCAGCATACTGACATCTCCCTCCACAAACAGTCTTGTCCCGACTCTCCCATCTCTGGTGAAATTCTTCTATTTCCAGCCTGGAGCTAGGCCTTTTCAAGTCCCACATGGGTGGTCCAGCACCTCCCTTTGGAATGGGAGTATCTGCTACCCCTTAGACTGAAAACCCACTTTAGCATCCTGATACACTAGGTGAATTATCAGCATTCTGTTTAAAATGTAGCCCCAGAACTCATAGGCTTTTTCTGCTGGGTAAGGATGTGGGTCTCCTGTGACTCCCCTGCTGCCTTTCTCTTTCAGCCCTTGCCCTGTTGGATGAATAGGCACCTCTGGAAGAGCCAACTGTGTGAGATGGTGCAGCCCAGTGGTGGCCCGGCAGCAGATCAGGACGTACTGGGCGAAGAGTCTCCTCTGGGGAAGCCAGCCATGCTGCACCTGCCTTCAGAACAGGGCGCTCCTGAGACCCTCCAGCGCTGCCTGGAGGAGAATCAAGAGCTCCGAGGTGAGGAAAGAGTCAGGGGATCCAGCCCTGCTGAGGGGAAGGCGTCTTCTCCCCACCTGCACCTCTGCGTTTCCTGGGCCTGGGGTGGGGATGTGCTGCCCTCCCTCTTGGTTTCAGGAAGTAGACTCTGAGATGCAGATTAGCGGGGAGGAAGTTTAGCATGCTCTCAGGACCAGTACTGGGAAGGGAAAGGAGGGACAGGGGAAGAAGCCAGGGAGGGCAGAGGGAGAAGCACGCTGCCGGGTAGGCTCCAGGACAGCCTTGCTGGATCTTACAGGGAGCTCTGGAGCTGGAATGAACCTTCCAGGTTGGACCAACATGTCCAGGCCTCTGTGTCCCTGCACTGAGCACTCATGAAGTGCTGTCCATCCTGGGACAGGGCAGAGTCGGCGCTGGGAAGAGGCGTGGTCTGCCCAGAGAGGGGGTGGGGCCTGTCCTGGAAATGGGCGGGGCATGCCCTGGTAGAGGGGCGTGGTCTGTCTTGGGAAGGAAGGTGCGTGGCCCCCACAGGCAACATTCCTCTGGGGCAATCCCGGCGCACACCTCAGCGGAGGTGAAGGCTGACTTCCCACACCCAGTGGCTGGGACTGGGGAGTTCTTTCCTAGACTGCCATCCGGGCGCCCCTCACCCTCTTGCTGCTCAGCTCCAGGTCGTCATGGGTTCAGGGCTCAGCTGCACGCTCCTGCCCGCGCCCTGGGCGTGATGGCACCCCCAGCCCCTGCCATTCTTCCCCCTCACCCCCTCTCCCTGCCACTGCTCTGCATTGCCCTGGGTTAGCCTGGCGGGGCCAGGTGGCACCCGCCATATACTCTTGCCTTTCTGCTGCGGGGGCCTTCTAAGCCTCGGGTCCCAGAGCTGCAGGGAGGGGCGGCATAGACTCCCCACATGGCTCACTGGGTGTGGTGGGGCCTGTAGCCCTTTTTGTTTCATCCTTTGGTTCCTGCTGGGGACTCAGGCCTAAGTGTCCACCCCATCGTGGAGGACAACACCCCTTCCTTGCAGGAGTCATCCCTGAGCTGGCAGCTTCAATTGGCTCTCCGTGTCCTGGCTGGCTGGCAGCTCCTGGGCGAGGTGGCATGTGCCGTGACTACTAGAGATCGCTGTCATGGGCCCACTCCCCCGCCTTCTTTGCTGGACTGTGGTCCGAGATGTTATGTGGGGCTCTGTGCTGACAAGTCACATAGTCTGTAGGCTTCAGAGAGTGGCTCTGGCTGACACCCCGTGGGCAGAGACAAGACCCATGCCTGCGATGTGTCTCCTCTTACTGTCAAGGCAAATCACCTTTCCTTCCATGGAGGAAGGGGTCAGTGCAGTCAGCTTGCTGTCAGGGGGCTGCTTGGTCTCCTCGACGGTGAGGCTGAATTGGAGAGGCCCTGCTGGAGCATGGAGACCCAACATGACCTGCCTGTTCCAGGACAGGGTCCCCCACCTCAGTGCCATCGGCACCTGGGGCTGGAGAATTCTCTTGTACGTTGTAGGGTGTGGAGCAGAGTCCCTGGCCTGTACCTGCTAGATGCCAGTAGCACCTGTCCTGTTGTGACAACTAACAATATCCCCAGATATTTATTGCCAAATGACCCCTGGGGGATACAGTTGTCCCTGGTGAGACCCACTGTATTGGGATCTTCAAAGCACTGGTGCACAGAGAGGTGACAGTTAGACTGGGGGCTTCTGCTCATCCCCAGGAGAGTGCTCTATTGAGGGGGACTTGAGGGTGAGTGTTGCAGGCCAGCTGTGCAGGGACCCTGGCACAGCGTATGGCGCCCTTGCTTCCCTTCCAGGCTGTGTGTTCAGTGCAGCAGCTTCCCTCGGGCTCCAGGGACACAAGGAGGCCTCAAGGCTGTATTGACTCCCCCTGCTCCGCCTGACCTGAGCTTTGTGGGTGGCAGGTGAAACTTGGTAGCTCCATGTGTCAGGCCCTGGGCCAAGCCCCTAAGGGCCCAGAAGATGTCTGTCCCCCAAGATGTACATGCTTATGTCCATGGAGGAGGCTGTACTTAGAATGTTGAGGGAGAGATTCACGAAGAAGTTGCATGTCTCTAGTGTGTGACTCCACTAGTGTGAGACATGTCCAGAAGTGGCCAATCTGCAGAGGCAGATGCAGATGAGGAGGGTGCTGGGGGAGCGACTGCTTATGGGGTCCCGGAACTGTTCTGGAATTAGATAGTGCGGATGGTTGCACAACCTGATGGATACACCGAAAACTGCTGAATTAGTTAAAATAGTGAATTTGATGTCATGTGAATTTTACCTCAGTTCAGAACATTTTTTAAAAGACAAGTTGCCAGCCAGGTGCAGTGGCTCATGCCTGTAATCCGAGCACTTTGGGAGGCCCAGGCGGGGGGATCACCTGAGGTCAGGAGTTTGAGACCAGCTTGGCCAACATGGTGAAACCCCATCTCTACTACAAAAATTAGCTACAGACGTGGTGGCGGGCACCTATAATCCCAGCTACTTGGGAGGCTGAGGCAGGGAGAATTGCTTGAACCCAGGAGGTGGAGGTTGCAGTGAGCTGAGATCGCGCCACTGCACTCCAGCCTGGGCGACAGAGCGAGAGTCTGTCTCAAAAAAAAAGACAAGTTGCAGATGAGCTGAGCTTTGGGCAGAGCAAGCGGGATTCTGATGGGGGGTGGATGTTGCGCTCGTCAGCAGGCAATAGTTAGTTGGTTGAGGGTTTTGATCACGGGGTAGCTACTGCCTGCCCCATTTTATCCAGCTCTGTAGTTGCTATAGAGTTGCTAGAACCTTGGCACATCACTTATCAGTTTTGTCACCTCAGATGGCTTCTTCACTACTTGGGGTGTCTCCTGGGTGTGGGGCTCTCCTTCCTGTGGCCTCTGCTGACTGCCTGGCACTGGCACACATGCTCTGGTGAGGGGAGGACCAGCGGTTTTTCCCGTTTGTTTTCTGCTTCCTCGTTTAACCCTCCTCGTCTTGTAAGATGAATGTTCTTGTCTCTGTTCACTATGCAGATGAGGACTTTGAGGCTCAGAGACGCCACTAACTTGCCTGGTCCAAGCCTTTTGGGCCTCTCAGGCTGCAGCCAGCAATGCTGCAGTGAAGTTTGCCTGGGAGGCTGACCCTAGGAGTCTGCAGGCGTGTTAGGACCCCCGATCTAGAAGACAGCAGAGATGTAGGCCAGGGAGGACCAATACCGAGCATCTGAGGGCAGGCACACCTCAGACTGACCAGAATACAAATGAATTCGAGTCACTTACAAACAAAGTGGCATAAGGCCAGGCACAGTGGCCCATGCCTATAATCCCAGCACTTTCGGAGGCCGAGGTGGGAGGATTGCTTGAGGCCAACGATGTGAGACCAGCCTGGGCAACATAGCAAGACCTTGTCTCTACAAAAATAAAAATTCAAAAAAGTGGCATTTAACACATACTTTTTTTCTTTTTTTTGAGACAGAGTTTTGCTCTGTCCCCCAGGCTGGAGTGCAATGGTGTGATCTCGGCTCACTGCAACCTCCACCTCCCAGGTTCAAGTGCTTCTCCTGCCTTAGCCTCCCAAGTAGCTGGGATTACAGGCGTGTGCCACCACACCGGGCTAATTTTTGTATTTTTATTAGAGACGGGGTTTCACCATGTTGGCCAAGCTGGTCTGGAGCTCCTGACCTCAGGTGATCCACCCACCTTGGCCTCCCAAAGTGCTGGGATTACAGGCATGAGCCACAGTGCCTGGCCAACACGTACTTTTAAGTGAAGCTGATGTGTTTGGTGTTATTTTCTTGCAGAAAGTGAGGGGCATTAGTGTAAAGGATTTTGGAAGTGTTTAAAGAAACAAAAGGGAGTGTTGAGACGCCATCCACCCCTGAGAGAAGCTGCGTGGTATTATGGCGGGTGGGGGCACCAGGATGGGTGGCCCCACTTCTGGCCTCTGACTTCCTGAGCCTCAGGCCCATGTGGGCCCAGGCAGGGCCCGGCAGGCCGGGCTGCCCAGCTCCCCTCCACTGTCCCCTCTGCCACCAGATGCCATCCGGCAGAGCAACCAGATTCTGCGGGAGCGCTGCGAGGAGCTTCTGCATTTCCAAGCCAGCCAGAGGGAGGAGAAGGAGTTCCTCATGTGCAAGTTCCAGGAGGCCAGGAAACTGGTGGAGAGACTCGGCCTGGAGAAGCTCGATCTGAAGAGGCAGAAGGAGCAGGCTCTGCGGGAGGTGGAGCACCTGAAGAGATGCCAGCAGGTAGTCGGGGCAGGGCCAGGTTCTGAAAACCCGCGGTGACGCCAGTGTTCCACAAGGGAACCCGTGGTCGGGGTCCCCCAAAGCACCCTGGGGCTCAGTGCTGTGCCGGGAGGGCTCGGAACTCAGAAAAGCCGTCACACTCCCAGTTCCGGTTTATTACAAGGAAAGGACACAGGTTACGGTGAGCGAAGGCTCAGGGCGCACAGGGCGGGCTCCAGGAGAGACCAGGCGTGAGCTTCAGCGGCTCCTCGCCCAGGGGAGTTGTGCAGACGGCACCTGTTTCTTTCGGCAACAGTGTGGGACAGCGAGCACGGAGTCACAACCGGGAAGCTCACCCCAGCCGTGGCGGCCGGGGTTTTCACGGGGGGTGGGCCGCGTGGGCACCGAGCGCCTGCGTGGCCAACCCTGGTCACTCGGCTGTAGCCACCAGAGGTCCAGCTGTGTGGCCCAAGGCTCCCCCCATAAATCGTGTCATTAGCACAGACCGCCTGGTTTCAGGGTCTTTGTGTGTGGGCTTGGCTGATCGCAGGATCCTGGCGATGGTAGTCAGGAAGGGGCCGTGCTCCCTTTGAGGGGCAAGGTGGAGAGAAGTGCTGGAGAGGAGACTTGCTGGCGGGTACCTGGCACTTGCCACAGCCAGGCTCCACTCCCCTGGGGAAAGGCGTGGATGGTGGGCTGTGCACGCCGCTCCACTCAGGGCTTAGAGCGCCTGGCTTAAGGCGTTGATTTCCTGTGTGGGAAGTGGATGAGTTTTCTACAGCTGCCGTGACCAAGCACCACAGACTGCGGGGCCGAAGCCACAGAAACGCGTGGCCTCCCGCTTCTGGAGGCCTGGAGGCTGAGCTAGCGGTGGTGTCGGCAGGGTGGGCTCCCCGCCAGGGCCGCGAGGGAGCTGCCTTCCAGGCCTCTCCACGGCGCCGGGGGCCGCCGGCTGCACCTCTCCAGCCTCCATCTCCGTCATCCTGTGGCCTTGTCCCCGCGGGCCTCTGTGCCTGTCCTCCTCTTTTGACAAGAACACCGGAGATACACAAAGGTACACAAAAGCGGGCCTTTGTTCAAGCTGGCAAAAGAGATCTTCTTCAGAAACCCCTGCTTGCGGGGGAGAGAGCTGAGCTCCGTTCCCGCCCCAGCAGAGGCGGCCTGGCCTTGCGAAGGGAGAAGGAGGGAGTCGGGAGGGGGCGAGTGCAGGCTCAGGTGAAAGATGACGGGGCAGCCAGCGTCCTTGCCGCGAGGCCAGCCGTGTGTGGGAGCTGCCGGTGCTTACCAAGGTTGGGATGCTTCCGTCCCGTGGAGACTGGGAGACTGGGCCCCGCGCCTCCTGAGGTTTCCGTTTCCAAGGAGTGGCTGCGGGGCCCTCGGGAAAGCCCCTGGGTTGTGGGTGCTACACAGATGTCTCAAAGGGACAGGGTAAGCCCTTTGTAGTAAATGCTGTCAGAAAGGGAGGTCAGGTGTTGGCCGGAACAGACAGTACATGCTCTGGGCAGCCCTGAGCGTTTCCAGACGGGAACTCACTCAAAAGGGGGCTGGGGCGTCCCAGGGGCGCGGCCTTAGGCTCCCAGAGGCCCCGCGAGGTGGTGGCCGGGTGTCTTCGGGCAGGGGTTTGAGTGCAGTGTGCCTGCCGAGAGGTTCTGCAGTTCCCAGTGTTTAACAAAATTCAGTGTCCACTCTTGATCTGCACAAACTCTCCCATCCTGGCGGCCCCGGGTGTGGACTGGGGCCTGTGTTTACTTTGCCCTATTCGTGTCTGGCCTCCTTTTGTCCCAAGTCTCAGAGAGACGGAGAGAGATCCCCTGCTGGGGCTGTAGCTGCAAGGCCACCGGGTTCAGCCCTCGAGGCCTGCTTGCCGGGGCAGTGACTAAGCCGTTGACAACCTCAAGGCAGCTTTGTGCTCCTTCGTCTCTTTGGGGATCTCTTTTTGCCCCATCTGTGTGTCACCCTGTGGCAGAGGGTTAAGGTGGGCAGCTGGGGAGGGTTGGGTGGCCCTTGGGCTCATGAGGCCCTAGGGCACCCAGGTTTGGGGGTGCCGAGGGCAGGAAAAAAGGCCTCATGGCGCGCAGGCCTCAGCCGCTTGCGGGTTGCCCCGGGCTTGCGGATGGCAGGAGTGGGCCGCTGGGGAGAAAGCAGTGCTGACAGGAAGTGGCTTTTTATCCTGCAGCAGATGGCTGAGGACAAGGCCTCTGTGAAAGCCCAGGTGACGTCCTTGCTCGGGGAGCTGCAGGAGAGCCAGAGTCGCTTGGAGGCTGCCACTAAGGAATGCCAGGCTCTGGAGGGTCGGTGAGTCGGGGGAGCCGGCTCCGGAGACCCCTTCCAGGGTTTCCAAAAGCAATGAGGTGGGTTTAGGGGCCTCCAGGGTGCTCCTTGATGAGGATAGACCGGGGCAGGCTGCGTAAAGACGTCGGGGCAGACGTCGGGAGAGGTCTGGGCCAGGCATCCGGGACCTGGGTCCCAGCCGGCTCTCCGCACTCTGTGACCCTTTGATGGAGTTTGGATTATTTCCTTAGGAGGCATTCTGGGGGCCCCGAGCCCACACCCACAGTGTCTAGTTCTCTGGAAGGACTTCTGGGACCGGCGCACAGTCGCCCTCGTGGCTGAGGTTGATGACAGGGAAAAAGGCACAGGGCAGGAGCCGCCAGGGCAGGAGCCGTGGGGGGAGTTGGAGAAGCCCTGTCCCAGCCTCCCGCTGCCCTGCGAGCGGCACAGTGAGAAGCGCCTCCCACACGGGCCGTGTTCCTGCCCAGGGATGCCCGCTAGAGACTCAGCGCCCTGGGTGTTTACTGGGGGCAGGTCCTGTCAGCGCCCTCTGCCAGGCAGGTACCTAAATCCCCGACTCCCAGCAGCAGAGCGGGTGCTCACGTCAACCACGTTCTTCCTACAAATGGCCTAGGTGCAGGGACCGACCTGACCACTAGAGAAAGTGTCACTGTGGCAAGGGAACTTCACCAGCCAAGGGCCAACCTTGCCAGCCGGTGGCCTCAGGCCTGCTGGTTACTCTCTTTTGCAAAGGGGTCTTGGTTCTTGTGAGTGGGACCATTGGGTCAAAGGGCAGGGAGGTTTCTGTGGTTCTCATTCGGTCCTGCTTCTGCCCTCCAGACAGATGGATCAGCTGCCAGGGGGGCCCCAGCCATCCCAGCACAGTAGGCGGTCAAGGTGCACTTGGGGCAGCCAGCAGGGCAGAGGGGAGGGGAGCTTGACCCAGGCTCTGATGGGCAGAGGGAACCCGTGCAGGGTGTGGGGGCAGTATGCAGGCAGGCGCGGAGGGGAGAGCCAAGCAGCCAGGCCTGCCAGGCAGAGTTGGGGTGACTGGAGAAGGGCCGTGTCTGCCTGTGGCCAGAGGCCACCCAGGACCTGGACAGATGCACCCACCATTGTCCCTGCAGTGAGGCTGTGGAAGGGCTTGGTGTGGTGGGATGAGGCCAGACCCTGGAAACTGGAGGTTAAGGGAGCTGTAGGGGGGCAGGTGTGGGAACTGAGCATCCGAGCAGGTCGTCTGGGACTCCAGCAGAGCTCTGGGCAGCAGCAGGGATGGGGCCGAGGCCCGGTCTGCATTGAGCTCAGTGCTTGCACGCCCAGGTGGGCAGTCTCTCATTTTTGGAACAGCAGTCTCTCCTGACCCCCTCCACTGAGACTGCTTTTGCTGGGGCCCCCAGCAGTCCCCCAGTGGAACTCCACGGGCAGTTCCGAGGGCTCCTCTCACCTGGCCCCAGCACTGCGGGATGCAGGCGACCCCATCCTTTTCTCGGACCACCCCCTTCCCCTGGCTTCCAGGTCTCCTTGCCATCTGTACTTGGTCACCTGCTGGGCCCCTGCATTGAAGCAAACACGTCTTAAGCAAAGCTCCTCACCTGCTGCTCCCACCTGGCCCCCTGCAGTTGTCCTCGTGTCTGTTGACGGTGCCTCCACCCTGCCGCCTGGCATCAGCTCGCAGTCACAGGGTGTTCAGAGCCGACCCCCACCCCCCGCCCACGCCCTGCGCATAGCCCCTGCCGTCCCCCCGTTCGTCCTCCCTGAGTCTGCTCTTTCCCCGTGCCAGGGCCCGGGCGGCCAGCGAGCAGGCGCGGCAGCTGGAGAGTGAGCGCGAGGCGCTGCAGCAGCAGCACAGCGTGCAGGTGGACCAGCTGCGCATGCAGGGCCAGAGCGTGGAGGCCGCGCTCCGCATGGAGCGCCAGGCCGCCTCGGAGGAGAAGTGAGTCAGCGGGGGCGGGGCCGCACCGCAGGGTCTGTGGTTCTACACTTGATCTTAGCCGAAAGGCTGAGAAGTGTCGGGTCCATGGTTCTTTCTGCCTTCTGAGGACTCCTTCAGATTCTGCCTGTGGCTGTGGGCCCATTCTGTCCCTTAGCCTTGCTAACGGTAGAGGCGACCATGATGACACCCGGTTTGTCTTTGATACAGTCATGCCATCTGCTCTCCAGACCACGTTTCACTGCGTGTCCACACGTGGCCTTTTTTGTAGTTTTTTTTTCCTAGCCACTAGGTCATCAGGGGACTTGTCCTTTAAAACCCCTTCTAGGCCAGGTGCTGTGGCTCACGCCTGTAATCCCAACACTTTGGGAGGCCAAAGTGGGTAGATGGCTTAAGCCCGGGAGTTCCAAGACCAGCCTGGGCAACAGAAAGACAACAAAAATACCCCCAAACCCCCCCGTCTACCAGCATCCAATCTGGGACCTCAGGTTCCTGTCCTTGGCGTGCCTTTTCAGTCTCCTTTAATCTAGAACAGTTCCCCTGCCTTTCTGAGCTGTTTGTGAAGTTCACAGTTTTGAACAGTGCAGGGTAGTTCCATTGTATTATTACTATTATTTTCAAGACAGGGTCTTGCTCTACCGTCCAGGCTGGAGTGCAGTGGCATAATCTCGGCTTACTGTACCTTCCGCCTCTTGGTCTCAAGCGATCCTCCCAGGTAGCTGGGACTATAGGCGCAGGCCAGCACACCTGGCTAATTTTTGCATTTTTGGTAGAGGTGGCGTTTTCCTATGTTGCCCGGGCTGGTCTTGAACTCCTGAGCTCAAGCGATCCTCCTGCCTTGGCTTCTCAAAGTGTTGGGATTATGGGCGTGAGCCACCGCGTCTGGCCGCGATTTTATTATAAACATTAAAAATACTAGCTTTTAGGAAAACGATATTAACTGCCTGGTGACCAGCCCACCAAAGCCTGCTTTAGAGTTGACGGCCTCAGGAGTCCTCACACAGCCTTGGAAGACCCCATTCCAGGCCTGTGATGCGAGGGAGGGAAGGAAGGGGGTAGAGTTGGAAGCAGGCAGCACCGTGGCTGGACTGGCATGAGGTGGTTTCTCCAGCAAAAGCTCCCTTTCCTCAGGAGGAAGCTGGCCCAGTTGCAGGTGGCCTATCACCAGCTCTTCCAAGAATACGACAACCACATCAAGAGCAGCGTGGTGGGCAGTGAGCGGAAGCGAGTGAGTGCGACCACTGGGGCTCTAGGGCTGGCCTTGCCTCTTCCTCTCCCCGTGGCCCTGAACCTTGAGAATGGGTAGACCTGCCTTAGACTTGCCTTAGACCTGTGTCAGGCTGCAGCTGCGACAGCTCAGGGAAGCTGTGGGGAGATGGCAACCCCAGGATGTTGCTCTCAGGAGTGTCAGCAGGCCATCTTAATGGGGGGCTGGGCCAGAGCCTTGGGGTGCTCCCTCTGTGGGGCTGGGGACGTCTTGTCTCCATGGACATTCCCTCTTGCCAGCCATCGCCATCTGGCACCTGGCTCAGCTTCCCCCAAGCCAAGGTAAGCCCGACAGCATTTCCACCCCAGTGTTGGCTGGGAGCCTTTTCCTAGTTTGTCCTCATCAGACCTAAGCTGGGGTGCAGTTTGCTAGTGATCACATTTTAGCAGGACACCGTCAATCGTAAGTGTACCCAGAGGAGATTTATAAGGACAAAGCCTGAAGCCAGGTCACATGGGGAAGAGTTAGCTACAAAACTGGCCACTTAATCTCTGGAGGGGGGCGTTGGTGGGGTGTGTCTGTGTGTGTCTCAGGGGGCTGGAGATGCCTGCGTGGGAGGAGTGCACCTCTGACCAGGTGGCAGAGTGGAAGGACTGAGGGCTCTCAGCTGAGCTGTGCACATGGCGGGCACAGGACCGGCTGGCTGTGAGTGGGTGTGGCCTGTGGCCTGTGAAGGGTGGGAGGAGGGCTGTGGAGCTGGGGATTCTGGGAAGGGAATGTCGGCCCAGCTGGGAGGTTGTACCAGATGACCTCAGCGGCCTCTTCAGTCCTGAAAAAAACCTCAGCATCTCCTCTGTCGTTTTGGGCCGTGACAGGACGCAGCCATCTCCCTGTGCACGCTGAGATCCTGCAATGGGCCCTCAAATCAGGGGCTGGCATCACCCAGCCTGGTCAGCCAGGGCCACTCTTTCATCCTTCTCAGTTCTTCTCAGCCAGCCTCGCCCTGGGCTGACGAGGCTCCGTCAGCTCCCCTTGCCCGTCCTTAGGGAATGCAGCTGGAAGATCTCAAACAGCAGCTCCAGCAGGCCGAGGAGGCCCTGGTGGCCAAACAGGAGGTGATCGATAAGCTGAAGGAGGAGGCCGAGCAGCACAAGATTGTGATGGAGACCGTTCCGGTGCTGAAGGCCCAGGTGAGGGCCCTCCTCTCTGACCCACCCTGGCACTGGGACCTGGAGAGTCTCTTTGGCGTCTTTTTTTTTTTTTTTGCTTTTGCTTTTTGAGATTGAGTTTTGCTCTTGTTGCCCAGGCTGGAGTGCCACTAGTGGCACGATCTTGGCTCACTGCAACCTCTGCCTCCCGGGTTCAAACAATTCTCTTGCCTCAGCCTCCTGAGTAGCTGGGATTACAGGCGCCTGCCGCCATGCCCGTCTAATTTTTGTATTTTTAGTAGAGACAGGGTTTCACCATGTTGGCCCAGCTGGTCTCGAACTTCTGGCCTCAGGTGATCTGCCCACCGCAGTCTCTCAAAGTTCTGGGATTACAGGCGTGAGCCACCGCACCCGGCCTCTTTGGCATCATTTTGTAGTGGCCTTTCGTAAGCTTCTGAGCCACTTGTGCTGCTCCTTAGACCTCTCGGTGAGCTTGGCATTACTCGCCGACGTATCTGTTTCCTCTGCGCCGCTGGGGGCTCTGGGAGGACAGCAGTGGGTTCTGCTTTGTTCCTGTGGTGCCTGGCGCAGTGCCTGGTGGGTGGCTGGCTTGTGGCGGGCACATCCCTTTCTGTTGGATTTGCCAGGCGGATATCTACAAGGCGGACTTCCAGGCTGAGAGGCAGGCCCGGGAGAAGCTGGCCGAGAAGAAGGAGCTCCTGCAGGAGCAGCTGGAGCAGCTGCAGAGGGAGTACAGCAAACTGAAGGCCAGCTGTCAGGAGTCGGCCAGGTGGGCCTCTGAGAGCGTGCCCGTGTGAGCAGTGGGTGCGACACTGGGGGGTCGCCAGTGGTGACCCCGCAGTGGGTGCGACACTGGGGGGTTGCCAGTGGTGACCACAGGAGACGGATGGCTCCTGGTGTTCTGGGTTAGGGCTCACTGTGGTCCCTCTCCTCTCACCTGAGCTTCCAAGAGCTGCTTTGACACTAGTCCAGCCAAGGAGCTTTACAGAAATGCGTGGCTTGACTGGACGGTTTCTGTTTCCAAAGGATCGAGGACATGAGGAAGCGGCATGTCGAGGTCTCCCAGGCCCCCTTGCCCCCCGCCCCTGGTGAGTGAGCGAGAACTGGGCCTGCGGGAGGAGGTGGGTGGGGAGGGCAGGTGCTGCGCCGCGGGAGGTCACAGTTCGACCTTCCTGTTGCTCTCTGGAGACTTGACGGCGGGAGCTCGTGTAGGCCACCCCATCGGTAGCCCACCCCCTTCCCCGAGGCTAAGGGAGGCATGCCGTGGTAGCGGCGGCTCCTGGTCTTACATGAGTGGCCTGTGAGACCAGGCCTGCCATTGACAGTCCTGCCAAGTCTCCGTCCCCCTCCATCCTCCCCTTCCCTCTGACTCTTCTCTTTTCCCAGCCTACCTCTCCTCTCCCCTGGCCCTGCCCAGCCAGAGGAGGAGCCCCCCCGAGGAGCCACCTGACTTCTGCTGTCCCAAGTGCCAGTATCAGGCCCCTGATATGGACACCCTGCAGATACATGTCATGGAGTGCATTGAGTAGGGCCGGCCAGTGCAAGGCCACTGCCTGCCGAGGACGTGCCCGGGACCGTGCAGTCTGCGCTTTCCTCTCCCGCCTGCCTAGCCCAGGATGAAGGGCTGGGTGGCCACAACTGGGATGCCACCTGGAGCCCCACCCAGGAGCTGGCCGCGGCACCTTACGCTTCAGCTGTTGATCCGCTGGTCCCCTCTTTTGGGGTAGATGCGGCCCCGATCAGGCCTGACTCGCTGCTCTTTTTGTTCCCTTCTGTCTGCTCGAACCACTTGCCTCGGGCTAATCCCTCCCTCTTCCTCCACCCGGCACTGGGGAAGTCAAGAATGGGGCCTGGGGCTCTCAGGGAGAACTGCTTCCCCTGGCAGAGCTGGGTGGCCGCTCTTCCTCCCACCGGACACCGACCCGCCCGCCGCTGTGCCCTGGGAGTGCTGCCCTCTTACCATGCACACGGGTGCTCTCCTTTTGGGCTGCATGCTATTCCATTTTGCAGCCAGACCGATGTGTATTTAACCAGTCACTATTGATGGACATTTGGGTTGTTTCCCATCTTTTTGTTACCATAAATAATGGCATAGTAAAAATCCTTGTGCATTAGTCGTGCGTATCTTTGGCATAGATTCTGAGAAGTGACACCACTGAGCATGGGCGATGGCGTAGATGGTACCTGAGCCCCCTTCCTCCTTGGAGCTTGGTTTCCCATCTCTCCCCACCCCCTATTTCCCTAGCCTTGCCAAGGAGGAGGTGGGAAAGCCCGTTTGGGTTTTTGTCATTCGCTAGGCCATGCAGTTCTCTGTTAAGAGTGAGCTTAAACATCTTTCCTGAGGCTTTAAGGACCTTTTTTAGTTCTGCTTCTGAATGGGCTGCTCATATCATATATATATATGTATATGTATAGTTGTGTATATGTATGTGTGTGTGTGTGTGTGTGTGTGTATTTTTTTTTTTTTTTGAGACAGAGTTTTGCTCTTCTCGCCCAGACTGGAGTGCAGTGGCGTGATCTCAGCTCACTGCAACCTCTGCCTCCTGCGTTCAACCTATTCTCCTGCCTCAGCCTCCCTAGTAGCTGGGACTACAGGCGCCTGCCACCACGCTCGGCTAATTTTTGTATTTTTAGTAGAGATGGGGTTTCACCATGTTGGCCAGGCTGGTCTCGAACTCCTGACCTCACGTGATCCACCTGCCTTGGCCTCCCAAAGTGCTGGGATTACAGGTGTGAGCCACTGTACCTGGCCAATTTTTGTATTTTTAGTAGAGATGGGGGTTTCAGCACTTTGGCCAGGCTGGTCTCAAACTCCTGACCTCAGGTGATCTGCCTGCCTCGGCCTCCCAAAGTGCTAGGATTACAGGTGTGAGCCACTGCGCCCCGCTGGGCTGCTCATATCTTTTATCCGTTTTTCTACTGGGTTATCTTTTGTTGCTCAGCTTTTAGAAACTCTTTGTCCATGAGCAGGATTGGGTTTGTGGCTGTGATAGAAATTGCAGATATCTTTTCCTGCTTTGACCTCGCTACTAGTGTTTCTTTGTTTTTTGTTTTGAGATAAGGTCTCTGTCACCCGGGTGGGAGTGTAGTGGCACAATCAGAGCTCACTGCAGCCTTGACCTCCTGAGCTCCAGCAGTCCTCCTGCCTCGGCCTTGCGAGTAGCTGGGATCACAGGCGTGCGCCACCACACCCTGCTAAACTACTGGTGCTTCTCAGCCTCGAAGTTTTTTTTTCTTTATGTAGTCACATTTATCCATTTTTTCCCCCTTTTACTGCTTTGACTTTGGAGTCGTCGTGACCACCTTGTGGTCTGTGGGAGGGATGCTTCACACATGAGCACTTTTCTTTTTCTAACACCGAAGCGTGCTCTTGTCTTCACCAAGAGTGTTGTTGCCCAGTGTGACTGGTGATGGCTGTTTCATCATATTCCAGAAGTTTGTGATGCCATTTCCCACACTGGCCCCAATTAGGAAGAACAGACGACTCTACTTGTTTTGCAAGATTCTGGAAATTTCCCGGGGTGTCAGAGCCCTGGGCATTAACCCTGCAATTGTAGCAAAGGAAACAAAGTTGGAAGTTGACTCCCCAGCACCCGGGCCTTCCTTCCTGCCCTCCTCCAAGCTGCCCTGGTTGGGAACGGGATATTGTGAATCCACCCTGAGGCTTCCTCACAGGGCTTCCTGCTATTTGACAGTGTGAGGCTGGCTAGAATTGGGATATGAGGCCTTCTAAAAATTAACCTGGCCTGAGGGCTTTCTCAGCATCTGGGGGCGGGGTGTGGGGGCGGGGAGTGACCTTTCCCCTTCTTCAAGCCAGGTGCCCATCAGATTCTACTTGGGAAAATGTGAAAGGCACAGACAGCTTGTCTGCTCACGGGTGCTGCACTTAAATCCTAATCTTGCAATTTTTCTACAAGAGCACTTTACATTTTTTTTTTGGAGGGAGGGTGTATGAGTAGACGGTGGCTGCTGTAACAAAGGACTGCACACTTGGGGCTTAAAACAACAGAAACTCCTTCACAGTGTTGGAAGCCACAGTCTGCAATCAAGTTGTCAGCAAGGCTGGTTTCTTTTTTCTTTCTCTTTCTTTCTTTCTTTCTCTTTCTTTCTTTCTTTCTTTCTCTTTCTTTCTTTTTCTTTCTCTTTCTCTTTCTTTCTTTCTTTCTTTTTTCTTTCTTTTCTTTCTCCCTCTCTCTCTCCCTCTCTCTCTCCTCTCTCTCTTTCTCTCTTTCTTTCTTGTTGGATACAGTCTTGCTCTGACACCCAGGCTGGAGTGCAGTGGTGCCATCTCAGTTCACTGCAACTTCCGCCTCCAGGGTTCAAGCAATTCTTGTGCCTCAGCCTCCCGAGTATCTGGGATTACAAGTGCCCGCCACTATGTCCGGCAAGGCTGGTTTCCTCTGCAGGTGCCAAGAGAATCGTTTACAGGTCTCTGTCTTAGCCTCTGCTGGTTGCTTATAGAGCCATCACCCTAGTCTCTGCCTCTGTCATCACACAGTCTCTTCCTCTTCGTCTGTGTCTTCCCTTTTGTCTCATAAAGGACACCAGTCATTGGATGTAGGGCCCACCTGGATAATCCAGAATGATCTCCTCATCTCGGCATTCATTACATCTGCAAAGACCCTTTTCCCAAAGAAGGTCACACCCATAAGATATGCACGTATCTCTTCAGGGCCATCACACAACCCAGTATGGGGACATGTTCCAGTGCACACAGATGAGGGCAAATGCAGCAGCAGTGCCTGGGAGCTGGAAAAACACCCCTGCTTGGGCCCCCTGGACCAACCGAGTCAGAATCTTGGTCTAGACCCACCAGGCATTGGTCTAGACCCACCGCCCTGCCCGGAGGTGGGGCTGCCTCCTCCCTCCTCCGGTAGCACAGTGTAGGGTTGACCATACACCAGACACCAAGGATTTAAAACCATACCATTTGCGCAGAAGTACGGCATTCCAGGGTTTTCCTTTTCGGCTTTACTTAGGTTGAGCTTCCAGAACAACTGGTTGGATTACTCTTGGGAGGGAACCAGCCTGCCTGCCCTATTGGCTGCGGCCCCTTGATCCACAAACGAAGCCCATCCCTGCCGGAGCTTGTGGCGTTCTCTGGTGTTCATGCGCGCTCCCCCTCCTGCCGACCAATGCACAAGAACAGTGCGGGCGACCAGTAAGCACAGTGAGAAAGCATTTCACCCTCATCAGTAACTAAAACAACAGCAAGTCTGACGGCAAGCAAAAAGTGATCTGAAAATGGCAACCGATGAAGCCCTAGGTGAGCGCTCTGCTGGCAAGGTGCAGGACAGCGGCCCTTGCAATGCTGCCCTTTCCGAGGGGGCCATTTGCTGGGATGGAGCAAGCCCGTAGGCAGCGTCCTCAGCCCTGGTGCGTAACCCTAAGAGAGAGTCGGGCACTCAGCGATGACTCTGGCATTGGGAAGGTGCTTCACTTCGTCATTTGTAGCTGCCAAAGGTCGGGGTGAGATAAGAGGCTGCGTATGTAACGATGTGGTCCGGCACAGCTGGCATTTTGAACATCTCCTCACACGCAACATGCCTTGTAGCATGTTGGTGTGAACAGGCCAGGTGACAAACTTATGGATAAAGCGTGACCCCAATAGAGAAGTAAAAGCTCTGAGTGCATACCCTGCTAACATTTGGACGGACGTGAGTAGCTGGGTGGCCAGTAATGAGAAGTTTTCCTTACATGTTAGTACCTTTCCTAAATGCCTATCATTTGCACGCATTCCTTTGATACACAGAGAATACGTCTTCCCACACAGTCGCTCGGGTGGTAACGCAGCTTGGTTTTCTTCTGTGCCAGTGGCAGGGAAGAGCCCGCTGTTGACACAGCCTCTCAGCAAGGCACGGGGCAGGGGCTGACTGTGTCTCCTGGGGCTGCCGTGACCAAGCACCACAGACTGCGGGGCCGAAGCCACAGAAACGCGTGGCCTCCCGCTTCTGGAGGCCTGGAGGCTGAGCTAGCGGTGGTGTCGGCAGGGTGGGCTCCCCGCCAGGGCCGCGAGGGAGCTGCCTTCCAGGCCTCTCCACGGCGCCGGGGGCCGCCGGCTGCACCTCTCCAGCCTCCATCTCCGTCATCCTGTGGCCTTGTCCCCGCGGGCCTCTGTGCCTGTCCTCCTCTTTTGACAAGAACACCGGAGATACACAAAGGTACACAAAAGCGGGCCTTTGTTCAAGCTGGCAAAAGAGATCTTCTTCAGAAACCCCTGCTTGCGGGGGAGAGAGCTGAGCTCCGTTCCCGCCCCAGCAGAGGCGGCCTGGCCTTGCGAAGGGAGAAGGAGGGAGTCGGGAGGGGGCGAGTGCAGGCTCAGGTGAAAGATGACGGGGCAGCCAGCGTCCTTGCCGCGAGGCCAGCCGTGTGTGGGAGCTGCCGGTGCTTACCAAGGTTGGGATGCTTCCGTCCCGTGGAGACTGGGAGACTGGGCCCCGCGCCTCCTGAGGTTTCCGTTTCCAAGGAGTGGCTGCGGGGCCCTCGGGAAAGCCCCTGGGTTGTGGGTGCTACACAGATGTCTCAAAGGGACAGGGTAAGCCCTTTGTAGTAAATGCTGTCAGAAAGGGAGGTCAGGTGTTGGCCGGAACAGACAGTACATGCTCTGGGCAGCCCTGAGCGTTTCCAGACGGGAACTCACTCAAAAGGGGGCTGGGGCGTCCCAGGGGCGCGGCCTTAGGCTCCCAGAGGCCCCGCGAGGTGGTGGCCGGGTGTCTTCGGGCAGGGGTTTGAGTGCAGTGTGCCTGCCGAGAGGTTCTGCAGTTCCGAGCACCATCATTTTCTCCTCCTCAGACCCCTTGGTTCTCCTTCCACGTCCTGGCAGCTGCTTCGCAGGCTCCTTGCTGGTTCCTGTGTCTCCGAGCTGACTCCCGAATTCTCTTCCTCTCCTTGCTCAGACACTGCCCCTTTGTGACCTCGTCCATCTTCAAGGCCTTGATGCTGATGACAGATTTCTGTCTTCCAGTCCTGATCTGTTCCTTCACGAAAATGAGCCCAGTAGCCCGTCCAAGCCAGAAATGGACTTTTAGCCCCCACCCCCTGCCAACTCTGCCCTTTCCCTCATCCCCAGTTGCTTAAACCAAAACGGATTCCTCTTCCTCTCATGATCCAAACTCCTGAGTCCCTTCACCTTTTGCCTACACTATCACAGTGACCTCCTTGCTGCTTTCACACTGGAGAGCGTGGGCTCCCTGTGATCTACTCTCCACATGGCAGCCAGTGTCATCTGGTAAACCTTTGCTGAAACCCTGCCATGCCCTTCAGTTGCCCTGGAAACCTGAACTCATCCTCAGCCTGGCTCGCAGAGCCCTCATGCCGCTGGGACGTCACGTTATGTCCCTCTCCTGCTGGCCCGCTGCACCCAGCCGCACCACATGCCGGCCGCACCTCACACACGCTGGCCTCTTGGCCCTTCCTCGAACACACGGCGCTTGTCCTTGTTGTCCCCTCATCTTTGCATGGCCGATTTCTTTTTCTCATTCAGCTCTAAGTTTAAACTTTCAACAGTTCTAAGCGTATCACCTTCTTCATCTTAAAGTCCTCATCCTAAATCACACTGCACTGTTTTAACTCCCAGCTTGGCAGTCCAAACGGCCTCATTTATTCTGCTTTGTTTTCTCTCTCCTTCCACCAGAGGGAGAGCAGAGGCCTCCTCCAGCTCAGTCAGGCACCATCCCCCGGAACAGCGGTCTCCAACCTTTTTGGCACCAGGGACCGGTTTTGTGGAAGACGAGTTTTCCACAGACGGGGATGGGGCGTGGGATGACGGTTCGGGGATGAAACTCTTCCACTTCAGATCATCAGGCATTAGTCAGATGCTCCTAAGGAGCACACAACCTAGATCCCTCGCACACACAGTTCACAATAGGGTTTGCGCTCCTGTGAGAGTCTGAGGCCGCTGGCTGATCTGACAGGAGGCAGAGCTCAGGCGGTCATGCGAGCAATGGGGAGCAGCTGTACACACAGATGAAGCTTCGCTCGCGTGCCCACCACTCGCCGCCTGCTCTGTGGCTCAGTTCTTAACAGGCCACAGACCAGTATCGGTCCGTGGCCGGGGGGTTGGGGACCCCTGCCCTAGAACGATGCTCGGCACAGCTACACTCGGTGCACATTTCTTGGTGGCCTGAGCTTGTCTTGAGCTCCATCAGGATTTCTCTGTCAATATTTTTGTAGACCATACCCTGTCACCATAAATGGTGCTTGGTAGAAATGACTGTATGCATGTGATAGGGATAACACAGAAAACCCATGGTAGAGAGCATGGCGACTAACTTGGAGGGACTTCTTTTTGTCTTTTTTTTTTTTTTTTTTTTTTTTTTCGTTTTTGCAGAGATGCAGGTATTGTCATGTTGCCTGGGCTGGTCTCAAACTCCTGGGTTCAAGCAATCCTCCCACCTGTGCCTCCCTAAGTGTTGGGATTACAGGCATGAGCCGCTGCCTCCCCGCAGCATGGGGGGACTTCTTATAAGCATTTTTATTTATTTATTTGGAATTCGGATGGATAGATCATGTTGGCCTGATAATGTATGTGCAAGAGCACAGACTCTGGGGTCTCATGGACAAGCCCCACTCTGCCCCTTGCTTAATGTCTCTGAGCCTCAGTTTCCTCATCTGTAACAAGGGCAGAAATGCCATCCGTGTGCAGCAGAGTACCGACGAAAGGATGGATGCAATGCTCTTACGGCAGTGCCCCACCCAAGGCACAAGGAAAAACCACGAAAGCAATTCCAGTTTACACCACGTCCCAAACTGGATTTTCCATTCGACTATAATTCCTCCCAATAAGGGCTCAAAACGTTGTCTAAGGAAAGTCGATTGGTTGTTGCCCAGGGCTGGAGGAGTTGGGGGAAAACGGGGAGTGACTGCTGATGGAGACAGAGTTTCCTTTTGAGATGATGAGAATGTCCTGAAGCTGGTCATGCTGATGGTTGCACGTATCTATGAATATACTAAAAACCATCGAATTGTACACTTTAGACATGTGAATTGTGTAGCATGTGAATTAAACCTCAAGTCGTTATTTTAAAAATGTTGTCTAAGACACCTGGGCGCCTCCTGTAAGCTCCCATGAAAATGCAAATGAAGACACAGAAGAAGACCAACATTGAACATTTACATCCTCTCCTAAAGCTATGTTTGACAGGTGACCTTTTTTTCATCCTTCCTTCCTTCCTTCCTCTTCCTTATTCCTTCCTTCCTTACTTCACTCCCTCTTCCTTATTCCTTCCTTCCTTCTTTCCCTCTTCCTTATTCCTTCCTTCCTTCTTTCCCTCTTCCTTATTCCTTCCTTCCTTCTTTCCCTCTTCCTTATTCCTTTCTTCGTTCCTTCCTCCCTTCCTTCCTTCCCTCCTTCCTTTTTTCCTTATTCCTTCCTTTCCTCCCTTCCTCCCTCCCTCCCTCCCTCCCTCCCTCCCTCCCTTCCTTCCTTCCTTCCTTCCTTCCTTCCTTACGTTTTTTAACAGTAGAGACAGGGTCTCACTGTGTTGCCCAGGCTGGACTCGAACTCCTGGAAATCAAGTGATCCTCCCACCTGGGCCTCCCCAAATGCTGGGATTACAGGCTTGAGAACTGGCAGGGAGAATGGGCGACTTTGTGTTGTGAAGCAGAGTGACCCTACTCTGTCCTTTCCTCAGAGACCCAGGGTTGGTACCAACCAGGAGACTAGCAGCTGCTCTTCTACCCGGCCCAGGTTGCTTTCTCTATAGTCATTGAGAGGGAAACCCTCAAACAGAAAGTGTGTCAGCAGGGGGCAGGCAGCTGATGGATGTCATTGTACCCTTGGAGGAACAGAACTCAGCGGTCACAGGAAGCGGGGAGATCCAGGGATTCCATCGGTCGCGTTGGTTCCGAGTGTCGCAGGCCTGAGGGGAAGGGGTGAGATTTGCTTTCTCAGTCTAGGAGAGCCAAAGTCGACAAATGTGTGCTATAGCTGGAAATAAGTCTTCTCCCGCACCTAGCGGGCGGTGGTCAGGGTGGTCTGTCTGTCCATCCCCGAAAGCACTGCAAGACCTGCCATCTGTTTCTGGTGATGCTGGGTGGTATTATTGAGACAGATATTTCTGCTGAAAATAACTGCAAATGATAGATGAAACAGTTTGAGACTGTTCAAAACAGCTGAGAACCAACAAGAGAGCAAAACCTGAGAGGAAGTGGGAATCCAAGAAGAAGTACGCCACTGAAGCTGCTTATTTCCCGAGGACGCTGGCCGACCTGGGCAAACTTGGGTTTTGGTTCTGGAGGCCGTCCAGGCAAGGGAGACAGCAGGCAAGGCCCAAAGCCTTTGTGAAGTGTGGGGAGTTGTATAGCAGCCCCCGCTACATTAAGGAAACCCCACCCCAGCTCTGCAGATTGCGGGGAAGCAGGAGATGAAAGGAAAGGGAAAACACCCCTGTGCAAAGTTGTGGCCAAGGGCCAGGTTCTGTGCAGACTTGCAGTCTAGGTTTTCCTGGTGGGGCCGTTCAGTGGCCCTCGAGTCCTAAATTTGGTCTGAGGTGGTCCTGGGCCGACAGTACCCATATTAGTTTTCTAGGGCTGCCGTAAGAAATGGCCACAAACTGGGTGGCCGAAAACAACAGAAACGGATTCTCCCGTGGTTCTGGAAGCTACAAGTCTGGAATCCAGCTGTCAGCAGGGTTGGTTCCTACTGGAGGCTCTGTGGGAGAATCTGTTCCATGCCTCTCTCGTAGCTCCAGGTGGTTTCTGGCAATCCCTGGCACTCTCTGTCTCATAGAGACACCGCTCCAATCTCTGCCTCCTTCTTCGTGGGGTCATCTTCCCAGTGTGTCTGCCTCTCTCTCTTATGAGGACACTAGTCACATTTGATTAGCGCCCACCCCAATCTAGTATGACCTTAACTTGATTACATCGGCAAAGACCCTATTTCCAAATCAGGTCACATTCCCAGGCACCCAGGTGTTAGGACTTGAACATACCTTTTTGGGGGACACAATTCAACCCACAACGGTTACCCCAACGGATGTGTGGATTCGTGGGAGCCTGGGGTTGAGATGCAGTCTCCACAAAAGTTCCTGAGTGAGAGCATGTCCTTTGCAGGAGCGTGGATGGAGCTGGAGGCCATTATCCTTAGCAAACTGACGCAGGAACAGACAACCAAATACCACATGTTCTCACTTATAAGTGGGAGCTAAATGATGAGAACACACGGATACATAGAGGGGAATGAAACACACTGGGGCCTTTTGCAGGGCGGAGGTTGGGAGGAGGGAGAGTATGAGGAAAAATAGCTCATGGGTGCTAGGCTTAATACCTAGGTGATAAAATAATCTGTACAGCAAACCCCCATGACACAAGTTTACTCATATAACAAACCTGCACATGTACACCTGAGCTCTTAAAATAAAAAGAGCGATGTATTAATATAACAACTTTAGGAGCACTGGGGGAAAAAAGTTCTTAATGACACTGAGCAGTGCACATAAAAACTAAGCACACCCAGGGCAGGAAAGAGACCATGAGACTAAGAGTTCAGATGCTGGAGGCTGGGTGCAGTGACTCACACCTGTAATCCCAGCACTTTGGGAGGCCGAGGTGGGCAGATCACAAGGTCAGGAGTTCTAGACCAGCCTGGCCAATATGGTGAAACCCCGTCTCTACTAAAAATACAAAAATTAGCCGGGCGTGGTAGTGGGCGCCTGTACTCCCAGCTACTCGGGAGGCTGAGGCAGGAGAATCACTTGAACCTGGGAGGTGGAGGTTGCAGTGAGCCGAGATGGCACCATTGCACTCCAGCCTGGGTGACAGAGAGAGACTCAAAACAGATGCTGGAGCACCACACAGATGACAGAACAACTGAACTTTAAAAACTTAAAAAAAAAAAAAAAGGCTTGTGAATATCCACAGGGAATAGGGAATATATATATCCAAAAAGTAAAAGCTGTCTAACTTTTTATTTCTTTGTTTGTTTGTTTATTTATTTGAGACAGGGTCTCACTCTGTCACCCAGGCTGGAGTGTAGTGGCACGATCACAGCTCATTGCAGCCTCAACCTCCCGGGCTCAAGCGATCCTCCCGCCTCAGCCTCCCGAGTAGCCGGGACTACAGGCGCGTGCCATCACGCCCGGCTAATTTTTTATTTTTTCGTGGAGATGGGGTTTCGCTATGTTGTCCAGGCTGCTCTCGAACTCCTGGGCTCAAGCCATCCTCCCACCTTGGCCTGCCAAAGTGCTGGGATTACAGGCGTGATGAACTCAATTTATTTTTCTCTTTCTAAAAAATACCCATTTGCTTTCTCTGTCCCCTGAAAAGCCTTCAAAGCAATGCTAATGCCATTGCAGCTGGCACCAAGACTATGGACTGAAGTGCTCCCTCTGGAGGTAAATCTGAGACATGACCACAGCGTTTGTCAGGAGGACACTGCTGCCAACCAATTTGAGTTGCCATTGGCTACGAATGGAGCATCAGAAGGAATAATGGCCCTTCCTGCCGGCTGCTCTGCTGGTCTTCCTTCCTGCCTCTCTTCCTCGGTCCTGTCCTTCTCCCCCTCTTCTTCCAAAAGCCCCTGGGATTGGGGGCCCACTCAAGGAAAGCGTGGAGGGCAGCTGGGGACCAGTGTGAAGCACGATCCTCCGCTGAGCGCAGCAGTGTCCTGCACAAGGAAGTTTTGTGGAGTAAGGAAGGGAGTCGGCGAGGGTGACTGTGTCCTGGGGAGGGGTCAGGGGTCCAAGAGAGGAACGTGTGCCAAGTTGGGTGGTGACCTGATGGGCTCAGATGGTTGACTGGCTTTGCAGTAAATATATGAATGATGTAGGGACCTGGCTTTCTCACCGTTTGGAAAAGGAGTTGCAGATATGAAAAGAGAGAAGGCTTGAATGTGGATTCGATTTGGAGTTGTTGGTGTGAATTCATTGATCTAGTTTGGATGTTTGTCCCCACCCACATCTGATGTTAACTTGTAATCCCCAGGGCTGGAGGTGGGGCCTGGTAGGGGGTGTTTGGGTCATGGGGGTGGATCCCTCATGAATGGCTTGGTGCTGTCTTCGTGATAGTGAGTTCTCGAGAGATCTTGTCATTTTAAAGTGGGTGGCATTCCCCCCGCCCCGACACACACACTCTCTCTCTCTCTCTCTCTCTCTCTCTCTCGCTTGCTCCTGCTTTCGCCATGAGATACACAAGCTCTTGCTTTGCCTCCCACCACAAGTAGAAGCTTCCCGAGGCCTCTCTAGAAGCTGGGCAGATGCCAGCACTAGGCGTCCTGCAGAGCCTGCAGAACCAAGAGCCCATTAAACCTCTTTTCTGTATAAATTACCCAGTCTCAGGTATTTCTTTATAGCGGTGCAAGAGTGGCCTGATACACTGATGGCTTTCAATATACAGATAGGTATAGAAATAAGCATAGCTGTAAAATAGGGCTGTGTGTATGGGTATTTCTCAGCTCCATCACTTAGAAGGCCTGGGACCATCTCAATAGCAGTGAGTTGACTTAGTGCCTGGGTCTCGATTTCTAAACAACCGTCTTGATTAAAAAGAACAGAGCTCACTAGAGAAATGACTGATTCCAGGGCTAGGGCAGAGAAAGTCCAAGATTAACTGGATCATCTTGTTGTCCCAGAAAAATAAGGAAGTGCTTAAAGAGCAACGGAGACACATTTAGCTGGACTAAGACAGAGAGAGCGAGGACTAAAATCAGAAATGAAAGTAGCCACATTACTACTGACCTTACAGAAATAAAAATATGCATGAGAGCACGGAAACGTATGACTTCCTTTACTTCATTCTCCTCCTTTACTTCTGAGTTGGTCAAGAATTAGAAGCAAGAGTTTGGGAACACTTTGCTAAAGGGGTTTCTATTCACTGTTGCAGATATAGCTAAGCTATAGATATAGATATAGATGATAGATAGATATAGATATAGATATAGATAGACAGATATATAGAGAGAGACCAGGTCTCACTTTGTCACCCAAGCTGGAGTGCAGTGGCATGAACATGGCTTATTGCAGCCTTGACTTCCTGGGCTCAATGCCATCTTCCCACGTCAGCCTCCAGAGTAGCTGGGACCACAGGCGTGCGCCACCGCGCCTGGCAAATTTTACAATTTTTTGTAGAGAGTGGGTACAGCCATGTTGCCCAGGCTGCTCTCAAACTCTTGGGCTCAAGCAATCTGCCCAGCTCGGTCTCCCAGAGTGTTGGGATTACAGGCATAAGCCACCATGCCCGGCCAATTGCAGCAATAATATTCTTTTGCAAAAAATTTGTTCATCGTTGGTACCGAAGAGCTGTTGAACATCCTATTATTGCACAGGAGGCATTTATCGTGGTACAGGCCAGGGTTTTCTGCCCCAATCAGGGTCTGATGTTACGAGGTACGTGGAGAGATGGGTAACCTTAACAGTGTCACCTTTTTCTTACTTTTCCCCAACAACTCATCTCATTTATTCATGTTTGTGTTTTGCAGACAATTGGAAATAACACGTCACAGTTACAAGCACCATTACATATGATGGTGGTATTTCTGATCCTAGACAAAGACCACTTGAGTTCATTACAACCCCTATCAGCCATGGTACTTTGGGCCAGTCACTCAGCCTCTCTTAGTTTTAGCTTCCACGTCTATGAATAGGATGACAATAATATTCTGCATGCTTGCTCTGAGGATGGAAAAGATAATTTCCCTTTTTTTAGAGTCAAGGTCTCGCTCTGTCGCCCAGGCTGGCAGGAGTGCAGTAGTGCAATCACAGCTCACTGGAGCCTCGACCTCCTGGGCTCAAGTGATCCTCCCACCTCAGCCTCCCGAGTAGCTGGGACCACAGGCATGAGCCACCATGCCTGGTGGGAAAGACAGTTTTTATAATGACTTTTATCCCTTTTATTTTTTGACAAAACCATGTTTTTGTTCACTACTTCAAGGTGAATGATGTCCTCCCAGTTCCAAATCTAGTGTCTGATTTGAGGGCTAGCTAGCCACTGGATCAACATTGGAGGAAAAACAGCTGTTCTCTGATTTGATCTTATGCTTAAGCAGATTTGCTGGAAGCTTGCACACCTGTTATCTTTGAAAAAATAAATTGGTTATTGGTTAATTTTTTCCCCAAACCGTGATACAATGAGTTATGATTATAGCATGACATACGTGTACACCTCAAAATCATTGTGTAGTACAAATCGCAAAACTTATAGGAAAAATGGGGTTAGGGACACAATACTCAAAACCTTTGTCAGTGACACATAAAAAAACGAAGATAGGAACCTAATGAAAATGGTAGCACAATTCTATGCATGTTAAATGGTTAAAAAATACCTAAGTGCTGCAGCAAGTACGGCACTTCACCTTGAAAAAGACCTGAAGTTTGCTTGTGGAAATGGCGGTGGAAGGGTTGCAGGTCATGAATTGGTGAAAGGAGGGTGTTCTGAAATTGGACAGAAAGTTGTAACACCAGATGCGGACTAGTGTGGCTTATAATACGTGTGCTGAGCCGAGGGAGTGGAGTAAGGTGGGAATCCCCTGGGAATTTAAGTGAACACTGATCAAAATGTTTGTTTCAAACCAATTCTCTTGTATTCATTACGTTGGCATTTAGGAATGAAGTGATGTTTCCATGACCTATGTTGATTGAAAGACCAAAGATTTTGTACCTGTTGAGTCTATGTCTTTACAGTGCAGTAAATTTGTACTTCTGAGTTTAAAGATTAGGTCAACAATTGGGTATTTAGCAAGGCACTCTGGGAAACAGAAAAACTGTAAGACAGTCTCTGCCTCCGGGCGACCAACTACTTTTTAAAAATTCAACTGGAGTCTATATAAAAGAGGAAATGAAGGCGGCCTGGTGCAGTGTGGCTCACGCCTGTAATCCCTACACTTTGGGAAGCTGAGGCGGGAGGACTGCTTGTGTCCAGGAGTTTGAGACCAGCCCGGGCAACATAGTCAGACGCCATCTCTACAAACAATTTTAAAAAATGAGTCGGGCGTGGAGGTGTGCACCTGTAGTCCCAGCTACTTAGGAGGCTGAGGTGGGAAGATGGATTGAGCATGGGAAGTCGAGGCTGCAGTGAGCTGTGATTGCACCGCTGCACTCTGACCTGGGTGACAGAGTGAGACCTTGTCTCCAAAAAAAACAACAACAAAAAGAAGAAATGAAAATCTAGAAAAATACGTGAAATCTTTTCCTGTCAAATGTTTCCCCCTAAGCTTTAATGATCCTATTTCATTAAAGGAAATATGGGAGAATATTGATGACTGGCAGCACGTAGTGGTTAAGAGCACCGGACTGGGAGCTGGAAGAGTCTGTGATTCTTGAACTCCTGGGCTCAAGCGATCCTCCCACCTGGATCTCCCAAAGTACTGGGACTACAGGCATGAGCCAACATGCATGGCCGAGTCTGTGATTCTTTACTGGAATGGAGTGACGTGTGTTTTCTTCTTAAATGACATCGTGAATTTCCAAGGTCCTTGAAATCTCTTTGCATCTCTTTCCAATTTGCCATTGCTATGCCTGAAGTTCAGTTGGAATGCTTATATTTCAGCTTATCACATTACCTATATTCTGATCAAATATGTTATGGCATCGAAGCTAATTTTGAGACATGGTCCCTAGGCCGTGGGACCTAATGACCAGAGATGGAAGTCTATGTGCTGCTTCTGTCCCAAGGGAGATGAGTATCTGTTAGGGGCTCACTCGGGACTGTGTGGTGCTACCTGAGTGCGACACAGATGCTGGAGACTTGAGAAGATATCACTGTAGACTCCAACCCTGTTATAGCTGATGAGGAAAAAACTGAGAGTATTTATTATTGCCCCCACAAAATGCACATATTTTATTATATTGATAAGATGTGAACAATATGTTATTCCTCAATATTCTGCAGGTTGCCTTTTCATTTTGTTGATTGTTACTGAATTCTTCTACCCCCAAAAAGGATTACATGAGAAGATTGTGAACAATTGTTTGCCAACAAATTAGATAACCTAGATGAAGTGGACAAATTCCTAGAAATGTACAAACCATGAAAACTGACTCAGGAAGAAATAGATTTCATTTCCTTCAGATCTATACCCAGAAGTGGGAGAGCTGGATCATATGGTAGTTCTATTTTTAATTTTTTGAGGGTCATTCACAGGCCTGGAGGCTGAAGAGGGAAGAATGGTTTTTTGGACCCAGCCCAGAGCCCTGCTGGCCTGAGCACCCTCGGGACACTGCTATCTGCGCCCCAGCTGCTCCAGCTCCAGCCATGGCTACAAGGGCCCCAGATACGCCTCCGGCTGCTGCTCTGGAGGGTGCAAGCTGTAAGCCTTGGTGGCTTCCATGTGGTGTTAAGCCTGCGGGTATGCAGAGGGCAAAAGTTGAGGCTTGGGAACCTCTGCCTAGATTCAGAGGATGTATGGAAACGCCTGAATGTCCAGGCAGAAGTCTGCTGCAGGGGCGGAGCCCTCCTGGGGAACCTCTACTAGCGTAGTGCAGAAGGGAAATCTGGGGTTGGAGTCCCCACTGGGGCACTGCCTAGTGGAGCTGTGAGAAGGGGGCCACCATCCTCAAGACCCCCGAATCATAGATCCACTGACAACTCGCATTATACTCCTGGAAAAGCTGCAGACATTCAATACCAGCCCAGGAAAGCAGCCGAGGGGGCTGTACCCTGCAGAGCCACAGGAGCGGAGCTGCCCAAGGCCTCAGGAGCCCACCCCTTGCCTCAGTGTGGCCTGGATGTAAGACATGGAGCCAAAGGAGATTATTTTGGAGCTTTAAGAATTAATGACGATTTTCTGCTCCGCCCGCCCACAGATGTAGTTTCCTCCGCACGTGCGCACCTTCCCTCCTCCCCGCCTGCAGGGTCCATGGCCTCCATGGCGTTTTAGGGGCAGCAGTGCCTGTGGCAGCCTTGGCCTTTGCAGCGGTGGCAGCAGCACCAGGCTCTGCAGTGGCATCCACCGGCGGCTTAAGCCGTAGCACTTCTCACAGCATTCAGCAGCAGCATTGCTGTAACCGACAAAGACACCTTCGAATTAAGCACATTCGTTGATTCCAGCAAAGCACTGCACCATGACCGAGATGAGCTTCCTGAGCAGCGAGGTGTTGGTGGGGGCTTGATGTCCCCCCTTGACCAGTCAGGTTTGGGGACTGAAGAAAGCCTAGGTCTCTTAGATGACTACCTGGAGGTGGCCAAGCACTTCAAACCTCATGGGTTCTCCAGCGACAAGGCTAAGGCAGACTCCTCCGAGTGGCTGGCTGTGGATGGGTTGGTCAGTGCCTCCAACGATGGCAAGGAGGATGCTTTCTTTGGGACAGATTGGATGTTGGAGAAAACTGATCTGAAGGAGTTCGACTTTGATGCCCTGTTGGGTATAGATGACCTGGAAACCATGCCAGACGAGCTTCTGGCCACGTTGGATGACTCGTGTGATCTCTTTGCCCCCCTAGTCCAGGAGACTATTAAGGAGCCCCCCCAGTCCAGGAGACTATTAAGGAGCCCCCCCCAGATGGTGAACCCGATTTGCCATCTCCCAGAAAGTTTAACCCGACCAGGTTGCCCCCTTCACCTTCTTGCAACCTCTTCCCCTTTCCCCAGGGGTCCAGTCCTCCACTCCAGATTATTCCTTTAGTCTAGAGCTGGGCAGTGAAGTGGATATCTTTGAAGGAGCTAGGAAGCCAGACTCCACTGCTTACATTTCCAAGATCCCTCACTGCACAAAGGAGGAAGACGCCCCCTCAGATAATGATAGTGGCATCTGTATGAGCCCAGAGTCCTATCTGGGCTCTCCCTCTACCTCCAGGGGCTCTCCGAGTAGGAGCCCGCCATCTCCAGGTGTCCTCTGTGGCTCTGCCTGCCCCAAACCTTATGACCCTCCTGGAGAGAAGATGGTAGCAGCACAAGTAAAGGGTGAGAAACTGGATAAGAAGCTGAAAAAAAAATGGAGCAAAACCAAACAGCAGGAACTAGGTATCGCCAGAAGAAGAGGGTGGAGCAGGAGGTCCTCACTGGTGAGTGCAAAGCGGTGGAAAAGAAGAACGAGGCTCTGCAAGAGAGGGCGGATTCCCTGGCCGAGGAGATCCAGTACATGAAAGATTCGATAGAAGAGGTCTGCAAGGCAAGGGGGAAGAAAAGGGTCCTCTAGTTGAGGGTAGTCAGGAGCGTCAATGTGCTTGTACATAGGAGTCTCGCGCTGTAGCTGTGTGTTCGAATAAATTATTTTGTAGTGGAAAAAAAAAAAAAAAGAATTAATGACTGTCCTGTTGGGTTTTGGACTTGCATGGGGCCTGTAGCCCCTTTGTTTTGGCCGATGTCCCCCTTTTGGAAAGGGAGTATTTACCCAATGCCTGTACCTCAATTTTATCTTGGAAGTAGCTAACTTGTTTTAGATTTTACAGGCTCATAGGCAGAAGGGACTTGCCTTGTCTCAGTTGAGACTTTGGACTGTGGATTTTTGAGTTAATGCTGAAATGGGTTAAGACTTGGGGGACTGTTGAGAGGAGATTATTGTATTTTGCAATGTGAGAAGTACATGAGATTTGGGAGGGGGCAGGGGTGGAATGATATGATTTGGATTTGTGTCCCCACCCAAATCTCATGTTGAATTGTAATCCCTAGTGTTGGAGGAGGGGACTGGTGGGAGGCGATTGGATCATGGGGGTCGATTTCCCCCTTGCTATTCTCGTGATGTTGAGCTCTCACAAGATCTGGTTGTTTAAAAGTGTATAGCACCTCCCCCTTCACTTTCTCTTTCTCCTTCTCTGGCCATATAAGATGTGCCTCCTTCCTCTTTGCCTTCCGCTATGATTGTAACTTTCCTGAGGCCTCCCCAGCCATGCTTCCTGTAGAGCCTGCAGAACTGTGAGTCAATTAAACCTCTTTTCTTTATAAATTACTCAGTCTTAGGTAGTCCTTTATAGCAATGCGAGAACGGATTAGTACCGTCAATATTGATGAGAATGTTGAGCTATGTGTATGTACGCTGACACATTATGGTGGAAGCGAAAATTGGCTCAAACCACTTGGGAAAACATGGCATTATCTAGTAAATTTCGAGATATGTATTGGCTGTGATACAGCAATTCCAAAAAAAAACTTGGACATGTGCTTCAAGAGACCTGTACAAGCATGTTCATAGCCAAGGGCTGGAAACTATCCAAATGCCTGCCCATCATCAGCAGAATGGATAAATTAGAGGACTATAAAACTCTGCCGTAATGTAATAGGTAGTTTCCAAGAAATCCAATCGCATACAATGTGAAAATGTGTTACTGTGGGGTTAATGAAATGAATGAGGCAAGCCCGCTGGACCATCCAAATCTGTCCTGCTCCCGGCTGGAGTTTGATGCCATCTAGTGGCAGACGTTGCTCTGGCTGAAATATTGATGGAGATTTCCGGTCCAGTGGCTGGCTGAGACTTCCAGGACAGTGGCAGTATCTCCAGGAATCTCTCAGTCAGTTAGGACTTCCTTTCTTGACTTGATCTGAGGATAATAGGCCGGGAAAATAATGGGGACCCGGAGACCCTCCCTCTGTCTTCCTGCTTCCTAAGACAGGGTCACATGCACTTTACTCTCCCTTCCCTGACCTGTTGAAGGTAAGAACTTTAGCCTGCCTCTGTCTGAGAATGGGGAGACTGAGCAGAGGACGACAGGAAGGATGGCAATCACTAACCGGGTTATGTCTGATTTTCAGCTATTCCAGGTGTTAACAAGTTGTGTTCTCTGGTTTTTAAAATTCATCATTTAATGAAATATATGTAATGAAATACAGCAGTGAAAATAATAAACTGGAGGTACACGCAAGAGCTTGGGTGAATTTTTCTTTTCTGTAAGTAAAAACATTTTTAACTGATGTATGATAACTCTGCATATTTATGGGATACATGTGATATTCTGATACATGCACACGCACACACGATGTAATGATCAAGTCGGGGTATTTAGGATCTCCACCACCTCAAGCATTTATCATTTCTTTTTTTGGGGAACATTTCCTATCTTTTAGCTATTTTGAAATATACAATAAATAATTACCTATAGTCCCTCTACGGTGCTATCAAACACTAGAACTTAATCCTTCTATGCAACTATATGTTTGTCCCCATTAACCTCCCCACCCTCCCCACCTTTCCCAGCGTCTGGTAACCATCATTCTGCTCTACCTCCAAAAGATCAACGTTTTTAGTTTCCACATGAGTGCCAATATGCTTTTCCCAGGTGCAGAGGCTGCTGATTCCTGGATTTGGAAGGTGGGGGAGAGTGGTTTGGATTTCAGTACCTCCCCCTTCCTCAGGGCTAGGCCCTGTCTGGTCACCTCCTGTTGCTACAGGTGTGCCTGGCACAGACATTCAGCTCCCGGGGCCGTGCCGCCCTCACCCCTGCATGCCTCTAGAGGTACCTGTCCCGTGGATTTGACCCCCTTCCAGACACACAAATAGATCACCACTGAGCAGACACAGGGTCACCTCCCAGCTCCCTACCAGGCAAGAGCGACCAGGGCAGGGACTGATACTGCCGAACCCAGGAGCCAGGCCCGACCCAGCCTCAGGTCCAGCAGGTCCCGCCTGTCCACCTGGGCCAGGCCTAGAGCCCGGGAGCCCCTGGCTGGTGGGAGGCCACCCGCAACCCACCCCACACGCAGCTCCAGCTCCCCCACCAGGCGGGGCGACTAGGACAGGGACAGAACCCGTTGAACCCAGGAGTGAGATCCGGCCCCGGGTCCCGCTGGGCCCTCCCGTCCACCTTGGCTGGACCTGGCGCCTGGGAGACCTTGGCTGGCGCGAGGCCACGCCCACCAGACATGCAGTTCCAGCTACCCCACCAGCTGGGCGACCAGGACAGGGACGGAGGCTGCTGAGCCCAGTTAGAGGCCTGCCCCCCGGGGTCTGTCCTGGGCGCTCCCCCAAGGACGGACAGGGCAGGCAGGGTCCGGGACGATGGCCGCACAGTCCCGGCCCCGTGTTCCCAGGCCCGTCTTGCTCCTCGATGTGAGGGAGACCCGGGGGATGGGACAGGCTGGGCCCCGCAGTGCCTGACTCCCTGCAGGGCTCCCGGGACAGGGGTCCGGCGGACAGCCGGCTGCTCAGGGGTGAGGGGTCCAAGCTGGCATTGCGGCCACCTTCCGGCCCGGGCTCTCTTGGGGAGGGGCGGGGTTGGTGAGAACCGGTCACGTGCTCCGGGGCTCACTCGGGGTCTCCCAGGGCCGGAAGTAGGGCCCCTGTGCGCAGGCGCCCTGAGGATCCCGGGCTGCCCATCTCACGCCAGGGGGCGGAACTTCCTGCAGCCTCTCTGCCTCCGCATCCTCGTGGGCCCTGACCTTCTCTCTGAGAGCCGGGCAGAGGCTCCGGAGCCATGCAGGCCGAAGGCCGGGGCACAGGGGGTTCGACGGGCGATGCTGATGGCCCAGGAGGCCCTGGCATTCCTGATGGCCCAGGGGGCAATGCTGGCGGCCCAGGAGAGGCGGGTGCCACGGGCGGCAGAGGTCCCCGGGGCGCAGGGGCAGCAAGGGCCTCGGGGCCGGGAGGAGGCGCCCCGCGGGGTCCGCATGGCGGCGCGGCTTCAGGGCTGAATGGATGCTGCAGATGCGGGGCCAGGGGGCCGGAGAGCCGCCTGCTTGAGTTGTATTCTGTTCTGTTCTGTTCTGTTCTGTTCTGACAGTTCTGGTGGCGAGGTGGGGGCCGGGAGATGGGGAGGGCAGGGCCAGGTGGGGGAGGAGGCGGGGGAGATGCGAGTAAGTGGTTGGGTGGGGGTGGGGGTGGGGGTTGGGAGGTGGGGATATGAGAGGCCAGCTGCGAGGAGGGGAGGAGGTAAGGGCTGGGAGGTAGAGGGGGTGGGGGTGGGGGAGAGGGGCTGGGTGATTGGGTGAGGGGCACCGGGTCATGCGGGGAGGGGAGCAGGGGCCAGGAGATAGGGGGACCCAGGTGTAGGAGGGGATCAGGAGGTGGGGGGAAGGGGGCAAGATGGGAGCGGGTGGCGGGAGGTGGTTGGGATGGAGGGTCGAGTGATGAGGAGGGGGCCGGGTGATGCCACAGGGGGCAGGGTGGGGAGGGGTCTTGTAAGGGCATGGAGGAGTCAGCTTGGGGTGCAGCAAAGGAAAGTGGGGAACCAAGACAGCTGGGTGGGGTGTGCTACTGGGCCAGTGCCTGGGGAGACAGCCTGGGGGGGATGGGCTGGGCAATCCGGGGTAGGGGGGAGGGGTGGGGGAGTGGGGGAGGGGGAAGCTGGCCTGGGGTAAGCAGCAGGCCGGAGCCACAGGCCAAGTCCTAGGAGAGGATGCCTTAACTGGGCCCCCACCAGCTACCTCGCCATGCCTTTCGCGACACCCATGGAAGCAGAGCTGGCCCGCAGGAGCCTGGCCCAGGATGCCCCACCGCTTCCCGTGCCAGGGGTGCTTCTGAAGGAGTTCACTGTGTCCGGCAACATACTGACTATGTCAGTTCAGGACCAGGACAGGGATGGGGCCTGGGTGGGTGGCGGTCACAGCGTGGCAGGGTGGGGGCTGGGATCCGCCTACACCCCACGGTCAGGCTGCTAGAAACCTGGGAACACCCCAGCACAGGGTCTCAGAACAGAGACCTGGTACACCAGGCCCGCCGCCACCCGAGGGAGCCCAGGGAGATGGGTGCAGAGGTGTCGCCTTTAACGTGATGTTCTCTGCCCCTCACATTTAGCCGACTGACTGCTGCAGACCACCGCCAACTGCAGCTCTCCATCAGCTCCTGTCTCCAGCAGCTTTCCCTGTTGATGTGGATCACGCAGTGCTTTCTGCCCGTGTTTTTGGCTCAGCCTCCCTCAGGGCAGAGGCGCTAAGCCCAGCCTGGCGCCCCTTCCTAGGTCATGCCTCCTCCCCTAGGGAATGGTCCCAGCACGAGTGGCCAGTTCATTGTGGGGGCCTGATTGTTTGTCGCTGGAGGAGGACGGCTTACATGTTTGTTTCTGTAGAAAATAAAACTGAGCTACGATTCCGTGTCTGAGTCTCTTTTCGGCGAGCGAAGGCACCTTCGGACTTGCATGCCCTTGTCCTCGGGTTGCAGGGGAGGCTCTGGGATTCACAGATTGAAGTAGCACAAGGTAACGGGAGGCAATTTGGGAAATGGGGGAAAATGAAAAGCCACTGGGTCCCGCCATTCAGCATTAACTACTGTGGACATTTTAGAATATTTTCCTCAATATACTTGCATTTATATGTTAAATATATGACAGTAGCATATATAATGTTTTTCCAGGTCAGCATTAAATTTTTTCCCAAATTGTTTTCATTGAACATATGAGCTTTTTTACTTGGGAAAAATTCTTTGAAAACGTACTTGAATAGATGCATAGAACCAGCATTATCATATCACTGTTAAGCATGTGATATGGGTTGGGCATGGTGGCCCACACCTGTATTTCCAGCACTGTGGGAGGCTTGAAGCGGGAGGATGGCTTGAGACCTGCAGTTGGAGGCCACCCTGGGCAATGTAGCGAGATTCTGTCTGTAGAAAAATCATTAAAAGGCCGGGTGCGGTGGCTCATGCCTGTAATCCCAGCACTTTGGGAGGCCGAGGCGGGCGGATCACCTGAGGTCAGGAGTTGGAGACCAGCCTGGCCAACATAGTGAAACTCCATCTCTACTAAAAATACACACACAAAAAAACAACAACAAAAAAACATTAGCCAGGCGTGGTGGTGTGTGCCTGTGATCCCAGCTACTTGGGAGGCTGAGGCAGGAGAATCACGTGAACCTGGAAGGTGGAGGTTGCAGTGAGCCGAGATGGTGCCACTGCACCCCAGCCTGGGCAACAGAACAAGACTCTGTCTCAAAAAAAAAAAAAAAAAAGAAAGAAAAGAAAAGAAAAAATTAGCAGGGTGTGGTGGTGTGTGCCTGTGATCCCAGCTACTTGGGAGGTTGAGGTAGGAGAATCACTTGAACCCAGGAGGTGGAGGGTGCAGGGAGCCGAGATCATGCCACTGCACTCCAGCCAGGTTGACAGAAAAAGACTCTGTCAAAAAAAAAATTTTTTTTTAAATTAGGTGGGTGTGGTGGCAGGCACCTGTAGTCCCAGTTACTCAGGAGGCTGAGGTGTGAGGTGGAAGGATGTGTTGAGTCCAGGAGCTGGATGCTGCAGTGAGCTATGAATGCACCCCTGAGCTCCAGCCTGGGTGACAGAGTGAGACCCTGCCTCTAAAATAATGATAATAGTAATTCAAATAATCTAAAATCTTTGTGAACATGTAATATAACCAAAACACAGGTTCATTCCCTCATCGCTTGGAGATCCAATTAACAAGAGCGTGGTCTGCTATAAAGAAACGGACTTTCTGCCATGCTTGATTTAGGGGAAGACGTACAGGCTCCTGCCTTTAAGGGTGCTGCTTCCCACTGGGGGCAGAAAGCAGGGCCTTTTAAAGGAGGACTTGGCGTGAATGGTAGGCAGGGGAGGGAGCAGGCAGCTGTGGGGTCTGCATGACATGCTGAGGTGTCTTGTCTGCCGGGAGGTCACGCTGGCACCATCTTGGGCAGAGCTAGGTTGGAAAGGGGCTGTTTGTCAAAGCAAAACAGACATATGCTTGAGCTGTGTTCTGGGATGCTCTTAAGTTGCTCGGAGACAACTTGATCCCTTTGAGTTTTGTTTTAGCATTTGCTCGGTGGGAACACAGCAGATTTTAATGTAAGATTAATAATATTAGTTGACAATCTCCAATGCTTGGCAAGGCTGTAGTTGGAAACGAGGACTCATACGCTGTCAGTAGGAGTGGTAGTAACATCTATCTGGACATTTATTTGGCATTTTCTATTAAGGGAAAGATGTGCATACCCTTCCAGCTGTAGGGAAAAGAAAGAGAGATCAGACTGTTACTGTTGTCTATGTAGAAAAGGAAGACATAAGAAACTCCATTTTGACCTGTACCCTGAACGATTGTTTTGCCCCGAGATGCTGTTAATCTGTAACTTTGCCCCAACCTTGAGCTCACAGAAACATGTGTTGTATGGAATCAAGGTTTAAGGGATCTAGGGCTGTGCAGTATGTGCCTTGTTAACAAAATGTTTACAGGCAGTATGCTTCGTAAAAGTCATCACCATTCTCCATTCTCGATAAGCCAGGGGCACAATGCACTGCGGAAAGCCGCAGGGACCTCTGCCCTGGAAAGCCGGGTATTGTCCAAGGTTTCTCCCCATGTGATAGCCTGAGATATGGCCTCGTGGGGCGGGAAAGACCTGACCGTCCCCCAGCCCAACACCCGTGAAGGGTCTGTGCTGAGGAGGAAGGCCTCTTGCAGTTGAGATAAGAGGAAGGCCTCTGTCTCCTGCCTGCCCCTGGGAACTAAATGTCTCAGTATAAAACTCGATTGTACATTTGTTCTCTTCTGAGATAAGAGAAAACCCGCCCTATGGCGGGAGGCGAGACATGTTGGTGGCAGCAATGCTGCTCTGTTACTCTTTACTCCACTGAGATGTTTGGGTGGAGAAAAGCATAAATCTGGCCTATGTGCACATCCAGGCATAGTACCTTCCCTTGAACTTATTTGTGACACAGATTCCTTTGCTCACATGTTTTCTTGTTGACCTTCTCCACACTATCACCCTGTTCTCCTGCCACATTCCCCTTACTGAGATAGTAAAAATAGTAATCAATAAATACTGAGGGAACTCAGAGACCGGTGCCAGTGCGGGTCCTCCGTATGCTGAGCACCAGTCTCCTGGGCCCACTGTTCTTTCTCTATACTTTGTCTCTGTGTCTTATTTCTTTTCTCAGTCTCTCGTCCCACCTGACGAGAAATACCCACAGGTGTGGATGGGGCTGGCCCTCTTCATTTGGCGCCCAACGTGGGGCCTTTCTCTAGGGTGAAGGTGCGCTAAGACCGTGAGCATTGAGGACAGTCGATGAGAGATTCCCGAGTACGTCCACGGTGAGCCTTGCGGTAAGCTTGTGCACACGGAGGAACCCAGGGTAACAATGGGACAAACTGAAAGTAAATATGCCTCTTATCTCAGCTTTATTAAAATTCTTTTAAGAAGAAGGGGAGTTAGAGCTTCTACAGAAAATCTAATTATGCTATTTCAAACAATAGAACAATTCTGCCCATAGTTTCCAGAACAGGGAACTTTAGATCTAAAAGACTGGGAAAAAATTGGCAAAGAATTAAAACAAGCAAGTAGGGAAGGCAAAATCATCCCGCTTACAGTATGCAATGATTGGGCCATTATTAAAGCAGCTTTAGAACCGTTTCAAACAGAAGAAGATAGCGTTTTGGTTTCTGATGCCCCTGAAAGCTGTGTAATAGATTGTGAAGAAGAGGCGGGGACAGAGTTCAAGAAAGGAACGGAAAGTTCACATTGTGAAAATGTAGCAGAGTCTGTAATGGCTCGGTCAACACAAAGTGTTGACTACAATCAATTACAGGAGGTAATATATCCTGAATCACCAAAACTGGGGGAAGGAGGTCCAGAACCATCGGGGCCGTCAGGGCTAAAACCACGATGGCCACCTCCTCCTCAGTCGAGTGAGTGCTGGGGGAGGGAGCCTGAAACCAGGCTGGCTGCAACTCGGCTCGCGGTGCCCATTATTGCCCAACCGGCAGTTCACTGCGGTGAAGGAGCAATTCAGACTCGCCCTGTAGCATCCTGTCTGGGTCAAACAGTGGCCGCTCCCTAAGGAAAAGTTAGGGGCGCTACATAAAATAGTTAAAAAAACTATTTAAAAAAGGACATGTTTCACCCACTGTCTCTCCTTAGAATTCGCCAGTGTTTGTAATTCAGAAAAAATCCGGCAGATGGCGCATGCTAACCGACTTAAGAGCCGCTAATGCCGTAATTCAACCCATGGGGGCTCTCCAACGCAGGCTGCCCTCTCCGGCCGTGATCCCCAAAGGTTGGCCTTTAATTATAATTGTTCTGAAGGATTGCTTTTTTTTTTTTTTTTTTTACCATTCCTCTGGCAAAACAGGATTTTGAAAAATTTGCTTTTGCTATACCAGCCATAAATAATAAAGAACCAGCCACCAGGTTTCAGTGGAAAGTGTTGCCTCAGGGAATGCTTAATAGTCCAACTATTTGTCAGACTTTTGTAGCTCAAGCTCTTCAACCAGTTAGAGACATGTTTTCAGACTGTTATATCATTCATTATGTTGATGATATTTTGTGTGCTGCAGAAATGAGAGACAAATTAATTGACTGTTACACATTTCTGCAGACAGAGGTTGCCAACGCAGGACTGACAATAGCATCTGATAAAATTCAAACAACAGCTCCTTTTCATTATTTAGAAATGCAGGTAGAGGAAAGGAAGGTTAATCCTCAAAAGATAGATAGAAATGAGAAAAGACACATTAAAATATGAAATGACTTTCAAAAATTGCTGGGAGATATTAATTGGATTCGGCCAACCCTAGGCATCCCTACTTATGCCATGTCAAATTTGTTCTCTATCTTAAGAGGGGATCCAGAATCAAATAGTAAAAGAACATTAACTCCAGAGGCAACTAAAGAAATACATGAAAAGAAATACAAAAGCAAATAAGCACATGAAAAGATGCTCAGCTTCACTAATTTTTAAATAATTTTCATTTCCTTCTTTAGCTTTTTATTTTCTTCTTCTTGAGGCAGAGTCTCGCTCTGTCACCCAGGCCAGAGTGCACTGGTGCAACCTTGGCTCACTGCAACCTCCGCCTCCTAGGTTCAAATGATTCTCCCGTCTCAGCCTCTTGAGTAGCTGGGATTACAGGTGTGCACCACCACTCCCGGCTAAGTTTTTTATTTTTAGTGGAGACGGGGTTTCATCATGTTGGCCAGGCTGGTCTCAGACTCTTGACGTCAAATGATCCACCCACCTTGGTCTCCTAAAATGCTGGAATTACAGGCGTGAGCCACCCTGCCCGGCCTCCTTCTTTAGTTTTTAAAGAAAAATTAAAACAATGATTTTTTTTTCCATCTGATTGGCAAAAATTTAAATAATTCCCATCAGTTCAGCAAGGATGTGAGGCTAGCGACACTGTCATAGGCTGTTGATGACGGTGTATATTGGAGGGCAAGTTGGCAGCAATGTAAGACAAGGGTAGAGAAGGGAGGGTCCAGATGGCCGGGGAATCTCCTCTGGCCAGAGCAGAAAGTACTGGAGGAAGAGAAAGGACAGGCAGGTATGCTGAGCACCTTGTCCTGTGTTTTAATTGAGGAGTTTCCTGGGGTCTCACCCTGTACGCTGCAGAGAGCAAGTCAGGACTGTGGAACAGCCTGAGCTGCAGGGAACCTGAAGGAAGCTTTGGTAAAACTTGATGATATGGTTTGGCTGTGTCCCCACCCACATCTGATCTTGAAGTGTGGCTCCCATAATTCCCACGTGCCATGGGAGGGACCTGGTGGGAGGTAACTGAATCATGGGGGCGGATGTTTCCCATGCTGTTCTCGTGATAGTGAATAAGTCTCATGAGATCTGACGGTTTCATGAAGGGGAGTTCCCCTGCACATGCTCTCTTGACTGCCACCACGTAAGATGTGCCTTTGTGCATCCTTTGCCTTCCACCATGATTGTGAGACCTCCCAGCCATGTGGCACTGTGAGTCCATTAAATCTCCTTCCTTTGTAAATTACCCAGTCTTGGGTATGTCTTCATTAGCAGCATGAGAACAGACTAATACACTTGGCCTTTCTCCCAAACCCACGCTCAGTGTCTGTCCTGTTTGGAAAGCCTTTCCTGGAGATACACGCTCAGATCCGAAGGACACCATCCTTCCACCCCACAGCCGCATTAGCACATTGGCTTTCATATGTGTTCATTCAACCACCATTTATTCAGCATCTATGAAGCAGCAGACACTGGGGCCAGGCTCTAGAGATGTGCCCAATTGCAGAAACTCCTGGGGACACTAGGGACCCAGCTGCCGCCACTCAACACATGCTCATCCCAGACTGGAGAGCTCATGGGCTAGAGAGAAACATGGAAAGAGTCAGCAGAATAAAGGTGCTACATGTTTGCTGGTCAATCCTGAGGAAGTCGTTTCCTTACCCTTAGGTTGGCTTTCCATGCCATGTCCCTTTCTTCTTGTGTCTCCTTTTGGTGGCCTGGCATGAGGGGGTGGTGTAATTGAGCTAGCTTTCACCACTGAGACAACACCACAGGGGAAGGGCAAGAAGGCAGCCAGACAGACCAAGGTCTCCACAGAGGTACTGCATCTGGAGATCATTGTCATATACATGAGCCGGTGCTTTGCTCGAACTGGCTAACATCCATATTCCCATCATCCTCTCCTATCTATCTGTCTCATCGGCCGACACTGCAATGTAGACCACATCCAGAAGGCCCTTCTGGCTCCTTCTTAGTGGATATGGGAGACTCAGAGACAGAGTCCTGATGATGTTTTAGAGCAGGAGGGTTTTCAAGTTACTCCACACCTCGACTGTCACCTGGGGATAGAGTTTGGATATTTGTCCCCTCCACATCTCATGTTGAAATGTGATCCCCAGTGTTGGAGGTGGGGCCTGGTGGGAGGTGTTTGGGTCATGGAAGCAGATCCCTCAAGAATGGCTTGGGCCATCCTCTTGGTGATGAGCGAGCTCTCGCTCTGAGTTCACACGAGATCTGGTCATTTAATAGCATGTGGCAACTCCCCACCCCCTTGCTCCTGCCCTGGCCATGTGATGGTCCAACTCCACCTTTGCCCTCTGCCATGATTGGAAGCTTCCTGAGGCCTCACCAGAAACAGATGCTGCTGTGCTTCTTGTACAGCCTGCAGAACCGTGAGCCCATTCAACCTCTTTTCTTATCAATGACCCGGCCTCAGGCATTTCTTTATAGCAGTGCAAGAATGGCCTAATACACCTGTAAATTTGGGAGCTGCTTGCGGTCATCCTGGGAAAAGGTGCAGAAGACATTTGTCTTCAGAGAAAAGGAAGAAAGGAGCAGATCCACAGGGCTGAAAGACACAGGGAGGGAGGAAGTCCTGATGGTGTCTGAGTCTCTGGTTTCAGTTTGTTCCTGAGGCCCAGCTGCAGTCCTGTCCTGGGCTTCTGAGAGACAACCACCCTGCATCCCATAAACCTGGTATTCACTTTAGAAGGTCCCATGCTTTCCTGACCTTGGTGGAGTTGCTTTCTGCTTCTTTTGACCCACAGAATCCCAGCTGCCACATCTGCTTGATCACTGCTACAGTTTGGATGTTTTGTGCCCTCCAAACCTCATGTTGAAATTGATCTCCAATGTCGGAGGTGGGGCCTGGTGGGAGGTGTTTGCTCATGGGGGTGGATCCCTCATGAAGGGCTTGGGGTTGTCCTCATGGTGGCAAGTGAGCTCTCCCTCTCTTAGTTCCCAGAATATCTGGTTCCTAAAAAGAGCCTGGCACCTCCTTCTCTCTCTCTTGCTTCCTTTCTTGTCCTGTGACCTCTGCACATGCCACCTCCCCTTCACTTTCCACAATGAGTGGAAGCAGCCCGAGGCCCTCCCCAGAAGCAGAGCAGATGCCACCACCATGCTTTCTGTATAGTCTGCAGAAGCCTGAGCCAAATAAACCTCTTTCCTTTATCCATGACCCAGCCTCGGGTATTCCTTTGGAGCAACACAGATGGACTAAGACACTCATCCTTACAGAAGAAGGTCTCTGTCTTCCAATATTGGGAGTTAAGGAGGCTCCATCAGACACTCTGTGTTCCAATCTTTCGGGCAGGATGAAGAGAGAGGGAAAAAGTCTAGACTCTCTGTGGTTCTACTTTGCCAGCTAAGAGATCTGGTAAAATGTGAAGAGCCCAAGACAATGGCGGCAGAGAGGTGGTATGGTGCCCCCTGACCTGGCACATTCCCCCTCAGAAAGCGAGATCATGACAGTGGCCAGCCCTTTCCATGGTGCTGCCACATGTAACCAGTATAAGGCAGGAGTAGAGACTCCTGTGGACTTCTCAGAAAGCTGGACTTCCAGGGGCGCTGGTGGGGCCAGATGTATCTCCTTCCTCCAGCTGCTGCAGAACTCAACCTTGCTTCCAACCCAGGCCCCTCTCAGTTAGTGGGTGCAATTCCCCAAGACGCTGTGTTTTCATAGGCAGGGAGCCACAGGCTGCCCCTGCCTTTAAATTAGTCTTGCACCCTCTCCATGAGAGCCACAGAAAGTGAAGTTCACAAAATGAGGATGCTCCACGTAGTGGATTGAACTGTGTCCCCCAAAAGTCATGTTGACCCAGGACCCGTCGATGCGACCTTATTTGGAAATAGGGTCTTTGCAGATGTAATCAAGTTAAGATGAAGTCCTTACAGTGGGCCCTAATCCAACAGGACTCATATCTTAATTAAAAAGGGGAAAATTTGGAAACAGACACATACAGGGACAAGGTCATATGATGACAGAGACAGAGATTGGAGTGATGTGTCTAAGCATCTAAAAGCCACAGAACATCAAGGAATGCCACCAGCCACCCGAAGCTAGGAGAGACCAGGAACGATTTTTCCCTGGGAGCCTCTTTGGAGGGAGCGCGGCCCTGCCCATACCTTGACTTCAGACTAGTGGATGCCAGAACCTGCAAGAAAATCCATTTTTGTCGTTTTAAGCCATGCAGTTTGTGTTATTTTGTTCTGATGGCCCTAAATAAATGAATACAGTCTGCAAGTGGATGGTGATCCAGAAACTGCTTCCAGCCTGTAATAAGTACAGAAATTGAGTGTATACGCAGGCAGAGTAAATCTGTTGAATCAGAGTGTCTGTTGACTCTAACAATAAAGTAGATGGGCTTGGACTTGGTATGTCTTTTTCAGTTAATTGTATGATAAATTTTATTGTTTTAACAAAAGTACCAGTCCATGATAGATTGGAACTATGAGAGAGATACAGAGACAGAGAGAGAGAGGAGAGAGAAGAGAGAGAGGAGAGAGAAAAGAGAGAGCAGAGAGAGAGAAGAGAGAGAAGAGAGGAGAGAGAAAAGAGAGAGGAGAGAGAGAGAGGAGAGAGAGAGAGAGAGAGGAGAGGGAGAGAGAGAGAGAGGAGAGACAGAGAGAGAGAGGAGAGAGAGAGAAATTCCTCAGAGATCCTGGTGAGGAGCTGCTGCTGTTTCCTAGTTAGCTGATGAACTGGCTTCCCCTTATAGTTTACATTTCATTTGCTTCATTTGTCATTTCAGCATAACTCTGGGGAGAGGACTTAAAAATCTTTGCCCTCTGGTCACTATTTTACCCAGAAGTTCTAATGCTTATGGTTTTCTTGTATTAAAGTTAAAACATCCTTATGAATTATTCCGATATGGAAGTGATGCAATTTCTACATTCTGAGATGACATCAATGATTGTAACATCATTTTTGTATATTCATAACAGAGAGAGAGAGAGAGAAATAGGATAGCAAAACCAAAACCCGAGGGCAGCATCCACAATAAAACTAAGTGGTGACAAGATATCCACATGAACTCCAAAATCTGGAGTGGCTGAGACCAAATCACCCCTCCCGCACCTGCTCCAAGATCTGCAGAGCCTTAGCATCTGAGGGAAGTGAGTGGGCACCTGGCAGACCCAGAATTCCAATACTTACCTGCCTTCAGGCAATTGCAACTATGGAATTCTTTGTGGTTGCCTCCACTACAAAACAAGGTAATAAAAATCATCTATAAATCTGTAGCTAACCATTTCAAAACACAAATGGACTGTAATGAGTAAGCTCAAGTGAGACAAAAAAATGATCAACCAGATTGCTTCATCATATCTCAACCTGGTACTTGCAGAGGGTTCTATTGAGCAGAGCTTAGTGTTGAGGCTGTGGGTGCAGCTGTGGCTTCCTCATCCCCTCCAGGCAGGGGTGGAGCACCATGGTGAGGGGAGGGGGGCCAGAGTTCACCGTAGAAACCAGAAGTGCTAGTTAAGAAGCCAGAGGAATTCTGAGCCTCCCCCCTCACCGCCTTCCCCTGCAACCAGAATTGCATTCCTGCATATTTAGCACCAGAATTCCTAAGCAATTTACAAGCATTAGCACTGAAGTTGAGAATCTGGGGGAGTAGGGAGGGGCCAATAAATAGCACCTCTTCCCTGCCTGCCAGGGTTCCTAACCAACTGAGAAATTCCACAAACGTGCCAGCAGATGGGGAAGCAGCCTTGGTGGACAGGGCTTGTTAGAAGAGCCAAATGGGCTTGCTAATTCCTCACAAGCCCCCTAGTCTAGACTTAGAGCGGTCCACTGGAGGAAGGTTTTGGGTCTGTAGAACAGGTTCACATCCCCAATATTGCTGCCTGCCACCAAACTGGGCAGGAAGGAAAGGAAAAAGAGGCCAGATCTCCCACAGTGAGAACTTTTGACAAATTAACCACTTGATCCTTCCTCAAGGAGACTGGGGGAGAGAAGAGTTACCGCCCTAACATGCACACCTAATGTTTCCCAAATTTTTGTACCTTGATATGGTTTGGCTGTGTCCCCACCCAGATCTCATCTTGAACTGTAGCTCCCATAATCCCCACGGGTCGGGTCATGGGAGGGACCCAGGGGGAGGTAATGGAATCATGGGGGCGGGTCTTTCCCATGGTGTTCTCACGGTAGTGAATAAGTCTCACGAGATCTGATGGTTTTACAGAGGGCAGTTCCCCTGCACACGCTGTCTTGCCTGCCGCCATGTAAGACATGCCTTTGCTCATCCTTCGCCTTCCGCCATGATTGTGAGGCCTCCCCAGCCACGTGGAACTGTGAGTCCATTGAACCTCTCTTTCTTTATAAACTACCCAGTGTTGGGTATTTCTTCATAGTGAAACAGCCAAGTAGAAAGGGGCCCTGGAGAAGCTCCAACCGGCTAGGGCACTGGGAGAACAGGGTAGCGCCATGGAAGTTTGTGCCATTTCCAGGCGGGAGGAGCCTGGCCCCTCCTGTTCCTGTGCGGTAACCTGGGATTCAACCTGTGAGATGGGGGCCTGTTAACAGGAACCCCTCTGGCTTTGCTGAGAGTCTTTTTCCTTTTTGCCCAATATATTCCATAACCCCTCACCCTTCAAAATGTCTGTGTGCCAAATCTTTCCTGGTCATGTGACAAGAACCCAGTTTTTAGCTGAACTGAGCAGAAAGTCCTACAACAGTAGCAGTATGAAAATGGTCAGATACATACCTCTTAACCCATTGGGCTTAACTAGTAAGTCTATGGTGTACCCACAGCCAAAAGTTTACCCCTTACTCTGTTTCCTCATCCCAAATTATTTCTGGCCATCGTTGCCCAACATATCTCATCAGAGGTTCTGCAACAAGGTCAAATGGCATCTATGAGATATTCTAACAATGAGAGTCCAACATAGCACATGTCCCAAATGTAAACCCTCTCCCATGAAGAATTACCTGCAGAGACAATAAAGTTCAAAATTCTCCTGATCAGCCTGGACAACATAGGGAGACCCTGTCTCTACAAAAAAATAAAAATAAATTAGCCGGTGTTGGGGTGATCGGACTCAACACCAGGCCGTGGGCGTGATGAAGTCCAGCGGAGTCAAAGGAATGAGAAAAGACAGTTTGAGAGAGAAAGTGAGTTCAGGGGGCCATCGCTAAGTATGGAGGCTGTGAAGGCCCCGAGCTCTGGAAGCCCAGACTATTTATTGGTGATCAAAGAAACAGGTGGTGAGAATGTGGGGTTGAAAGGGCGCATTGCATTAAGCACAAGATTTACAGCTGTGATGGTTTAGGATATGCTCTGCTACTTGAGATAATGGAGAACAGGTTCTTTTAACTCAAGATACAATCAATCCTGGGAGAGCAAGGAGCAAGGAGCCAGCAAGTCTAGACACATTCCAGAGCCACGAGCCCTGGATTCTATCCAAGCCACGAGGGGTTTTATGCCCTGGGCTGAGATTATGGTGCATCAGGGTAGCCTTCTACCCTTTACCACAGAGCTTGGTGTTCCAAAGGCCACGAGGGGTTTTAGACCCTGGACCCCGGACATGTTCCAAGACTTTTACATTATATCAGACATGCAAGCCCTGCCTCAGCTTGTCTCCCAACACTCAGCTTTTCTCCCAACAAGCTAGGTGTTCACCTGTAGTCCCAGCTACTTGGAAGGCTGAGATGGGAGGATCGCTGGAGCCTGGGAGGGCAAAGCAGCAGTGAGCTGTGATCGTGCCAGTGCACTCTGGCCTGGGCGACAGAGCCAGACCCTTTCTCAAAAAAATAAGATAAAATAAAATTAAATCTCCCGGCAAGCTGAAGCTCAAAGGCATTAGAGGAAGGCCGTGCCCCCCACCTCCGCCCCCACCCCCCAAAGTCTTTTGATCTTGTGAGCTATGTTGGAAGAAACTGAAGTCCCCAATCACTCTCTCCAACCTCCTCTCTGCTCCCACTCAGCTAGATGTTCTCGATGGCTTGTGGGCCCAGAGGTTTGCAGTCTAGACCACCATCCACAGGAATGGGTGCTGTTTATTCAGTGCCTCGGCAGTTGGGTTATTTAAATGCCAACTCACTGTGAGTTTCCCCTTTAAAGAGTTCATAGGATGCACAGGAATATCTAGCCCCGGCCCTATAGCCACCAAATGTAGAAGACAAGCCAGTGTCCCATCCCAGTAGAATTATGTTCCCAGAACTCAGTCCCACGTTGCCCCAGACCCTATCAGAATCGGTGATCTCTAATTGGTATCTAAGTTGAGGGAGGTGTAGAAAGTCTGGGTAATTTTGAGAGCTGTGGTACCTGAGCTATCGCTGCTTTAGGATGTCTAGAAATTTGCAAAGGCAACAGCCACAGTTACTGAGGTGTCATTTGCGGTGCCTTTCTTTCGAAATGTTCGGTTTCTATTGGAATCTTCTTCCCTTTCCATTCCTCCCTCGGGGCCCTATGCCGAGGCAATCCTGGCCGGAAAGCTGCCTGCCGAAGGCGCCCCAAGGTCTCCCTGAGCAGGCACTCTCAGGGCGCTCCATCGTCCCCTGCCTGCCGGCCACCGCCACTCTAGACTGCCAACCCCGCGTCCACCACCACTGCCCTTTCCAGGTACACCAGTGCATGGGCCAATGCCACCTGGGCCTCCAGGCCATCTGTCTCCCACAGTGTCCTTGGGTTTCTGCTGTTGGCTGGCTTAGTTCAGGAAGTCTCAGCAACTCTGGAACAGTCCCGCATGCTTCCCACTTGCAAGGCAAGATCCCTCATAGGGCACCTCCCAAAGCCTGTTCCCTGGGTGCTGAGAACAATAGGGTTTCCACGGCCTGTGCCTCCATTATAAGCAGAAGAGCTCTGCTTTAGCAACTGTGGCTGACGTGAGATGGGTGCCTGAGAGGAGGAAGGGGGAAGAGCAAGGTGGAGGGGCTGGAAAGGCACCACCGTGCGGTGTTGGGAGCCCCTCTGGGGGTGGAGGCAGAGGCAGAAGCTACTGGAGTGATTCGAGGGAGAGTGTGTGATTCTAAGCTCAGACAGAGCTGTCTGGGGGTCCTGTTTCCTGTTTTGTGGTTTCCCGTAAGAAGCCGAGCTGGCCTTCCAAGGATTGGAAGCTTCTGAGGCCTGGCAGTGGCATTGGCCTGTGCACTGGTATACCTGGAAAGGGCAGTGGTGGCAGACGCGGAGTTGGCAGCCTAGAGTGGCTGCAGCTGGCAGGCAGGGGATGATGGAGCGTCCTGACCGGACTGGGCAGCGGTGACCTCCGTCCTGCTCTACTGAGAGGGCGACCGTGGTGCAGGCTGGACGTTGGGCTGCACCCCAGTCAGGAGTCATTGGGATGTGGCTACACTCGCCTGGGGTGACGATGGGATTAGGTGGAAGGTTAGGTCAGCTGAGTGGTAGCATTCTCGGGTTCTCTGACTCTGATTCCCCATCTCACTCCCTGAAGATGACTCACTCACTTTGATGACTGTGGTTTCGCAGATTAAATGTGGAGGCCTGAGGGCCCCAAAGAATGCCCTCTCCGAGTTATTACAAAGAAGCACAGAATCCCAGCCCAGTCTCTCTGTGTGTGTGTGTGTGTGTGTGTGTGTGTGTGTGTGTGTGTGTGTGTGTGGTGGCGGGGCAAGGGGAGCAGTGTTTCAAAGGCCACCAATCTCAGGCCCCATTGCCCACTTTACATGTCTCTCTAGCAAGGCGTGGTCACGGAATTCCACCCAAGCCAACCCTCTAAGTTTCTGGCCTCTGGAGTCAGCCTGAGACCCATTCACACGCTGGTAATTGCATAGCAGGAGCTGCCTTTTCAGCAGATCTGACTGAAGCAACATTGCCCAGACCTATGCCATCTCTAGGGTTGGCACATAAGACATAAACGGTCAGGGTTTGGGTTCCGCTGGGAACCTGAGGAACTGAGTGACCTGGTGAAGTCACTCCCCTCGGTGGGTGAGTCCCAGTACGGCCGGCCGGTGCCTTCCTGGCCTCTCCTGGGACTTTCTGAGTCCCGTGTTCGCCTCTATTTAAGGCAAGTTGCAGACCTTGGTGACTCCTCGAAGGACACTCCCTTCCTAAGAGCTGCCAGCAAATTCTTCTGAGGGCTGCTCCCTGTGGTCCAGACAGGCTGGAAAGCCACTGTCTGAGCTCTAGGAAGCCACTGGGCCCCGCCACTGTTCACCTGAGGATGGGCTACTCTCACTGACAGCAGATGGTTCTCAACGGAAGAGTCTCCTAGACGGGGCTGCTCTCTGGATTTCTGCCCCTCCCAGGTCACCCCAGGCCTCCTCTCCAGGGGTGCTCAGGGGAGTGAGAAAAGCCGGGCATGCCGTGCTCTATGCCAGGATGTGCTCTGTGCCATGGGCTGTGGTAAAAAAGAAATGCCAGAAGCCACTTCAACAGCAAAGTACTCAAAGACTGATGAAATTATGATTTATTTTAGTTAGATTTTATTTTTGTTTATGTGTATTATTACTTTCTGTTATTAGTATTAATCTATAATTAGTTAAATTAGAGCGCATTCATATTGCGGAATGCAGCAGCTACAAAGAATGAAGTAAGCCAGTAAGTGCTGACTGAAAACCGCTCCCAGACATTTCGTTAAGTAACAAATTAAATTACTGCAATAAGGGTGGGAAGTTTGTAGACTATGATCCCATTGAATGTTTGCAGTGGGTGAGTGTGGTGTTTGTGCACATGCACGTGTGTGTATGTGTGTGTGCGTGCGTGTGTGTGAACACGTGTGTGCGCGTGAGTGCGTGAGTGTGTGAGTGCGTGTTTGCATGCACAGTACCAAGCAGGGAAGAAAATGTCCCTGGCAGCTAAGAATGGTTCTCTCTGGAGAGTGGGGAAAGACGGAAGGAGCAGGAACCTTCACTCTGACTTTCATGTCTTACTTTTCAAGCGTCTGCATGCTGTGTGACTTTTACCTTCCTTTTTGTGTCTTTCAGTGTTTTCAAGGTTTAGGGCCCAAAGGAAACAAAACACACACCATGTCTCCGCAGCATGGTGCAGAGAAAAGAGTGGACATGATTTGACGTGGCAAAGCTATAGCCAAGGGCACGAGTCCAAGGAAGACACACATGAACCCAGAAAGCAGGTTCTTGCCTACCCGCAGGGAGGGCCGGCCAGGGACAATGGAGGGGCTGGGGGAGGCTGGGCTGGGTCGCAGGAGGGGGCTGGGCTCTCGCTGGAGGGAACCCCTGTCTGGAGGGAGGCCGGTCACCCTTCCCTCTGCCAGTCCTTCCACCCTGGGCTCCTGTGACCATAGCGAGAGGAGATGCCAGAGGGGAAGCCCAAGCTGGGCTGGGCTCCGTCGGGACAGGGGACCTGGGGCAGGAGCCAGTGGCGGGGGCAGTAGCAGGAGGTGGGTCATCCAAGGAAGAAGGCTTCCTGACCCAGAGCTCTAAGGCGAGGAGTGGGCACGTGGCCCTCTGGGGACCTGTCCAGCTCAAAGACTCCAGGTGCCCTTCAGGTAAGTAAAACAACCAAGTAATCCTCAGTGCAACGCGAAAGTGGCTGGGAAGCTGGAATCACAGTCACCACCTATGCTGAGCAAAACCATGATTAAAATGGGTTTTCTGCTTTCGCTGAACCCACTTTGTGGATCAGTGGTCCTAGTAGAAATGGCTCCTGCAGTTGACAGCTCCACTGGCACTGAACTCTCCTTGATTCTTGCTTTGCTGAATTTCGAGAATCTTTTAAGATTGCTGGGATAGAGGGACGCACGGGGAGAAATAGCAGGCGAAACACCAGGTCCTGCCAAGGGAAGGAGGAAACAAACGCCTCCCCGAGGGATGCCAGGGAAACAGACCAGCCAAGGGTGTGGTCCCACACCAGGTGCTTGAGCCCCTGTTGTCCTGAGACCATTCCCTCCCTGACTCTCTCCTAACTCTGTCCCCGTCACTCCCACTCGGCGACCTGGCTCGCCCTTTGCCCTCTGCTCTTCTCACTCTATGCCTGACCCTGCACTAACTGTAGAAAATGCAGAAATGAGAAACAGACATTCATTCAACAAGCATTTATTCTTATTTATTTATTTATTTATTTATTTATTTTTATTTCTTGAGAGATGGGGTCTGGCCCTGTCGCCCAGGCTGTAGTGCAGTGGTACGACCATAGCTCACTGCAGCCTCCACCTCCCGGGCTCAAGCGATCCTCCTGCCTCAACCTCCTCAGTAGCTGGGACCACAGGCGCATGCCACCATGCCCGGCTAACTTAAAAAACATGTTTTTGGTAGAGATGGCGGTCTCACTGTGTTGTGCAGGCTGGTCTCGAACTCATGGCCTCAAGCAATCCTTCTGCCTTAGCCTCCCACAGTGCTGGGATTACAAGCAAAGGCTCTGAGGCAGAAGTGTGCCTGGTGTGTTCCAGAAAGGGCCAGGGGCCCTGTGTGGCTGCATCAGCGTGAGCAAGGGCAAGTGTGGGAGGTGAGAAGGCCAGAGAGGAAAGGCTCGATCATGTCGGGACTGTAGGCTGCCATCAGGGCTCTGGCTTTCACTGTGAGTGAGGGAAGCCCACTGGACAGCTTAGAGCAGAGGACTGGGGCCACCTGACTTGGGTTTAAAAGCCGCCAGCTCTAGCCATCCAGCCATGGGGCTAGGGTGGCCGGCTGCACCTGGGCCATGTTTGGGCAGAGGTGGCGGGACGGGGTCACGGGACAATGAAACTAAAGACTCAAGCTCTGGGTGAATGAAGCCCGCACTTGTGGACCAGGTTGGGGAGCCCTATCTGGAAAGAGCTGGTCCCTGTGCCCGTTCTCCTCCTCCCTTTCCTCCTGGGACTCCCTTGCAGGCTCACTCCTCCCTATTTGGATTCTTATGCACAGAAGACTCATTCGCTGCTTTTTCTACCATCGCAGCTTTTGAGAGCTTTTCAGCAAGGACTCAATCCCTGTCTTAGTCTGTTTGCATTGCTATAGAGGAATACCTGATGCTGAGAAATTCATAAAGAGTTTTATTTGGCTCATAGTTCTGCAGCTGTAAGATGGGTGGTGCCAGCATCTGCTTCTGGTGAGGGCCTCAGACCACATCTACTTCTGGCAGGAACTGGCGGAAAGCTGGCATCACATAGTGAGAGAGGAAGGATGAGTCATTCCACCTGGAATCTGGGGTGAAGTCAACTCCAGCAGAATCAAAACTGCTGAAGGGAAAGGGAGGGAGTGGTTCTAGGGGAAATATGCACACTGGTACAGGGGAACAGAGGTTGGGTGACAAAACCAACAGGTGCCCTCTGCTGTGGCACAGACATTTCAACACACTCAAAATCCACTTCCAATGTTTTGAAAGAACAGGACTAGGAGAGATGGTTTCTTATTCGAGCAGACTCTTCTTTTATAAAGTAAAGGCGTGTATTTCCAAAGTAATACATGCTTGATGAAAATATTTCAACATGGAAGTCTGAGATTTAAAAGGTGAAGGTTTTATTTCCCTAAAGCTATTGTCCAGCGATGAGCACTCTTGAGCGTGGAGGTGGCTTTCCAGGGAGTTACTGTGCACATCCCTACATGCTCACGTGGCGGGAGCACACTGCCAAAACAAGAGTGTGCCATAGCCTATATGCAGAGATCTGGTGACTTGTTTTAACCTCTTTCTATGCTAGTACCCAACTATCTACCATGCTCTCTCTCTAGCTTCCTCACACTTTTTCCCCTGGGGCAGTTGTGCAGTGATTTATTTAATTTTTCTGCGGCTGATGAACATTTACATTCTAAAAACTATTTACGTGGTGGTGTCATTAAGATGCTGGTGGATTCTACCTAACTTGCAAATCCAGGAGTTTCTCAGATGGATTCCTCAAGGTGGGTGGAAGGGTATGCACCCTAGAGGAAAAGAGAAAGTTAGCCCCAGACAAGCAGAAGGAGGACCTAATAAATCACAAAGCAGACATCAGTGAAACAAGTCAAAGGCTAGTAAAGAATGCTATTGGCCGGGCGCGGTGGCTCACGCCTGTAATCCCAGCACTTTGGGAGGCTGAGGCGGGTGGATCACGAGGTCAGGAGATCGAGACCATCCTGGCTAACATGGTGAAACCCTGTCTCTACTAAAAATACAAAAAAATTGGCCGGGCATGGTGGCAGGAGCCTGTAGTCCCAGCTACTCAGGAGGCTGAGGCAGGAGAATGGCGTGAACCTGGGAAGCGGAGCTTGCAGTGAGCCGAGATCGCGCCACTGCACTCCAGCCAGGGCGACAGAGCGAGACTCTGTCTCAAAAAAAAAAAAAAAAAAAGAATGCTATTAACAGCTCTGTAACTATAAATTCAATGACTTCGATGAAATGTATAATTTCATTGAAAGACACATATTACTAAAACTGACACAAGAAAAAAAGGAGTTTTATATCAATTACCCATATAAATTCATAATTAAAAACCTTGCCACATAGAAAACTCCAGGCTGGGTGCTCTATTGGTTAATGAATCAAACATTTAAGAAAGAAATTCTGGCTCCCCGAGGTGGCTCATACCTGTAATCCCGGCATTTTGGGAAGCCAAGGTGAGAGAATTGCTTGAGCCCAGAAGTTTGAGACCAGCCTGGGCAACATGGTGATACCTCGTCTCTACTAAAAACAGAAAACATTAGCCAGGCAATGTATGCCGTGCTTGTAGTCCCAGCTGCTCGGGAGGCTGAGGTGGGAAAATCACCTGAGCCTGGGGAGGTGGAGGCTGCAGTGGGCCTTGACTGTGCCACTGCACTCCAGCCTGAGCAACAGAGGAGATGCTGTCTCAAAAAAAATTTTTTTTAAATAAGGGGATGAAGATGTCCCTCTTATGGAGCAGACCGTGTCTCAGGTACTGCAGTCAGCCAAAGAACAGATCAAGTGGTCACTCCTTCAGTGAAGAACTCACCGTTTCTGGCTCCTCACCTCCTTCCAAACAATGCACGTCTGCTGTGAATTTTCATCCGGTTCCCCAGCTGATGCTCTCAGAGTCATCTCGGGAATCACAGGGATCCTTAAATCTCCATCCTGTCTCTGGTTGCCCCATCCCCTCCCCCCCTCAACCCTCCTTATACCCCTCCTGTTCCTTTGCTTCTTTGGCCTCTTTTTTACTTGAATTATTAGACTTTTTTTTCCCTACAGCGTTGTTTGAGTTCCTTATGTATTCTGGTCATTAATCCCTTATCAGATGGGTAGTTTGCAAATAGTTTGTCCCATTCTGTGTGTTGTCTCTTCACTTTGTGGATTGTTTCCTTTGCTGTGCAGAAGCTTTTTAACTTGATATGATCCCCGGTTAAATAATTTTTGACGAGAGTGCCAATCCAGCAGTCTCCTCAACAAACAGCGCTGGAACAAGTGGAATTACTCATGCAAAAGAATGATGTTGAACCCCCATGTAATGCAGTAAGTAAAAATTAACGCAAAATCGATCAGCAACCTAAATGTAAGAGCTAAAACCATAAAACTCTTCAAAGAAACCACAGGGTGAATCTACATGACCTTGGATTTGGCAATAGCTTCTTAGATATGAAACCAAAAGTACATGCAGCCAGAGAAAAGATAGTTAAACTGGACTTCATCAGAATGAAAAACTTTTGTGCATTCAAGAACATTATCAAGAAAGTTGTTTTAATTTAGTTCCTTTAAAATGGAGAGTACTCCTTCAGTGATTAGAAGAGCCAGAAGATGGAAACAAAGAACTTCTATTACTCACAGGTTATGGAGGCTACACGGAGGTCATTCAACATGTGCAGAGGGTGTGTGTGGACCTGGGGCACTTGCCTCTATTTGGGTCCAGGGAGATGGTCAGAGCATCGCAGTAGGGGGTGAGAAGATTGGAGGATTCAAAGCAAATGCCCACAAAAAGGGGCTCCCACCACGTGGACCTAATCTAACTTTACATTTGGTCAGGCAGCTGGGTGTGTGTGTGTGTACTGGTGAGATGGCTTTTAGGGGAAGGAAAGTGGAATCGAAGGGCAGCGGTTGGGAACTGGGCTTAGGCTATTAACCAAGGGCATTGTGTGGCATCTGGGGACTCATGTGAAGACAACAAAATGGATGCCAGGTCAGCATGGTAATATTAAGCCTCAACACAAAAGTGAAAAGACAAGCTGAGGAAAGTGAGAAAATATTTGCCAATCATATCTGATAAGGGTGTAGTATCCATAATATACAACACACTCCTAAAACTCAACTCGTAATATACAACACACTCCTAAAACTCAAGCAAAATGATAAACAGTTGAGTTAAAGAATTGACAAAAGACTTAGACATTTCTCCAAAAAACATACAGAAATGACCAGTAAGCACATGAAATGATGCTTAACATCCTTAGTCATTAGGGAAACGCAAGTCAAAACCACAATGAGATACCACTTCACAGTTAAGTTACTAGGATGGTTACTTAAAAAATAGAAAATAGTAAGAGTTGACGAGGATGGGGAGAAGTTGGAACCCTCATCTATTCCCGACTGGAATGTAATCGTGCAGGCACTATGGAAAACTGTTTGGCGGCTGCTCAAAAAGCACAGGTCCTCAAACAGATACTTCTGTGCCAATGTTTGTTGCATCATTATTGACAATAGCCAAAAGGTGGAAACCATCCAAGTGTCATCCATGAACGGATGAATGGATAAACAAAATGTGGCTGTAGTGAGCTAGGATTTCACCACTGCACTCCAATGTGGGTGACAGAGAGAGACCCTGTCTCAAAAAAAAAAAAAAAAGTGATCAGGCTGACGCCACCTGAACCTAAATAGCATCACAATAAAGACAAAGAAAGATGTGGTGCACTTCCTGGTGCAATGTAATGGGAAAGCACAGTCCCACCTGGAGAGTGGTCTTGGCCAAAAAGAAAAATGTTTTCTATTTCTCGAATTCATTATATTTTCCTAGCACAATGTCCAGTTAATCGTTTTTTAAATTTACTACAGTGAATTTATCTTATTGTTTTTCAAATCTCTGCTATACCTATAGTTATATATAATCTTTCCAGACTTCTTTTTTTTTTTTTTTTTTTTTTGAGGTGGAGATCAAAAAAGGATCCAGAGGAGAAGGAAGCCGCTCACACCCTCCGGGGCAGGCATGCGGAGGTGGCATTCACCTGGCTTCCTGCTGGGACTTCCTCACAGCGTGCCCACGTCTCTTGGAAAAACTCCGCTGCTCTGAGACAGAACCGGCTTTGGCACGGCCTGGATGTACCAACCCCCCTCGCCTTCCTCAGTTGTGCAGTGATTTGTTCAGCCTTTCCGCAGCTGGTGGACATTTACATTCTAAAAACTATTTACGTGGTGGTGTCATTAAGATGCTGGTGGATTCTACCTCATTTGCATATCCAGGAGTTTCTCAGATGGATTCCTCAAGGTGGGTGGATGAAGGGGGCCAGCCCCTCCACACCTGTGGGTATTTCTCGTCAGGTGGGACGAGAGACTGAGAAAAGAAATAAGACACAAAGTATGGAGAAAGAACAGTGGGCCCAGGAGACGGCACTCAGCATCCGGAGGACCTGCACCAGCACCGGTCTGTGAGTTCCCTCAGTATTTATTGATTATTATTTTACTATCTCAGTAAGGGGAATGTAGTAGGAGAACAGGGTGATAGTGCGGAGACGGTCAGCAAGAAAACATGTGAGCAAAGGAATCTGTGTCACAAATAAGTTCAAGGGAAGGTACTATGCCTGGATGTGCACATAGGCCAGATTTATGCTTTTCTCCACCCAAACATCTCAGTGGAGTAAAGAGTAACAGAACAGCATTGCTGCCACCAACATGTCTCGCCTCCCGCCACAGGGTGGGTTTTCTCCTATCTCAGAAGAGAACAAATGTACAATAGAGTTTTATACCGAGACATTTAGTTCCCAGGGGCAGGCAGGAGACAGAGGCCTTCCTCTTATCTCAACTGCAAGAGGCTTTCCTCTTTTACTAATCCTCCTCAGCACAGACCCTTCACGGGTGTCAGGCTGGGGGACGGTCAGGTCTTTCTCATCCCACGAGGCCATATCTCAGGCTATCACATGGGGAGAAACCTTGGACAATATCCCGCTTTCCAGGGCAGAGGTCCCTGCGGCTTTCCGCAGTGCATTGTGCCCCTGGTTTATCGAGAATGGAGAATGGCGATGACTTTTACCAAGCATACTGCCTGTAAGCATTTTGTTAACAAGGCACGTCCTGCACAGCCCTAGGTCCCTTAAACCTTGATTCTGTACAACACATGTTTCTGTGAGCTCAAGGTTGGGGCAAAGTTACAGATTAACAGCATCTCGGGGCAAAACAATCGTTCAGGGTACAGGTCAAAATGGAGTTTCTTATGTCTTCCTTTTCTACACAGACAACAGTAACAGTCTGATCTCTCTTTCTCTTGCCTGCATATCCCCCTTTTCTTTCTGACAAAACCACCATCATCATCACGGCCCGTTTTCGCTGGTCACTGTCTCTTCGGAGCTGTTGGATACACCTGTAGACTAACAACAGACAGAACAGACATACAAGGATTAATATGAAATTTACAATAGTGGAACTTCTGATAGTTTTAACCCAAGTGACGGCATTAAGATTTGTGAGGCCATCAGCAGCTTTCACGATTGCCTCAGTTTCTGGCACCAGATTTAAATGGGCTTTTGATGCCTCAAAAATTTGTTCTTTTAATTTTGAAATATCTAAAGTAAGATTATCTTCTCTTCCTTGTAGATGGCATCTAACCATGGCCCAGTGATGCTCAGACTCATTGTAGGCTCGGGGTGTAATACAAAAATCTGACGTATTCCAGTCACACTGTAACTGAAAAAGATATTTCAAGCTCATGAGCCTATCTCGCATCCAAATGACAGTTTGTCTAAGGTCATTAATTTGGTTTGCCAATTTTTGATCTATTTGGGTCTGAGAATTCCACAATTTTGAGGAATTCTTTTGCCAATTATTTACATATTTTACCATTTGAACAGAGGAGTGTAAAGCAATTCCAGCAGCCACAGCAGTAGCTGTGACTGCAACAAGACCCATAATGACTGCAATTAAAGTAAAAATGAATCTTTTGGATCTAGTTAGAACTCCTTTTAATACTTCCATTAAAATATGGACGGATGGGGAAGCCTCCCACGGTCGGTCCATGGACACAGGGATCCACACGCCCTCTCTTGCCCTCACCAGCAGAATATGGTGCTGCCAATCAGAAGTCGAATCAATGCAAGTAAACAATCTACAATTTTCACAGGTTATAGTTTGGGAATCTGGTTTAATAACTATTTTTCCTACAACTAACATATAAGGGGGTTTTACACAACTTTGCAAAGGAATTGTCAGATTGGAATTTAGGTTAATAGTATAATATGGCTTACGATCTCTTGTTCCTATAGCTTCATTTCCAGACCAAATTCTAATGTGGTGCGAGGCCACAGTAAGCTTCCATAATTCTGGGTGTTCAGGACCAACAACAGGACTAACTAACTTTGTTCGAAGTGATGAAATTCCCTTTTCACCCCATTTCCATGGATAGGGTGATTCTAACCTTCTGTAAACCTGGTCCAGCCTTTCAGTTAAATCACTATCATAGGCCGGATTAGTGGGCCAGATGGATGGGGCCTGTGAACATCAGTGAGTCTGGCCTGTACAATCATAATATAATTGGCCTTGAGGGGCCCAGTCTATAATAGTTCCAAATTCATTGTTTTGTAATACCACAGCAGTATCAGCCACACATTCTTCCCAAACTGAGACTTCTGGGCCTTTTGATTCTTTGGGAATTTCCTTGGGGCAAGGCTTCCTCTTAGGCCTAAATTTTAATGATCTTTGATAAGAAGGATCCTGTAAATTATTTATCTGTGGCCCGAGTGACATTTCACTTACCATGTGATAAGTAAATCTATTGCTGGCAATGACAGTAGGTACTTCTACCAACCAATTTTGGGTTGTAGGAATTAAATATCCTGGTGCCTTCCCTAGGCAAATAGGAGGATAATGATACCCAATGGAAATATTTATCATCATTCCTTCTTTTTCAGGTTGGGCAGGGCAACAATCATCTGTGGGGCCTGGTACTCATGCACTATTATTAACACATACTTTAATAGGATTATCTATCCATGTGACTGCCCGAATTAAGGGCGGGAAAGGCACATAGGTCCAGTAAGTATAATTAGCTGCAGCTGCTCCTGCAGACATGGGGACACTTACCACCATTGATACAATCATCAAAACTGCAAGCAGCATATTCTCTGGAGTTTGTGTTACCCTTGTTTTCTTCAGGCTTTTTTCAGCTAACTGTGTCAACTTCTTTAGTTGGGCCCAGGTCGGCGGCTCCACTTCCTTGGTGGATGTCAACTTCATCTGTTCTTCTGATACCACCATTTTGTTCACCTGGCGAGTCGATGATGCTCGATTGCGGGTTTTCTGTCTCCGCGGAGGCGCTTTTCTTTGCATTTCCGATGGGTTCATTGTAGAACTTTAAATGTCTAGTGGGTATCCAAACAGGAAGCTGACTTTTTTCCTGGTGAAACGCAAGCAAAGCCTTTCCCCCATGTTATCACCTTCCCTATTTCCCATGTCTTATTTTTGATGTCTTTCCACCAAATCAGTTTTCCTTCATGTGGGCTGTTCTTTTTACCAGTAAAATGTTGTTCTGCAGAAGTAGTGGTCTGATTTCTATAAACGTTTAAAAATTTTAAAGTATAGAGTGCTAGATTGAGTTGCATCTGAGGAGTGTTATACTCCTTACTATCTTTTTCCTTTTTTTGTTTAACCAATTGAGCTTTATTAGTTCTTTCAATTATGGCCTGTCCTTGGGAATTATAGGGGATTCCTGTTGTATGTGTAATTTTCCACTGATTTAGGAATTTTTGAAATGCTTTACTACAGTATCCTGGCCCATTATCTGTTTTAATTTTTTCTGGAACTCCCATGACAGCAAAACAAGATAATAAATGTCTTTTAACATGGGAAGTACTTTCTCCTGTCTGGCAGGTTGCCCATATGAAATGTGAATAAGTATCAACTGTCTTCATGGACAAATGACATTTTTCCAAATGAAGGTACATGTGTGACATCCATTTGCCATAATGCATTAGGACATAAACCTCTGGGATTAACTCCTGCCTCCTGAGTGGGCCAGTGTAAGACTTGACACTAGGTGCAATGCTGTACAATATTTTTTGCCTGTTTCCATGTGATATCAAATTTATTTTTTAGTCCTGTTGCATTTACATGAGTCAAGGCATGAAGTTCTTGTGCTTCTATGAATGCAGATGATACTAGCAAGTCAGCTTGTTCATTTGCCTTAGTTAAAGGCCCTGGTAAATTAGTATGTGCTTGAACATGAGTAATATAAAATGGGAAATTTCTTTTTCTTACAGTTTGTTGTAACAAATTAAACAGCTGGTGTAACCGATCATCCATACTGTATTTGACTAGGGCTGTCTCAACATCCTTTGTAGCCTGTACTACATATGCAGAATCTGATACAAGGTTAATAAGCTGATTAAAATCTTGTAACACTGAAATGACAGCAACCAACTCTGCTCTTTGAGCTGAGTGATATTGAGTTTCAGTGACTCGTTTTTTTGGCCTGGTGTAAGCCACCTTTCCATTGCTGGAACCATCAGTAAACACTGTCAGAGCATTTTCTAAAGGTGTATGTCTGGTAATTTTAGGTAAAATCCAAGTAGTCAATTTTAAAAACTGGAAGGTTTTTGTTTTTGGGTAATGATTGTCAATAATTCCCACAAAATCAGCAAGACCAATCTGCAATGCACCAGAATTGATAAAGGCTTGTGTAACCTGTTCCTTGTTTAAAGGAACAATGATTTTATCTGGGTCACTTCCACACAATTTTACTATTCGTAGTCTTGCCTGACCAATTAATGTAGCCATTTGATCCAAGTACAATGTAAAAGTCTTAATCGTACTGTGAGGAAGGAAGGACCACTCCACAAGATCTGTATTTTGAACAATGATGCCTGTTGGAGAATGTGCAGTAGCAAAAATCAAAAGTTGGAGTGGGGCTAAGTGATCTATTCTATTTACTTGTGCTGACCGAATTTTGTCTTCAACTAATTCAATTTCTTTAGTTGCCTCTGGAGTTAATGTTCTTTTACTATTTGATTCTGGATCCCCTCTTAAGATAGAGAACAAATTTGACATGGCATAAGTAGGGATGCCTAGGGTTGGCCGAATCCAATTAATATCTCCCAGCAATTTTTGAAAGTCATTTCATATTTTAATGTGTCTTTTCTCATTTCTATCTATCTTTTGAGGATTAACCTTCCTTTCCTCTACCTGCATTTCTAAATAATGAAAAGGAGCTGTTGTTTGAATTTTATCAGATGCTATTGTCAGTCCTGCGTTGGCAACCTCTGTCTGCAGAAATGTGTAACAGTCAATTAATTTGTCTCTCATTTCTGCAGCACACAAAATATCATCAACATAATGAATGATATAACAGTCTGAAAACATGTCTCTAACTGGTTGAAGAGCTTGAGCTACAAAAGTCTGACAAATAGTTGGACTATTAAGCATTCCCTGAGGCAACACTTTCCACTGAAACCTGGTGGCTGGTTCTTTATTATTTATGGCTGGTATAGCAAAAGCAAATTTTTCAAAATCCTGTTTTGCCAGAGGAATGGTAAAAAAAAAAAAAAAAAAAGCAATCCTTCAGATCAATTATAATTAAAGGCCAACCTTTGGGGATCACGGCCGGAGAGGGCAGCCTGCGTTGGAGAGCCCCCATGGGTTGAATTACGGCATTAGCGGCTCTTAAGTCGGTTAGCATGCGCCATCTGCCGGATTTTTTCTGAATTACAAACACTGGCGAATTCTAAGGAGAGACAGTGGGTGAAACATGTCCTTTTTTAAATAGTTTTTTTAACTATTTTATGTAGCGCCCCTAACTTTTCCTTAGGGAGCGGCCACTGTTTGACCCAGACAGGATGCTACAGGGCGAGTCTGAATTGCTCCTTCACCGCAGTGAACTGCCGGTTGGGCAATAATGGGCACCGCGAGCCGAGTTGCAGCCAGCCTGGTTTCAGGCTCCCTCCCCCAGCACTCACTCGACTGAGGAGGAGGTGGCCATCGTGGTTTTAGCCCTGACGGCCCCGATGGTTCTGGACCTCCTTCCCCCAGTTTTGGTGATTCAGGATATATTACCTCCTGTAATTGATTGTAGTCAACACTTTGTGTTGACCGAGCCATTACAGACTCTGCTACATTTTCACAATGTGAACTTTCCGTTCCTTTCTTGAACTCTGTCCCCGCCTCTTCTTCACAATCTATTACACAGCTTTCAGGGGCATCAGAAACCAAAACGCTATCTTCTTCTGTTTGAAACGGTTCTAAAGCTGCTTTAATAATGGCCCAATCATTGCATACTGTAAGCGGGATGATTTTGCCTTCCCTACTTGCTTGTTTTAATTCTTTGCCAATTTTTTCCCAGTCTTTTAGATCTAAAGTTCCCTGTTCTGGAAACTATGGGCAGAATTGTTCTATTGTTTGAAATAGCATAATTAGATTTTCTGTAGAAGCTCTAACTCCCCTTCTTCTTAAAAGAATTTTAATAAAGCTGAGATAAGAGGCATATTTACTTTCAGTTTGTCCCATTGTTACCCTGGGTTCCTCCGTGTGCACAAGCTTACCGCAAGGCTCACCGTGGACGTACTCGGGAATCTCTCATCGACTGTCCTCAATGCTCACGGTCTTAGCGCACCTTCACCCTAGAGAAAGGCCCCACGTTGGGCGCCAAATGAAGAGGGCCAGCCCCATCCACACCTGTGGGTATTTCTCGTCAGGTGGGACGAGAGACTGAGAAAAGAAATAAGACACAGAGACAAAGTATAGAGAAAGAACAGTGGGCCCAGGAGACTGGTGCTCAGCATACGGAGGACCCGCACTGGCACCGGTCTCTGAGTTCCCTCAGTATTTATTGATTACTATTTTTACTATCTCAGTAAGGGGAATGTGGCAGGAGAACAGGGTGATAGTGTGGAGAAGGTCAACAAGAAAACATGTGAGCAAAGGAATCTGTGTCACAAATAAGTTCAAGGGAAGGTACTATGCCTGGATGTGCACATAGGCCAGATTTATGCTTTTCTCCACCCAAACATCTCAGTGGAGTAAAGAGTAACAGAGCAGCATTGCTGCCACCAACATGTCTCGCCTCCCGCCACACGGCGGGTTTTCTCTTATCTCAGAAGAGAACAAATGTACAATCGAGTTTTATACTGAGACATTTAGTTCCCAGGGGCAGGCAGGAGACAGAGGCCTTCCTCTTATCTCAACTGCAAGAGGCCTTCCTCCTCAGCACAGACCCTTCACGGGTGTTGGGCTGGGGGACGGTCAGGTCTTTCCCGCCCCACGAGGCCATATCTCAGGCTATCACATGGGGAGAAACCTTGGACAATACCCGGCTTTCCAGGGCAGAGGTCCCTGCGGCTTTCCGCAGTGCATTGTGCCCCTGGCTTATCGAGAATGGAGAATGGTGATGACTTTTACGAAGCATACTGCCTGTAAACATTTTGTTAACAAGGCACATACTGCACAGCCCTAGATCCCTTAAACCTTGATTCCATACAACACATGTTTCTGTGAGCTCAAGGTTGGGGCAAAGTTACAGATTAACAGCATCTCGGGGCAAAACAATCGTTCAGGGTACAGGTCAAAATGGAGTTTCTTATGTCTTCCTTTTCTACATAGACAACAGTAACAGTCTGATCTCTCTTTCTTTTCCCTACAGCTGGAAGGGTATGCACATCTTTCCCTTAATAGAAAATGCCAAATAAATGTCCAGATAGATGTTACTACCACTCCTACTGACAGCGTATGAGTCCTCGTTTCCAACTACAGCCTTGCCAAGCATTGGAGATTGTCAACTAATATTATTAATCTTACATTAAAATCTGCTGTGTTCCCACCGAGCAAATGCTAAAACAAAACTCAAAGGGATCAAGTTGTCTCCGAGCAACTTAAGAGCATCCCAGAACACAGCTCAAGCATATGTCTGTTTTGCTTTGACAAACAGCCCCTTTCCAACCTAGCTCTGCCCAAGATGGTGCCAGCGTGACCTCCCGGCAGACAAGACACCTCAGCATGTCATGCAGACCCCACAGCTGCCTGCTCCCTCCCCTGCCTACCATTCACGCCAAGTCCTCCTTTAAAAGGCCCTGCTTTCTGCCCCCAGTGGGAAGCAGCACCCTTAAAGGCAGGAGCCTGTACGTCTTCCCCTAAATCAAGCATGGCAGAAAGTCCGTTTCTTTATAGCAGACCACGCTCTTGTTAATTGGATCTCCAAGCGATGAGGGAATGAACCTGTGTTTTGGTTATATTACATGTTCACAAAGATTTTAGATTATTTGAATTACTATTATCATTATTTTAGAGGCAGGGTCTCACTCTGTCACCCAGGCTGGAGCTCAGGGGTGCATTCATAGCTCACTGCAGCATCCAGCTCCTGGACTCAACACATCCTTCCACCTCACACCTCAGCCTCCTGAGTAACTGGGACTACAGGTGCCTGCCACCACACCCACCTAATTTAAAGAAAAATTTTTTTTTTGACAGAGTCTTTTTCTGTCAACCTGGCTGGAGTGCAGTGGCATGATCTCGGCTCCCTGCACCCTCCACCTCCTGGGTTCAAGTGATTCTCCTACCTCAACCTCCCAAGTAGCTGGGATCACAGGCACACACCACCACACCCTGCTAATTTTTTCTTTTCTTTTCTTTCTTTTTTTTTTTTTTTTTTGAGACAGAGTCTTGTTCTGTTGCCCAGGCTGGGGTGCAGTGGCACCATCTCGGCTCACTGCAACCTCCACCTTCCAGGTTCACGTGATTCTCCTGCCTCAGCCTCCCAAGTAGCTGGGATCACAGGCGCACACCACCACGCCTGGCTAATGTTTTTTTGTTGTTGTTTTTTTTGTGTGTGTATTTTTAGTAGAGATGGAGTTTCACTATGTTGGCCAGGCTGGTCTCCAACTCCTGACCTCAGGTGATCCGCCCGCCTCGGCCTCCCAAAGTGCTGGGATTACAGGCATGAGCCACCGCACCCGGCCTTTTAATGATTTTTCTACAGACAGAATCTCGCTACATTGCCCAGGGTGGCCTCCAACTGCAGGTCTCAAGCCATCCTCCCGCTTCAAGCCTCCCACAGCGCTGGAAATACAGGTGTGGGCCACCATGCCCAACCCATATCACATGCTTAACAGTGATATGATAATGCTGGTTCTATGCATCTATTCAAGTACGTTTTCAAAGAATTTTTCCCAAGTAAAAAAGCTCATATGTTCAATGAAAACAATTTGGGAAAAAATTTAATGCTGACCTGGAAAAACATTATATATGCTACTGTCATATATTTAACATATAAATGCAAGTATATTGAGGAAAATATTCTAAAATGTCCACAGTAGTTAATGCTGAATGGCGGGACCCAGTGGCTTTTCATTTTCCCCCATTTCCCAAATTGCCTCCCGTTACCTTGTGCTACTTCAATCTGTGAATCCCAGAGCCTCCCCTGCAACCCGAGGACAAGGGCATGCAAGTCCGAAGGTGCCTTCGCTCGCCGAAAAGAGACTCAGACACGGAATCGTAGCTCAGTTTTATTTTCTACAGAAACAAACATGTAAGCCGTCCTCCTCCAGCGACAAACAATCAGGCCCCCACAATGAACTGGCCACTCGTGCTGGGACCATTCCCTAGGGGAGGAGGCATGACCTAGGAAGGGGCGCCAGGCTGGGCTTAGCGCCTCTGCCCTGAGGGAGGCTGAGCCAAAAACACGGGCAGAAAGCACTGCGTGATCCACATCAACAGGGAAAGCTGCTGGAGACAGGAGCTGATGGAGAGCTGCAGTTGGCGGTGGTCTGCAGCAGTCAGTCGGCTAAATGTGAGGGGCAGAGAACATCACGTTAAAGGCGACACCTCTGCACCCATCTCCCTGGGCTCCCTCGGGTGGCGGCGGGCCTGGTGTACCAGGTCTCTGTTCTGAGACCCTGTGCTGGGGTGTTCCCAGGTTTCTAGCAGCCTGACCGTGGGGTGTAGGCGGATCCCAGCCCCCACCCTGCCACGCTGTGACCGCCACCCACCCAGGCCCCATCCCTGTCCTGGTCCTGAACTGACATAGTCAGTATGTTGCCGGACACAGTGAACTCCTTCAGAAGCACCCCTGGCACGGGAAGCGGTGGGGCATCCTGGGCCAGGCTCCTGCGGGCCAGCTCTGCTTCCATGGGTGTCGCGAAAGGCATGGCGAGGTAGCTGGTGGGGGCCCAGTTAAGGCATCCTCTCCTAGGACTTGGCCTGTGGCTCCGGCCTGCTGCTTACCCCAGGCCAGCTTCCCCCTCCCCCACTCCCCCACCCCTCCCCCCTACCCCGGATTGCCCAGCCCATCCCCCCCAGGCTGTCTCCCCAGGCACTGGCCCAGTAGCACACCCCACCCAGCTGTCTTGGTTCCCCACTTTCCTTTGCTGCACCCCAAGCTGACTCCTCCATGCCCTTACAAGACCCCTCCCCACCCTGCCCCCTGTGGCATCACCCGGCCCCCTCCTCATCACTCGACCCTCCATCCCAACCACCTCCCGCCACCCGCTCCCATCTTGCCCCCTTCCCCCCACCTCCTGATCCCCTCCTACACCTGGGTCCCCCTATCTCCTGGCCCCTGCTCCCCTCCCCGCATGACCCGGTGCCCCTCACCCAATCACCCAGCCCCTCTCCCCCACCCCCACCCCCTCTACCTCCCAGCCCTTACCTCCTCCCCTCCTCGCAGCTGGCCTCTCATATCCCCACCTCCCAACCCCCACCCCCACCCCCACCCAACCACTTACTCGCATCTCCCCCGCCTCCTCCCCCACCTGGCCCTGCCCTCCCCATCTCCCGGCCCCCACCTCGCCACCAGAACTGTCAGAACAGAACAGAACAGAACAGAACAGAATACAACTCAAGCAGGCGGCTCTCCGGCCCCCTGGCCCCGCATCTGCAGCATCCATTCAGCCCTGAAGCCGCGCCGCCATGCGGACCCCGCGGGGCGCCTCCTCCCGGCCCCGAGGCCCTTGCTGCCCCTGCGCCCCGGGGACCTCTGCCGCCCGTGGCACCCGCCTCTCCTGGGCCGCCAGCATTGCCCCCTGGGCCATCAGGAATGCCAGGGCCTCCTGGGCCATCAGCATCGCCCGTCGAACCCCCTGTGCCCCGGCCTTCGGCCTGCATGGCTCCGGAGCCTCTGCCCGGCTCTCAGAGAGAAGGTCAGGGCCCACGAGGATGCGGAGGCAGAGAGGCTGCAGGAAGTTCCGCCCCCTGGCGTGAGATGGGCAGCCCGGGATCCTCAGGGCGCCTGCGCACAGGGGCCCTACTTCCGGCCCTGGGAGACCCCGAGTGAGCCCCGGAGCACGTGACCGGTTCTCACCAACCCCGCCCCTCCCCAAGAGAGCCCGGGCCGGAAGGTGGCCGCAATGCCAGCTTGGACCCCTCACCCCTGAGCAGCCGGCTGTCCGCCGGACCCCTGTCCCGGGAGCCCTGCAGGGAGTCAGGCACTGCGGGGCCCAGCCTGTCCCATCCCCCGGGTCTCCCTCACATCGAGGAGCAAGACGGGCCTGGGAACACGGGGCCGGGACTGTGCGGCCATCGTCCCGGACCCTGCCTGCCCTGTCCGTCCTTGGGGGAGCGCCCAGGACAGACCCCGGGGGGCAGGCCTCTAACTGGGCTCAGCAGCCTCCGTCCCTGTCCTGGTCGCCCAGCTGGTGGGGTAGCTGGAACTGCATGTCTGGTGGGCGTGGCCTCGCGCCAGCCAAGGTCTCCCAGGCGCCAGGTCCAGCCAAGGTGGACGGGAGGGCCCAGCGGGACCCGGGGCCGGATCTCACTCCTGGGTTCAACGGGTTCTGTCCCTGTCCTAGTCGCCCCGCCTGGTGGGGGAGCTGGAGCTGCGTGTGGGGTGGGTTGCGGGTGGCCTCCCACCAGCCAGGGGCTCCCGGGCTCTAGGCCTGGCCCAGGTGGACAGGCGGGACCTGCTGGACCTGAGGCTGGGTCGGGCCTGGCTCCTGGGTTCGGCAGTATCAGTCCCTGCCCTGGTCGCTCTTGCCTGGTAGGGAGCTGGGAGGTGACCCTGTGTCTGCTCAGTGGTGATCTATTTGTGTGTCTGGAAGGGGGTCAAATCCACGGGACAGGTACCTCTAGAGGCATGCAGGGGTGAGGGCGGCACGGCCCCGGGAGCTGAATGTCTGTGCCAGGCACACCTGTAGCAACAGGAGGTGACCAGACAGGGCCTAGCCCTGAGGAAGGGGGAGGTACTGAAATCCAAACCACTCTCCCCCACCTTCCAAATCCAGGAATCAGCAGCCTCTGCACCTGGGAAAAGCATATTGGCACTCATGTGGAAACTAAAAACGTTGATCTTTTGGAGGTAGAGCAGAATGATGGTTACCAGACGCTGGGAAAGGTGGGGAGGGTGGGGAGGTTAATGGGGACAAACATATAGTTGCATAGAAGGATTAAGTTCTAGTGTTTGATAGCACCGTAGAGGGACTATAGGTAATTATTTATTGTATATTTCAAAATAGCTAAAAGATAGGAAATGTTCCCCAAAAAAAGAAATGATAAATGCTTGAGGTGGTGGAGATCCTAAATACCCCGACTTGATCATTACATCGTGTGTGCGTGTGCATGTATCAGAATATCACATGTATCCCATAAATATGCAGAGTTATCATACATCAGTTAAAAATGTTTTTACTTACAGAAAAGAAAAATTCACCCAAGCTCTTGCGTGTACCTCCAGTTTATTATTTTCACTGCTGTATTTCATTACATATATTTCATTAAATGATGAATTTTAAAAACCAGAGAACACAACTTGTTAACACCTGGAATAGCTGAAAATCAGACATAACCCGGTTAGTGATTGCCATCCTTCCTGTCGTCCTCTGCTCAGTCTCCCCATTCTCAGACAGAGGCAGGCTAAAGTTCTTACCTTCAACAGGTCAGGGAAGGGAGAGTAAAGTGCATGTGACCCTGTCTTAGGAAGCAGGAAGACAGAGGGAGGGTCTCCGGGTCCCCATTATTTTCCCGGCCTATTATCCTCAGATCAAGTCAAGAAAGGAAGTCCTAACTGATTGAGAGATTCCTGGAGATACTGCCACTGTCCTGGAAGTCTCAGCCAGCCACTGGACCGGAAATCTCCATCAATATTTCAGCCAGAGCAACGTCTGCCACTAGATGGCATCAAACTCCAGCCGGGAGCAGGACAGATTTGGATGGTCCAGCGGGCTTGCCTCATTCATTTCATTAACCCCACAGTAACACATTTTCACATTGTATGCGATTGGATTTCTTGGAAACTACCTATTACATTACGGCAGAGTTTTATAGTCCTCTAATTTATCCATTCTGCTGATGATGGGCAGGCATTTGGATAGTTTCCAGCCCTTGGCTATGAACATGCTTGTACAGGTCTCTTGAAGCACATGTCCAAGTTTTTTTTTGGAATTGCTGTATCACAGCCAATACATATCTCGAAATTTACTAGATAATGCCATGTTTTCCCAAGTGGTTTGAGCCAATTTTCGCTTCCACCATAATGTGTCAGCGTACATACACATAGCTCAACATTCTCATCAATATTGACGGTACTAATCCGTTCTCGCATTGCTATAAAGGACTACCTAAGACTGAGTAATTTATAAAGAAAAGAGGTTTAATTGACTCACAGTTCTGCAGGCTCTACAGGAAGCATGGCTGGGGAGGCCTCAGGAAAGTTACAATCATAGCGGAAGGCAAAGAGGAAGGAGGCACATCTTATATGGCCAGAGAAGGAGAAAGAGAAAGTGAAGGGGGAGGTGCTATACACTTTTAAACAACCACATCTTGTGAGAGCTCAACATCACGAGAATAGCAAGGGGGAAATCGACCCCCATGATCCAATCGCCTCCCACCAGTCCCCTCCTCCAACACTAGGGATTACAATTCAACATGAGATTTGGGTGGGGACACAAATCCAAATCATATCATTCCACCCCTGCCCCCTCCCAAATCTCATGTACTTCTCACATTGCAAAATACAATAATCTCCTCTCAACAGTCCCCCAAGTCTTAACCCATTTCAGCATTAACTCAAAAATCCACAGTCCAAAGTCTCAACTGAGACAAGGCAAGTCCCTTCTGCCTATGAGCCTGTAAAATCTAAAACAAGTTAGCTACTTCCAAGATAAAATTGAGGTACAGGCATTGGGTAAATACTCCCTTTCCAAAAGGGGGACATCGGCCAAAACAAAGGGGCTACAGGCCCCATGCAAGTCCAAAACCCAACAGGACAGTCATTAATTCTTTTTTTTTTTTTTTTCCACTACAAAATAATTTATTCGAACACACAGCTACAGCGCGAGACTCCTATGTACAAGCACATTGACGCTCCTGACTACCCTCAACTAGAGGACCCTTTTCTTCCCCCTTGCCTTGCAGACCTCTTCTATCGAATCTTTCATGTACTGGATCTCCTCGGCCAGGGAATCCGCCCTCTCTTGCAGAGCCTCGTTCTTCTTTTCCACCGCTTTGCACTCACCAGTGAGGACCTCCTGCTCCACCCTCTTCTTCTGGCGATACCTAGTTCCTGCTGTTTGGTTTTGCTCCATTTTTTTTTCAGCTTCTTATCCAGTTTCTCACCCTTTACTTGTGCTGCTACCATCTTCTCTCCAGGAGGGTCATAAGGTTTGGGGCAGGCAGAGCCACAGAGGACACCTGGAGATGGCGGGCTCCTACTCGGAGAGCCCCTGGAGGTAGAGGGAGAGCCCAGATAGGACTCTGGGCTCATACAGATGCCACTATCATTATCTGAGGGGGCGTCTTCCTCCTTTGTGCAGTGAGGGATCTTGGAAATGTAAGCAGTGGAGTCTGGCTTCCTAGCTCCTTCAAAGATATCCACTTCACTGCCCAGCTCTAGACTAAAGGAATAATCTGGAGTGGAGGACTGGACCCCTGGGGAAAGGGGAAGAGGTTGCAAGAAGGTGAAGGGGGCAACCTGGTCGGGTTAAACTTTCTGGGAGATGGCAAATCGGGTTCACCATCTGGGGGGGGCTCCTTAATAGTCTCCTGGACTGGGGGGGCTCCTTAATAGTCTCCTGGACTAGGGGGGCAAAGAGATCACACGAGTCATCCAACGTGGCCAGAAGCTCGTCTGGCATGGTTTCCAGGTCATCTATACCCAACAGGGCATCAAAGTCGAACTCCTTCAGATCAGTTTTCTCCAACATCCAATCTGTCCCAAAGAAAGCATCCTCCTTGCCATCGTTGGAGGCACTGACCAACCCATCCACAGCCAGCCACTCGGAGGAGTCTGCCTTAGCCTTGTCGCTGGAGAACCCATGAGGTTTGAAGTGCTTGGCCACCTCCAGGTAGTCATCTAAGAGACCTAGGCTTTCTTCAGTCCCCAAACCTGACTGGTCAAGGGGGGACATCAAGCCCCCACCAACACCTCGCTGCTCAGGAAGCTCATCTCGGTCATGGTGCAGTGCTTTGCTGGAATCAACGAATGTGCTTAATTCGAAGGTGTCTTTGTCGGTTACAGCAATGCTGCTGCTGAATGCTGTGAGAAGTGCTACGGCTTAAGCCGCCGGTGGATGCCACTGCAGAGCCTGGTGCTGCTGCCACCGCTGCAAAGGCCAAGGCTGCCACAGGCACTGCTGCCCCTAAAACGCCATGGAGGCCATGGACCCTGCAGGCGGGGAGGAGGGAAGGTGCGCACGTGCGGAGGAAACTACATCTGTGGGCGGGCGGAGCAGAAAATCGTCATTAATTCTTAAAGCTCCAAAATAATCTCCTTTGGCTCCATGTCTTACATCCAGGCCACACTGAGGCAAGGGGTGGGCTCCTGAGGCCTTGGGCAGCTCCGCTCCTGTGGCTCTGCAGGGTACAGCCCCCTCGGCTGCTTTCCTGGGCTGGTATTGAATGTCTGCAGCTTTTCCAGGAGTATAATGCGAGTTGTCAGTGGATCTATGATTCGGGGGTCTTGAGGATGGTGGCCCCCTTCTCACAGCTCCACTAGGCAGTGCCCCAGTGGGGACTCCAACCCCAGATTTCCCTTCTGCACTACGCTAGTAGAGGTTCCCCAGGAGGGCTCCGCCCCTGCAGCAGACTTCTGCCTGGACATTCAGGCGTTTCCATACATCCTCTGAATCTAGGCAGAGGTTCCCAAGCCTCAACTTTTGCCCTCTGCATACCCGCAGGCTTAACACCACATGGAAGCCACCAAGGCTTACAGCTTGCACCCTCCAGAGCAGCAGCCGGAGGCGTATCTGGGGCCCTTGTAGCCATGGCTGGAGCTGGAGCAGCTGGGGCGCAGATAGCAGTGTCCCGAGGGTGCTCAGGCCAGCAGGGCTCTGGGCTGGGTCCAAAAAACCATTCTTCCCTCTTCAGCCTCCAGGCCTGTGAATGACCCTCAAAAAATTAAAAATAGAACTACCATATGATCCAGCTCTCCCACTTCTGGGTATAGATCTGAAGGAAATGAAATCTATTTCTTCCTGAGTCAGTTTTCATGGTTTGTACATTTCTAGGAATTTGTCCACTTCATCTAGGTTATCTAATTTGTTGGCAAACAATTGTTCACAATCTTCTCATGTAATCCTTTTTGGGGGTAGAAGAATTCAGTAACAATCAACAAAATGAAAAGGCAACCTGCAGAATATTGAGGAATAACATATTGTTCACATCTTATCAATATAATAAAATATGTGCATTTTGTGGGGGCAATAATAAATACTCTCAGTTTTTTCCTCATCAGCTATAACAGGGTTGGAGTCTACAGTGATATCTTCTCAAGTCTCCAGCATCTGTGTCGCACTCAGGTAGCACCACACAGTCCCGAGTGAGCCCCTAACAGATACTCATCTCCCTTGGGACAGAAGCAGCACATAGACTTCCATCTCTGGTCATTAGGTCCCACGGCCTAGGGACCATGTCTCAAAATTAGCTTCGATGCCATAACATATTTGATCAGAATATAGGTAATGTGATAAGCTGAAATATAAGCATTCCAACTGAACTTCAGGCATAGCAATGGCAAATTGGAAAGAGATGCAAAGAGATTTCAAGGACCTTGGAAATTCACGATGTCATTTAAGAAGAAAACACACGTCACTCCATTCCAGTAAAGAATCACAGACTCGGCCATGCATGTTGGCTCATGCCTGTAGTCCCAGTACTTTGGGAGATCCAGGTGGGAGGATCGCTTGAGCCCAGGAGTTCAAGAATCACAGACTCTTCCAGCTCCCAGTCCGGTGCTCTTAACCACTACGTGCTGCCAGTCATCAATATTCTCCCATATTTCCTTTAATGAAATAGGATCATTAAAGCTTAGGGGGAAACATTTGACAGGAAAAGATTTCACGTATTTTTCTAGATTTTCATTTCTTCTTTTTGTTGTTGTTTTTTTTGGAGACAAGGTCTCACTCTGTCACCCAGGTCAGAGTGCAGCGGTGCAATCACAGCTCACTGCAGCCTCGACTTCCCATGCTCAATCCATCTTCCCACCTCAGCCTCCTAAGTAGCTGGGACTACAGGTGCACACCTCCACGCCCGACTCATTTTTTAAAATTGTTTGTAGAGATGGCGTCTGACTATGTTGCCCGGGCTGGTCTCAAACTCCTGGACACAAGCAGTCCTCCCGCCTCAGCTTCCCAAAGTGTAGGGATTACAGGCGTGAGCCACACTGCACCAGGCCGCCTTCATTTCCTCTTTTATATAGACTCCAGTTGAATTTTTAAAAAGTAGTTGGTCGCCCGGAGGCAGAGACTGTCTTACAGTTTTTCTGTTTCCCAGAGTGCCTTGCTAAATACCCAATTGTTGACCTAATCTTTAAACTCAGAAGTACAAATTTACTGCACTGTAAAGACATAGACTCAACAGGTACAAAATCTTTGGTCTTTCAATCAACATAGGTCATGGAAACATCACTTCATTCCTAAATGCCAACGTAATGAATACAAGAGAATTGGTTTGAAACAAACATTTTGATCAGTGTTCACTTAAATTCCCAGGGGATTCCCACCTTACTCCACTCCCTCGGCTCAGCACACGTATTATAAGCCACACTAGTCCGCATCTGGTGTTACAACTTTCTGTCCAATTTCAGAACACCCTCCTTTCACCAATTCATGACCTGCAACCCTTCCACCGCCATTTCCACAAGCAAACTTCAGGTCTTTTTCAAGGTGAAGTGCCGTACTTGCTGCAGCACTTAGGTATTTTTTAACCATTTAACATGCATAGAATTGTGCTACCATTTTCATTAGGTTCCTATCTTCGTTTTTTTATGTGTCACTGACAAAGGTTTTGAGTATTGTGTCCCTAACCCCATTTTTCCTATAAGTTTTGCGATTTGTACTACACAATGATTTTGAGGTGTACACGTATGTCATGCTATAATCATAACTCATTGTATCACGGTTTGGGGAAAAAATTAACCAATAACCAATTTATTTTTTCAAAGATAACAGGTGTGCAAGCTTCCAGCAAATCTGCTTAAGCATAAGATCAAATCAGAGAACAGCTGTTTTTCCTCCAATGTTGATCCAGTGGCTAGCTAGCCCTCAAATCAGACACTAGATTTGGAACTGGGAGGACATCATTCACCTTGAAGTAGTGAACAAAAACATGGTTTTGTCAAAAAATAAAAGGGATAAAAGTCATTATAAAAACTGTCTTTCCCACCAGGCATGGTGGCTCATGCCTGTGGTCCCAGCTACTCGGGAGGCTGAGGTGGGAGGATCACTTGAGCCCAGGAGGTCGAGGCTCCAGTGAGCTGTGATTGCACTACTGCACTCCTGCCAGCCTGGGCGACAGAGCGAGACCTTGACTCTAAAAAAAGGGAAATTATCTTTTCCATCCTCAGAGCAAGCATGCAGAATATTATTGTCATCCTATTCATAGACGTGGAAGCTAAAACTAAGAGAGGCTGAGTGACTGGCCCAAAGTACCATGGCTGATAGGGGTTGTAATGAACTCAAGTGGTCTTTGTCTAGGATCAGAAATACCACCATCATATGTAATGGTGCTTGTAACTGTGACGTGTTATTTCCAATTGTCTGCAAAACACAAACATGAATAAATGAGATGAGTTGTTGGGGAAAAGTAAGAAAAAGGTGACACTGTTAAGGTTACCCATCTCTCCACGTACCTCGTAACATCAGACCCTGATTGGGGCAGAAAACCCTGGCCTGTACCACGATAAATGCCTCCTGTGCAATAATAGGATGTTCAACAGCTCTTCGGTACCAACGATGAACAAATTTTTTGCAAAAGAATATTATTGCTGCAATTGGCCGGGCATGGTGGCTTATGCCTGTAATCCCAACACTCTGGGAGACCGAGCTGGGCAGATTGCTTGAGCCCAAGAGTTTGAGAGCAGCCTGGGCAACATGGCTGTACCCACTCTCTACAAAAAATTGTAAAATTTGCCAGGCGCGGTGGCGCACGCCTGTGGTCCCAGCTACTCTGGAGGCTGACGTGGGAAGATGGCATTGAGCCCAGGAAGTCAAGGCTGCAATAAGCCATGTTCATGCCACTGCACTCCAGCTTGGGTGACAAAGTGAGACCTGGTCTCTCTCTATATATCTGTCTATCTATATCTATATCTATATCTATCTATCATCTATATCTATATCTATAGCTTAGCTATATCTGCAACAGTGAATAGAAACCCCTTTAGCAAAGTGTTCCCAAACTCTTGCTTCTAATTCTTGACCAACTCAGAAGTAAAGGAGGAGAATGAAGTAAAGGAAGTCATACGTTTCCGTGCTCTCATGCATATTTTTATTTCTGTAAGGTCAGTAGTAATGTGGCTACTTTCATTTCTGATTTTAGTCCTCGCTCTCTCTGTCTTAGTCCAGCTAAATGTGTCTCCGTTGCTCTTTAAGCACTTCCTTATTTTTCTGGGACAACAAGATGATCCAGTTAATCTTGGACTTTCTCTGCCCTAGCCCTGGAATCAGTCATTTCTCTAGTGAGCTCTGTTCTTTTTAATCAAGACGGTTGTTTAGAAATCGAGACCCAGGCACTAAGTCAACTCACTGCTATTGAGATGGTCCCAGGCCTTCTAAGTGATGGAGCTGAGAAATACCCATACACACAGCCCTATTTTACAGCTATGCTTATTTCTATACCTATCTGTATATTGAAAGCCATCAGTGTATCAGGCCACTCTTGCACCGCTATAAAGAAATACCTGAGACTGGGTAATTTATACAGAAAAGAGGTTTAATGGGCTCTTGGTTCTGCAGGCTCTGCAGGACGCCTAGTGCTGGCATCTGCCCAGCTTCTAGAGAGGCCTCGGGAAGCTTCTACTTGTGGTGGGAGGCAAAGCAAGAGCTTGTGTATCTCATGGCGAAAGCAGGAGCAAGCGAGAGAGAGAGAGAGAGAGAGAGAGAGAGAGAGAGTGTGTGTGTCGGGGCGGGGGGAATGCCACCCACTTTAAAATGACAAGATCTCTCGAGAACTCACTATCACGAAGACAGCACCAAGCCATTCATGAGGGATCCACCCCCATGACCCAAACACCCCCTACCAGGCCCCACCTCCAGCCCTGGGGATTACAAGTTAACATCAGATGTGGGTGGGGACAAACATCCAAACTAGATCAATGAATTCACACCAACAACTCCAAATCGAATCCACATTCAAGCCTTCTCTCTTTTCATATCTGCAACTCCTTTTCCAAACGGTGAGAAAGCCAGGTCCCTACATCATTCATATATTTACTGCAAAGCCAGTCAACCATCTGAGCCCATCAGGTCACCACCCAACTTGGCACACGTTCCTCTCTTGGACCCCTGACCCCTCCCCAGGACACAGTCACCCTCGCCGACTCCCTTCCTTACTCCACAAAACTTCCTTGTGCAGGACACTGCTGCGCTCAGCGGAGGATCGTGCTTCACACTGGTCCCCAGCTGCCCTCCACGCTTTCCTTGAGTGGGCCCCCAATCCCAGGGGCTTTTGGAAGAAGAGGGGGAGAAGGACAGGACCGAGGAAGAGAGGCAGGAAGGAAGACCAGCAGAGCAGCCGGCAGGAAGGGCCATTATTCCTTCTGATGCTCCATTCGTAGCCAATGGCAACTCAAATTGGTTGGCAGCAGTGTCCTCCTGACAAACGCTGTGGTCATGTCTCAGATTTACCTCCAGAGGGAGCACTTCAGTCCATAGTCTTGGTGCCAGCTGCAATGGCATTAGCATTGCTTTGAAGGCTTTTCAGGGGACAGAGAAAGCAAATGGGTATTTTTTAGAAAGAGAAAAATAAATTGAGTTCATCACGCCTGTAATCCCAGCACTTTGGCAGGCCAAGGTGGGAGGATGGCTTGAGCCCAGGAGTTCGAGAGCAGCCTGGACAACATAGCGAAACCCCATCTCCACGAAAAAATAAAAAATTAGCCGGGCGTGATGGCACGCGCCTGTAGTCCCGGCTACTCGGGAGGCTGAGGCGGGAGGATCGCTTGAGCCCGGGAGGTTGAGGCTGCAATGAGCTGTGATCGTGCCACTACACTCCAGCCTGGGTGACAGAGTGAGACCCTGTCTCAAATAAATAAACAAACAAACAAAGAAATAAAAAGTTAGACAGCTTTTACTTTTTGGATATATATATTCCCTATTCCCTGTGGATATTCACAAGCCTTTTTTTTTTTTTTTAAGTTTTTAAAGTTCAGTTGTTCTGTCATCTGTGTGGTGCTCCAGCATCTGTTTTGAGTCTCTCTCTGTCACCCAGGCTGGAGTGCAATGGTGCCATCTCGGCTCACTGCAACCTCCACCTCCCAGGTTCAAGTGATTCTCCTGCCTCAGCCTCCCGAGTAGCTGGGAGTACAGGCGCCCACTACCACGCCCGGCTAATTTTTGTATTTTTAGTAGAGACGGGGTTTCACCATATTGGCCAGGCTGGTCTAGAACTCCTGACCTTGTGATCTGCCCACCTCGGCCTCCCAAAGTGCTGGGATTACAGGTGTGAGTCACTGCACCCAGCCTCCAGCATCTGAACTCTTAGTCTCATGGTCTCTTTCCTGCCCTGGGTGTGCTTAGTTTTTATGTGCACTGCTCAGTGTCATTAAGAACTTTTTTCCCCCAGTGCTCCTAAAGTTGTTATATTAATACATCGCTCTTTTTATTTTAAGAGCTCAGGTGTACATGTGCAGGTTTGTTATATGAGTAAACTTGTGTCATGGGGGTTTGCTGTACAGATTATTTTATCACCTAGGTATTAAGCCTAGCACCCATGAGCTATTTTTCCTCATACTCTCCCTCCTCCCAACCTCCGCCCTGCAAAAGGCCCCAGTGTGTTTCATTCCCCTCTATGTATCCGTGTGTTCTCATCATTTAGCTCCCACTTATAAGTGAGAACATGTGGTATTTGGTTGTCTGTTCCTGCGTCAGTTTGCTAAGGATAATGGCCTCCAGCTCCATCCACGCTCCTGCAAAGGACATGCTCTCACTCAGGAACTTTTGTGGAGACTGCATCTCAACCCCAGGCTCCCACGAATCCACACATCCGTTGGGGTAACCGTTGTGGGTTGAATTGTGTCCCCCAAAAAGGTATGTTCAAGTCCTAACACCTGGGTGCCTGGGAATGTGACCTGATTTGGAAATAGGGTCTTTGCCGATGTAATCAAGTTAAGGTCATACTAGATTGGGGTGGGCGCTAATCAAATGTGACTAGTGTCCTCATAAGAGAGAGAGGCAGACACACTGGGAAGATGACCCCACGAAGAAGGAGGCAGAGATTGGAGCGGTGTCTCTATGAGACAGAGAGTGCCAGGGATTGCCAGAAACCACCTGGAGCTACGAGAGAGGCATGGAACAGATTCTCCCACAGAGCCTCCAGTAGGAACCAACCCTGCTGACAGCTGGATTCCAGACTTGTAGCTTCCAGAACCACGGGAGAATCCGTTTCTGTTGTTTTCGGCCACCCAGTTTGTGGCCATTTCTTACGGCAGCCCTAGAAAACTAATATGGGTACTGTCGGCCCAGGACCACCTCAGACCAAATTTAGGACTCGAGGGCCACTGAACGGCCCCACCAGGAAAACCTAGACTGCAAGTCTGCACAGAACCTGGCCCTTGGCCACAACTTTGCACAGGGGTGTTTTCCCTTTCCTTTCATCTCCTGCTTCCCCGCAATCTGCAGAGCTGGGGTGGGGTTTCCTTAATGTAGCGGGGGCTGCTATACAACTCCCCACACTTCACAAAGGCTTTGGGCCTTGCCTGCTGTCTCCCTTGCCTGGACGGCCTCCAGAACCAAAACCCAAGTTTGCCCAGGTCGGCCAGCGTCCTCGGGAAATAAGCAGCTTCAGTGGCGTACTTCTTCTTGGATTCCCACTTCCTCTCAGGTTTTGCTCTCTTGTTGGTTCTCAGCTGTTTTGAACAGTCTCAAACTGTTTCATCTATCATTTGCAGTTATTTTCAGCAGAAATATCTGTCTCAATAATACCACCCAGCATCACCAGAAACAGATGGCAGGTCTTGCAGTGCTTTCGGGGATGGACAGACAGACCACCCTGACCACCGCCCGCTAGGTGCGGGAGAAGACTTATTTCCAGCTATAGCACACATTTGTCGACTTTGGCTCTCCTAGACTGAGAAAGCAAATCTCACCCCTTCCCCTCAGGCCTGCGACACTCGGAACCAACGCGACCGATGGAATCCCTGGATCTCCCCGCTTCCTGTGACCGCTGAGTTCTGTTCCTCCAAGGGTACAATGACATCCATCAGCTGCCTGCCCCCTGCTGACACACTTTCTGTTTGAGGGTTTCCCTCTCAATGACTATAGAGAAAGCAACCTGGGCCGGGTAGAAGAGCAGCTGCTAGTCTCCTGGTTGGTACCAACCCTGGGTCTCTGAGGAAAGGACAGAGTAGGGTCACTCTGCTTCACAACACAAAGTCGCCCATTCTCCCTGCCAGTTCTCAAGCCTGTAATCCCAGCATTTGGGGAGGCCCAGGTGGGAGGATCACTTGATTTCCAGGAGTTCGAGTCCAGCCTGGGCAACACAGTGAGACCCTGTCTCTACTGTTAAAAAACGTAAGGAAGGAAGGAAGGAAGGAAGGAAGGAAGGGAGGGAGGGAGGGAGGGAGGGAGGGAGGGAGGAAGGGAGGAAAGGAAGGAATAAGGAAAAAAGGAAGGAGGGAAGGAAGGAAGGGAGGAAGGAACGAAGAAAGGAATAAGGAAGAGGGAAAGAAGGAAGGAAGGAATAAGGAAGAGGGAAAGAAGGAAGGAAGGAATAAGGAAGAGGGAAAGAAGGAAGGAAGGAATAAGGAAGAGGGAGTGAAGTAAGGAAGGAAGGAATAAGGAAGAGGAAGGAAGGAAGGAAGGATGAAAAAAAGGTCACCTGTCAAACATAGCTTTAGGAGAGGATGTAAATGTTCAATGTTGGTCTTCTTCTGTGTCTTCATTTGCATTTTCATGGGAGCTTACAGGAGGCGCCCAGGTGTCTTAGACAACATTTTTAAAATAACGACTTGAGGTTTAATTCACATGCTACACAATTCACATGTCTAAAGTGTACAATTCGATGGTTTTTAGTATATTCATAGATACGTGCAACCATCAGCATGACCAGCTTCAGGACATTCTCATCATCTCAAAAGGAAACTCTGTCTCCATCAGCAGTCACTCCCCGTTTTCCCCCAACTCCTCCAGCCCTGGGCAACAACCAATCGACTTTCCTTAGACAACGTTTTGAGCCCTTATTGGGAGGAATTATAGTCGAATGGAAAATCCAGTTTGGGACGTGGTGTAAACTGGAATTGCTTTCGTGGTTTTTCCTTGTGCCTTGGGTGGGGCACTGCCGTAAGAGCATTGCATCCATCCTTTCGTCGGTACTCTGCTGCACACGGATGGCATTTCTGCCCTTGTTACAGATGAGGAAACTGAGGCTCAGAGACATTAAGCAAGGGGCAGAGTGGGGCTTGTCCATGAGACCCCAGAGTCTGTGCTCTTGCACATACATTATCAGGCCAACATGATCTATCCATCCGAATTCCAAATAAATAAATAAAAATGCTTATAAGAAGTCCCCCCATGCTGCGGGGAGGCAGCGGCTCATGCCTGTAATCCCAACACTTAGGGAGGCACAGGTGGGAGGATTGCTTGAACCCAGGAGTTTGAGACCAGCCCAGGCAACATGACAATACCTGCATCTCTGCAAAAACGAAAAAAAAAAAAAAAAAAAAAAAAAAGACAAAAAGAAGTCCCTCCAAGTTAGTCGCCATGCTCTCTACCATGGGTTTTCTGTGTTATCCCTATCACATGCATACAGTCATTTCTACCAAGCACCATTTATGGTGACAGGGTATGGTCTACAAAAATATTGACAGAGAAATCCTGATGGAGCTCAAGACAAGCTCAGGCCACCAAGAAATGTGCACCGAGTGTAGCTGTGCCGAGCATCGTTCTAGGGCAGGGGTCCCCAACCCCCCGGCCACGGACCGATACTGGTCTGTGGCCTGTTAAGAACTGAGCCACAGAGCAGGCGGCGAGTGGTGGGCACGCGAGCGAAGCTTCATCTGTGTGTACAGCTGCTCCCCATTGCTCGCATGACCGCCTGAGCTCTGCCTCCTGTCAGATCAGCCAGCGGCCTCAGACTCTCACAGGAGCGCAAACCCTATTGTGAACTGTGTGTGCGAGGGATCTAGGTTGTGTGCTCCTTAGGAGCATCTGACTAATGCCTGATGATCTGAAGTGGAAGAGTTTCATCCCCGAACCGTCATCCCACGCCCCATCCCCGTCTGTGGAAAACTCGTCTTCCACAAAACCGGTCCCTGGTGCCAAAAAGGTTGGAGACCGCTGTTCCGGGGGATGGTGCCTGACTGAGCTGGAGGAGGCCTCTGCTCTCCCTCTGGTGGAAGGAGAGAGAAAACAAAGCAGAATAAATGAGGCCGTTTGGACTGCCAAGCTGGGAGTTAAAACAGTGCAGTGTGATTTAGGATGAGGACTTTAAGATGAAGAAGGTGATACGCTTAGAACTGTTGAAAGTTTAAACTTAGAGCTGAATGAGAAAAAGAAATCGGCCATGCAAAGATGAGGGGACAACAAGGACAAGCGCCGTGTGTTCGAGGAAGGGCCAAGAGGCCAGCGTGTGTGAGGTGCGGCCGGCATGTGGTGCGGCTGGGTGCAGCGGGCCAGCAGGAGAGGGACATAACGTGACGTCCCAGCGGCATGAGGGCTCTGCGAGCCAGGCTGAGGATGAGTTCAGGTTTCCAGGGCAACTGAAGGGCATGGCAGGGTTTCAGCAAAGGTTTACCAGATGACACTGGCTGCCATGTGGAGAGTAGATCACAGGGAGCCCACGCTCTCCAGTGTGAAAGCAGCAAGGAGGTCACTGTGATAGTGTAGGCAAAAGGTGAAGGGACTCAGGAGTTTGGATCATGAGAGGAAGAGGAATCCGTTTTGGTTTAAGCAACTGGGGATGAGGGAAAGGGCAGAGTTGGCAGGGGGTGGGGGCTAAAAGTCCATTTCTGGCTTGGACGGGCTACTGGGCTCATTTTCGTGAAGGAACAGATCAGGACTGGAAGACAGAAATCTGTCATCAGCATCAAGGCCTTGAAGATGGACGAGGTCACAAAGGGGCAGTGTCTGAGCAAGGAGAGGAAGAGAATTCGGGAGTCAGCTCGGAGACACAGGAACCAGCAAGGAGCCTGCGAAGCAGCTGCCAGGACGTGGAAGGAGAACCAAGGGGTCTGAGGAGGAGAAAATGATGGTGCTCGGAACTGCAGAACCTCTCGGCAGGCACACTGCACTCAAACCCCTGCCCGAAGACACCCGGCCACCACCTCGCGGGGCCTCTGGGAGCCTAAGGCCGCGCCCCTGGGACGCCCCAGCCCCCTTTTGAGTGAGTTCCCGTCTGGAAACGCTCAGGGCTGCCCAGAGCATGTACTGTCTGTTCCGGCCAACACCTGACCTCCCTTTCTGACAGCATTTACTACAAAGGGCTTACCCTGTCCCTTTGAGACATCTGTGTAGCACCCACAACCCAGGGGCTTTCCCGAGGGCCCCGCAGCCACTCCTTGGAAACGGAAACCTCAGGAGGCGCGGGGCCCAGTCTCCCAGTCTCCACGGGACGGAAGCATCCCAACCTTGGTAAGCACCGGCAGCTCCCACACACGGCTGGCCTCGCGGCAAGGACGCTGGCTGCCCCGTCATCTTTCACCTGAGCCTGCACTCGCCCCCTCCCGACTCCCTCCTTCTCCCTTCGCAAGGCCAGGCCGCCTCTGCTGGGGCGGGAACGGAGCTCAGCTCTCTCCCCCGCAAGCAGGGGTTTCTGAAGAAGATCTCTTTTGCCAGCTTGAACAAAGGCCCGCTTTTGTGTACCTTTGTGTATCTCCGGTGTTCTTGTCAAAAGAGGAGGACAGGCACAGAGGCCCGCGGGGACAAGGCCACAGGATGACGGAGATGGAGGCTGGAGAGGTGCAGCCGGCGGCCCCCGGCGCCGTGGAGAGGCCTGGAAGGCAGCTCCCTCGCGGCCCTGGCGGGGAGCCCACCCTGCCGACACCACCGCTAGCTCAGCCTCCAGGCCTCCAGAAGCGGGAGGCCACGCGTTTCTGTGGCTTCGGCCCCGCAGTCTGTGGTGCTTGGTCACGGCAGCCCCAGGAGACACAGTCAGCCCCTGCCCCGTGCCTTGCTGAGAGGCTGTGTCAACAGCGGGCTCTTCCCTGCCACTGGCACAGAAGAAAACCAAGCTGCGTTACCACCCGAGCGACTGTGTGGGAAGACGTATTCTCTGTGTATCAAAGGAATGCGTGCAAATGATAGGCATTTAGGAAAGGTACTAACATGTAAGGAAAACTTCTCATTACTGGCCACCCAGCTACTCACGTCCGTCCAAATGTTAGCAGGGTATGCACTCAGAGCTTTTACTTCTCTATTGGGGTCACGCTTTATCCATAAGTTTGTCACCTGGCCTGTTCACACCAACATGCTACAAGGCATGTTGCGTGTGAGGAGATGTTCAAAATGCCAGCTGTGCCGGACCACATCGTTACATACGCAGCCTCTTATCTCACCCCGACCTTTGGCAGCTACAAATGACGAAGTGAAGCACCTTCCCAATGCCAGAGTCATCGCTGAGTGCCCGACTCTCTCTTAGGGTTACGCACCAGGGCTGAGGACGCTGCCTACGGGCTTGCTCCATCCCAGCAAATGGCCCCCTCGGAAAGGGCAGCATTGCAAGGGCCGCTGTCCTGCACCTTGCCAGCAGAGCGCTCACCTAGGGCTTCATCGGTTGCCATTTTCAGATCACTTTTTGCTTGCCGTCAGACTTGCTGTTGTTTTAGTTACTGATGAGGGTGAAATGCTTTCTCACTGTGCTTACTGGTCGCCCGCACTGTTCTTGTGCATTGGTCGGCAGGAGGGGGAGCGCGCATGAACACCAGAGAACGCCACAAGCTCCGGCAGGGATGGGCTTCGTTTGTGGATCAAGGGGCCGCAGCCAATAGGGCAGGCAGGCTGGTTCCCTCCCAAGAGTAATCCAACCAGTTGTTCTGGAAGCTCAACCTAAGTAAAGCCGAAAAGGAAAACACTGGAATGCCGTACTTCTGCGCAAATGGTATGGTTTTAAATCCTTGGTGTCTGGTGTACGGTCAACCCTACACTGTGCTACCGGAGGAGGGAGGAGGCAGCCCCACCTCCGGGCAGGGCGGTGGGTCTAGACCAATGCCTGGTGGGTCTAGACCAAGATTCTGACTCGGTTGGTCCAGGGGGCCCAAGCAGGGGTGTTTTTCCAGCTCCCAGGCACTGCTGCTGCATTTGCCCTCATCTGTGTGCACTGGAACATGTCCCCATACTGGGTTGTGTGATGGCCCTGAAGAGATACGTGCATATCTTATGGGTGTGACCTTCTTTGGGAAAAGGGTCTTTGCAGATGTAATGAATGCCGAGATGAGGAGATCATTCTGGATTATCCAGGTGGGCCCTACATCCAATGACTGGTGTCCTTTATGAGACAAAAGGGAAGACACAGACGAAGAGGAAGAGACTGTGTGATGACAGAGGCAGAGACTAGGGTGATGGCTCTATAAGCAACCAGCAGAGGCTAAGACAGAGACCTGTAAACGATTCTCTTGGCACCTGCAGAGGAAACCAGCCTTGCCGGACATAGTGGCGGGCACTTGTAATCCCAGATACTCGGGAGGCTGAGGCACAAGAATTGCTTGAACCCTGGAGGCGGAAGTTGCAGTGAACTGAGATGGCACCACTGCACTCCAGCCTGGGTGTCAGAGCAAGACTGTATCCAACAAGAAAGAAAGAGAGAAAGAGAGAGAGGAGAGAGAGAGGGAGAGAGAGAGGGAGAAAGAAAAGAAAGAAAAAAGAAAGAAAGAAAGAAAGAGAAAGAGAAAGAAAAAGAAAGAAAGAGAAAGAAAGAAAGAAAGAAAGAGAAAGAAAGAAAGAAAGAGAAAGAAAAAAGAAACCAGCCTTGCTGACAACTTGATTGCAGACTGTGGCTTCCAACACTGTGAAGGAGTTTCTGTTGTTTTAAGCCCCAAGTGTGCAGTCCTTTGTTACAGCAGCCACCGTCTACTCATACACCCTCCCTCCAAAAAAAAAATGTAAAGTGCTCTTGTAGAAAAATTGCAAGATTAGGATTTAAGTGCAGCACCCGTGAGCAGACAAGCTGTCTGTGCCTTTCACATTTTCCCAAGTAGAATCTGATGGGCACCTGGCTTGAAGAAGGGGAAAGGTCACTCCCCGCCCCCACACCCCGCCCCCAGATGCTGAGAAAGCCCTCAGGCCAGGTTAATTTTTAGAAGGCCTCATATCCCAATTCTAGCCAGCCTCACACTGTCAAATAGCAGGAAGCCCTGTGAGGAAGCCTCAGGGTGGATTCACAATATCCCGTTCCCAACCAGGGCAGCTTGGAGGAGGGCAGGAAGGAAGGCCCGGGTGCTGGGGAGTCAACTTCCAACTTTGTTTCCTTTGCTACAATTGCAGGGTTAATGCCCAGGGCTCTGACACCCCGGGAAATTTCCAGAATCTTGCAAAACAAGTAGAGTCGTCTGTTCTTCCTAATTGGGGCCAGTGTGGGAAATGGCATCACAAACTTCTGGAATATGATGAAACAGCCATCACCAGTCACACTGGGCAACAACACTCTTGGTGAAGACAAGAGCACGCTTCGGTGTTAGAAAAAGAAAAGTGCTCATGTGTGAAGCATCCCTCCCACAGACCACAAGGTGGTCACGACGACTCCAAAGTCAAAGCAGTAAAAGGGGGAAAAAATGGATAAATGTGACTACATAAAGAAAAAAAAACTTCGAGGCTGAGAAGCACCAGTAGTTTAGCAGGGTGTGGTGGCGCACGCCTGTGATCCCAGCTACTCGCAAGGCCGAGGCAGGAGGACTGCTGGAGCTCAGGAGGTCAAGGCTGCAGTGAGCTCTGATTGTGCCACTACACTCCCACCCGGGTGACAGAGACCTTATCTCAAAACAAAAAACAAAGAAACACTAGTAGCGAGGTCAAAGCAGGAAAAGATATCTGCAATTTCTATCACAGCCACAAACCCAATCCTGCTCATGGACAAAGAGTTTCTAAAAGCTGAGCAACAAAAGATAACCCAGTAGAAAAACGGATAAAAGATATGAGCAGCCCAGCGGGGCGCAGTGGCTCACACCTGTAATCCTAGCACTTTGGGAGGCCGAGGCAGGCAGATCACCTGAGGTCAGGAGTTTGAGACCAGCCTGGCCAAAGTGCTGAAACCCCCATCTCTACTAAAAATACAAAAATTGGCCAGGTACAGTGGCTCACACCTGTAATCCCAGCACTTTGGGAGGCCAAGGCAGGTGGATCACGTGAGGTCAGGAGTTCGAGACCAGCCTGGCCAACATGGTGAAACCCCATCTCTACTAAAAATACAAAAATTAGCCGAGCGTGGTGGCAGGCGCCTGTAGTCCCAGCTACTAGGGAGGCTGAGGCAGGAGAATAGGTTGAACGCAGGAGGCAGAGGTTGCAGTGAGCTGAGATCACGCCACTGCACTCCAGTCTGGGCGAGAAGAGCAAAACTCTGTCTCAAAAAAAAAAAAAAAAAATACACACACACACACACACACACACACACATACATATACACAACTATACATATACATATATATATATGATATGAGCAGCCCATTCAGAAGCAGAACTAAAAAAGGTCCTTAAAGCCTCAGGAAAGATGTTTAAGCTCACTCTTAACAGAGAACTGCATGGCCTAGCGAATGACAAAAACCCAAACGGGCTTTCCCACCTCCTCCTTGGCAAGGCTAGGGAAATAGGGGGTGGGGAGAGATGGGAAACCAAGCTCCAAGGAGGAAGGGGGCTCAGGTACCATCTACGCCATCGCCCATGCTCAGTGGTGTCACTTCTCAGAATCTATGCCAAAGATACGCACGACTAATGCACAAGGATTTTTACTATGCCATTATTTATGGTAACAAAAAGATGGGAAACAACCCAAATGTCCATCAATAGTGACTGGTTAAATACACATCGGTCTGGCTGCAAAATGGAATAGCATGCAGCCCAAAAGGAGAGCACCCGTGTGCATGGTAAGAGGGCAGCACTCCCAGGGCACAGCGGCGGGCGGGTCGGTGTCCGGTGGGAGGAAGAGCGGCCACCCAGCTCTGCCAGGGGAAGCAGTTCTCCCTGAGAGCCCCAGGCCCCATTCTTGACTTCCCCAGTGCCGGGTGGAGGAAGAGGGAGGGATTAGCCCGAGGCAAGTGGTTCGAGCAGACAGAAGGGAACAAAAAGAGCAGCGAGTCAGGCCTGATCGGGGCCGCATCTACCCCAAAAGAGGGGACCAGCGGATCAACAGCTGAAGCGTAAGGTGCCGCGGCCAGCTCCTGGGTGGGGCTCCAGGTGGCATCCCAGTTGTGGCCACCCAGCCCTTCATCCTGGGCTAGGCAGGCGGGAGAGGAAAGCGCAGACTGCACGGTCCCGGGCACGTCCTCGGCAGGCAGTGGCCTTGCACTGGCCGGCCCTACTCAATGCACTCCATGACATGTATCTGCAGGGTGTCCATATCAGGGGCCTGATACTGGCACTTGGGACAGCAGAAGTCAGGTGGCTCCTCGGGGGGGCTCCTCCTCTGGCTGGGCAGGGCCAGGGGAGAGGAGAGGTAGGCTGGGAAAAGAGAAGAGTCAGAGGGAAGGGGAGGATGGAGGGGGACGGAGACTTGGCAGGACTGTCAATGGCAGGCCTGGTCTCACAGGCCACTCATGTAAGACCAGGAGCCGCCGCTACCACGGCATGCCTCCCTTAGCCTCGGGGAAGGGGGTGGGCTACCGATGGGGTGGCCTACACGAGCTCCCGCCGTCAAGTCTCCAGAGAGCAACAGGAAGGTCGAACTGTGACCTCCCGCGGCGCAGCACCTGCCCTCCCCACCCACCTCCTCCCGCAGGCCCAGTTCTCGCTCACTCACCAGGGGCGGGGGGCAAGGGGGCCTGGGAGACCTCGACATGCCGCTTCCTCATGTCCTCGATCCTTTGGAAACAGAAACCGTCCAGTCAAGCCACGCATTTCTGTAAAGCTCCTTGGCTGGACTAGTGTCAAAGCAGCTCTTGGAAGCTCAGGTGAGAGGAGAGGGACCACAGTGAGCCCTAACCCAGAACACCAGGAGCCATCCGTCTCCTGTGGTCACCACTGGCAACCCCCCAGTGTCGCACCCACTGCGGGGTCACCACTGGCGACCCCCCAGTGTCGCACCCACTGCTCACACGGGCACGCTCTCAGAGGCCCACCTGGCCGACTCCTGACAGCTGGCCTTCAGTTTGCTGTACTCCCTCTGCAGCTGCTCCAGCTGCTCCTGCAGGAGCTCCTTCTTCTCGGCCAGCTTCTCCCGGGCCTGCCTCTCAGCCTGGAAGTCCGCCTTGTAGATATCCGCCTGGCAAATCCAACAGAAAGGGATGTGCCCGCCACAAGCCAGCCACCCACCAGGCACTGCGCCAGGCACCACAGGAACAAAGCAGAACCCACTGCTGTCCTCCCAGAGCCCCCAGCGGCGCAGAGGAAACAGATACGTCGGCGAGTAATGCCAAGCTCACCGAGAGGTCTAAGGAGCAGCACAAGTGGCTCAGAAGCTTACGAAAGGCCACTACAAAATGATGCCAAAGAGGCCGGGTGCGGTGGCTCACGCCTGTAATCCCAGAACTTTGAGAGACTGCGGTGGGCAGATCACCTGAGGCCAGAAGTTCGAGACCAGCTGGGCCAACATGGTGAAACCCTGTCTCTACTAAAAATACAAAAATTAGACGGGCATGGCGGCAGGCGCCTGTAATCCCAGCTACTCAGGAGGCTGAGGCAAGAGAATTGTTTGAACCCGGGAGGCAGAGGTTGCAGTGAGCCAAGATCGTGCCACTAGTGGCACTCCAGCCTGGGCAACAAGAGCAAAACTCAATCTCAAAAAGCAAAAGCAAAAAAAAAAAAAAAAGACGCCAAAGAGACTCTCCAGGTCCCAGTGCCAGGGTGGGTCAGAGAGGAGGGCCCTCACCTGGGCCTTCAGCACCGGAACGGTCTCCATCACAATCTTGTGCTGCTCGGCCTCCTCCTTCAGCTTATCGATCACCTCCTGTTTGGCCACCAGGGCCTCCTCGGCCTGCTGGAGCTGCTGTTTGAGATCTTCCAGCTGCATTCCCTAAGGACGGGCAAGGGGAGCTGACGGAGCCTCGTCAGCCCAGGGCGAGGCTGGCTGAGAAGAACTGAGAAGGATGAAAGAGTGGCCCTGGCTGACCAGGCTGGGTGATGCCAGCCCCTGATTTGAGGGCCCATTGCAGGATCTCAGCGTGCACAGGGAGATGGCTGCGTCCTGTCACGGCCCAAAACGACAGAGGAGATGCTGAGGTTTTTTTCAGGACTGAAGAGGCCGCTGAGGTCATCTGGTACAACCTCCCAGCTGGGCCGACATTCCCTTCCCAGAATCCCCAGCTCCACAGCCCTCCTCCCACCCTTCACAGGCCACAGGCCACACCCACTCACAGCCAGCCGGTCCTGTGCCCGCCATGTGCACAGCTCAGCTGAGAGCCCTCAGTCCTTCCACTCTGCCACCTGGTCAGAGGTGCACTCCTCCCACGCAGGCATCTCCAGCCCCCTGAGACACACACAGACACACCCCACCAACGCCCCCCTCCAGAGATTAAGTGGCCAGTTTTGTAGCTAACTCTTCCCCATGTGACCTGGCTTCAGGCTTTGTCCTTATAAATCTCCTCTGGGTACACTTACGATTGACGGTGTCCTGCTAAAATGTGATCACTAGCAAACTGCACCCCAGCTTAGGTCTGATGAGGACAAACTAGGAAAAGGCTCCCAGCCAACACTGGGGTGGAAATGCTGTCGGGCTTACCTTGGCTTGGGGGAAGCTGAGCCAGGTGCCAGATGGCGATGGCTGGCAAGAGGGAATGTCCATGGAGACAAGACGTCCCCAGCCCCACAGAGGGAGCACCCCAAGGCTCTGGCCCAGCCCCCCATTAAGATGGCCTGCTGACACTCCTGAGAGCAACATCCTGGGGTTGCCATCTCCCCACAGCTTCCCTGAGCTGTCGCAGCTGCAGCCTGACACAGGTCTAAGGCAAGTCTAAGGCAGGTCTACCCATTCTCAAGGTTCAGGGCCACGGGGAGAGGAAGAGGCAAGGCCAGCCCTAGAGCCCCAGTGGTCGCACTCACTCGCTTCCGCTCACTGCCCACCACGCTGCTCTTGATGTGGTTGTCGTATTCTTGGAAGAGCTGGTGATAGGCCACCTGCAACTGGGCCAGCTTCCTCCTGAGGAAAGGGAGCTTTTGCTGGAGAAACCACCTCATGCCAGTCCAGCCACGGTGCTGCCTGCTTCCAACTCTACCCCCTTCCTTCCCTCCCTCGCATCACAGGCCTGGAATGGGGTCTTCCAAGGCTGTGTGAGGACTCCTGAGGCCGTCAACTCTAAAGCAGGCTTTGGTGGGCTGGTCACCAGGCAGTTAATATCGTTTTCCTAAAAGCTAGTATTTTTAATGTTTATAATAAAATCGCGGCCAGACGCGGTGGCTCACGCCCATAATCCCAACACTTTGAGAAGCCAAGGCAGGAGGATCGCTTGAGCTCAGGAGTTCAAGACCAGCCCGGGCAACATAGGAAAACGCCACCTCTACCAAAAATGCAAAAATTAGCCAGGTGTGCTGGCCTGCGCCTATAGTCCCAGCTACCTGGGAGGATCGCTTGAGACCAAGAGGCGGAAGGTACAGTAAGCCGAGATTATGCCACTGCACTCCAGCCTGGACGGTAGAGCAAGACCCTGTCTTGAAAATAATAGTAATAATACAATGGAACTACCCTGCACTGTTCAAAACTGTGAACTTCACAAACAGCTCAGAAAGGCAGGGGAACTGTTCTAGATTAAAGGAGACTGAAAAGGCACGCCAAGGACAGGAACCTGAGGTCCCAGATTGGATGCTGGTAGACGGGGGGGTTTGGGGGTATTTTTGTTGTCTTTCTGTTGCCCAGGCTGGTCTTGGAACTCCCGGGCTTAAGCCATCTACCCACTTTGGCCTCCCAAAGTGTTGGGATTACAGGCGTGAGCCACAGCACCTGGCCTAGAAGGGGTTTTAAAGGACAAGTCCCCTGATGACCTAGTGGCTAGGAAAAAAAAACTACAAAAAAGGCCACGTGTGGACACGCAGTGAAACGTGGTCTGGAGAGCAGATGGCATGACTGTATCAAAGACAAACCGGGTGTCATCATGGTCGCCTCTACCGTTAGCAAGGCTAAGGGACAGAATGGGCCCACAGCCACAGGCAGAATCTGAAGGAGTCCTCAGAAGGCAGAAAGAACCATGGACCCGACACTTCTCAGCCTTTCGGCTAAGATCAAGTGTAGAACCACAGACCCTGCGGTGCGGCCCCGCCCCCGCTGACTCACTTCTCCTCCGAGGCGGCCTGGCGCTCCATGCGGAGCGCGGCCTCCACGCTCTGGCCCTGCATGCGCAGCTGGTCCACCTGCACGCTGTGCTGCTGCTGCAGCGCCTCGCGCTCACTCTCCAGCTGCCGCGCCTGCTCGCTGGCCGCCCGGGCCCTGGCACGGGGAAAGAGCAGACTCAGGGAGGACGAACGGGGGGACGGGAGGGGCTATGCGCAGGGCGTGGGCGGGGGGTGGGGGTCGGCTCTGAACACCCTGTGACTGCGAGCTGATGCCAGGCGGCAGGGTGGAGGCACCGTCAACAGACACGAGGACAACTGCAGGGGGCCAGGTGGGAGCAGCAGGTGAGGAGCTTTGCTTAAGACGTGTTTGCTTCAATGCAGGGGCCCAGCAGGTGACCAAGTACAGATGGCAAGGAGACCTGGAAGCCAGGGGAAGGGGGTGGTCCGAGAAAAGGATGGGGTCGCCTGCATCCCGCAGTGCTGGGGCCAGGTGAGAGGAGCCCTCGGAACTGCCCGTGGAGTTCCACTGGGGGACTGCTGGGGGCCCCAGCAAAAGCAGTCTCAGTGGAGGGGGTCAGGAGAGACTGCTGTTCCAAAAATGAGAGACTGCCCACCTGGGCGTGCAAGCACTGAGCTCAATGCAGACCGGGCCTCGGCCCCATCCCTGCTGCTGCCCAGAGCTCTGCTGGAGTCCCAGACGACCTGCTCGGATGCTCAGTTCCCACACCTGCCCCCCTACAGCTCCCTTAACCTCCAGTTTCCAGGGTCTGGCCTCATCCCACCACACCAAGCCCTTCCACAGCCTCACTGCAGGGACAATGGTGGGTGCATCTGTCCAGGTCCTGGGTGGCCTCTGGCCACAGGCAGACACGGCCCTTCTCCAGTCACCCCAACTCTGCCTGGCAGGCCTGGCTGCTTGGCTCTCCCCTCCGCGCCTGCCTGCATACTGCCCCCACACCCTGCACGGGTTCCCTCTGCCCATCAGAGCCTGGGTCAAGCTCCCCTCCCCTCTGCCCTGCTGGCTGCCCCAAGTGCACCTTGACCGCCTACTGTGCTGGGATGGCTGGGGCCCCCCTGGCAGCTGATCCATCTGTCTGGAGGGCAGAAGCAGGACCGAATGAGAACCACAGAAACCTCCCTGCCCTTTGACCCAATGGTCCCACTCACAAGAACCAAGACCCCTTTGCAAAAGAGAGTAACCAGCAGGCCTGAGGCCACCGGCTGGCAAGGTTGGCCCTTGGCTGGTGAAGTTCCCTTGCCACAGTGACACTTTCTCTAGTGGTCAGGTCGGTCCCTGCACCTAGGCCATTTGTAGGAAGAACGTGGTTGACGTGAGCACCCGCTCTGCTGCTGGGAGTCGGGGATTTAGGTACCTGCCTGGCAGAGGGCGCTGACAGGACCTGCCCCCAGTAAACACCCAGGGCGCTGAGTCTCTAGCGGGCATCCCTGGGCAGGAACATGGCCCGTGTGGGAGGCGCTTCTCACTGTGCCGCTCGCAGGGCAGCGGGAGGCTGGGACAGGGCTTCTCCAACTCCCCCCACGGCTCCTGCCCTGGCGGCTCCTGCCCTGTGCCTTTTTCCCTGTCATCAACCTCAGCCACGAGGGCGACTGTGCGCCGGTCCCAGAAGTCCTTCCAGAGAACTAGACACTGTGGGTGTGGGCTCGGGGCCCCCAGAATGCCTCCTAAGGAAATAATCCAAACTCCATCAAAGGGTCACAGAGTGCGGAGAGCCGGCTGGGACCCAGGTCCCGGATGCCTGGCCCAGACCTCTCCCGACGTCTGCCCCGACGTGTTTACGCAGCCTGCCCCGGTCTATCCTCATCAAGGAGCACCCTGGAGGCCCCTAAACCCACCTCATTGCTTTTGGAAACCCTGCAAGGGGTCTCCGGAGCCGGCTCCCCCGACTCACCGACCCTCCAGAGCCTGGCATTCCTTAGTGGCAGCCTCCAAGCGACTCTGGCTCTCCTGCAGCTCCCCGAGCAAGGACGTCACCTGGGCTTTCACAGAGGCCTTGTCCTCAGCCATCTGCTGCAGGATAAAAAGCCACTTCCTGTCAGCACTGCTTTCTCCCCAGCGGCCCACTCCTGCCATCCGCAAGCCCGGGGCAACCCGCAAGCGGCTGAGGCCTGCGCGCCATGAGGCCTTTTTTCCTGCCCTCGGCACCCCCAAACCTGGGTGCCCTAGGGCCTCATGAGCCCAAGGGCCACCCAACCCTCCCCAGCTGCCCACCTTAACCCTCTGCCACAGGGTGACACACAGATGGGGCAAAAAGAGATCCCCAAAGAGACGAAGGAGCACAAAGCTGCCTTGAGGTTGTCAACGGCTTAGTCACTGCCCCGGCAAGCAGGCCTCGAGGGCTGAACCCGGTGGCCTTGCAGCTACAGCCCCAGCAGGGGATCTCTCTCCGTCTCTCTGAGACTTGGGACAAAAGGAGGCCAGACACGAATAGGGCAAAGTAAACACAGGCCCCAGTCCACACCCGGGGCCGCCAGGATGGGAGAGTTTGTGCAGATCAAGAGTGGACACTGAATTTTGTTAAACACTGGGAACTGCAGAACCTCTCGGCAGGCACACTGCACTCAAACCCCTGCCCGAAGACACCCGGCCACCACCTCGCGGGGCCTCTGGGAGCCTAAGGCCGCGCCCCTGGGACGCCCCAGCCCCCTTTTGAGTGAGTTCCCGTCTGGAAACGCTCAGGGCTGCCCAGAGCATGTACTGTCTGTTCCGGCCAACACCTGACCTCCCTTTCTGACAGCATTTACTACAAAGGGCTTACCCTGTCCCTTTGAGACATCTGTGTAGCACCCACAACCCAGGGGCTTTCCCGAGGGCCCCGCAGCCACTCCTTGGAAACGGAAACCTCAGGAGGCGCGGGGCCCAGTCTCCCAGTCTCCACGGGACGGAAGCATCCCAACCTTGGTAAGCACCGGCAGCTCCCACACACGGCTGGCCTCGCGGCAAGGACGCTGGCTGCCCCGTCATCTTTCACCTGAGCCTGCACTCGCCCCCTCCCGACTCCCTCCTTCTCCCTTCGCAAGGCCAGGCCGCCTCTGCTGGGGCGGGAACGGAGCTCAGCTCTCTCCCCCGCAAGCAGGGGTTTCTGAAGAAGATCTCTTTTGCCAGCTTGAACAAAGGCCCGCTTTTGTGTACCTTTGTGTATCTCCGGTGTTCTTGTCAAAAGAGGAGGACAGGCACAGAGGCCCGCGGGGACAAGGCCACAGGATGACGGAGATGGAGGCTGGAGAGGTGCAGCCGGCGGCCCCCGGCGCCGTGGAGAGGCCTGGAAGGCAGCTCCCTCGCGGCCCTGGCGGGGAGCCCACCCTGCCGACACCACCGCTAGCTCAGCCTCCAGGCCTCCAGAAGCGGGAGGCCACGCGTTTCTGTGGCTTCGGCCCCGCAGTCTGTGGTGCTTGGTCACGGCAGCTGTAGAAAACTCATCCACTTCCCACACAGGAAATCAACGCCTTAAGCCAGGCGCTCTAAGCCCTGAGTGGAGCGGCGTGCACAGCCCACCATCCACGCCTTTCCCCAGGGGAGTGGAGCCTGGCTGTGGCAAGTGCCAGGTACCCGCCAGCAAGTCTCCTCTCCAGCACTTCTCTCCACCTTGCCCCTCAAAGGGAGCACGGCCCCTTCCTGACTACCATCGCCAGGATCCTGCGATCAGCCAAGCCCACACACAAAGACCCTGAAACCAGGCGGTCTGTGCTAATGACACGATTTATGGGGGGAGCCTTGGGCCACACAGCTGGACCTCTGGTGGCTACAGCCGAGTGACCAGGGTTGGCCACGCAGGCGCTCGGTGCCCACGCGGCCCACCCCCCGTGAAAACCCCGGCCGCCACGGCTGGGGTGAGCTTCCCGGTTGTGACTCCGTGCTCGCTGTCCCACACTGTTGCCGAAAGAAACAGGTGCCGTCTGCACAACTCCCCTGGGCGAGGAGCCGCTGAAGCTCACGCCTGGTCTCTCCTGGAGCCCGCCCTGTGCGCCCTGAGCCTTCGCTCACCGTAACCTGTGTCCTTTCCTTGTAATAAACCGGAACTGGGAGTGTGACGGCTTTTCTGAGTTCCGAGCCCTCCCGGCACAGCACTGAGCCCCAGGGTGCTTTGGGGGACCCCGACCACGGGTTCCCTTGTGGAACACTGGCGTCACCGCGGGTTTTCAGAACCTGGCCCTGCCCCGACTACCTGCTGGCATCTCTTCAGGTGCTCCACCTCCCGCAGAGCCTGCTCCTTCTGCCTCTTCAGATCGAGCTTCTCCAGGCCGAGTCTCTCCACCAGTTTCCTGGCCTCCTGGAACTTGCACATGAGGAACTCCTTCTCCTCCCTCTGGCTGGCTTGGAAATGCAGAAGCTCCTCGCAGCGCTCCCGCAGAATCTGGTTGCTCTGCCGGATGGCATCTGGTGGCAGAGGGGACAGTGGAGGGGAGCTGGGCAGCCCGGCCTGCCGGGCCCTGCCTGGGCCCACATGGGCCTGAGGCTCAGGAAGTCAGAGGCCAGAAGTGGGACCACCCATCCTGGTGCCCCCACCCGCCATAATACCACGCAGCTTCTCTCAGGGGTGGATGGCGTCTCAACACTCCCTTTTGTTTCTTTAAACACTTCCAAAATCCTTTACACTAATGCCCCTCACTTTCTGCAAGAAAATAACACCAAACACATCAGCTTCACTTAAAAGTACGTCTCAAATGTCACTTTAAAAAATTTTTTATTTTTGGCTGGGTGGGGTGGCTCACGCCTGTAATCCCAACACTTTGGGAGGCCGAGGTGGGCGGATCATGAGGTCAGGAGATTGAGACCATCCTGGCTAACATGGTGAAACCCCGTCTCTACTAAAAATATAAAAAATTAGCCGGGCGTGGTGGCGGGCACCTATAGTCCCAGCTACTCGGGAGGCTGAGGCAGGAGAATGGCATGAACCCCGGGGGGCAGAGCCTGCAGTGAGCTGAGATAGTGCCACTGCACTCCAGCCTGGGCGACAGAGTGAGACTCCGTCTCAAAAACAAAAAAATTTTTTTTATTTTTGTAGAGACAGGGTCTTGCTCTGTGGCCCAGGCTGGTCTCAAACTCTCGACCCCAAGCGATCTTCTTGCCTCGGTAGGTACACACGCAAAAACAGATGGCCGCAGCCTTCCACACGGCTGACTCTGCAAACAGCGAGATTCTCCCTCTCCCACAGGGCAGTGCGCTCGCGGATACTCCTTTCTCTCCATCTCAGGGACTCACCTCTCTGGGTGTCTGCATGGGAGCCTCGCCCATTCCCCCTCCTCACCAACCTGGCCATTCCGGCGCCCGTGTGGGTGTAAATTGGGGGCATCTTTCAAGACAGGGCAGAAGGAGAACCTGCTCTCTGTCTGCTCTCCACCTCAGGGAGCCCTCCTGCCCTCTTGCGTTTCCTCCTGGGCCCTTGAGGCCACTTGAGGGAAGAGAGGGGAAGCCTAACACACTGGAGACACAGCTTCAGGAAGGAAGACACAGAGCTGAGCCAAACAAAGGAGGCCGCTCTGGGAAGCTCAGGGAATGAGGCCCCAGAGGACAGATGAGCATCATGGGCAGAGCGGGGTCAGATTCCCCGTGAATTCAATACCTCAGCCAAGCAGGGTTTACATCCTAGGGCAGGAGGGGAAGAGGCAGCTCCAATTAAGGAAGGGCCGCCCTCTGGAGACAGGCCCCGGGTCACTCCGGGGGTCTCCCTGCAGCGCCTGTGGTGTTGCTCCCAGACTCAGTGGGCCAGCAGGTCCCTACCTGACAGTTACTGTGCTCCTGGATCTTCATCTTTGCTCCCTGGGCTTCTGCTTTTGTGCCCGTGATGTTGGCTGCAGGGGCCAGTGGCTCAGCACCTGGTCAAAGTTGTCTGGATGCAGTTACAGCTGCAATGCAGCTGGACTTCTGAGTCAGCCCGGCCAGGGTCGCGGCCCTGGGGCATGGTGACCTCTCCCGGTGCTGCTTCCCCTGGGGCACGGTGACCTTGCTGGGGCGGGCACATGCTGGACTCGTGGCCAGGTTTGCCCGGGCCTCCCCGTTTCACCAGGAGTCAAACTCCTCTAACCGCGTGTGACGACCACTCTGCATGTTTGAGAGGACGGAAGTTAAGTGGACTCTTCAGACTTGACTTGGAATTCTGGAATATGAGGGCTAGAGGGAAGCATTAGGGACCTCTTCACCTGAGGCTGGGGTGTGTTCTGCCACAGCCCTGACCCATGCTCCCACCAGCTGTGACAGAGCCCTCAAGGGCTGGAGCGCTCACTGGCTCCCAAGGAATCCCGCTGGCATGACAGGAAGGTCTCTCTGACATTGCTGCTGGTCTTTCAGTTTTCCTTTGCGCACCTCGGGCTGAAACAGAGCGAGTTCACTGCGTCCCTGCATTCCAGGAAGCTCCCCAGGTCTCAGCGTCCTCTCTCAGCTTCCATCCGTCCCTGGCCTTGACAGAGAGCCGGGCCTCTCCTAACACACCACCGATCCAGAGGAGAAGGAAGCCGCTCACACCCTCCGGGGCAGGCATGCGGAGGTGGCATTCGCCTGGCTTCCTGCTGGGACTTCCTCACAGCGTGCCCACGTCTCTTGGAAAAACTCCTCTGCTCTGAGACAGAACCGGCTTTGGCACAGCCTGGATGTACCAACCCCCCTCGCCTTCCTCAGTTGTGCAGTGATTTGTTCAGCCTTTCCGCAGCTGGTGGACATTTACATTCTAAAAACTATTTACGTGGTGGTGTCATTAAGATGCTGGTGGATTCTACCTCATTTGCATATCCAGGAGTTTCTCAGATGGATTCCTCAAGGTGGGTGGAAGGGAATGTACATCTTTCCCTTAATAGAAAATGCCAAATAAATGTCCAGATAGATGTTACTACCACTCCTACTGACAGTGTATGAGTCCTCGTTTCCAACTACAGCCTTGCCAAGCATTGGAGATTGTCAACTAATATTATTAATCTTACATTAAAATCTGCTATGTTCCCACCGAGCAAATGCTAAAACAAAACTCAAAGGGATCAAGTTGTCTCCGAGCAACTTAAGAGCATCCCAGAACACAGCTCAAGCATATGTCTGTTTTGCTTTGACAAACAGCCCCTTTCCAACCTAGCTCTGCCCAAGATGGTGCCAGCGTGACCTCCCGGCAGACAAGACACCTCAGCATGTCATGCAGACCCCACAGCTGCCTGCTCCCTCCCCTGCCTACCATTCACGCCAAGTCCTCCTTTAAAAGGCCCTGCTTTCTGCCCCCAATGGGAAGCAGTGCTCTTAAAGGCAGGAGCCTGTACGTCTTCCCCTAAACCAAGCATGGCAGAAAGTCAGTTTCTTTACAGGAAACCTTGCTCTTGTTCATTAGACTCTGCAAGCAGTAAGAGAATCTGTGTTAACATTACGTGTTTACAAACATTTTACGCTGTTCACATTTACTATTATTATTACTTTAGAGTCAGGGTCTCGCTCTGTCGCCAAGGCTGGAGCTCAGGGATGCATTCATAGCTCACTGCAGCCTCGAGATCCTGGACTCAAGCCACTTTCCCACGTCAGCCTCCTGAGTACCTGGGACTACAGGTTCCTGCCACCACTCCCTCCACCCCTAATTTTTAAATGATTCTTATAGAGATAGAATCTCACTACATTGCCCAGGGTGGCCTCCAACTGCAGGTCTCAAGCCATCCTCCCACCTGAGCCTCCCAGAACAATGGGAATACAGGTGTGGGCCACCATGCCCGGCCCATATCACATGTTTAACAGTGAAATAATGCTGGTTTTATGCATCTATTCAAGTACATGTTTTTGAAGCATTTTTAGAAAGCACAAAAGCTCATATGTTCAATGAAAACAATTTGGGAAAAAATTTAATGCTGACCTGGAAAAACATTATATATGCTACTGTCATATATTTAACATATAAATGCAAGTATATTGAGGAAAATATTCTAAAATGTCCACAGTAGTTAATGCTGAATGGCGGGACCCAGTGGCTTTTCATTTTCCCCCATTTCCCAAATTGCCTCCCGTTACCTTGTGCTACTTCAATCTGTGAATCCCAGAGCCTCCCCTACAACCCGAGGACAAGGGCATGCAAGTCCGAAGGTGCCTTCGCTCGCCGAAAAGAGACTCAGACACGGAATCGTAGCTCAGCTTTATTTTCTACAGAAACAAACATGTAAGCCGTCCTCCTCCAGCGACAAACAATCAGGCCCCCACAATGAACTGGCCACTCGTGCTGGGACCATTCCCTAGGGGAGGAGGCATGACCTAGGAAGGGGCGCCAGGCTGGGCTTAGCGCCTCTGCCCTGAGGGAGCCTGAGCCAAAAACACGGGCAGAAAGCACTGCGTGATCCACATCAACAGGGAAAGCTGCTGGAGACAGGAGCTGATGGAGAGCTGCAGTTGGCGGTGGTCTGCAGCAGTCAGTCGGCTAAATGTGAGGGGCAGAGAACATCACATTAAAGGCGACACCTCTGCACCCATCTCCCTGGGCTCCCTCGGGTGGCGGCGGGCCTGGTGTACCAGGTCTCTGTTCTGAGACCTTGTGTTTGGGTGTTCTGAGATCTCTAGCTTTCTGCCCCTCCGGGGAGGCGGATCCCAGCCCCCAACCCACCACCCTCATCCGCCCAGCGCCTTCCCTGTCCTGGTCCCGAACTGACATAAACAGTAGGTTGCCGGACACGGTGAAGTCCTTCAGAACCGCCCCTGGTCGGGGGAGCGGTGCGGCATCCCGGGACAGGATCCTGCGGACCAGCTCCGCTTCCATGGGCGACGAGAAAGGCATCGTGATGTGCCTGGTGGGGACCCAGTTAAGGTGCCATCTCCTAGGATTTGGCCGGTGCCCATCTCATCCCCTCAGGCTGTCTCCCCACGCACTGGCCCAGGTCCTGCAGCAACCCCACCCAGCTGTCTTGATTCCCCACTTTCCTCTGTTGCACCTCAAGCTGACTCCTGCGTGCCCTTCCAAGGCCCTCCCCACCATGCCCCCTGCCGCATCAGCCGGGACCTCTCCCCATCGCTTGACACCACCCCCATCCAGCCCACACCCCAGCCACCGGCTCCCACCTTGCACGCTTCCCCCCAACTCCTGATCCCTTCACACACCCAAGAACCCCTGTCTCCTGTCCCCCTGCCCCTCACCCCATCGCCCAGCACCCAACTGTGCACACGCTCCACCTCCCATCCCCTACCTACTCCCTTCCTCTGAGCCACCCCTCGACCTCCAACTCCCAGCCCCCACCCCCACCCCACCCGGCGCCTTACCCCCATCTCCCAAACCCCACCTTCCGCACCTGGCCCTGCCCTCACCCACCTCCTGGCCCTGCCCCCCACCTCTTGACCCTGTTGTCTCCGTCTCACGGCCCCCACCTCGCCACCAGAACCTCCTAGAACAGAACAGAACAGGATACAACTCAAGCAGGCGGCTGTCCGGCCTCCTGGCCCCGCAGGGGCACCTTCCATCCTGCGCAGAAGCGGCACCGCCATGCGGACCCCGCGGGGCGCCTCCTCTCGGCCCCGAGGCCCTTGCTGCCCCTGCGCCCCGGGGACCTCTGCCGCCCGTGGCACCCGCCTCTCCTGGGCCGCCAGCATTGCCCCCTGGGCCATCAGGAATGCCAGGGCCTCCTGGGCCATCAGCATCGCCCGTCGAACCCCCTGTGCCCCGGCCTTCGGCCTGCATGGCTCCGGAGCCTCTGCCCGGCTCTCAGAGAGAAGGTCAGGGCCCACGAGGATGCGGAGGCAGAGAGGCTGCAGGAAGTTCCGCCCCCTGGCGTGAGATGGGCAGCCCGGGATCCTCAGGGCGCCTGCGCACAGGGGCCCTACTTCCGGCCCTGGGAGACCCCGAGTGAGCCCCGGAGCACGTGACCGGTTCTCACCAACCCCGCCCCTCCCCAAGAGAGCCCGGGCCGGAAGGTGGCCGCAATGCCAGCTTGGACCCCTCACCCCTGAGCAGCCGGCTGTCCGCCGGACCCCTGTCCCGGGAGCCCTGCAGGGAGTCAGGCACTGCGGGGCCCAGCCTGTCCCATCCCCCGGGTCTCCCTCACATCGAGGAGCAAGACGGGCCTGGGAACACGGGGCCGGGACTGTGCGGCCATCGTCCCGGACCCTGTCTGCCCTGTCCGTCCTTGGGGGAGCGCCCAGGACAGACCCCGGGGGGCAGGCCTCTAACTGGGCTCAGCAGCCTCCGTCCCTGTCCTGGTCGCCCAGCTGGTGGGGTAGCTGGAACTGCATGTCTGGTGGGCGTGGCCTCGCGCCAGCCAAGGTCTCCCAGGCGCCAGGTCCAGCCAAGGTGGACGGGAGGGCCCAGCGGGACCCGGGGCCGGATCTCACTCCTGGGTTCAACGGGTTCTGTCCCTGTCCTAGTCGCCCCGCCTGGTGGGGGAGCTGGAGCTGCGTGTGGGGTGGGTTGCGGGTGGCCTCCCACCAGCCAGGGGCTCCCGGGCTCTAGGCCTGGCCCAGGTGGACAGGCGGGACCTGCTGGACCTGAGGCTGGGTCGGGCCTGGCTCCTGGGTTCGGCAGTATCAGTCCCTGCCCTGGTCGCTCTTGCCTGGTAGGGAGCTGGGAGGTGACCCTGTGTCTGCTGGGTGCTGGCTTACTTCTGTGTCTGGAAGGGGGTCAGATCCACAGGAAAGGTGCTGCGAGAGGCGGGCAGGGGTGGGGGTGGCATGGCCCTAGGAGCTGGGTGTCTGTCCCCACGCCCTGTTCACAAGTCTGTGGGGCGAGAGGCTGCAATACTCCATCCCGGGTGTCTGGGCTGCTCACCAGGCCGGCTCAGGCTTCCCACATCCTGTACCCTGGGTTGGGCATGAAACCGATCCAATCGTCCCATAGGCTGTTCTTTTTGATACACATAGAAACTGACCCTTCTGGTCTTCAAGCTTGAACCTTACAGTTGTTTTATCTGAATTCCTTCCTCAGGAAATGACCTTCGGGCCTCTCAAAATATCAAAGAACTGAAACTCACCAGATAACCACATCCAGACAATGAGATGCTGGACCCCCCAAATTCATCAGGATTGCTTTCTGGGCCCTCCCGAGTTCCTGTTTTCCTACACATTGGTGCATTTCTTCCTGGCTATATAAACCCCTAGTTTTAGTCAGGGGGATGGATTTGAGACTTAACTCCCATCTCCCCGGCTGCAGCACCCAATTAAAGCCGTCTTCCCTGGTAATGCTCTTCGTCTCAGTCAGTCATTGGCTTTCTGTGCGGCCAGCAGCAGGACGTAGACCAAACCCTTGGTATTTCGGTAACAGGCACACCCCCAGGAAGGGACCCCGGACACGGCTACCACCTCTAGGCTTAAAGCGAATGCACTTCCCGCATCTCCAGTCTTCCGTGTAGCAGCTTTAACCTATGTATGTCTGTGCCACATCCAGTCCTCAGACGGCTGAGTGACCCCAAGAAAGGCTTCCCCGACACCCAGACAGAGGCTGCAGGGCTGGGGCTGGGTGAGGGTGGCGGGCCTGCGGGGACATTCTACTGTGCTAAAAAGCCACTGCAGACATAGCAATAAAAACATGTCATTTTCCAAAGCAGGCTCCTGCTTCTGCCTCTGCTGCTCTAAGAAGGGGTCAGGGTGCAGGAGGCAGGGGGAACCTCCTCCAGCTGGAGCTGCTGCGGTGAGCAAGGCTCTGCTCTGGAGGCCTCTGAGGCTGGCACCCTTCTGGGGACTGGGAAGGGGGCAGGGAAGGCAGCAGCCCAGGGAAAGCCTCGTCCCCCTGGAGCCGAGGCAGTTGGGGAGAGCAGGACGAGAGTGAGCTGGAGAGCAGCCACACCGATGGGTAAGGGTGGGTGAAGGGATTCCACAGGTGTCTAGAAAACTGGAAAGAGCTCCTTAGCAGGTCCAGGCCCCAGGTGTAGGGGAGGACCAGATGTGGAGGATGAAGACGGTTGTCCAGAGGGATCTCCAGGCGTTGGCATTATTGGGTCCTACTGAGATGCTGTCAAGGAGAAAACACAGGCTGTGTGTGGCAGGGCGACAAATGAGTGCTGCTGCCAAGCTCTGTCCTGTTTTCTGTGCACGTCTCAGAGCCCCTCCAGTGACCGTCATCTCCGGCCTCCTCCTGCGCCTCTGTGTTCGTAGACATCTTCTCACATCTCAGATCCTGCTGAGCCTCTGGGCCCCCTGCACGTGCCTTCTGCCTCTCGGCTGCTGGGGTGGGGACCTCTGTGCCCTGTGCCAGCGCCTCTCCTGCAGCTCACAACACATCTGCTTTTTCTCCTGCGCCCTGCACAGGGTGGGCCTGGAAGCTCTGGGGAAGTTGTACCCTTGGACACAGCCCCCCACCGATGGGGCCAAGAGTCACTGGATAAAAGTCTTAGTCTCTCACCCTTTGAAGGACAACTCTGAGGTGCGGCTGACTGTGGAGCGAATGAAATGAAACGGATGCACGGGGATGGGTGTGGACAAAGGAATGCCGACTTCTCAGGCTGCCGATACATATCTCAGTAGAAGCACGGGGGAATGCTATATAGAGAAATATTTCTATAGTATCTGAAGTGTTTAGAATGTATTGACCTAATATATACACAATAAAAGTAAAAACATTGGAAGAAAATTTAGATGAACTTTATTTGATTGTTGGAATGGAAAAGACTTTTCTCTCTTTCTTTCTTTCTTTCTCTCCTTTTCTTTCTTTCTTTCTTTTCTTTCCTTTTTTTCATTATTATACCTTAAGTGCTGGGGTACATGTGCACAACGTGCAGGTTTGTTACATAGGTATACATGTGCCATGCTGGTTTGCTGCACCCATCAACTTGTTGACCTAGCAATCCCATTACTGGGTATATACCCAAAGGATTGTAAATCATTCTACTATAAAGACACATGCACATGTATGTTTATTGCAGCACTCTTCACAATAGCAAAGACTTGGAACCAACCCAAATGCCCATCAATGTTAGACTGGATTTTAAAACTGTGGCACATATACACCATGAAATATATGCAGCCATGAAAGAGAATGAGTTCATGTCGTTTGCAGAGACATGGATGAAGCTGGAAACCATCATTTTCAGCAAATTAACACAGGAACAGAAAACCAAACACCGCATGTTCTCACTCGTAAGTGGGAGTTGAACAATGTGGACACAGGGAGGGGAACATCACACACCGGGGCCTGTTGGGGGTGGGGGGCTGGGGGAGGGATAGCATTGGAAAAGACTTTTCTAAGCCTACTAGCAATGAGAATAATAATAACCAATAACATTTGTTGGGTGGTCACCATGTCCCAAGCCACTGTTGTAAGCACTAGACAAGAATTGGCTCATTTATCCAGAAATACACCACATTTTCATTGTCGTTATCCTTGGCGGTGAGATAACGGTTGGTTTTTTATTTTCTCTTCCGAACTTGCCCATATTTCCTCTTCTTTTGCAGTGAACATGTATTACATTTATAAGCAGAAAGCGATTAAGAAAGTTATTCATTACTTGCTGTTGAGGAAAATTTCTAATTAGCTCTGGAGTGAGCCAGTTTGCCAAAGTTTAAATTAGCCTGTTCAATTCATTGGAGGCCATATTTTTCCTCTGAAACTTGTTCTAATTGGCACCTTTTCTTGATGTAATGAGGCGGACGGTGCCGTGATGAAGTCTCTGAAGTCACCGAGCCTCGGGGCCCACGCTAGACACCACGGGGCAGATGTCGCCCGGCTCTCCTGGTCATCTCTGTGGCTTTCAGCCGCTTCCAAAAAACAATTGTTTCCAAATTCCACACACACAGTTCATCCTACCTTGAAAGTTATTCCTCCAGAGGGCTGTTGATAGTTTGCTTCATCAGCATTTTGTCACTATTACACACTGAGATTTTTTTTTTCTTCTGCACCTTGGAGGTACTCATGAAGAACACATGTGTGCTTAAACACAAAACCTACCGAGGCCCATAACAGCCCCTCCCCTCCAGAGGGCCGGTCCTGGTCCACACACGCTGGCAGACAGTCTTTGTGTTTCCGAATCAGAGAAGACTTGCTTGGAATGGATGAAATGTATTTGAAATCACATTAGGCATCATCTGGAATGGTGAAGCTTCAGAGGTGACAGGGCCAGGATGTCTATATTCAAAGAGGGCCATTGAATTAAAGTTAAGCAGGGATCTCTTTGCTTGAATTCCAGAGTTTCAAACCAGCACAGTCATGTGAGCTTGGATGGCCTGTAGGTACTTCCAACCCAACCTGCCCCCAGCTGACCTCACTGCCTGTCCCCCGACTCCCGGAATGGCTTCCCTCTGCTTCATTCTCTGTCTTGGCGACACGCGTTTCCATGGTCCCGCACTCTGTCATCTCACCTTCCGTCCAGTCAGTTTCCTTCAATGTGTCCTCTCCACCCTCCCTAGGCCAGGTCGGCATCATCTCTCACCTATATGATGAGAACAATCTCCCCCGGTCTACACAGATTCCCGGCCCCTTTCCTAGGAATTTGGCCTGAGTGGGGCGGTCTAAGTGGGGATGATGTAGGCTGGCCTCATATGGCCCAGGGGGAGGGCCCAGCCATACCTACCAGGGCTGATGAGCACGGCTTGTTTCGCCCTGTGGGGGTCATTGCAGGCTCTTGTGCGGGACTCGGGATGGGGGTCTGTTGGGAAGCCCCGGATGGCCTAGTGTCCTGGCCTTGAGCCTTTGGTCTTCTCTGAGCGCCCACCCGCCATCACTTGAGAACAGTGAAAGGCAGCTGTGTTGACCCTTTGAGCAGCATGTGGCCGTTCCTAGGTTTGGTGGTAGGGGTGAGTGACCCTTTCCTGTGAAGGAATGGCGAGTAACCATTGTATGACAGTGAATTGTCTTAGTGCCTAATAGCCCAGCCTACTTTGTGAGCTCCATAAAGGCAGGAAGCTTGTCTGGAGCTTTTCTGTATCCCCAGTGCCAAACCCCATAATGGGGAGACACGAGGTACTCTCTCATTCTTTCTTTCAAGAAATATTTCCTGGCCGGTGCGGTGGCTCATGCCTGTCATCCCAGCATGCTGGGGAAGATGGGGTTTAGCATGTGAGTGAGGACCACACATAGCACAGAGAGCACCCAGTCGCCCAAGCCAGAGTATGCAGAGTTGGGAAGGATGTAGCAGGGGACTGAAGTGACGTAGAAAAGACCGATCATAGTGAGATGGGCAACACAGGTAGAAAAGGCTTTTCTTCAGCCCTGGGTGGAATGAATCCTGAACAGCAGCCACAACGTGTCCATAGGAGACCACGACCAGGACGCAGTGTGCAAGAGCCACCAGAAAACTGAAGAACAGGGCAAGTTCATTGGTACGTGTGCTGAAGCAAGAGAGTCTGAGCAGTGACGGAGGTCGCAGAAGAAGTGGGTGATGAGGCAAGGCCTGCAGAACTTGGGTAGAGCTGTGAGGATGCTGTAGGTGAATGCGTTGGCCAAGGCCAGCAGGCAGGAGATGGAAGTGAGGCCCGTGTGGGTCAGTCGGCCCACGAGGACAAAGTAGTGCAATGGCTGGCAGATAGCTGCATAGAATCATAGGCCACGGCTGTGAGGAGGAAGGACTCCTAGGGTGCCAGGAAGTGGAGAAAGCATATCTGGATGAGACAAGCACAATAAAGTACGGGCCCTACCTGAGCCAGCAAATGCACCAGCACCTGAGTCACCATGTTGGAGATACAGGCGGCATCCATCAGCGAGTGGCCGCCCAAGAAGAAGTACATGGGAGTGTGGCGTCGGTAGTCCACTGTGAACATGTGGCTCCCAACCACAACCACTATGTAGATTAGCAGAAAGGTGGTGAACAGCAGGGGCCTCCAAGCCTTGCTGTCCCTCAGGCCTTTCAGAAGAAACTGGGACACTAGGGTCCCATTCCGCAGCTGCTTGGAACCACGCACAGAACCCTGCACCTGTAGTATGCAACTCAGAGTCAGATGAGGGTCTAGGTGTGGAGTCCCAACTTACAAGGGGGGGAGGGGATGAGGGATGGACTAATGACTAGGTAGGCAGGTTTCAGATTTAATGGAGGAAGACTTGTTGGTTCAATACAATGAGGAGCCTCAAATGGCCAGGCAAATCTTTCATCTCCTGTTGAACAGAACCTTTTTTGGGAGAAAGTGATGGGGATCAGCCTTTAGGGTATCCATAGATGGCTTTGCTGGCAAAACTGTGGCAGGTGGGAGGGCAGATACATATACAGAAAATGTCTCTATTCCTGGGACAAAAATCCTCCTGCTCCCTGAATGAGAGAATGGGTCCAATATAATCCACTTTCCACCAGGCAGCTGGCTGCTCCCCTTGAGGTGACAACCTAATAAGCGTTGCTTTACGTTGGGTACACGGCAGAAGTACCCAGATCAGCCTCGGTGTGGTGAAGACCATGTTGTGTCATCCTTCCCGTAGCTGTGTCTCCAGTCTCCCTGTTTGCAGAGTCAGCCCAAGCTGTGTGGAAGCCTGCGGCCACCAGCTCGTGCATACCTACCTATCTATGTGTCCAAAACTAGGTCTGTCAGCTCAAAGACATCAGGACAAAAGACACCAACCTGTCTTGTCTGTGAGGAAGGTGTTGGGGGAGGAAGAGGGTGCCTGGTGTCTGGAGTGGCTTGTGGCTTGAGGGAGCATCTCACCGAGCAAGGTCCCCACAGAGAGCCTACCCCTGGGGCTGACACCGTATCTACGTCCTGTTCTCCGACACTTTGCCCTCTGCAGGCAGCATTCTTCTCTTCTTAGGCCTGTTCAGGAGGAACCTGCAGCCAGAGAACCGGAGCCAAAACCACAGGGCCCTCTGCACCTAGGCCGGAGCATGAGTCGAGGGGTCAGACCAGGCTGGCTTCCCTTCAGTTGTAGCCAACTTAAGTCTTTGCTTTCATTCCCCAGATAATCTGACCCCGTGGAAAGTAATTCAACACTGCAGAAATGACTGAGATGGAGTGAAAGTTTACACATGCACACTCCCCCGACAACCAACAGAGTGACTACTGTTACCACACTGGGTAGGTGCTTCATAGCTAGAGTTCGTGTTCTACATATCACATAAGGCTATATCTTTGTAATTTCTTTCCTTCTACTAATGTTGTGCTTACTTTGTTCTTGTGATTCTAGTTTCTTGAAATGCAACATTAGGTCATTTATTTGAGATATTTCTTCTTTTTGGTGTACGCATTTATTGCTATAAACTTCCCTGTTAGAACTGGTTTTCCTGTATTCCATAGGTTTTGATATTTTTTTCCAATTTCCTTACTCCCAGGGAATGTTTAAATTTCCCTTTTAATTTCTTAATTGATCCATTGATTGTTCAGAAGCATATTTTTAAATTTAGATATTAATAAGGTTTGGCTCTCTGTCCCCAACCAAATCTCGATTCAAATTGTAATCCCCATAATCCCCATGTGTTAAGGGAGGGACTGAGTGAGAGGTGAATGGATCATTGGGGAAGTTTCTCCCATGCTGTTCTCCTCATAGTGAGTGAATTCTCACGAGACGTGATGGTTTTATAAGAATTTGGAAGTTCCTCCTTCACTCTCTCTTCTCTCTCCTGCTGCCTTACAAAGAGGTGCCTGCTTCTCCTTTGCCTTCCGCCATTATTGTAAGTTTCTTGTGGCTTCCCCAGCCACACAGAACTGTGAGTCAATCAAACCTCTTTTGTTTATGAATTACGCAGCCTTGGGTAGTATATTTATAGTAGTGTGGGAACAGACTAATATAGTAAACTGGTACTGCAGAGAATGGGGCACTACTATAAAGATACCTGAAAATGTGGAAGTAACTTTGGAACTGGGTATTGGGCAGAGGTTGGAACAGTTTGGAGCACTCAGAAGAAGACAGGAAGATGTGGGAAACCTTGGAACTTCCTAGAGACTTGTTGAATGGCTTTGACCAAAATGTTTTTTTTTTTTTGAGACGGAGTCTAGCTGTCGCCCAGGCTGGAGTGCAGTAGCGCGATCTCGGCTCACTGCAGGCTCTGGCCCCGGGGTTCACACCATTCTCCTGCCTCAGCCTCCCGAGTAGCTGGGACTACAGGCGCCTGCCACCTCACCTGGCTAATTTTTTGTATTTTTAGTAGAGACGGGGTTTCACTGTGTTAGCCAGGATGGTCTTCATCTCCTGACCTCATGATCCACCTGCCTTGGCCTCCCAAAGTGCTGGGATTACAGGCGTGAGCCACCGTGCCCGGCTGACCAAAATGTTGATAGTATTATGGACAATGAAGTACAGGCTGTGGTGGTCTCATATGGAGATGAGGAACTTCTTAGAAACTAGAGCGAAGGTCACTCTTGCTATGCTTTAGCAAAGAGACAGGAGGCATTTTACCCCTGACCCAGAGATCTGTGGAAGTTTGAACTTGAGAGAGATGATCTGAAACTGAAACTTACGTTTAAAAGGGAAGCAGAGCATAAAAGTTTCGAAAAGTTGCAGCTTGATGATGCGGTACAAAAGAAAAACCCATTTTCTTGGGAGAAATTCAAGTCAGCTGCAGAAATTAGCATAAGTAATGAGGAGGCTTTTTAAAAAATTTTTATTTTATTTTAAGTTCTGGGATACATGTGCAGGATGTGCAGGTTTGTTACATAGGTAAACGTGTGCCATGGTGGTTTGCTACACCTATCAACACATCACCTAGGTATTAAGCCCTGCCTACATTAGCTATTTATCCTGATGCTGGAGGAGCCAAATGTTAATCACCAAAACAATTGGGAAAATGTCTCCAGGGCATGTCGTAGATCTTGGCAGCAGCTCCCCCCCATCACAGACCCAGAAGCTTAGAAGGGAAAAATGGTTTCCTGGGTCGGGTCCAGGGCCTCTGCTGCTCTATGAAGTCTTGGGACTTGGTGTTCTGCATTCCAGCTGCACCAGCTGCAGCTGGGGCTACAAGGGGCCAAAGTATAGCTCAGGCAGTGGCTTCAGAGGGTGCAAGCCCCAAAACTTGGTGGCTTCCATGTGGTATGGGGCCTGTGAATTCACGAAAGTCAAGAAGTGAGGTTGGGGAATCTCCGCCTAGATTTCAGAGGATGCATGGAAACACCTGGACATCCAGGCAGAAGTCTGCTGTAGGGGCTAAGCCCTCATGGAGAACCTCTGCTAGGGCAGTGTAGAAGGGATATGTGGGGTTGGAGCACACATAGAGAGTCCCCATTCACTAGAATGGCATTCACCCATCCACCAGAAATGCTGGGTGATGGTTCACCAATTATTATGTTGCCTCTCCGAGAGTGATAATCTGACCATGCCAGGGGGACAGGCCATTTCCTGATGGTCCACACCTGTTAACATCAAAATGTTAATTGGATGCAGGCCCCAGGGAGAAGAAACTTTCTGGGCATGCATAGTAAGAGACAAAAATGGTGAAGTATGATCTTCCACTGGAGAAAGGAAGAAAGCCTCAGGTGGGCATGCATGTATAACTCCCTAGACACACTGGGCATGCTCACTTCCCAAGGGTAAGGAGGGCTCTATGCATGTGGGCAGCCCACCCTAAGGGAATAATCATGGGAAAGAGGTAAGCTTATAAATGTCCTAGGATCACAGTTAAACAGGGCATTTGACCTTCTCTCTTTAATTAAACCTTCATGTGCCCCCTTGGGTCTCTTCCAAGTGCACCTTGCTTTCCTGTTGTAAGGCATTTTAAAATAAACTTCCATTCCTGCTCTGGAACTTGCCTCGGTCTCTTTTACTGCTTTATGCCCTGCAGTCGAATTCTTTCTTCTGAGGAGGCAAGGGCTGAAGTTGCTACGGACCCATACAGATAGGCCAACAGTAACATGGGGTAACTCAAATTTCTGCCACTGCTAACAAGTTCTCACAAGATCTGATGGTTTTGTAAGGCAGTTTTCCCTGCTCTTACTCACTCTTTCTCACCTGCCACCATGTAAGATGTGCCTGCTTCCCCTTCCACCATTTCCTGAGGCCTCCCCAGCCATGCAGAACTGTGAGTCAGTTAAACCTCTTTTCCTTATAAATTACCCAGTCTTGGGCATGTCTTTCCAGCAGTGTGAGAACATACTAATACAGATATATGTGTGGATTATCCGAAGTCCCTCATTTTCTAGTTTTATACCATTTTGTGATCAGAAAAGATACTTGATATGATTTCAGTCTTCTTGAATTTGTTAAGACTTCTTTGGTGGCACAACATACTATATATCTCAGTGAATGTTCCATGTGCAGTTGAGAAGAGAGTGTATTCTGCAGCTACTGGATGGATTTTTCTGTATATATCTGTTAGGTCCATTTGCTCTAGAGTGTAGTATATGCTTGTTGTTTGCTTATTTATTTCTGTCTTGATGATTTGTCCATTACTGAAAGAGGGTTGTTAAAGTCCCCTAGTATTATTGTATTGCAGTCTGTCTCTTTTTCAGATTAATTAATATTTCTTTTATATATTTAGGTGCTCTAATATTGAGTGCACATATGTTTACAATTGTTATACCCTTTTGTTGAAATGACCACTTTATCATTACATAGTGATTTTCTTTGTCTCTTTCTAGAGGTTTTGACTTAATGTCTATTTTATCTCATGTAACTATAGCTATTCCTGCTCTCTTTGTGTTTTCATTTGCGTGGAATATCTTTTTTCATCCCTTCACTTTGACTCTATGTGTCTTTACAGGTGAAATGAGTCCCTTGTAGGTAGCAAATGTCTGCGTCTTAATTTTTAAATCCATTTAGCTAGTCTATGTCATTTGATTGGACAATATATCCCATTTACATTCAAGGTAATTATTGATAAGTAAGAACTTACTACTGCCATTTTGTTAATTGTTCTCTAGTTGCTTTGTCGATTCTCCCTTTTCTCCTCTCCTACTGATTTTCTTTGTGGTTAAGTGATCACTCTCGTAGTATGTTTTGGTTCGTTGTCTTTTATTTTTTGTTTATCTGTTATAGCTTTTTGCTTTGTGGTTACCATGAGGCTTAAAAGAAACATCTTAAAGTTATAACAGGTTATTTTAAGCTGGTAACAACTTAGATCACAAAAATAAAAACCTCTGCACATTTACTCCACTCCCTCCACACACATTTTTTTGAGACAGGAACTCACTGTTGACCTGGTTATAGTGAGGTGGCATGATCACAGCTCACTGTAGCCTCGACCAACAGGGCTCAAGTGATCCTCCTGCCTCAATCTCCCCAGAGGCTGGGATTACAAGCACAAGCCACCATGCCGAGGTAATTTTTTTTCTTTTTACTACAGACGAGGTATCCTCATGATGCCCAGTGCGGTCTTGAACTCTTGAGCTCAAGCAATCCTTCCACTTCAGCACAAAATTCTGGCATTACAGGTGGCAGCCACTGCATCTAGCCCACATTTTGAGTTTTTCATGTTACAATTTACAACTTTTCATATTGCATATTTTAAAATAAACCATTGTCGTTATTCTTTTTTAATTATTACACTTTAAGTTCTAGGGTACATGTGCACAACGTGCAGGTTTGTTACATAGGTATACATGTGCCATGTTGGTTTGCTGCACCCATTCACTAGTCATTTACCTCAGGTATTTCTCCTAATGCTATCCCTCCCCCAGCCCCCCAACCCACAACAGGCCCTGGTGTGTGATGTTCCCCATCCTGTGTCCAAGTGTTCTCATTGTTCAATTCCCACCTATGAGTGAGAACATGCGGTGTTTGGTTTTCTATCCTTGTGATAGTTTGCTGAGAATGATGGTTTCCAGCTTCATCCACGTCCCTGAAAAGGACAAGAACTCATCCGTTTTTATGGCTGCATAGTATTCCATGGTGTATATGTACCACATTTTCTTAATCCAGTCTATAATTGATGGACATTTGGGTTGGTTCCAAGTCCTTGCTATTGTGAATAGTGCCACAATAAACATATGTGTGCATGTGTCTTTATAGCAGGATGATTTATAATCCTTTGGGTATATACCCAGTAATGGGATCGCTGGGTCAAATGGTATTTCTAGTTCTAGATCCTTGAGGAATCGCCACAGTGTCTTCCACAATAGTTGAACTAATTTACACTCCCACCAACAGTGTAAAAGAGTTCCTATTTCTCCACATCCTCTCCAGCATCTGTTGTTTCCTGACACTGTAATGATCGCCATTCTAACTGACATGAGATAGTATCTCATTGTGGTTTTGATTTGCATTTCTCTGATGACCAGTGATGATGAGCATTTTTTCATGTGTCTGTTGGCTGCATAGATGTCTTCTTTTCAGATATGTCTGTTCATATCCTTTGCTTACTTTTTGATGGGGTTGTTTGTTGTAAATTTGTTTAAGTTCTTTGTAGATTTTGGATATTAGCCCTTTGTCAGATGGGTAGATTGCAAACATTTTCTCCCATTCTGTAGGTTGCCTGTTCACACTGATGGTTGTTTCTTTTGCTGTGCAGAAGCTCTTTAGTTTAATTAGATCCCATTTGTCAATTTTGGCTTTGGTTGCTATTGCTTTTGGTGTTTTAGTCATGAAGTCCTTGCCCATGCCTATGTCCTGAGTGGTACTGCCTAGGATTTCTTCTAGAGATTTTTTGGTTTTAGGTCTAACATTTAAGTCTTTAATCCATCTTGAGTTAATTTTTGTATAAGGTGTAAGGAAGGGATCCAATTTCAGCTTTCTACATATGGCTAGCCAGTTTTCCCAGCACCATTTATTAAATAGGGAATCCTTTCCCCATTTCTTCTTTTTGTCAGGTTTGTCAAAGATCAGATGGTTGTAGATGTGTGGCATTATTTCTGAGGGCTCTGTTCTGTTCCATTGGTCTATATCTCTGTTTTGGTACCAGTACCATGCTGTTTTGGTTACTGTAGCCTTGTAGTATAGTTTGAAGTCAGGTAGCATGATGCCTCCAGCTTTGTTCTTTTTGCTTATGATTGTCTTGGCAATGCAGGCTCTTTTTTGGTTCCATGTGAACTTTAAAGTAGTTTTTTCCAATTCTGTGAAGAAAGTCATTGGTAGCTTGATGGGGATGGCATTGAATCTATAAATTACCTTGGGCAGTATGGCCATTTTCACGATATTGATTCTTCCTATCCATAACCATGGAACATTCTTCCATTTGTTTGTGTCCTCTTTTATTTTGTTGAGCAGTGGTTTGTAGTTCTTGAAGAGGTCCTTCACATCCCTTGTAAGTTGTATTCCTAGGTATTTTATTCTCTTTGTAGCAATTGTGAATGGGGGTTCACTCATGATTTGGTTCTCCTTTTGTTTGCTATTGATGTATAGGAATGCTTGTGATTTTTGCACATTGATTTTGTATCCTGAGACTTTGCTGTAGTTGCTTATCAGCTTAAGGAGATTTTGGAATGAGATGATGGGGTTTTCTAAATATACAATCATGTCATCTGCAAAAAGGGACAATTTGACTTACTCTTTTCCTAATTGAATACCCTCTATTTCTTTCTCTTGCCTGACTGCCCTGGCCAGAACTTCCAACACTATGTTTAATAGGAGTGGTAAGAGAGGGCATCCTTGTCATGTGCCAGTTTTCAAAGGGAATGCTTCCAGTTTTTGCCCATTCAGTATGATATTGGCTGTGGGTTTGTCATAAATAGCTCTTATTATTTTGAGATATGTTCCATCAATACCTAGTTTATTGAGAGTTTTTATCATGAAGAGCTGTTGAATTTTGTTGAAGGCCTTTTCTTCATCTATTGAAATAATCATTGGTTTTTGTCATTGGTTCTGTTTATGTGATGGATTACGTTTATTGATTTGTGTATGTTGAACCAGCCTTGCATCCCAGGGATGAAGCCAACTTGATCATGGTGGATAAGCTTTTGGATGTGCTGCTGGATTCGGTTTGCCAGTATTTTATTGAGGATTTTCACATCGATGTTCATCAGGGATATTGGTCTAAAATTCTCTTTTTTTGTTGTGTCTCTGCCAGGCTTTGGTATCAGGATGATGCTGGCCTCATAAAATGAGTTAGGGAGGATTCCCTCTTTTTCTATTGATTGGAATAGTTTCAGAAGGAATGGTACTAGCTCCTTTTTGTACCTCTGGTAGAATTTGGCTGTGAATCCATCTGGTCCTGGACTCTTTTTGGTTGGTAGGCTATTAATTATTGCCTCATTTTCAGAGCCTGTTATTGGTCTATTTAGATATTCAACTTCTTCCTGGTTTAGTCTTGGGAGGGTGTGTGTGTCCATGATTTTCTAGTCTATTTGCATAGAGGTGTTTATAGTATCCTGTGATGGTAGTTTGTATTTCTGTGGGATTGGTGGTGATATCCCCTTTATCATTTTTTATCGTGTCTATTTGATTCTTTTCTTTTCTTTTCTTTTTGAGACAGAGTCTCACTCTGTCGCTCAGGCTGGAGTGCAGTGGCGCAATCTCGGCTCACTGCAAGCTCCGCCTCCTGGATTCACGCCATTCTCCTGCCTCAGCCTCCTGAGTTGCTGTGACTACAGGTGCCTGCTACCACACCCGGCTATTTTTTTTTTTTTGTATTTTTAGTAGAGACAGGGTTTCACCGTGTTAGCCAGGATGGTCTCGATCTCCTGATCTCGTGATCTGCCCGTCTCAGCCTCCCAAAGTGCTGAGATTACAGGCCTGAGCCACCACGCCTGGTCTATTTGATTCTTTTCCCTTTTCTTCTTTATTCGTCTTGCTAGAAGTCTATCAATTTTGTTGATCTTTTCAAAAATCCAGCTCCTGGATTCATTGATTTTTTGAAGGGTTTTTTGCGTCTCTATCTCCTTCACTTCTGCTCTGATCTTAGTTATTTATTGCCTTCTGCTAGCTTTTGAATGTGTTTTCTCTTGCTTCTCTAGTTCTTTTAATTTTGATGTTAGGGTGTTGATTTGAGATCTTTCCTGCTTTCCCCTGGGGGTATTTAGTGCTATAAATTTCCCTCTACACACTGTTTTAAATGTGTCCCAGAGATTCTGGTACATTGTGTCTTTCTTCTCATTGGTTTCAAAGAACATCTTTATTTCTGCCTTCATTTTGTTATTTACCCAGTAGTCATTCAGAAGCAGTTTGTTCAGTTTCCATTTAGTTTTGTGATTTTTAATGAGTTTCTCAATCCTGAGTTCTAGTTTGATTGCACTGTGGTCTGAGAGACAGTTTGTTATGATTTCTGTTCTTTTACATTTGCTGAGGAGTGCTTTACTTCCAATTATGTGGTCAATTTTAGAATAAGTGCGATGTGGTGCTGAGAAGAATGTATATTCTGTTGATTTGGAGTGGAGAGTTATGTAGATGTGTATTAGGTCCTCTTTGTGCAAAGCTGAGTTCAAGTCCTGGATATCCTTGTTAACCTTCTTTCTTATCTGTCTAATATTGACAGTGGGGTGTTAAAGTCTCCCATTATTATTGTGTGGGAGTCTAAGTCTCTTTGTAGGTCTCTAAGGACTTGTTTCATGAATCTGGGTGTTCCTGTATTGGGTGCATATATATTTAGGATAGTTAGCTCTTTTTGTTAAATTGATCTCTTTACCATTATCTAATGGCCTTCTTTGTCTCTTTTGATCTTTGTTGGTTTAAAGTATGTTTTATCAGAGACTAGGATTGCAACCCCTGCTTTTTTTTGCTTTCCATTTGCTTGGTAGAATTTCCTCCATCCCTTTATTTTGTGTCTATGTGTGTCTCTGCACGTGAGATGGGTTCCTGAATACAGCACACTGATGGGTCTTGACTCTTTATCCAATGTGCCAGTCTGTGTCTTTTAATTGGGTCATTTAGCCCATTTACATTTAAGGTTAATATTGTTATGTGTGAATTTGATCCTGTTATTATGATGTTAGCTGGTTATTTTGCCCGTTAATTGATTCAGTTTCTTCATAGCATCTATGGTCTTTACAATTTGGCATGTTTTTTGCTTGTCTGTAAAGGATTTTATTTCTCCACTTATGAAGCTTAGTTTGGCTGGATATGATATTCTGGGTTGAAAATTCTTTTCTTTAAGAATGTTGAATATTGGCCCCCTCTCTTCTGGCTTGTAAGGTTTCTGCTGAGAGATCTGCTGTTAGTCTGATGAGCTTCCTTTTGTGGGTAACCTGACCTTTCTCTCTGGCTGCCCTTAACATTTTTTCCTTCATTTCAACCTTGGTGAATCTGACAATTTGTGTCTTGGGCTTGCTTTTCTCGAAGAGTATCTTTGTGGTGTTCTCTGTATTTCCTGAATTTGAATGTTGGCCTGCCTTGCTAGGTTGGGGGGGACATTCTCCTGGATAATATCCTGAAGAGTGTTTTCCAACTTGGTTCCATTCTCCCTGTCACTTTCTGGTACACCAATCAAGCCTAGACTTGGTCTTTTCACATAGTCCCATATTATTTCTTGGAGGTTTTGTTCTTTTCTTTTTACTCTTTTTTCTCTAAACTTGTCTTCTTGCTTTATTTCATTAATTTGATCTTCAATCACTGATATCCTTTCTTCCACTTGATGGAATCATCTATTGAAACTTGTGCATGCATCACGAAGTTCTCGTGCCATGGTTTTCAGCTCCATCAGGTCATTTAAGGTCTTCTCTACACTGTTTATTCTAGTTAGTCATTCATCTAACCTTTCTTTCAAGGTTTTTAGCTTCCTTGCAATGGGTTAGAATATGCTCCTTTAGCTCAGAGAAGTTTGTTATTACTGACCTTCTGAAGCCTACTTCTGTCAACTCGTCAAAGTCATTCTCCATCCAGCTTTGTTCCATTGCTGGCGAGGAGCTGCAATCCTTTGGAGGAGAAGAGGCACTCTCGTTTTTAGAATTTTTAGCTTTTCTGCTCTGGTTTCTCCCCATCTTTGTGGTTTTATTTGCCTTTGGTCTTTGATGTTGGTGACCTACAGATGGGGTTTTGGTGTAGATGTTCTTTTTGTTGATGTTGATCCAATTCCTTTCTGTTTGTTAGTTTTCCTTCTAACAGTCAAGTCCCTCAGCTGCTGGTCTATTGGAGTTTGCTGGAGGTCCACTCCATACCCTGTTTGCCTGGGTATCACCAGCGGAGGCTGCAGAACAGCAAATATTGCTGCCTGGTCCTTCCTCTGGAAGCTTTGTCTCAGAGGGGCACCCATCTGTATGAGGTGTCTGTCAGTCCCTACTGGGAGGTGTCTCCCAGTTAGGCTACACAGGGTTCAGGGACCCACTTGAGGAGGTAGTCTGTCAGTTCTCAGAGCTCAAATGCTGTGCTGGGAGAACCACTGCTCTCTTCAGAGCTGTCAGACAGGGACGTTTTAAGTCTGCAGAAGTTTCTGCTGCCTTTTGTTCAGCTATGCCCTGCCCACAGAGGTGGAGTCTACAGAGGCAGTAGGACTTGCTGAGCTGTGGTGGGCTCCGCCCAGTTCGAACTTCCTGGCCGCTTTGTTTACCTACTCAAGCCTCAGCAATGGCGGATGCCCCTCCCCCCACCAGGTTGCTGCCTCGCAGGTTGATCTCAGACTGCTGCGCTAGCAGTGAGCAAGGCTCTGTGGGCATGGGACCCACCAAGCCAGGCATGGGAGAGAATCTCCTGGTCTGCTGGTTGCTAAGACCATGGGGAAAGTGCAGTATTTGGGCAGTAGTGTCCCGTTTTTCCAGGTCCAGTCTGTCATGGCTTCCCTTGTCTGGGAAAGGGAAATCCCCTGGCCCATTGCACTTCCCGGGTAAGGTGATGCCCTGCCCTGCTTTGGCTCACCCTCCGTGGACTGCACCCACTGTCCAACCAGTCCCAATGAGATGAATGAGGTGCCTCAGTTGGAAATTCTGAAATCACCCTTCTTCTGCATCGATCACACTGGGAGCTGCAGACCGGAGCTCTTCCTGTTAGGCCATCTTGGAATGGAGCCCCATTGTCATTATTCTTAATAGTTTTGTCTTTTAACCTTCATGCTAAAGATGTAAGCAAAGTATACACCATCATTACTGTAATATTGTAAATTGAACTGTGTACTCACTTTTATCAGTGAGTTTTATAAGTTCAGATGTTATATTCATTAGCATCCTTTTCTTTCAGCTTGAAGAACTCCCGTTAGCATTTCCTATAAGATAGGTCTATTGATTATGAATCGTCTCTGCTTTTGTTTTTCTGAGAAAGTCTCTATTGTCTTGATTTTCTGGGTATAGTGTTCTTAGTAGGTAGTTCTTTTCTTCCTTCAGCACTTTGAATATACTATCTCACTCCCTCTTGGCCCATAAGGTTTCTACTGAAAAGTCAGTTACCAGACATATTGGAACTCCCTTATGTGTTATTTGCTTCCTTCCTCTTGTTGCTTTCAGAATTCTCTTTTTGTTTTTGTTATTTGGCAATTTAATTCTAATATGTCATGGGGTAGTCTTATTTGATTCAATCTGAGTGGTGTCCTTTGACCTTCCAGTACCTGAATATTTATATTTTTCTCCCGTTTTGGAAATTTTCTGCTATTATTTCTTTAAATAAGCTTTCTACCTAGTTGTTTTTCTCAGTCCTGCTTGAACTCTGATGACCCAAACACTTGCCCTTTTGATGCTATCTCATAAATCCCTTAAGCTTTTTTCATTCCTTTTTATGATCCTTTTTTTTGCTCCTTTGATTGGATAATTTCAAATGTCCTGTCATTGAGCTCCCTTCTTCTTCTTTCTTCTTCTTCTTCTTCTTCTTCTTCTTCTTCTTCTTCTTCTTCTTCTTCTTCTTCTTCTTCTTCTTCTTCTTCTTCTTCTTCCTCCCCTTCTTCTTCTTCTTCTTCTTCTTCTTCTTCTTCTTCTTCTTCTTCTTCTTCTTCTTCTTCTTCTTCTTTCTTCTTCTTCTTCTTCATCTTCTTCTTCTTGGTCTATTCTGATGTTGAGGCATTCTATTGATGTTTTAGGGTTCAATTGTTGTATTCTACAATTTTTTTTGAGACAGAGTATCTCTCTATCAACCAGGCTGCAGTGCAGTAGTGGAATCTTGGTCACTGCAACCTCCTAGGCTCAAGCAATTCTCCCACCTCAGCCTCCCAAGTAGCTGGGACCACAGTCTTGAGACACCACACCAGCCTATTTTTTGCAATTTTTGTAGAGACAGGGTTTCACCATGTAGCTCAGGCTGATTTCAAACTGTTGAGCTCAATTGATCCACCTGTTTTGGCATCTCAAAGTGCTGGGATTACAGACGTGAGCCACCAAGCTCCACAAGTGATTGTATTCTTCATCTTTAGGATTTCTATTTGATTTGTTGTTGTTGTTGTTGATGATTGTTTCCATTTCTTTGTCAAATTTCTCATTTTGTTCATGAATTGTTTTTTATTTTATTTGATTATCTATTTGTATTTTTATAGTTCTCTGAACTTCTTTAAGAGGGTTATTCTGAATTATTTGTCAGTTATTTCATAGATCTCCTTCTCTAATGGGTCCATTACTGAAGCTTTATTAGTTTCTTCTCGTGTGTTGTATTTTTCAGATTTTTTCATAATCTTTGTGTTTTTACATTGATGCCTGTGCATTTGAGGACCTAGCCACGTCTTTCATTCTTTGCAGGTATTCTTTGGTGATAATAGACCTTTACTATTTAGTCTAACCTGAGATTCTGAATGAGCCAGCTGGTTGCAACCATATACAAGCAGTCTTTGGTGTCATGTTCTTGAGTTGCTTCCTGCGCTCTGAGGTTGAATGGTAGTGCTGCCTCTGCACCATGGTCCAATGAGACCACTGGCTGGAGTCCACTGTCAGGTGGGGCTGCTGGCTGGGCTCTGCAATCAACTCTGATTAGGCAGGGTTGCAGTTGTCTTCCCAGGCCATGTGGTACTATTGTTTGGAATCTGTATTATATTTCCTAAAGTGTGATGCCGTTGGCTAGTTTCTCCAGCATGGTGCCTCCATTGGCTAGAATGCAGAGTAACCACCAAAATCTGTTCCCTTGTCACTGTAAGCTCCACCCCAATCCTCCATCTCCAACTTACCCCAGGTGTCCAGCCCTGCTGGCACTCCCAATGTTCCCTGAAGTATGTGACAAGACTGAGCCTCCTGAAAGGGGTTCAGAATGGTGGGGAAGACAAATGTCAGCCTCCAACTCACTGCTCCCACAGTAGAAACTATGAGCTCAGAAAAATTCTGTGTGCGGTACTGTGCCAGCCTGGAGGAAGGGCAGCAAGGTTAGAAAGAATTGTTCCTCTTACCATCTGATTGTGGGCTTTCTAGATTCTGTAGTTCAAAGGGGTGTCTCACATTCACTTCTGAGTTCTGTGGTGCTCACAATGGTGGTCTTGCCTTTTGATAGTTACTGGTTGGATTTCTGTTTGGGAGAGTAAAGCTGGAGAACTCCTATTCTTCTACATGGCTGAGATCATTCCTATATTTAGACTATAATTTATTCTTATTTCTTGTTTTCTTTTCATTTTTTTAAAGACAGGGGCTTATTCTAATACCCAGGCTAGAGTGCAGTGGCATGATCATAGCTCACTGCATTCTCAAACTCCTGGGCTCAAGTTATCCTCCTGCCTCATCCTCCCAAGTAGCTAGGATTACAGGTGTGTGCCACCATGCCAGGCTAATTTGTTGTATTTTTATTTTTGTAGAGACAGGGTCTCACTATGTTTCCCAGGCTGGTCTCAAACTCCTGGCCTGAAGCAATTCTTCCACCTCAGCCTCCCAAAGCACTGGGATTACAGGCATGAGCTACTGTGCACAGTCTAGTTTGCTTTTCTATATCTGATTTTCTAAAATATTGTTCTATCAGTTACTAAAAAAGGAGTGTGAAAATATTCACCTCTGTGGGTTTATGTATTCCTTTTTTTCTATGAGTTTAACTTCATGTATTTTGAAGCTCTGTTATATTCAGTGCACACATATTTATTGTGTCTTCTTCATGAATTGAACCCTTTATCATTAATAAATGTCCTCCATCCCATTTTATTCTGTGTATTCCATGGGTGATGAGAAAGGCATCCTGATGTGGCTGGTGGGGACCCGGTTAAGGAGTCTCTCAGTTGGCCTTATGGGCCAACCTGCTGTTTTGTGGGTCAGAGATTTGGTCTAGAGTGTGTGTGTAGGGAAAAAGTGTTCTTGATTGGCCTCATACTTCACCAGGGGTGAGGGATTTAATGTGGCTTTTTGTCCTTTCTCTAGGTCCCAGGATCCCCCAGGCCTGTTCTCTCTATGCCTTTGGCCTGTTTCCCCCAAACCTGAGCCCGCCCCCTCCCTACTTTCTTTGTCCTTTCCTTGTTTCACGGCCTCGAGATGCCACTGACCCAGCACCCAGGGCATCTGGGAGACTCAGCTATGGAGAAAAGGGAGGTGGTGGCAAAAGAGATGCCTGCTGGGGCAGGCAGGCGTAGGGCAGTTACCTTCTCATGCAAGTAATCACGAAGGTCATGTTATACATGGTGTCAGGGAGAGCAGTTGATTTTAGTGTCAATTATCAAAGCGAGTTTCCAACGAAGAAATTAAGAAAATGACAAGATATGGTTTGGCTGAGCCGAAGCAGTACTGATTACAGACACCTGCTCAAATGTTTGCAGTGAAATAACATGCACGTGAATCAGGTTAAGTTTGTTGTACTTCAACGTAAAAGTGGTTATGAAGTCCATTTTCAAATATTCCGCTTTCAAAACATGTTCCTTATTTATATTGGATGTCATCAGTTAAATAAAAAAGAACTTAAGTCACGATTTCTCCTTATAAGACTTTTATTAATGCCAGAAATGAAACAGCAAAAACAAAATGAATTTGAAAAATCAGTGTGATTGTGGGTGCAGAGATGGTATGAACAGGGACTGAGGAAAAAGCCAGGTCTGAGGAGAGCCTTCAGTTTCAACTCGGAACTTTTAAAGGTCATGATTCAGCTGATCCTGTGAAGTGGACTGTACAGTGGGTAGGTCGCTTCGTGTCTTTATAGCCAGGCTGTGTGCTGGACATCAAGGCTCTTCCCTCCCCAAGGAAAGCTTAACTCCCAGTGCTCCTGGGTTTGTCACCTTCTGGACTTGCAGGCTTGAGACCCTTGGGTCCCCCGTCCTGCACTGGACGACCCCTGACTGGGAGGAATTTTCTAACGAGGTGAGACAGAAGAAAATGAAACAAAAAGGAACTACAGAAAACGATGTGGGGTTAATTGCTGCATTGCCCTGTTATGCTGATTCCCACATCTTGTAGGTCTCTGGGATCATTTCTGTAACAAACATTAGGCCCTTGGTTAGAAACATAGCTCTCTCTCACACACACACATCGATCATCTCCACCAAAACCAATATTTTGACTTATGGTGCCTTTGCTGCTGTCAGCTCAAAAACTACCTGTACTTTGTTTCCTTGAATCGTTATGCTTTTGCATAGCCATCCTCTAGCAGTTTTATCAAAGCAGGACATAATTGCCTACACTCTGGAAATGAGGGGTGAGTCACCTTTTTCAAAATTAAATTTTTAAAATTCTGACCCCTATCGCCTTCCATACCTTTAATGTAGAGAGTGCCTATTCAGAGCATTCCATTTTTAAGTAATCACATCCAAACAGGTCACACTACCCATGTGTGTTTCTTCATGCTATAAATACGTTTCTGGAAATGTTTGGTAGAAACAGATTTCTTTTCTTTTTTCGGTGGGTCAATGGAGTGACATTTCACTACTGACATAATTTCAGCTATTCTTTTCTATCTCCAATCTGGTGTGGTTCTTGACACTTGGGCCTACAATTTTTTTTCTGCACCAGCCTTTGTCAGATAATCAGTGATCCTAACACAAGTGCTCCACACGAGGGAACTACCCTCCATGGGAACTAGCAGTTTGAAGCCCTGGTTTCTTGCCTGAGACTCTTTGCAAGTCACATGGGGAAGAAGGCAGCTCCTCACAGGCTCTGGCTGTGTGTGGTGATGCAGAGCTGGCTGTGGGGCTTAGGGAGTGGGGAGCCCTCTCCTTGCTCTGTCCAGGCTCACTAAGGACCCTGAACTCAGTTAAAATACTTAGAAATTTCCCCCCACTTTGTCCAAGGAAGAAAATAATGTCACCAGAACCTGCTTCTTTGAAAATCAAAACGGCTTCTTTGAAAATCAAAATGACTTCTTGTATGGTCTGAAAAAAGAAGACTTTGGCATTCACTTACCTGTGGGGTGATTGGAAACCCTGAAATCCTGTAGCAAAGTCTACAACTGCCCCAACTGCACTGACTATCATGGGCCTGACTGCCAATTTGATCTATCCTCATAAAGAAGACACAATCTCAGTCAGAATGCAGGACCAGTATCTGCTTAGTTTCCAGCTGTAGGTGCTCAGAAGGATCAAGAATGGACACTAAATAACACTTCATGCCCAACTGACACCTTCATTCTGGGTCTCCTGGACCCCAGGACCTGTAAAGGAAGGGGTGACATGACGCCTTCATTATAAAGTGGGAGTGTTTGTACTCTCAGTACCTAGTCACTTCTAAAGCAGAAGGGAGCAATTGGCTGGGAAACCTAAGAATGGAATTCATAGGTTTTTTCCTGGTCATTGTGTCTGCTAGCTCACAGGGAAACACACTGTATAGGTGACCATGAGAATGGCCTTCAGACTAACCATCAGTAGGTATTTCTAATTGTAACTACTGATGGGAGAGTTCCAGTTGAACATCGCAGAAAGAAACCCTCACTTGACATGCACATCTTTCAAGTATCAAAACACCTGTTCAGATCCCTATTGAAAGGGAGACAGGATGACTACTCATTTTGTGTCTGCAGGTGTTTCCCACATGTCTCCAAGGCTCACCCAATTAATCCATTTTGTCAAAATCCTCAGAGGAAGTATGAGGTAGAGGAATGAGCTTGCAATTGGCAGCCTGAACAACTCTATTCTCTAAGCTGGACTCTGGGTCTTGGCTTTGTGAGTAATCTTGGGCAAAGTGTTCCCTCCTCTAGTTCTCAGTGTTCTTTTCTTCAAAGTGGCATCAACAGTCTCTTCCAGGCCTATCTTCCAAGGTCTTTCGGAGAAGACACGAGACGATGCGTGGGAAAAGGCCAAGAGCAGCAGAATACCTGGCTACAGGTAGCTGCTTAATTGCAATATCCTTAGAGCCACCAGTGTCATCTGATATACTTATCTCAGAGCCTGAGATCCATTGCCCCTGTCACTTGTCTTTCTTTGGGTATTGAAATGACTAGTCTGCTGAAGTCTGTGGAGTAAGATTCTGCCACCATTGCTGGGCTTGATCTCCTCAACTGTCTTCAGAGGCTGGAACAAGATGGTCTCCAGAGGCCCCTTTGCTAGGATAATTTATCATTCTCATTGAAGCACAGGAGAGAAGTCAGAATTTCAGGTATTGGAGTCAAACGATAAAATCCTGTTGGTGGCAACACTCACTCCAATCTTTGCTCCAATAGGACAGAGGGGAGGCTAGATTCTCTCAGAGCCCCCTCCGGAAGGCAACTGCTTCCTTCTTTTCTTCCTTCAATGTATAAACAGGTCTTCTTTCCTAAAGGTTCTGGCCAAGACCTTGAAAACTACACATTCTCTCTTGGTTTTGACCTGTGTTGACCATCAGTGTGTTTTTAGTGGACAAAAAAAAAAAAAAAAGAAAAAACTCAAACTGAGCCCCAAGCTTCCCTGTTTCACACATGGCACAAGCCCGCACCTCTCATACTTTGGATTGCCTTTCATCCGTCCACTCCTGTTTTGTGCTCTGGAGAGCCTGTGTCTTCTGCTCATCCACTTGGACATAGTCTACTCTTTGTTCTTCTGAAAGGAGAAGTTTCTGAAGGAGGAGAACAAAAAGGTTTTCATTACATCTAACTTAAAATGTCAGGAAAATGTTTACCCTTTTGTATTAAATTGTTAAATATTTGTTGCCCTTTCCTCTGTGTGGAAACTTTGTACTTTGTATGTGTGCTTGTGTGTGTGCACGCACGTGCTTCTGCTTCCCTCAACTTTGCTCTAGCCACTTGACTTGCTTTGATCAATATAATGTAAGTGGAAGTGACATGGCCTGGCATGGCGGCACGTGCCTGTAATCCCAGCACTTTGAGAGGCTGGGATGTGGTTTGGCTGTGCCCCCACTCAAATCTCATCTTGAATTGTAGTTCCCATAATCCCCATGTGCCCTGGGAAGGACCTGGTGGGAGGTAATTGAATCAAGGGGATAGTTACCCTCATGCTGTTCTCATGATAGTAAGTTCTCAAGAGATCTGATAGTTTTATAAGGGGCTTTCCCCATTTCATTCTGCACTTCTCTTTCCTGCCACCATGTGAAAAAGGATGTGTTTCCTTCCCCTTCCACCATGATTGTAAGTTTCTTGAGGCTTCCCCAGCCACGCTGAATTGTGAGTCAATTAAACCTCTTTCCTTTATAAATTACCCAGTCTCAGGTATTTCTTCATAGCAGTGTGAGAATGGACTAATACAGAGGCCAAGGCAGGAGGATCACTTGAGCCCAGGAGATCAAGATCATTTTTTATTAAAAAATAAAAAACAGCCGTGGGTGATGATGTGCAACTGTAGTACCAGCTACTTGGGAGGCTGAGATGGGAGGATAACTTTAGCCCAGGAGATCGAGGCTGCAGTGAGCTATGACCATGCCACTGCACTCCAGCCTGAGTGACAGAGTGAGATCTTGACTCAAGAAAACAAAACAATAATAACAAAAAGGAAGTGACATGTTCCAATCCTAAGGAGAAAGAGGTATTCTGTGATTCTGCAATCTCTCTTTTTCCTCTGCCAGGAGGCCAGCACACTTCAGATGGGGGCTGCTTCTCTTGCCTCGGCCCTGGACTGGAGATGACCTGGAACACAAAGGCTCTGGCCTGCAATAAAAGAGCCTTTGTGTTGAAAGCAGATGAGATTTGGGGGTTGTTTGTCTACCAAAACTGACTAATGCTCCTTTTATACTTATTGCTCCCACCCTTCTTACCAGCTTTTCTCCAGTCTCATATCAGGTTTTTGGAACGATATTAAAAGTAGAAAACAAGTAGGAGTTACCTCAGCAAAAGAGGAGGAAAGTCCTCAGTTGTTTCCCATGCACTCATTCCTTACGCTGTACAGTGGGTGATACTAGTTCACAGATATGATAACTTACATGTATTAACTCAATTAATCCTCACAACAGCCCTTGACATAAGTGTTGTCATTTCTGATTCCCATTTTTCAGATGAGAATTCTACCCAAAGGGGTAGCTGCCCAACTCAGCATTCAAGGCCCCTTACTTCCAACTTACAGTTCTTTCCACTGCTCCCTCAAGTCTAACCAAACTAGACTATTACTTGTTCCCTAAACAGGATGTTCCTACACCTGGAGGGTCCTCTACCCGACCCTCATTTCTGCCTGAGATATTTTTCTATAAACTTTTTGGTCCAAATTTTGAAGTGTGAATATCACATCTATTTATACATACACACACAAAGAACACACCCTAGAAGGAAATACACCAAGATTTCATTCTCTCTGGGAGGCAGGATGAGGGCCGATTTTAATATTCTTCATTATACATGTCTGCATTTTTAACACTTTCTAAGGAGAATATGCATGGTTTGATAATCAGAAAAGTCTAGGCAGAGATGGAATCACCTGGGAATTCTTAGACACAAAGCCCTTCCTACCTGCTGCATGGGGGCTGGTGATGCTGAATTGAAGTCCAGGGCCAAATAATCTAGGCTGAATTTCTTTGTCCACGTAAGGGCACCACTGCTCAGGGAACTGGCTGTTCGGTGCTCCTCCTAGGAACCAACATCACAGGAGTCAGGTTAATGATGTCTATCTTGGTTGCTCAAGGGAAGGAGGGCAAGTTGTGGCTTCACCCAAGCAGCTGCCATCAGATCGTAACAGAATAGTCTGATGAGACCTGAGTCAATCAGCCTGCATATCTGAGTGAGAACTGTAATTTCAAACAGAATATAGCCAATTTGGCCTTCGCAATGAAACCATACCATTATTCACCATGGGAACAGTTTGCCAAAATTCACTCAAAAAGGAATTTGCTTCACGAATCTGACAGGCCTGTGATACTTCAGAGATTAAACCCTAACAAGATCAACTATACTTATTAAAGTTCTCGTGAAGGCATCCCAAATGCACTTAAATATAGTTTGCACAATACAAACAGTTATAACACAGATGAAAATCAGGGCCCAGCTTCAGAAGTGCAATGCTACCAATCCATATCTTTGAAGCTGTTTCCCCTGTACCATCTTTCCTTCTCCTCCCAAGAGGTAAAGCACTATCTTGAATTTTGTGCTTACCACTCCTTTTACTTTTAAATATAGTTTTATGAGTATGCAAGTATCCTTAAATAACAGACTATTTCATTTTGCCTGTTTTTGAATGTCATATCAACAGAATCACATTGTATGCATTTTGGGCGGCTTCAGTTTTGTGTTCAATATTAGGTACTCCACATTCACTTGTGTCGAAGCATTAGCCCTATTTCACTCATTTGCAGTGGGTCAGATATTCCATTGCATGACTTATTTAATCATTCTGCCATCAAAGGATATTTGAGTTGCTCCCAGTTTGGGGGCTATTGTAAGCAATGCTGCCATGGGCATTCATGCACCTGTGGGAGAAATTCTAGGGCATTTACTTGGGAATAGAATCACTGGGTTATAGGATATGAGTATCTTCAACTTTACTAAATATCACCAAACTATTTTCCAGAGTGAACCAATCTACACGTGTACCAGGAGTGTATAAGAATTTCTATTGCTTCCCATCCTGGCCAACACTTGGTATTGTCAGAGTTTTTAACATTTTTCCTACCTGAGACAGGTAAAATGGTATCTTACTGTGGTTTGATTTTCCATTCCCCTGATTATTAATTAGTATGAGCACCTGTTCATATGTTGAAAGGTCATTTGTTTATTTCTCCTCTGTGAATTGCCTGTTTGGGTTTGTTTTGTTTTTTGGGTTTTTTTTTTTGCCTTGTTTCTGGTTAATTTTTGTATTGAATTATTTGTATATTTTTCTTACTTACCCTTAGTACTTTTTCCTCTGCCCTGGAGAGTAATCATTTGCTATCATGTATGTTGCAGATAGCTCATCACAGTCTAGCTTCTTGTCTTTTCATTTCTTTTTATGGTATTTCTTTTGACTAAGAAATACTTTTAATGTAATGTCGATCTTTTCCTGTATGGCTTACATTATGTTTAAGGAATCCTTCCCTATGCTGAGGTCATAATTTATTTCTCTATATTTTTCCTGAAATTATAATGTTTTGCAATAATTTGCTTCACGTTTAAGCAATAATCTCACTTGAATGGATTTTAATATTGTATATGGTGGTGCAATAGAAATAAAATTCATTCCATTTTTGTTGTTGTTTTTACTCAACATGGATAACCTGGTTTCCCCCAGAATGTCTTGCGTGATCTTGACCCTTTTAGAATCAGCTTCAAAGTTCCTCAAAAATCTCTGTTAGGGAATTGGTTAGATAATGTCTTTAATATTTGAGTCTTCCTATTCAGGAACATGGTCTACTTTTCCACTTATTTCATTCTCCTTAATGTCTTTCAATAAGTTTTAATAATTTTCTCCACAATATTTTTTGTTAGGTTTATCGCTAAATGCCTAGAGTTTGTTGTTACTGTAAATGGTAAGTTTTGTTTAAATTCTTTTTTCTGTTTGTTACCATTATCTAGACAGTGAACTGGATTGTGTATATTGATTTTATATCCATCAATCTTGATATCTTTTATTAATTGTAATTATTTATTTTACTAACTTAGTAATTCTAATTATTTCTAAGTAGATTATTTCGAGTTATCATTCATATAAGCAGATTATTTTGAGTTATCGCTTCATCTAAGAATAATCACTCTTTGTCTTCTTCCTTCCTTTCCAATTCTTATTCATTTTGTTTCTTTAGGAGATGTTTTTAGCTTTTAACCACTGAGTATGATATCTACTACAGGTTCTATAAGATTCATTTTTCATTTGTTATGAGGTTAGAGAAAATTCCTCTATTCCTTGTTTACTAATAGATTTTTTCATGAATAGATGTTGAGTTCTATCAAATGCTTTTTCTGCATCTAGTAAGATAATATATCATTTTTCTCCTTTAATCTGTTAATGTGCTTGGTTGACTTAATAGATATTCCTGGTTTATGGTTGTAATAGCTCATCTCTCTGAGAATATTGGTAATAATAGAGTTTTAAAAAGGCTTTTCCTAGCTGGGCGCAGTGGCTCACACCTTTAATCCCAGCACTTTGGGAGGCCGAGGCGAGCGGATCACTTGGGGTCAGGAGTTCAAGACCAGCCTGGCCAACATGGTGAAACTCTGTCTCTACTAAAAATACAAAAATCTGCCAGGCATGGTGGCGCATGCCTGTAGTCCCAGCTACTTCGGAGGCTGAGGCAGGAGAATTGCTTGAACCCGGGAGGCAGAGGTTGCAGTGAGCTGAGATTGCACCACTGCACTCCAGCCTGGGTGAAAGAGTGAGACTCCGCCTCACAAAAAAATAAAATAATAAATAAATAAAAAGACTTTTCCTTCTGGCATAGTTCTTATTTCCTCCAATCTGTTTTGATTTCAATCTTTCATGCTAGAGTTCTCCTGAAATGTCACATGAAATCACTGACTGTTGCTTATACTTACGAGCGAAAGACCAAAAAGCTAACGTGGAGCTTTGTGTACATGGATGGTGTTTGTCAGCTCTGGAGTTTTCTGCAGGGTGATCCCATTGGGTGGTTATCTTGAGTAACCCCCAATATTAGGAACTACGTTTTGCCACTTGGGCTGCTCAAATAGCCCAGAGAAATATTTTCTAATCTCCAAACTCAATTGTAATGGTCTGGTTGTCAACATTCTGGAAAAGGGCTTGAGAATGGTTCTCATATCCATTATGCCTATTTACTTAATCACCTTGTCGTTAGTATAGTATTCGTGGTCAAATATGTCTAGTATCCCCCAGTGCAGAGACCTTTTGTTTTACTCTCTCCAGAGAGACTGAACTTCAACTTTTCTATGAGATGGGGGATGGAAAGTCACAGTGTTTCACCTCCATGGAGTGAGGGAAGGGATCTTGGAATTTACCTGATGCCTTTGACCATTACTGCTTCTTTTACTTTCCCTTCAACCCTACTTCAGAACTACCTACTGTGGACAATTCCTGAACTCTTTGGGTAGTCTGCAGTATAAGTCAAGTTGCTTCTTGCCTTCCTTCCACCACATTTAAGATTTAATTTTTTTGTGGGGGGGAGGGGTCTTGTAAGTCATTTACTACATATCTACCTGCATTCTAGTTTCCAATATGTTACTGCTATTTTCTTCTCCAATTCTTCATATCTTTGTGGGTTTATGCCTTTAACAGATTTCTTTACTGTTATTTTAGAGGGTGTTTGGGGATGGAGAGAAATTGGAAGCTTGCGGTCAATCTTCCATTTGAGGTTCATGTGTCAGCACTTTATTTCTTTTTGTGGCTGCATAATACAATGGAATATTATACTACATTTTATTATATATTATACTACATTTTATTCACACATTCATCAGTCGATGATCATTTGAGTTGTTTTCCCTTTCTGGCTATTATGAAAAAATGCTTCTATGAACATTTGTGTACGAGTATTTGGTTAGACATATTCTTCTTTGGGATTTTAAAATCCGCATCCACCAGTAACATTGGCCTACAGCTTTCTACTTATGTAATTGCTATTTGTTTTATCAAATTATTTTAGCCTCATAAAGTAAGGTGGGTAATATTCTCTTCTCCCATTCCTGGTAGGTGTTTATATAAGATTGCACTTATCTCTTCTTTTTGGTCGAAACTATCTGTAAAGTTTTTTGGGCCTTATGATCCTTTGTAGTACAAATTTTCCTACTGATTCAGTGTCTTTAATAGGTACATAAACATTCAGGTTTTCTAATTCTACTTGAGTCAATTTCTGATTTTTTTTTAATCCAGAGAATTTGCCTATCACAAAAGTTTTCAAATTTATTGGTACAGAGTTGTTCACAAAATTCTCTTAGGTAGTTAATCTCTCATGTATTTGTAATTATTATCTGTTCTTCATTCTTAATATTACTTATTTGTATTCATATCTTTTGTATTAGTTTTGTTAAATTTTAGTCTTTTTAAAGAGCCAATTACAGCTGTATTGATCCTCTCTGATTTTGTTATTTTGTTAGTTTCTGCTTTTGCCTTTATTCTTTCACTTTTGTAGGGTTTTTCTAAACTTATTATTATAAAATTTTTCCAGCAATCAGCCAAATTAAAGAAAATATACCCACCATGTATACTCCACTAACATTTTATTATACTAACCTGCTTGTAAGTCTTTGGGCTTGTGGAGGAATGGTACCTTTCATGAACTGTGAGCAACTCTAGCATTATCCCTTGACATATTGCCTCTCTCCTATGGTTCTATAATCTTCTTCAGCAACTCTGACTATACAAATATTTGACCTTCTTATTCTATCTTCCATGTCCCAAATTTCTTTCATATTCTCCATGTTTTTAACTCCTCGTTCTGATTTATTAGTAACTTATTCATAAATTATCTTCCAGCTCACTAAATCACTCTTTGTGCTTAGTCTGTTTATCTCATCCATTGAGTTTCTAATTTCATTCTTGTTTTTATTTCTACAAGTTGTAAATGGTCTTTTACAATCTACTTGGCCATTTTTAATAGTATCTCATTACTTAATCCAACTTTCAATTTCTCATTTATTTCTTTAAATATAGTAAAACTACTTATTTTATATTCAAAATCCAGTGTTTCCAAAAACTGCCTACTTCCATATTTGATTCTATTGTTTGTAATTCTTATTAATTTGGGGGGTTGCTGTTTCTCAATATTTTTGGCCCCAGAGATTTCTTTTCCCTTCCCTTCTTGTCAGCTGAGTTTTAGACTTAAAAATGTATCATATTTATAATAAGAGGTGTTTTTCATGCTATCTTGCCTACCAAAGTGTTCCATCAAATTTTAAAAATAGAATAAATGTAGTTTCACCTCCAGTAATGTTGAATAAAGTAATTTTGATCACCCTTCCTGCTGAGAACAATATTTTTTTCCTTTTTTGGTAGAAATTAAAAAATTGTTTCTAAAATTTTTATGGGAGTAGAAAAGTCAAAGAAAAAAAACAAAAAAAACCTAGAGGAAGGTAAACAAAGCAGGACTTACTTTCCTTGATATTGAGTCTTATAAAGCTACAGCAACTAAGGGAGTTTGTATTGTTCAAAGATAGACAGGGAAACCAACAGAATAGAATTAAGAGTCCATAAAAAACCCGTACATATATGGATATTTGATTTATGGCAAAGATGGCACTGCCGAATTGTCAGTAAATGATAGTCATTTTACATAAATGGTGCCAACCAATTAGATAAACATATGGGGAAAAATGAGTCTTGACCCCTATCTCACAGCACACACAAGTTAATTCAAGGTGGTATAATCCAAATGTGAAGGTAAAACTAGAAAACTCCTAGGAAATAACCATAATTCACCCGAGATCAAATAGATAATGATCCTGTATTAAAGAAATTGAATTCACCCAGAGGGTTTCACTGGTGAATTATACCAAAAATTTAAAGAATAAACAAAACTAATTCTACACGATCTGTTCCAGAAACTAGAAGAGGAGAGAACACTTCCTGAGGAGCCCGGCATGACCTTAATACCAAAACCACACAAAGACACTACAAAAACCTAAAGATCAACACCCATTAGGAACACAGACATGAAAATCCTCAACAAAATATTAGCAGATGAAATGCAGCAATATATACAAGGAAATAATACACCATGACCAAATGGGGTTTATCTAGAGAATACAAGACTGGCTTAAAGCCTGGTACAGTGGCTCATGCCTATAATCCCAGCATTTTAGGAGGCTGAGGTGGGAGGATGGCTTGAGCTCAGAAGTTCAAGACCAGCCTGGGCAACATAGTAAGACCCTGTCTCTACCAAAAAAAAAAAAAAATCCCAAGAAATCTGAGGAAAATAAAAACCTCCTATAATTAATAAGTTAATTCAGCAATCTCAAACTCTTGGGCTCAAGGGATCTTCCTGTCTCAGCCTCCTGATTAGCTGGGACTATAGGCACAGCTACTATGCATGGTTAATTTTTAATAACATTTTTGTAGAGACAGGGTCTCACTTTGTTGCCCAGGCTGGTCTTGAACTCTTGGGCTCAAGCCATTCTCCCACATCAGCCTCCACAAAGTCCTGGGATTACAGGTGCGAGCCACTGAACTCAGCCAATCATATTTCTATATACCACCAATGGGTCATTGGAAGCTGAAATTTAAAAAATACTATTTATAATAGTTCCAAAAATGAAATACTTAGATATAAATCTAATAGGACACACATAAGATCTATGTAAAAATTACAAAATTATGAGGGGAAAAAAATCAAAGAAAATCTGAATAAATGAGCCAGGCGCGATGGCTCATGCCTGTATTCCCAGCACTTTGGGAGGCTGAGGCAGACGGATCACTTGAGGTCGGGGGTTCGAGACCAGCCTGGCCAACATGGTGAATCCCTGTCTCTACTAAAAATACAAAAAAGTAAGCCAGGCCTGGTGGCGTGTGCCTGTAATCCCAGCTACTTGGGTGGCTAAGACATGACAATCACTTGAACCCGAGAAGGGGAGGTTGCAGTGAGTCGAGATTGTGCCACTGCACTCCAACCTGGGTGACAGAGCAAGACTCTATCTCAAAAAAAAGAAAAAAACAAAACAAAAAAAACAAAAACCAATCTGAGTAAATGGAAAGATATACTGTGCTCAGTAATTGGAAGATTCAGAATAGTAAAGACTCAATTCTCAAATGTATGTATAGATTTAATGCAATTCCAACTAAAAAAAAAAGTGTTAGGCCAGGCGTGGTGGCTCACGCCTGTAATCCCAGCACTTTGGGAGGCTGAGGCGGGCGGATCACAAGGTCAGGAGATCAAGACCATCCTGGCTAACACGGTGAAACCCCGTCTCTACTAAAAAAGATACAAAAATTTAGCCAGGTGTGGTGGCGGGCGCCTGTAGTCCCAGCTACTCAGGAAGCTGAGGCAGGAGAACAGCATGAACCTGGGGGGCGGAGCTTGCAGTGAGCCGAGATGGCGCCACTGCACTCCAGCCTGGGTGACAGAGCGAGACTCTGTCTCAAAAAAAAAAAAAAAAAAAAAAAAGTCTTAGCAGGATATTTTTGTAGATAAAGAACATCTGACTCTAATTATACATGGAAAGGCAAAGGAAGTAGAATAACAAAAACAAGTTTTAAAAACAAGAATGATGTTAGAGAAAATAAACTTCCTGATTTTAAAATTTACTCCAAAGCTACAATAATCAAGACTGTATGGCATAGGCAAAGAGACAATGGAACAGAATAGAAAATCTACACAAATATGTCCAACTGATTTATTACAGAGGTGCAAAGAAAATTCAATGAAGAAAGGATTATATTTTCCATAAATGGTACTGAAACATTTGGACATCCATATGCAAAATGTCAGCTTCGACTTCACCTCACATCTCATACAAAAATAAACTTAAAATGGATCATAGACCTAAATGTAAAACCATAATTCTTTTAGAAGGAAATAAAGGAGAAAATTCTAATGAACTAAGGTTAGGCAGAGTTCTTAGACATAACAATCCATTAAGGAAACAAAATCAATAAATTGGACTTAATTAAATTTTTAAATGTTTGCTCTGCAAAAGACAGAAGAGAATGGAAAGACAAGCTCCAGATACGGAGAAAATATTTGCAAACTATATATCCATTGGAGGACTTGGGTTTTTTTTGTTTTGTTTTTGTTTTTTTTTTTTGAGACAGAGTCTTACTCTGTCACCCAGGCTGGAGTGCAGTGGCATGATCTTGGCCCACTGCAACCTCTGCCTCCCGGGTTCAAGCAATTCTCCTGCCTCTGCCTCCCGAGTAGCTAGGACTACAGGCACGTGCTACCAAGCCCAGCTAATTTTTGTATTTTTAGTAGAGACAGGGTTTCACCATGTTGGCCAGGCTGGTCTCGAACTCCTGCCCTCAGATGATCCTCCCACCTCAGCCTCCCAAAGTGCTGGGACTACAGGCGTGAGCCACCATGGCTGGCCCCTTTGGAGGACTTGTACACAGAATATATAAAGAACTCTCAAAACTCAATGTAAGAAAACAAACAACCTGATTTAAAAATTGGCAAAAAGATTGAACAGATACTCCACCAAAGAAAATATATGGATGGCAAGTAAACACACCAAAATATGTCCAACATAATTTACCATTAGGAAAGTACATGTTAGAGCCACACTGAGATACCAATATACATCCATCAGAAGGTAGAAAATTTAAAAATCTAGTAATACCAGAGGTACAAGGAGGAGCTGGTACCATTCCTTCTGAAACTATTCCAATTAATAGAAAAAGAGGGAATCCTCCCTAACTCATTTTATGAGGCCAGCATCATCCTGATACCAAAGCCGGGCAGAGACACAACAAAAAAAGAGAATTTTAGACCAATATCCTTGATGAACATTGATGCAAAAATCCTCAATAAAATACTGGCAAAACGAATCCAGCAGCACATCAAAAAGCTTATCCACCATGATCAAGTGGGCTTCATCCCTGGGATGCAAGGCTGGTTCAATATACGCAAATCAGTAAATGTAATCCAGCATATAAACAGAACCAAAGACAAAAACCACATGATTATCTCAATAGATGCAGAAAAGGCCTTTGACAAAATTCAACAGCCCTTCATGCTAAAATCTCTCAATAAATTAGGTATTGATGGGACGGATCTCAAAATAATAAGAGCTATCTATGACAAACCCACAGCCAATATCATACTGAATGGGCAAAAACTGGAAGCATTCCCTTTGAAAACTGGTACAAGACAGGGATGCCCTCTCTCACCACTCCTATTCAACATAGTGTTGGAAGTTCTTGCCAGGGCAGTTAGGCAGGAGAAGGAAATAAAGGCTATTCAATTAGGAAAAGAGGAAGTCAAATTGTCCCTGTTTGCAGACGACATGATTGTATATCTAGAAAACCCCATTGTCTCAGCCCAAAATCTCCTTAAGCTGATAAGCAACTTCAGCAAAGTCTCAGGATACAAAATCAATGTGCAAAAATCACAAGCATTCTTATACACCAACAACAGACAAACGGAGAGCCAAATCATGAGTGAACTCCCATTCACAACTGCTTCAAAGAGAATAAAATACCTAGGAATCCAACTTACAAGGGATATGAAGGACCTCTTCAGGGAGAACTACAAACCACTGCTCAAGGAAATAAAAGAGGATACAAACAAATGGAAGAACATTCCATGCTCATGGGTAGGAAGAATCAATATCGTGAAAATGGCCATACTGCCCAAGGTAATTTACAGATTCAATGCCATCCCCATCAAGCTACCAATGCCTTTCTTCACAGAATTGGAAAAAACTACTTTAAAGTTCATATGGAACCAAAAAAGAGCCTGCATCGCCAAGTCAATCCTGAGCCAAAAGAACAAAGCTGGAGGCATCACACTACCTGACTTCAAACTGTACTACAAAGCTACAGTAACCAAAACAGCATGGTACTGGTACCAAAACAGAGATATAGATCAATGGAACAGAACAGAGCCCTCAGAAACAACGCCGCATATCTACAACTATCTGATCTTTGACAAACCTGAGAAAAACAAGCAATGGGGAAAGGATTCCCTATTTAATAAATGGTGCTGGGAAAACTGGCTAGCCATATGTAGAAAGCTGAAACTGGATCCCTTCCTTACACCTTATACAAAAATTAATTCAAGATGGATTAAAGACTTAAGCGTTAGACCTAAAACCATAAAAGCCCTAGAAGAAAACCTAGGCATTACCATTCAGGACACAGGCATGGGCAAGGACTTCATGTCTAAAACACCAAAAGCAATGGCAACCAAAGCCAAAATTGACAAATCGGAACTAATTAAACTAAAGAGCTTCTGCACAGCAAAAGAAACTACCATCAGAGTGAACAGGCAACCTACAAAATGGGAGAAAACTTTCGCAACCTACTCATCTGACAATGGGCTAATATCCAGAATCTACAAAGAACTCAAACAAATTTACAAGGAAAAAACAAACAACCCCATCAAAAAATGGGCAAAGGACATGAACAGACACTTCGCAAAAGAAGATATTTATGCAGCTAAAAAACACATGAAAAAATGCTCACCATCACTGGCCATCAGAGAAATGCAAATCAAAACCACAATGAGATACCATCTCACACCAGTTAGAATGGCAATCATTAAAAAGTCAGGAAACAATAGGTGCTGGAGAGGATGTGGAGAAATAGGAACACTTTTACACTGTTGGTGGGACTGTAAACTAGTTCAACCATTGTGGAAGTCAGTGTGGCGATTCCTCAGGGATCTAGAACTAGAAATACCATTTGACCCAGTGATCCCATTACTGGGTATATACCCAAAGGACTATAAATCATGCTGCTATAAAGACACATGCACACGTATGTTTATTGCAGCATTATTCACAATAGCAAAGACTTGGAACCAAGCCAAATGTCCAACAATGACAGACTGGATTAAGAAAATGTGGCACATATACGCCATGGAACACTATGCAGCCATAAAAAATGATGAGTTCATGTCCTTTGTAGGGACATGGATGAAATTGGAAATCATCATTCTCAGTAAACTATCGCAAGGACAAAAAACCAAACACCGCATGTTCTCACTCATAGATGGGAATTGAACAATGAGAACACATGGACACAGGAAGGGGAACTTCACACTCTGGGGACTGTTGTGGGGTGGGGGGAGGGGGGAGGGATAGCATTGGGAGATATACCTAATGCTAGATGATGAGTTAGTGGGTGCAGCGCACCAGCATGGCACATGTATACATATGTAACTAACCTGCACATTGTGCACATGTACCCTAAAACTTAAAGTATAATAATAATAAATAAATAAAAAAGAAAAAAAAGAACAAAATACTTAGGAATAAATTTAACCAAGGAGGCAAAGACTTATACATTGAAAACTGTAAGAAAGAAAGTAAAGGAGACATAAGTAAATGAAAAGATATCTGTGTTCATGAATTGAAAGACTTAATATTGTTAACATGATAATATTATGCAAAACGGTTTGCAGATTCAAAGCATTCCCCATCAGAATTCCAATGGTCTTTTTTTGCAGAAATAAAAAACCCTGTCCTTAAAGTTCACGTGTAATATTAAGTGACCCTTAAATGACAAATCAATCATAAAAAAGAAGAACAAAGTTGGAAGACTCATACTTTCTGATTTCAAAGCTTACTACAAAGCTACACTAATCAAAACATTGTGGTACTGGCATAAGGATAGACATATAGACCAAGAAATAAACCCTTGCATATATTGATTTTCAACGAGATTTTCAATGAGAGCGCCAGGACCATTCGACATGGAAAGGATAGTCTAGACTTTCCAACAAATGGTGCTGGGAAAACTGAATGTCCACAAGCAAAAGAATGACGTTGGCCTCTAACTTTATACCACATACAAAAATTAACTCAAAAAAGATCAAAGATCTAAACATAAGAGCTAAAACTATAAAACTTTTAGAAGAAAACATAGGAGAGAATCTTCATGACATTGGATTTGGCAATGATTTCATGGATATGACGCCAAAAGCAAGGCAATAAAAGGAAAGAAAATTTTGACTTCATCAAAATAAAAAACTTCTGCGCATCAAAGGACACTATCAAGAGAATGAAAAGACAACCCACAGAATGAGAGAAAATATTTGGAAATCATGTATCTGATAAGGGGTTAACATCCAGAATATATTTTAAAAATTCCTATAACTCAACAACAAAAAAAGAAACAACCTAACTTAAAAATATGCAAAGGACTTGAATAGACAGTTCTCCAAAGAAGATATATAAATGGCCAATAAGTACATAAAAAGATGTTCATTAATCATTAGGGAAATGCAAATGAAAACCACAATGAGATACCAATTCACACCCGTTAGGATACCCATTATAAAAAATGATAAATAGGTCGGGTGTGATGGCTCACGCCTGTAATCTCAGCACTTTGGGAGTCCAAGGCAGGCGGATCACATGAGGTCAGGAGTTCGAGACCAGCCTTGCCAACATGGTGAAACCCCATCTCTACTAAAAATGCAAAAATTAGCCGGGCATGGTGGTACACGCCTGTAATTCCAGCTACTCAGGAGGCTGAGGCAGGAGGATTGCTTGAACCTGGGAGGCAGAGGTTGCAGTGAGCCGAGCTTGCGCCACTGCACTCCAGCCTGGGCAACAGAGCGAGACTCTGTCTCCAAAAAAAAAGATAAATAAAAATTGTTAGTGAGGATGTGGAGAAATTGGAACCCTTGTGCGTTACTGGCAGTAATGTAAAATGGTGCAGTCACTGTGGAAAACAAGTTTGGTGGTTCCTTAAAAAGTTAAGCATAGAATTACCATATGATCCAGAAATTCCACTTCTACATATATATATACAAACAAATTGAAAGCAGGAAGTCAAGCATACACTTGTATGCCAATGTTTATAGCAGCATTATTCATAATAGACAATGGTAGGAACAACCCTAAATGCCCATTAGCAGATGAATGGATGAACAAAATGTGGTCAGCCTTAAAAAGAAATGAAATTCTGTTGGATCCTACAATATGGATGAATCTTGAAAACACTAGATGAAATGAAAGAAGACAAACACAAAAGGACAAATATTGTATGACTTCACTTATATGAGGTACCTAGAACAGGTAAGTTCATAGAGACAGAAAGTAGAGCTTTACTACAAGAAAAATATTTTTCAAAAACTGTAAAAGAAAGCATCTAACAGTTCTAATTGCCTAAAAACTTGAAAAAAATCCAAATGTCTTCCATGGGTGAGGGGACAAACAAGATATGACACATCCATATGCTTGAACACTGCTCAGCAATAAAATGGAAAGAGCTGTTAATACATGTAACAATGGATGAATTTCAAAAAAACCATTCTGAGTGAAAGAAGCCAGTTTTAAAAGGTACCGTATGATTCTATTTTTGTGGCATTCTTGAAAGGACAATACTATAGTCATGAAGAACAGATCAATGGTTGCTAGGGGTTACAGGTGAAGGGAGGATGTGGCTCTAAAGAGGTAGCATGAGGGATTTTGGAACCGTTGTGTACTCTGATCATGGTGGTGGTTACGCAAATCTCTATATATGTTCAAACTCATAGAACTGCACACCAAGAGAAAGTCAATTTCACTGTATGATGTAAAAATGATCTAAAAATGTAAAAGTATTGTAATACCATAATCAAAAAATTAATGTGAGATTTAAGAGGCTAGAACTCTACTATAAAAGCCTTACAAAGCTGTTGAAATCAAAGGGCTTGAAAAAGTGATAGAGAAGAAATCCCATATAATAAAATTATGTTTATTCTTCTAAATTTTCTATAATTTCACAAACATTTAAAGAAGGATATATGGCAAAACTTGTATTTCAGTAAAGCAAAACCGTGTTTCAGCCCCTGGCCTTAATCACTACATTCAGATCAGAACTTGCCCTTAAAGAGAAAAAAAAAAATTAACATATATACTTATGCACAAAATCAAAGTCAAATCATACTAGGTTTGACTACCATATTGGGCTGTTATGTGGCACAAGTGAAATAACGTAAATCAAAGTCATGTGAAACTGTCTTATTACTAAAGTTTAAAAAAACACAATTGAACAAGATGGGATAGCCTTTAAACATTTTTATACGACAGTTCCCAGATCATAGCTACTATCAGCCAGTGTTCTGGGTTCTTAATCTGCTGTGTCATGTTGCCTACTAATACACAGAGACAGTCATTGATCAGTGATTATAAACCTAGGTAAACAAACGATTCTTAGCTTTGTTGTTAATGAAACACTGATCTTTCTCTGTTTTTTTTTTTTTGAGACAGAGTCTGGCTCTGTCGCCCAGGCTGGAGTGCAGTGGCGTTATCTCGACTCACTGCAAGCTCTGCCTCCCGGGTTCCTGCCATTCTCCTGCCTCAGCCTCCCAAGTAGCTGGGACTACAGGCGCCCGCCACCACGCCTGGCTAATTTTTTGTATTTTGTATTTTTAGTAGAGAAGGGGTTTCACCGTGTTAGCCAGGATGGTCTCGATCTCCTGACCTTGTGATCCGCCCGCCTCAGCCTCCCAAAGTGCTGGGATTACAGGCGTGAGCCACCGCGCCCAGCCAACACTGATCTTTCTCACAACATCAAAGATCAGAAATGAACTGTTGGTATCTGGAATGACTCTGTACTTGCTTCCATTGGGTTTTAGATTCACTTCCTTTTTCTGTTCTCTGGAGACAGAGCACAGCTGTTAAGCATCGTTTTATAAGAGTGTTTTCTTCTAGAAATTTCCCAAGGGCCATTACTAAGTGTCAGAAATATTGGGAAGACCATAACAGATTTGTATATGAGTCACTTTGCATCTGCATACGGTTAAGTGCACTTACAGCATGATTTGAATAAAATAAGAAGGTAAAATGAAGCATTTAATTATAGCTTAACTGGAGATTACTATTTTTAGATTTTCAGTTGCTGATTATCCTTGCATATAGGAAGGCAGAATTGTCTTCTCAAGAGTATATTGTCACAGAGCCTTGAACATTGTCCTTCTAAGATCTCTTTTCAAAATTTCGTAGTTCAAACAGAAGCTCTCTCTTGAGTTCCCTACATTTCTAAATTGCAGAACAGGCACTGTCATGGCTAAAGTGTCTGCTAATTGCCAGAGGTGCTAAAAGTTCCTCTCCATCTTCAAAAAGCCCATGTTCTCAATAGCATCCAAGATGAAGAGAATAGAAGGAACAACAGGCTAGAAGGGAAACATCAGGACTCTTTAACTGCAAATGGTTAATCAAGTCTCCATCCACTCAGGTCTATAGAAAGACCCATAATAGGAATCTTCCAGAGGCTAAGATACACTCACAGTCCAGGGCACTGTACCTTTCCCAATGGGACTCTAAGTGATTCATCCTCCAGGAAGGTTCAGAAGCAGTCAGGACAGGGCCACCAGGTGTTCTGGTGGAAGGGACCATGTAATATGTTGAGTTTTTACAATTTGAACTCTGGACATCCAGAGAACTACAAACCTATTGGGGTCAAACAGGACATCACAGCCTTGGTGAAAAGAATTGCTGGCATTTCCATTTTCAAATTAAGCAAGCCTCAGCCCTGAGCTATCTTGAAATACTGCAATCTCAAAATGGTATGAGGAGTTGAATGTTGCAGGAAAGAAAGCCAACTTCAAATTGATTTGTTCCAAGTCTAGAAAAGCTTGTGGCCTGGTTTTACGATCAAGTGGTTGTTTTAAAATTGCACAGGGCTTACTGAAGGATGTGTTTCCTTTACAATGAGCTCATAAGACTACAGATTGGGGTGAAGGATAAGAAGAGTGTGAAAAATATAAGATTACCATTTCGATGTAGCTTTCTTCGTCTTCTCTGGAAACAGGATTAGCAAAAAATCTTGCAGAATTAATACCATTTCTTTCTGGAGAGAGAAAGCTGGTTCGACTGCTAAGAATAAAAATATAGATGAGGTCAAAGCAATGTCTTACAGCTGCTCTGAAAGCTGGCCAGGAACTAACATGGCCCTCATGGGGTTTCAGCCCTCCTCTTCCAGACACAACTTCCTTCCGGCCAAAGCAATTCCTGAAGAGGCACAAAATGCCCAACAGTTTCTGCTCCACTTTGGGGCAAATGGCTCCCAATTCACAAAGGCTGCTTTTTCTCAGGCCCTCTATGTGACACAGCTCATGAGCTTTCTAAACGGACGAGGGCATCATATCATTTAGCAAAAAAAAAAAAAAAAAAAAAAAATACTCCTTTGGGGCCTTCTTGTTTCTATTCAATGTAAGGAAAAGTGAGGAAGTATGGCCATTCCTCTGATAGGACACAAGACTGCCAATCAACTCCCATCCTTCTCCTGAGTCAGAAGCATGAGCTGAGTCACAGTCTTGGCTGGAAATACAGCTCATTGCAGAATTCTGCTTTACAATGCAATTGTGTTTTGTGGCATTTAGAGTGAACCGAGAAACTCCTGAGCCAAGCTCAGGACTAAAAATGCAACTTCTAAAAGGTGAGATGAAAGGGTGCAATTACATTTTGAAGTCTGTCTACCCAGCCCGTGAACCTGGGAACTCCCTTGTCCTACCCCATTCACAAAGTTGGGCTTGGGCCATAGCCAGTTCCACTGAGACTGGGGAACACAATTCTCTCTCCCCAGGAAATCTGAATTGGCACTGAAAAAGAGCCCATCTGTTGGTACTGGAGTTGTAGCATGCAAACAAGTTCAGGGGGTATGGTACAGCTATCTTTGACCATGAGGATTGTGCAATAGAAAAGAATACTGCAAAGACAAAGGAATGCACAGATGTGAAGAGTGAAGCAGAAGTGAGTAGATTCCTTGGGTTCCCAACAGCACACTAGTTCCTGATTCCAGGATCCTGGGAGACCCAGACATATTCCTTCCTTTGTGATCCATAAAACAGCTCTTGCTCTCGATAATAAACCTCACCCCTCCTTTGGCTTAAGCTAGATCAGATGGGCTTCAACTACATTTAATCAGAGGCCTAACACACACCGGGGTGTCTGTGCTGGATGAGGCTCTTTTGAGCAATCAGTCTTACCAAGGCACAGTGCGGGTCCTGGTAAGAGATGCATGTTCCCGGATGATCGAGAGGTTTCTCAGGTCCAGAGGAGGTGGCCGTGCTACAAGACAGTGTGCAACATCCAGGAGGTCAAGGCCAGAGTCTAAAGACTGTAAAACTATGACATTTCACTTTCCCAGCACACCAAATCCACATTTACTAACAGGCAGCACTGATGATGAGGGTGAATTTCACTGTCCTCCTCTTCCCTGCCTCACTGGGAGTAAAGACAAATACTGAGCAAATGGTCACATTACCTGCTGGAGGTAACAACGTGGCAAGGCATTATTAAGAAGTCTCTGTATATCACGCGTGCTTCTAGGTGTCGAAGGCACAGGATGAATAAAGCAGATGAAAGTCTCTGACCTTGTGGAATTGCAACATCTATTACCTCACACCCGATGTGTCTGAAGTGGAAATGTTACCTTTCTTATCACAGGCAGAGATGATCACCCAGGTCCTAGTCTTCCCCACCTACAATCCATTGTCCACCTGATGATCCTTCTGCCTAGAACATTCTATCCCATCTCTTTGCCTCTAGACAAGATCAGGCCCCACAGCCTGGGCTCTCAAGTTCTTGTACTTACCCTTCACAGCACAGCCCCAGTTTGTGATAATACACTCATCTATGATTTATCTGGACCTAAACTGTGCTCCAGGAGAATAGGGGTGTATCTGGTTTGTTCACTGCAGTAGTCTCAGCACCTAGAAAAGCACTTGGTATCTGCCCCAACCCTTATTCCACCTCAGTGGCCCATCTTCTTGAGTTAGTCCTGGCTCAGGTATCCACCTTTGCATCCACTCATTAAATCTCCAACCCTGAGTCTGTCAGACATCTTCTGTTGCCTATCACAAGGTCCTGCAGAGCTGCACTGTCCATTGTCGTGACAACTAGCCACACGTGCCCATTTAGACATATATGTACATTTATTAAAATTAAATACAATTTAAAATGTAGTTCCTCAGTCACATTAGCCAAATTTCAAGGGTTCAATAGCCATTATCTCCAACATCACAGAAAGTTCTGTTGTTGTTTAATTGTTTCTGACCAGAATTAATGGCTATTTCCTCTGAACCTCATAAGACAGGGTCTGTTCTCCTATTTAGCACTGATTTCATAATTCTATTTCATGGTCCAGGTGGATTTTACATATCTTCCTCCCCCTCAGACTGAAGAACCCTCCTTGCTCCCTCATCTTTGTATCCCACCCAGTGCCCACCACAGCAATACATATGCAGCGCATGCATTGTAAATGTATAAATGTATTTTGACTGAAATTTAAGGGAATATGCCTGGAGTAGACCAGGCATGAGTAGGGGTCTTAGTTGGCAGCTTTGGGCACAGCCACCTGAAGTGACTTTTTTTGCTTTCTAAAGGGCAAAGAGAAGTTGGAATGCACGAGAGATCAGTCATTCTACCAATGCTTCCTTGTAATCACACAGCCAACTGGGAAGGGGAGGATGAGCAAGAATGAAGTTAAAAAGTCACTCTGACCTGCTCTTCCTCTTTCCCTCTTTTCCTATCTATCTCTCTGTCTGTCTGTGCTGCTTAGCAAACCAGAGAAGCTGCCTGGGAGTAAGACAGAAGCTGCAAGGCACCCCGTGCACAGAGGAGTCAGCCTGCTCATTGCCAAAATCCTCTTCTATCCCTGAATACCTCTGCTGACGGGCATGCACAGAACGATGAGTGATAAACTGCATGTGACTGGGTCTGACCTTCAGGAATTGGTGTCAAAGGCTATTCCTGACTGCCTTACAGAGGCTGGCACTATGATTACATTCAAGTGCTGTCTAATGAGGAGATGCCAGGTGGGATTCCATTCTAATCCACCATCACTTATTCCTGGGCCTTTGTTAGGGAAACAGCCAAAGACGAGCCCTCTGGAATGAACTTGGCTTTGTCAGCTGTATTTGCAAGGCCACAGTGCCTGTAAGTCTCCTGACTCCTATTATCATGACAATCTGGGGCAGCAAGGTGCCCCAGCCCTTCCTATTCCAACCCAGCCACTTCTTTCCTGACCTTACACTTTCCGGCCCTCTGGGGTGGTTTCTCTAGGTCTTCCTTTACAGAAACCTTTTCTATGCAACCACCGGAACCTTGCTCCCCTACCCCTGTACAGCAGGCCTGGTCAAGTGCTTACATTTCCTCTGAGGCTTGAGATCTCTATTCACTGGGGGAGGTTCCAGGTTTGCAGGCAGCTCAGGCAACGGGCTTGAGATGCTTCCTGAGTTCATTGGAATGTAGTCATCAGGGCTGCAGTGGGGTCCAAGACCAGAGGCACCAGCCTGGGGGCTCATGGGCACATAGCTGTCTTCGATACTGGCTGAAGCTGTGGGGTACATCGGGGAGAACCTGCATGGCTGCAAAAGAATAGATACAGATTGGGAACCACAGACCAGTCATGGAAACTGCTATCAGAGGGCGGCCAAAGCTGTACATATGGTTTCAGTTCCAAATTATCCAAGTATAACTCTGAACTTCCTCAGCAAAGTCAGACAAGCCTCTAGCTCAAGTTCTGCCTCTGGACTTATCGTTTTAGTATAGGCGATAAGTCTCCAAGATCTGACACTGGAAGACAGAGGGTTATGAGTTTATGCAAATGCTTTAAGCATAAAGTGATGCCTTAAGTAGCTATACCAAGTTGAGCAAGTGTCTGAACCATTAGAACCAATAAGGCCCTTATAGAACACCAAGTCCTGTAGTTCCCAAGCAAGTTCAAGTCTTCAGGGGAGACTGGAAGATTCCTCAGAGACTCAGAGTGCTGAATCTTAAAGATTTCAAGGGAATATACATAGATCAAGCTGTTTTTGGTAAAATTGATGCTTAAAAGAACCTGAATGTTGAACTTACCAAATTCAAACTAAGCCGCTTGTCTCGGTGTCTTAAGGATTGGCCTTCTACATCAGCTGCAAGAAATAAGCCAAGGTGGTGAGAAATGCAGAACAATATCAACTGAAACTAGAGTCCAGAGAGGCAGAGAAGCATAACACAACAGTTGCTATTAGAGTCTAGCTGGGCAGTCAGAACACATTTCCCCAACAGATGAAAAATCAGACCAGATTTTGAAGAAGTTTCTAGCCAATGGTTTGAGTTCTCTCTGTGAAATAGGAGGAGACATAGCAAGTAATTAACAAATTCTTATTGCATTTATTACATAAATCTTCTGAACTGGAGGCAGAACTGGAGGTTTGAGGAGAGGAGAGAGGTTTGAAATATTCCTTGTAACGAGCAGGAGAACAGGGTGAACAGAGAAACGATTGCCTTGTGGAGCAGCATTAAGGGCCCAATTGAGGTCTGTGACCAGAAAAGCTACTCAGGTAGACGCATGGAGAGAAAGGACATTTGGAGTTATCCAGGATTAGAAACTCATCAGATGGATGCAAGAAACAGTGTGATATTAAAATTTAGAATAATTTAGACCATAAGAGTAGATGAAACTATCTAGGTTGCAAGTGTTGAGAAAAATACAAAACTCTAGAGAATCCTAAGACTCAAAGAACTAAGAGATAAGTCAGTGAAGTATCTTGAGAAAGAGCAACCATAGATTAATGAGGAAACTTGGGGGTATGGTGCCATGAAAGCCTCAGGAAGGAAAGAATGGCCAACAGTGTTGAGTGGTGCAGAGAAGTTCAGCAAGTGCTCCCAGCATGTGGTGGCCAGAGCAAAGTGGCCCTCAGCCCTCAGCCCTCAAGAGCTTGGAGGTGTGAAAAGTCAGGAGGCCTCTAAGAAATAAACTTAAAATTCGACAACATCTTAAAATGCAAGGACAACTCCCAGCTCGGAAAAGATGTGACAGAGACTGATGGAATTAAGCATATATATTATATATACATATATGTGTATGTATATATGTATATATCTATGCTTACATATGTTTAAAGATGTACAAGTACTGGTTAAAAACTACTCTGAAGTCAGACTGTCTAGTTATAAATCCCTACACCACCATGTATTAGCTGTATGGCACTAGACAAGTTACTTACCCTCTCTATGTCTCAGTTTCCTATTTGTAAAGTGAAGCCAATAATATAACCTATTTCATAGGACTTCTGGAAAGGACATAGAACACTGCCTAGAACACAGAAAGTACTTAATAATTCTTAGAAACTATTATGGAATAATTTCTCATTGTGGGACTTGCATGTGTGAGCACAAGCCCTTAACTCCCTTTCCACTACCAGACCCTTTTAAAGCCATCAAATAACATAAATATAGAGAAAACTCTGAATCAAAGACATAGGTATAATCCATGTGCCAGATAATTTAAGAGATTTGTGACAGATAGAATGCAGATGGGATCAGAGTAAAGGAAGGCACTTTTTCTCTTATATGACAGCATTCATTGCAAGCTTCCTGAAATGCCCTTGGGCCTTAAGGGAACATGGGCAGACAGTACTCCCCATGGCCTGGGGTGGTGATAGCTATGGAGTGAGGCTCCTCTGCCTTATATTGGGAAAAACCTAAACACTACACAAGAAAACTATTAGAACTAATACACAAATTCAGTAAAGTTGCAGGCCACAAAATCAACATAGAAAAATCAGTAGCATTTCTATATGCCAACAGTGAACAATCTGTAAAAGAAATTAAAAAGTAATCCCATATACAATAGCCACACAAAAACTTAAATACCTAGGAATTAACTTAACCAAAGAAGTGAAAGACCTCTATAATGAAAACTATGAGACAATATTGAGGGAAATTGAAGAGTACACCAAAAAATAGAAAAATATTCCATGTTCATGTACTGGAAGAATCAACATTATTTAAATGTCCATACTACCCAAAGCAATCTACAGATTCAATGCAATCCCTACCAAAATACCTATTAAAGTCTTCACAGAAATAGAAAAAAAATCCTAAAATTTGTATGGAACCATGAAAGACCCAGAATAGCCAAAGCTATCCTAAGCAAAAAGAACAAAACTGGAAGAATCACATTACCTGACTTCAAATTATACTACAGAGCTATGGTAACCAAACAGCATGGTGCTGGCATAAAAACAGACACATAGACCAATGGAACAGAATAGGGAACTCAGAAACAAATCCACACACCTACAGTGAACTCATTTTTGACAAAGGTGCCAAGAACATACACTGGGAAAAAGATAGGCACATAAATAAATGGTGTTGGGAAAACTGGATATCCATACACAGAATAATTAAACTAAGACCCCTATCTCTCACCATATACAAAAATCAAATCTAAATGGATTAAACACTTAAATCTAAGACATCGAACTATAAAACTACTACAAGAAAACATTAGGGAAAAAACGCTAAGGCATCAAACTATAAAACTACTACAAGAAAACATTAGGGAAAATCTCGAAGACATTTGCCTGGACAAAAAAATTCTTCAGCAGTACACCAAAAGTACAGACAACCAAAGCAAAAATGGACAAATGGGATCACATGAACTTGAAAAACTTCTGCACAGCAAAGAATACAATCAACAGAGTGAAGAGACAACCCACAGAATGGGAGAAAATATTTGCAAACTACCCATCTGACAAGGGATTAATAAACAGAATATTTAAGAAGCTCAAACAACTCTATAGGAAAAAAGTCTAATAATCTGATTAAAAGATGGAACAAAGATTTGAATACACATTTCTCAAAAGAAGACAAACATATGACAAACAGGCATATGAAAAGGTGCTCAATGTTACTGATCATCAGAGAAATGCAAATCAAAACTGTCTCAAAAGAGACATACATGCAGCCAACAAGGATACAAAAAAGCTCAACATCATTGATCACTAAAGAAATGTAAATCAAAACCACAATAACATGCCATCCCACACCAGTCAGAATGGTTATTATTAAAAAGTCAAAAAATAACAGATGCTGGTGAGGTTGCAGAGAAAAGGGAATGCTTATAAACTGTTTTTGGGAATGTAAATTAGTTCAACCATTGTGGAAAACAGTGTGGTGATTCCTCAAAGACCTAAAAACAGAAATACCACTCAACCCAGCAGTCCCATCACTGGATATATACTCAAAGGAATATAAATCATTCTAACATAAAGACACATGCACGCATATGTTCATTTCAGCACTATTCACAATAGCAAAGACATGGAATCAACCTAAATGCCCATCGATGACAGATTGGATAAAGAAAATGTGGTCCATATACACCATGGCATACTATGCAGCCATAAAAAATAATGAGATCATGTCCTTTGCAGGAACATATACAGAGCTGGAGGCCACTGTTCTTAGCAAACTAACGCAATAACAGAAAACCCAATACCACATGCTCTCACTTATAAAAGTCAGAGCTAAATGATGAGAACACATGGACACATAGAGGGGAGCAATAGACACTGGGGCCTATTGGAGGGCAGAGAATGGTAAGAGGGAAAGGATCAGAAAAAATAACCAATGGATACGAGGCTTAATACCTGGGTGATGAAATAGTCAACAAACCCCTATGACACAAGTTTACCTATTTAATAAACCTACACATGTACCCCTGAACTTAAAACAAAAGTTAAAATAAAAAATATATTTAAAAACTGCAATGAGATTATCATCTCACCCCAGTTAATATGGCTTATATCCAAAAGACAGGCAATAACAAATGCTTGTGAGGATGTGGAGAAAAGGGAACCTTTGTACACTGTTGGCAGGAATGTAAATTAGTACAACCACTATGGAGAAGTTTGGAGGTTCCTCAGAAAACTAAAAATCGAGCTACCATAGATCCAGCAATCCCACTGCTGGGTATATACCCCAAAGGAAGGAAATCAGTGTATCAAAGAGATACCTGCACTCCTATGTTTGCTGCAGCAGTATTCGCAGTAGCCAAGATTTGGAAGCAACCAAAGTGCCCATCGACAGATAAATAGATAAAGAAAATGTGGTACATATATACGATAGAGTACTCTTCAGCCATAAAAAAGAATGAGATCCCATCATTTGCAACAACACGGATTGAACTGGAGGTCATTAAGGAGGTTAAGTGAAAGAAGCCAGGTACAGAAAGACAAATGTCACATGTCCTCACTTATTTGTGGAATCTAAAAATCAAAACAATTGAACTTATGGGCATAAAGAGTGGAAGAATGGTTGCCAGAGGCTGGGAAAGGTAGCCAGGGTGGGGGGCTGTGGGGGAAGTGGGGATGGTTAATAGATACACAAATTCATTAGACAGAATAAGACCTAATATTTGACCACACAACAGGGTGACTATAGTCAATAATAACTTAATTGTACATTTTTAAATAACAAAAAGAGTGTAATTGGATTGTTTGTAACATGAAGAACAAATGCATGATGTGATTATTTCACATTGTATGCCTGTATCAAAACATCTCATGTACCCTGTAAATATATACGCCTACCATGTACCCACAAAAATTAAAAAGAAATAAGAAACTATAAAAGCAAGAGCAAACCAAACTGAAAAATAGTATAAGGAAATAAATAATAAAGATCACATCAGAACTACAGAAAAAGTTCGTTCTTCAAAAAGATAAACAAAATCAATAAACCACTAGACTAAGTGGTTTAGTCACTTAGTCAGTAACTAGAGTAAGAAAAAGCGAAGAATGCTCAGATAAATAAAATTAGAACTGAAAAAGGAGGCATTACAATAGTTACCAAAGAAATACAAACGGTTATTAGAGATTGTTTTGAACAATTATACATTAACAAATTTGAAAACCCAGAGGAAAAGGATAAATTCCTGGACACGTAAAACCTACCAAGATTGAATCAGAAAGAACTAGAAAACCTGAACAAACCAATAATGAGTAATGAGATTGAATCAATAATAAAAAAAGGTCTTCCAACAAAGTAAAGCCCAGAAACTTGATGGCTTTACTGCTGAATTCTACCAAACATTTGAAGAAGAGGTGACACCAATGCTTCTCAAACTATCCCCCACAAAATGAAGAAGAGGTGACACCAATGCTTCTCAAACTATCCCCCACAAAATGAAGAGGGAATTCCCTCTCATTCTACGAGACCAGCATCACCCTGATACCAAAACCAGACAAGGACACAAGAAAAAAAAGAAAACTACAGGCCAGTATCTCTGATGAACATAGATGCAAAATCTTCAACAAAATACCAGGTTTAGTACCTAGGTTATGAAATAATCTGTACAACAAACCCAGTGACATGCATTTCCCTATGTAACAAACCTGCACATGTACCCAAAACCTAAAATAAAAGTTTAAAAAATTAAAAAATTAAAAAATACTAGCAACCTGAGTCAAACAATACATCATAAAGATAATACACCATGATCAAGTGGGATTAATCTCAGAGATGCAAGAATGAGACACATCACATCAACAGAATCAAGGATAAAAACCATATGATCATCTCAATAGATGCATAAAAAGCATTTGATAAAATTCAACATCCCTTCATGATTAAAAAAACTATCAACAAACTAGGCATATAAGGAACATACCTCAAAATAATAAAGGCTATATATGACAAACCCACAGACAACATCATAGAGAATGGGGAAATGCTGAAAGCCTTTCCTCCAAGAACTAGAAGAAGAAAAGAATGCCCACTTTCACCACTTTTATTCAACATATTACTGGAAGTCCTGGCCAGAGCAATCAGGCAAAAGAAAGAAATAAAGATATCCAAATTGGAAAAGAGGAAGACAAATTCTCTCTATTTGCACATGACATAATATTAAATACAGGAAAATTTAAAGATGCTACCAAAAAACTCTTAGAACTGATAAATGAATTTAGTAAGTTTGCAGGATACAAAATCAACATACAAAAATCTGTAGCATTTCTATACATCAAACAATGAGCTAGCTGAAAAAGAAAGGAAGAAAGCAATCCCATTTACAATAGCTACAAAAAATTTCCCAGGGATAAATTTAATGAAAGAGGTGAAAGACCTGTACAATGAAAACTAAACTACAAAACACTGATAAAAAGAATTGAAGAGGACACAAACAAATGGAAAGAAGAATTAATATTCTTCTGGATCTGGCCGGGCACAGTGGCTCGCACCTGTAATCCTGGCACTTTGGGAGGCCGAGGCAGGCAGATCACCTTAGGTTGGGAGTTCGAGACCAGCCTGATCAATATGGTGAAACCCCATCTCTACTAATAATACAAAAATTAGCTGGGCATGGTGGGGCATGCGTGTAATCCCAGCTACTCGGGAGGCTGAGGCAGGAGAATCGCTTGAACCTGGAAGGCAGAGGTTGCAGTGAGCCAAGATCGCACCACTGCACTCCAGCCTGGGCGATAGTGCAAGACTCCATCTCAAAAAAAAAAAAAATGCTCATGGATCAGAAGAATTAACATTGTTAAAATGAACATGCTATCCAAAGTTATCTACAGATTTAATGCACTCTCTATCAAAATATCAGTATATCAATTACGTTCTTCACAGAAATAGAAAAAACAATCTTAAAATGTATATGGAACCACAAAAGACCTTGAACATCCAAAGCAATACTGAGCAAAAAGAACAAATCTGGGCTGGACATAGTGGCTTATGCCTGTAATCCCAGTACGTTGGGAAGCTGAGGTGGGAGGATCGCTTGAGGTCAGGAGGTTGAGATCAGCCTGGGCAACATAGCAAGACCCTGCCTCTAAAAAAAAAAATTTTTTTTCAAATTAGTCAAGTGTGGTGGCGTGAGCCTGTAGTCCCAGCAGCTTGGGGGACTGAGGTGGGAGGATTATTTAAGCCCAGAAGTTTGAGGCTGTAGTGATCTATGATCACACCACTGCACTGAAGCCTGGGTGACAGAATGAGACCTTGTTTCTGAAAAAAAAAAAAAAAATTAGAAAGAACAAAGCTGGAGGCATCAAACTACGTCAATTCAAAATATACAAAATTACAATAACCCAAACAGCATGATGATATTGGTATGAAAACAGACACATAGACCAATGGAACAGAATAGAGAACCCAGAAATAAATCCATATTTTATGACGTCAGCATAACATTTTTACCAAAACCAAAGACGTCATGATAAAAGAAAGTTACAGGACAATCTCCCTCATGAACACAGATTTTTTTTGAAGTTCTAAACAAAATATGAGCAAAACAAATCTAGTAATTTATAAAAAGGATAGGTATCATGATAAAGTTGGGTTTATTCCAGAAATGCCAAGGTTAGTTTAGCACTAAAAAAATTATCCAGTGAATTTCTTGACATTAACATGATAAAAATAATATGATTATAAAGTGCTTCAACCACAAAAAATGATAATTATATTAGGTAATGTTTGTTAATTAGCTTGATTTTAATCATTCCATGATATAGATGTATATCAAAACATCATATTGTATCCCATAAATGTATACAATTATTTGTCAGTTAAAAATAAAAGAAATACATCTATTCATGACTTTAGAAAATAACAGTTAGCAAAGTAGAAAATATGTGAATGACTTTAATCTAATGAATGATATCTACAATATTCCACAGCAAACCACATTGTAACGGTGAAATATTAGAAGCTTTCTATCTGAGATCAGGAATGATACAAGGATCCGTATTGTCACCAGGACTATTCAGTAACGTCCTGGACTTCTTATCCCATGCAGTGACATAAGAAAAAGTAATGAAAAATACAAGGGTTGTTAAAGAAAAAACAAAGCTATTATTATTTGCAGGCAATATAATTATATGCAAAGAAAAGACAAAATAATCCATAGTTTTAAAAAGCTGGATATAAAATCAAAATCCAAAACTCAATTTAAGTTTTCATACAACAGCAAAAAACAGTTGACAATAACATAAAAAATAGCAAATACACGGAAATGTATTAATAAGAGATATGTAAAATTTCTACACTAAAAACTATAAAACATTATATACACAAATTAAATAAAATCTACGTTGTACTGGCATAAAAACAGATACATAAACCAAAAGAACAGAATAGAGAGGCCAGAAATACACCCACATGTACATGGTCAACTATGCTTTGACAAGAGAGCAAAGAATACACAATGGAGAAAGGAGAGTCTCTTCAATAAATTGTGTTGGGAAAACTGGATATCCACACGCAAAAGAATGAACTTGGGCCCTTTTCTTATACCATATACAAAAAATTAACTTGAAATGGATTATAGACTTCAATCTAAAATCTAAAACCATTTAGCCCCTAGAAGAAAATATAGGGGGAAAGCTCATTGACATTGGTATTGATTGACAATGATATTTTGGATATGATTCCAAATGCACAGGCAAAAATAGCAAAAATAAACAAGCGGAGCTACATCAAACTAACAAGTGTCTGCTCAGCAAAGGAAACAATCAACAAAATGAAAAGGCAACCTAGAGAATGAGAGAAAATATTTGCAAATCATATAAAAGGGGTTAACAGTAAAAATATATAAGGAACTCACATAACTGAGTAGCAAAAAAACTAAATGACCCAATTTTAAAATGGGCAAAGATCCGAATAGACATTTCTCAAATGGCCAACAGGTATATGAAAAAATGCTCGACATCACTAACCATCATGGAAATGCAAATCAGAACCACACAAGGTATCGGCCCACACCTGTGAGGATGGCTAATATCAAAAAAGACAAGAAATACAAGTGTTGGAGAGCATGTAGAGAAGAGAACCCTTGTACACTGTTGGTGGGAATGTAAATTGGTATAGCCATTATGGAAAACAGTATGGAGGTTCCTCAGAAACTAAAAATATAACTACCTTATGATCCAGCAATCTCTCTTCTGGATACATATCCAAAAGAAATGAAATCAGTATGTCAAAGAGATACTTGCCCTCCTGTGTTTGTTGCAGCACTATTCACAATAGCCACAACATGTGATATGGTTTGGCCCTGTGTCCCCCACAAATCTCATGTTGAATTGTAATTCCCAATGTTGGAAGTAGGGCCTGGTGGGAGGTGATTGGATCATGGGGGTGGTTTCTAATGGTTCAGCACCATCCCCCTAGTGCTGTCTTGTGATAGAGCTCTCACGAGATCTGGTTGTTTAAAAGTGTGTAGCACCTCCCCCTTCACTCTCTTCCTCCTGCTCCAGCCATGTAAGACATGCTTCCTTCCTCTTTGTCTTCTTCCATGATTGTAAGTTTCCTGAGGCCTCCCTAGCCATGCTTCCTGTACAGCCTGTGGAACTGTGAGTGAGTCAATTAAATCTCTTTGCTTTATAAATTACCCAAATTACCCAGTCTCCGGCAGTTTTTTTTTTTTTTTTGAGACGAAGTCTTGCTCTGTCGCCCAGACTGGAGTGCAGTGGTGTGATCTTGGCTCACTGCAAACTCTGCCTCCCAGGTTCAAGCGATTCTCCTGCCTCAGCCTCCCGAGTAGCTGGGACCACAGGCACCCGCCACCACACTGGGTAATTTTTGTATTTTTAGTAGAGACAGGGTTCCACCATATTGGCCAGGCTGGTCTTGAACCTCTAACCTTGTGATCTGCCCGCCCCCGCCTCCCAAAGTGCTGGGATTACAGTCTGAGCCACCGCACCCAGCCTCAAATAGTTCTTTAGTCCATTCTCATACTGAGAATGGACTAATACAACATGTAGTCAATTTGTGTCCATCACTGGATGAATGGATAAAGGATATAATGGATATAAAAAATGTGGTATATATTCAGAATGGAATATTACTCAGCCTTAAAAAGGAATGGTATCCTGTCATTTGTGACAACATGGGTAAACCAGGATGAGATTATGTTCAGTGAAATGAGCTGGGCACAGAAAAAAAAATACTGCACGATTTCACTTATATGTGGAATCTAAAAAAGTCAAACTCATGGCAATAGTAAAATGGTGGTTGTCAGGGACTGGGGAATGCAGGTAAATGAGAATATGTTGGTCAAAAGGTACAAACTTTCAGTGATAAGTGAACAAGTCTGGGGGATCCAATGTACAGCATGGGTGGCCATGGATGTGTTAATTAGTTTGATTGTAATAATCAGTACATAATGCATATGCATATCAAATCATCATGTTCTGATGCATATGCATTCACACCTTGAATATGTGCAATCTTTATTTGTCAATTAAATATTTTAAAATACAAAAATAAGACCTACAGAAATGGAAGCATATTTCCTATTCATGGATTGGAAAATTCAACATTGTAGTCAAATCTTCACAAACCGATCTACAGATCGGATGCAATCCTCCTCAAATCCCCAATATATTTATATATGTGTGTCTAGAACCTGACCAGCTGACTGTAAAATTGACCCTAGAATAGCCATTATATTCCCAAAGGCAGGAGGACTTGTCCTACTGGATATTAAGACAGAATGGTACAGTAATTAAGAGAGTGTGGCACTGGTGCAAGCTGGACAAGTAGGCTCCAAGGGATAGAAAGCAGAAAGGAAACTCAGACCCTCACATACATGGGCACTTCATCTATGGCAGAGGGGGCGCTGGAGAGCCATGGGGACAGGACAGCCTTGCAGGGTCATCGGATGGAGATCCAGATGGACAAAAACGAACCTTGACCTCACTCTGCCACCACGTACCAACACAGATTCCAGGCAAATCTCAGTGGGAAAGGCAGAACAATAAACTTTATGCATTCCCTCAGCTTTATCAGAGCCATTTTGCTTCTAGGCACCACTGTTGTTTGGTCTTTGTTTCATGGTCAAAACCTCTATTTTACTTAGTTTTAATCTTTGTTTGCCTTCATGTAAAAGAACACAACCTAATTGTTTTATGTTTGTGTTGAAATTTCAAATTATTTCAAGTTTTTGTTCTTCAATTTAAGACTTTTAATTCATTTTCATATGTTATTATTCTACTGGTTTTATTCATTTCACTTCCTAAAATCTGCTTAACCACTTTCATTTTTCCCTTTTTGTCAACTGTTCACACATGTTAGCATATCCAGATCATTTGTGTAATCAGTATACATCTATTTCATAAGGACTGTCAAAAGGAAGCAACATACATAATGGTAACATCATTAGGGACATTAGGGAAGGTTTTTACTAGTGACTTAATTCTCAGTCAGAATGAGAGATTCGTACAATTTGAAAATAAATTTGCACTCCTTCCACTTTCCATAATTCCTTGAAAACATGGCCTAAATAAGTAGTGATGTGTGGGTGATTATATTTCAATGGAGAGAGAAAGAAAGAGAGAGAAGAAAGAAAAAAGGAGAAAGACACAGAGATAGACAACTAGTTTTTGTGTCTGTCTGTGTATCTGAGAGATACAGACTGATGTAAGAAAGAAGAGCAAAATGCTAAGGTTGGTTGGCTCATGGCAGAAAGATGAGGTGGCTCAGCAAAGCAGTAAAGAAGAGGTTACTGAAAAACCACAATGAATGGGCTTGAATTGGCTTTCACCAAACAGCTTCTGAAGGCCAGAGAGGCCCAGGTGGAAAGAAACAGGTGGAGGAAGATGGAACTGCAAGCAGAATTGCAAGATAACCTCGTGAGGATAAATGGCCTTATAGAAAAGGGCAAAAGAGGGCTGTGGGAGGGCCCTTTGTACAGCCACTTAGAATTTGGAAAGAACAAGTCTAGTGGGATGATGAATGAGGTTGATGGGATTGCTAAAAAATAGAAGGCAGTGATGGTCTGTGGTCTCAGGACTCTCTATGTATGTGAGAGAGAGGCAAAGAAGGGAATGGGACTGAGTTAAGACAAAAGACATCAACTTTTGTACCAAGTGGGTCCCTGAGTGACTCCAAAAAACACTAGGAGCTCAGACTCAGGTGGGAAGCTTACCACATGGGCAAGGACTTGCATGGGCAAGCCCATCACAAGGGACCAGGGTTCCAACCTATTGCAGCATCTATGGGGACCTAAATGTCTCTCCTGGTGGTCAGGCTCAAAGGAGGGGTTGGGGGGATCCAGGAACAGAAGAGTGCTGCTTTCAGGGTATATGCTTCCACCAAGGATCCAGCCCCATTAGAAGATCAGGCCAGCCTGAACAAGGGACAAGCACATATGTACACAAGTACACACTACTGATGTGGCTTTTTACCAAGCTGCACACATCAAGGTAATTCTAACCCAGCCCCATCGTTTTGGTCCATTGGCATGACCTCACATGGGCACAAAGAGTGAAGAGGAGCCCGGGTTTTCTTGGCGCCTGAATCTTAGGACCCAACACTTACCTTTCCAGGTTCTCATGTTGTCTAAACCAGAGAGGGAGATTCTTCTTGGAACCAGAGTGCATTCTGGCTTCTTGCTACCACTGTGTGTACTCCACTCCTCTTGGCGCCGTTCAGACAGATGGCTTGGCTTAGGGGGGCGGGGAGGTGGAGTGTTGGACATAATGTCTAGTTCTTTTGCTCCACAGGGTAAGGAACCTTGATTTTTATCTACCTGAATGGTGGAACTTAAGGAACTTTCCAGCAATGGTGAAGAAGACAAGTGGTCCCTGGGTGGCCCATTGATTTCTCTACTCCAGATCAGGGCAGCCTGAGGCCTCGAGGATGGCACCTCCTGAGCTCCACTGCCATGGCATGAGGGGTGGACCAAATGACTGGAGGGGAGCGGCTGCAGGCAGTCAACAAAAACATCATCAAATGAAGCCTGTTCCAATGAACGGTCTGAGTTTGACCAGCTATCACATCTGGTGGGTAGACTGGGGAAGAAAAGCATGTAAGTTGGACTAAAATGCAGCCATCCACCCACCACAAAACCAACGCTGGCCTCATTCCCATCTCCCCAGTACCACCTTGCTTGCTACTTGCATAGCCACATTCCCTCTACAACACTCAGTTACACCAACCCCTTGGTGTGGCAAAAGAAAAATGGTTTGTTGATTTTTTCATCCTCTAAGCATCAGATACACATGAAAATGCAAGGCTAGAAGTGAAAACCACAATGCTGAAAAGCATGACTCATTCTGTTTAGTATACTACATGCTTCATCTTTCACAGTGGTTCATAGCAATCTGTTCCTGCCTTGACATTGGCAGGAAGAGAGGTGACAGCAGACACACCCACTAGAAAATGCTACCACTAAATGGACTAATTTGGTGAAGCACACTGAACACATCTCAGCTACGGACTGCAAGAGGAGGCAGTGTGACTCTAGAGAGCATGCTAGCAGGCCCAGCTCAGACAGAGTCCTGGGCATAAGCATACCTGGTATGGTGCAGTCTTCCAGTCTCGCAGTTGGACAAAACCAGATAATCTGGAAGGAAGAGAAGCTCTGACTCACTTCTGGTTTCCTCAGTGGCTACGGCATTAGTGTTTGGGTCATCTCTTGGCAAAGAGGAGCTGGCAGCATGGGCGGTAAGAAGGGAGCTGGCAGAGGATGGCTGCAGGGAGGAGGGCGTGTAAGAGAGGCTCTCCATGGAATCTGCTGGAGAAATCATTTCCCAGGTTAATGTTTAAGAATGGCTATAACACGCACTCAAAATTTCTCCAACAGCATCAAAGAAGCCAAACAGAAGATGCAAATCACAGCTGGTGTTTGTACTGATGGAGAAGACCATTTCCCCAAGCTATAAACAATGTCTGGGAAAGAAGGCCAATGTTTCAAGAGCAAAGTGTTGAATCAATTAAGAGTAAAAAACCCAGCATTCTTGGCCCAAAAATCTGCAGTTAATCTACGCACAGCTTCTTTATGGCCCTCAGCAGCAGCCTTGCCTCATTGTTTTTTCACTCAACTAACAAACATATATATATATATATATATATATATATATATATATATATATATGCATAACAAGTACATGCATATAGTTATATATGTACTTGTGCATATATGTATGTATACCTATACATGTTTATTATATAGGTATATGTCTATATAGAATACCTATTACATCTACCATGTGCCCAGAATGCCACTAACCCTCAATACAGCCAAGACAAAGATCCTGCCCTTATTGAAGTTTAGATTCTAGCAGAGAAGACAGACAAATAACACATAAATAAAGAGTCCTGTTCATCACTGTTATAAGTAAAGGGAAGGAAAGAAACACAGTGCTGTGGTGGCTGGAAAAGTCCATTTCTTTTTCTCAAGGAGCATAACATTCTCCCCATCACCTGAGAACATGGTCCTTAAGATGAATTTGAATCAGGAATCAATGAGAACTCCAGATCAGAAACAGCCAATGAAAAGCCTGCTTTTATTTCCCTTTTGAACCAAGTTAATAGTCCAGGATTCCTGAGTCAGGATGACCCAGAACTAACTAGGTTCAAGTCCAGGCTCTACTACATAGCCATTACTACATGGCCTGCCTTCTCCAAGTTTCCTTTTCTATAAAGTGGAGATAGTAATCACACATAGGCCATAGAACTGCTGTGGGGATGAGACAAGTTAATATACAAAAGCATTTCAACAGAGATCCTGGCCAGGGTACACACACAATGTGTTGACTACTATATGGTTGCTGGAGACAGAACCAAACACTCTGTGAAAAGTCACAAGAAAGCCCTTTGGGTGTAATTCTCAGATGAAGAGGACCCTGCTCTTATGTGGTTCTAAAAACTGAGGCGGGGGGCTACAGAGAATGGAAAGGGTCATAGGTGAGTTTTCTGGCTTCCTCCAACTTCATGCCGGGACAGGCTCTCCAGTTTCGGCCTGGTGCCTTACTCATTCCTGGTGCTCTTGGGTTATTGGGAAACATATTATATATGTATGTTTTAGGATAACTCCTGGATAAGGAAAGAAACAGAGGAGATATATAACACAGTATACGACGATATACCTAGTTAAGGCTGAAGGTGCACAACAGGGTGGTAAAGAGCCAGCAGCAAGGCTGGAGAAGTTAGTTGGTCAGGGAGGTTCTGCTTGATTTGCATAATGTCAGACTCTAGCCAGAACCTACTTAATGCTGCTTTTCCAATTAAGTTTTGTCCATTGTACCAAGGATAAAGAACTTGCCATCACTTCATTTCCTTTTATTTGAGTGCTCCCAATGCTCAGCAATATTATTGAATAGCCTCACTTAATATGCTTCCCTGGTTCATGAAACGAAAAGGAATGTGTTCTCAGAAAGCACACTCTTGTGCCTGTCCTGGAGGGAGATTCAATTCTGACTCTCCATTGCCACCTAGCGTTAGAGTGTGGATATTTCAGTGGCAGATGGTGGAAACCATGCAGTAACTCTTAAAATGTTGAAGCAACTATAGATTACAGGATTTAGGGGCAAAGTTTTGTCTACTAGACTAAGAGGCTAAAAGAAACCAGATTCAAAATCTCATATTTTGAGGAATAGGACATGTTGCAATAATGTCAGGGGCTCAACAACAAAATCCATGAAGGGAAGTTAATTGTAACCCTAGGTTACAATATACCTGGAAAATTACATAGGATGAGTTGTGTGTGTGTGCGTGTGTGCGTGTGTGCGTGTGGCAGAGAGAGAGAGAGAGAGAGAGAGAGACTCTGGGGTACTCTTCATGGGTCAATTGCTCCCACTGCCCAGAAATGGCCCAGAGCAAACTTACAACTAATTTCCTCTGCAGAGAACTTGAGACATTTGGAGGTATCAGGAAATCTTTCTTGCCTACGATAAGTAGCCAAGTTCTCTCTTTCTACCATTTAGTGATGAACAACCCAATAGGCACCAGAAATGCTGGAGTTCCACAATATTTTGAAGTATGGCAATATTTGATATTTCTAGAAGGTCATGAGTGTCAGCATCATGGGAAGACATCCTCATCCACATTTGACTTTCACTGTGGCTGAATGAGAGCAAAGACATGAAGGGGTTTTAAAGCCATTAAAGTAACCTGCAATGCTCAGTGTGCTCATGGACTCTGCCTTCCCACATTTGGACTGGGTAAAAGAGGGCAATTTCCAGTATTGTATTTGGTAGGAACAGTTCTGATATAAATTAGCCTGCCAAAACACCCTCAAGGAGGCAGGCTTGGCATCTTGAACTGTTTTTCTGCAGTAACCCTCCAGTCCTGGGATACCCCTTAGCACATGGGAGCCCCAACTCCGCTCTTACCTGCACCATCCTCCAGGTGGCCAAGGTTGCAGACCTGACTGATGCTGTGCACCCACACCTGCATTTCTTGCTCAGTTTTGGCCACCAGGTAGAATGTACGGGAAGTAGTCTTGACAATGAACACGAAATTATTCTGAAATTCCTTCCGAACAAAGCTGGGGCCCACATGCTTCCACACTGCACACTCGCTGAGGTCTATCACCCGGATGGGCTTGCTGGAGTGCTTGTTCCTGTAGTACTCCAAGACATCGGGGTTGCCGCTCATGCGGCCTCGCCGGAGGACAAACCAGCGCTTGCGCCAGGCCTGCAGAAAGGCAATTCAATAAGGAGTTACTGGACCAATTTCTCTTGTTTCTCAGGCTATGCCAAGAACCCATGTCATGACAAGGACAGCAGGAAGGAAACAAATCAGCCATTCTAATGATGAAACGCTTTGTATTACAGGACTAGTGCCCATCTTCAAGTCCGCTTTATTGGATGATTTTAAGGACGGGTCAGGATTGGAGAGTCTAGTAATGGGATTCACACCCACAGTTTGAAGGGCCAGAATTATACAATCATTGAAATTGATGCAGCAAAGGAATGTAGTACAAATTTAACATATGCTGAAGCTTTAAAAGAATCTTAGCAATAAAGAACTAGAAGGAAGCTTTCTTACTATTATGTATCTCAGTTCAAGAGCCAATATCATACATTAAAATCAGATGAAAATCACAAATGCTCACCACTGCCCCAGTATCTTCCAACATTGCTATTTAAGTTCTACACAACTGGCCAAGAAGGAAAATCATACACATTGGAGAGGAGGAGAGAAGATTGCCAGTGTCTGAAGGTGACAAATTGTCTTCCATAAAACCCCCAATGATGATTAAAACACTAATAGAATTCTCAGAGAATTAACTAGCTTGGCTAGTTACACTTCCTATGTAAGAGACCCTTGTCTAAGCGCTTTACTGTAACCCATTTAATCCCTAAAACTATACTATGGGAGGGGTAACTATTACTATCTCCATCTTATGTCTGATAAAATTGAGGTTCAGAGAGATTAAGTAATGTGCTCAAGGTCACATAGCTAAACAACTGTAGGAATGAATTTGAACTCAGGTTGGGATGGAAGGATCGGTAATGGATGTGAAGTTAAAAAATAAAGAGAGAGAGGAAGTGTAGCCAGCTCTCCAGAAACATCTGACTGTAAAGGGGGAAAGCTCTGGGGTCAAGGGATTTTTTAAAGATGGGAGACTCTTAAGCATTCACCCCCTAAGTCACAGTGTTTTTCAACCAGGGATGGTATAATTCCTCTCGGGAGCATCTGAAAATATGTGGGTTTTGCTTGTTATAAAGGCTGGAGATGGAGTGGGGGGTGGGGCATGGCAGGATTGGCCTAAAGCTATCAGTGCCCCTGTTTTGAAACACTGTAAAAACAAAAAGGAATTTTCCTTAATGGAATAGGAATCTTGGAAAGAGCCAAGCCTGGAAGTCAGATGAACAGGTAAAGCTCAGTCCATGCTCAGAAAAGAAAAGAGAATGATATTCCACAGAAACCAGTGCCAAGATTTGACAGGTCTCTTTTTGTGCCCTGAGAACAACTGAGAATGACCTAGGGCTCCTTGGCTTCCCACTCACCATTGACTTAGAATTTTTGATGTAGACAGTACCATCTTGGCTCAGTACAAAGAAAGGGTGCAGATCTCTGGCCTGGGGAAAGAGGTATTTACAATTGACCAAAGCCCTAGGGAGTCCCCTGGATCTGTAAACCTCCCTGCCCTCTCATGGAGCCAGGGGGAAGGAAATGTTTGAGTTCCTTGTCTTACATTTAGGTGCCCTTTGTTCATCGAAGGGCCAGATAGGCCAGCCTGCATGGATAGCGTATCCTTACTTTCTGCGGTAGGGAACTATGGCATTAGCCCCAGTTGGGAATTGAGCACAGAGAAGGATGACGGCTGACCGCAGGGAGATTTATAGCTCTGTGGTTTTTCTCTCCCATGCGGTAGCATGTGTGACAGCAGGAAGTGTGGGGTTCTGCCAGGAGGTACAGCGACCCCTGGGACAGGAAGTCTTTTGTATCTCTAGCTTCATTTATGTGTGATACTTTTTAAGCCCACCAGCTTTGACCAAGAGGCCAGGGAAAAAGGAAAAGACACTATTTGGAGTATTCTCAGCTCCCTCCCTGCTCAGAGAACATGAATCTGAGATGGCAGAGAATCCAAAGAAGCACTGACCTCCAATTATGCCTTAGAATAAAAAGCCCTTCCAGGACTGAGGCAAGGGGCAGCAAGCAGAAGGAAGGCAGTCACTCCATGTCAGGTTGGGGCAGGTGAACCCTGGTTTGCTCCTGCCTTTACAGACAGTATAAAGCTTTGAAAAGAGGTCTGGCCATGAGTCAAACAAGGAGACCATCTCAGGAGACAAACAACGTGGTGTGATTAAGTCCATGTTTTTAAGACAGGAAAAATAACAGCATGTTTGTATGCTCGTGGGGGTGACCCAAGAGGGAGAGAAAAATTGATTCAGTAAATTCCTGTTGCAAAAACGTGGCACTGGATGGGAGTAGAGCCACTAAACATAAGAGAAGGAGCTCAAGTTTTGCTGTGGGGTTTGAAAGTGGGAAACCTGGGCTTCTGGCATCAACTGAGGCAAACAGGAACATAAGGCCTAGTCCAGGGAAGGGGCTCAGGGGATGAGAGAATGCCATTTGTGCCTGCTGAGGAAAGCTTTCATGGGGAGGGAGCATGGGGTGCTCCAAACTTTCCAAAAGCCACTTTGGTGGGGGAAATGTAAAGAGGAACTTTGTTGCACTTCCCAAAAATGATTCTAAAAGAGGAAGTCAAACTAAGCACAGAAACAAGTTTCACATTAACCGCTCTTAGTGTTATGGAGACAATAGATTTCTTATCTTTTAATAACAATATTGGAAGAGAAGTAACACCAAGAGTTTATTTGAGTGCCTACTCTGCACTGTGCATCCTGCTAGACAATGAAGCTAGAAAAGGGGATTAGAGCTGGTCCCTAAAAGACCTCACTCTCTAGCTGGGATAGGGAGAAGGGTAGAATTATGATATGGGTAGATTTCAACTCAGCGTAGTGAGCGGTCTAGCAGAAGAATGAACCAGGAGTGGTGGGAGTGCAATGGGAAGAGTGACATGAAGAAGTTTGGGCTTTATCCATTCATTCAACAATTACCTGTTGATAGCCCACTAATATGCTGGACACTGTGCAGATACTGGGGAAGATGAAGTGAGCAAGCCACATGCCCTGCCACTCACAGTCTCATGGGCAACAAGGGAGTGAGCAGATGGATAAACAGACGATTGCAATCAGTGAGATAAGTGCTACGATAAGGCAAAACCAAGATGCTATGGGAACAAACAAAAGAGACATCTCTCTCAGATCAGTTGTCTGGGGAGGCTTCCAGGAAGAAGTGGTGACTAAGCTAAGGCTAAAGTGGGGCAGGAGGAAGCAGCGTGCACAAAGGCATTAAGGTGGAAAGGCTCAAAACTTTGCGTAAGTAGTTCAGCAGGGCTGGAAGGCAGGCATGAGGGTGGAAAGGAAAAAGAACAGTCACACAGTAACTTAAATAGGACGTAGCATAGTCTTGATGCTGAATCATGCAAAATCGCCAGTGTGTCATCCCTTAGGTTTTTAAATCTCTACATAAGAGTTTTGATTATGCAAAAACAGAAGTGAGGTGTTCTTGGAGCTCTTTGCTAAGTAGGTAAAACCAGAGGCCACATATAGTTCTGTTCCACCAGGCTTACAGGCTTCTGGAAAATGGAAGACATGTGACAAAGCCCCTGAAAGCAGTCAGTCTGCCAGCACTAAAGTGAAGCTTTTTACAGTGAAACAATGCCACAAGGAATGACGAGGGCCATGTCAAAAGGACTTAGGGGCTAACCTGAAGAGGCTACCACTGGCCATATATGAAAGAATTTTTGCTTTCATAAATAGTCATATGCTGCATGACATAATAGTAACAATGAACCAAATATACAATGGTGGTCCTATAAGATTTTTTTTCAATCCTCCGAGACATCTGAATCCCAAAAGATTTAATACCATATTTTTATTGTACCTTTTCTATGTTTAGATACACAAATACCTACCATTGTGTTACAATTGCCTACAGTATTCAATATAGTACCATACTGTACAGGTTTGTAGCCCAGAAGCAACAGGCTATAACATATAGCCTAGGTGTGTAGTAAGCTAGGTTTGTGTAAGTACACCCTGTGATGTTTGCAAAGTGACTAAATCACCTAATGACACATTTCTCAGAACATATGCCCGTCATTGAATGATGCATGATTGTGTAATAATTATAGTAGCTTGAAATCCATCAAATACACTTAAATCCATGAGTTCATTATGATATTAGAAAAATAATTTGTCGTCAGGAGATCGAGACCATCCTGGCTAACACAGTGAAACCCCGTCTCTAATAAAAATACAAAAAATTAGCCGGGCGAGGTAGTGGGCGCCTGTAGTCCCAGCTACTCGGGAGGCTGAGGCAGGAGAATGGCGTGAACCCCGGGGGGCGGAGCCTGCAGTGAGCCGAGATCGCGCCACTGCACTCCAGCCTGGGCGACAGAGCGAGACTCCGTCTCAAAAAAAAAAAAAAAAAAAAAAAGCAAAAGAATTTGTCATCTTCAGAGGATGTAAGGGAACTACTTCATTTCCTTGAAAACTACTTAAGTAAAAGGGAAGAATCAAGCATTATCCAACCTTTCCTCTACGTGAACTGTCCCACTTGGGTAGATGAAGGGAATGTCTCTTTATGAATGTATTCTGATCAGTAATGGAAAAACAAATGACAGAATTAGAATATCCCTATTTGCTAGCCCCAGTGAATTAATAGGTATAGCCATTAAGCATCAACAGCTGCTAACTTGGGAAAAGAAACAATCAGACATTTTGTGCCTCTGATAGCCTGATATGAGGGTGCAATCAGCAGAAGCCAGCCTGTAGAAAACTCTACAGGTCAAAAGCCCAGGTTCTTCAATGGATAGGTTATAAGAAAAAGAAAAGCACAGGAAAGGAAGCAATCAATAAAATGAAAAGGCAACCTATGTACTGGGAAAAAATGTTTGCAAACTACATTAAGGGGTTAATATTCAAAATTTACAAAGAACTCTTACAAGTCAATTGCGGAAAAAGAAACAAAAAATGGGTGAAGGATCTGAACAGACATTTCTCCAATGAAGACATAAAAATGTCTAGCAGGTATCTTAGTCCATTTTCTTTTGCCATAACAGAATATCTGAGATTGGATAATTTATAACAATATTAGTTTATTTTGCTCATGGTTCTGGAGACTGGCAAGTCCAAAGGCATAGCACCAGCATCTGCTCAGCATCTGGTGAGGATCTGCTTGCTGTGTCACCCCATAGCAGAAGGCAGAAGGGCAAGCGAGTGCACGCAAGAGCAAGAGAGAGCTGAACTTACTTTTAGAACAAACCCACTCTCTTGATAACAAACCCACTCCCTTGACACTGACAGAAACCCATTCATGAGGGCTGACTTCATGACCTAACCATCTCTTAAAGGTCCCACCTCCCAACACTGTTGCATTAGGGATTAAGTTTCCAACACATGAACTTTGGAGGACACATTCAAGTATAGCAACAGGTATATGAAAAGATGCTCGATATCACTAATCACCAAGGAAATGCAAATGAAAACCACAATGAGATATCACTTCATATTCATCAGAATGGCAATTATCAAAAAGACAAGCGATAACAAGTGTTGGTGAGGGTGTGGAGAAAAGGAAACCCTAGTATACTGTTGGTGGGAATGTAGATTCATACAACCCTTATGGAAAACACTATGGAGGTTCCTAAGGAAGTTGAAATTAGACCTACCACATGACCCAGCAGACCCTGACCCAGCAGACCCTCTTCTGAGTATAGACCCAAAGGAAGTGAAATCACCCTCTCATAAAGATATCTGCACTCCCATGATCAGTGCAGCATTAATTTACAATGGCCAAGATATGGAAACAACCTAGGTGTCTGTTGACAGATAAGTGGATAAAGATATTGTGGCATGTGCATCGCATCACACTATGAAATATTATTCATCCTTAAAAAGGAAGGAGATCCTGCCATTTGCAAAAAGATAGATGGATCTAGAGGACATTATGTTAAGTGAAACAGGCCAGACACAGAAAGACAAATACTGAATGATCTGTTTTGTACGTGGGGGGAAAAGGTCAAATGTACTGTGGTATATTTATAAATATATAAAAAAAAAACTGGTTACCAGGGACAAGATGGGAGGAAATGGGAAGATGTAGGTCAAAGGATACAAAGTAGCAAATATGTAAGAGGAGCAAGTCGAGAGATCCAATGTACAGCATGAGGACTGCAGCTAAAGATCCAACCAGCATCTAATGCAATTGTATTGCCTTAGGGATTTCTGTGAAATAAGTAGATTTTTGCTGCTATTGACACACACAAAGTAAACATGTGAGATTGTATGTTAATTTCCTTCACTATAGTAACCATTTACTATCCATTGGTATCCTATAAGGTCATGTTGTAAACTCCAAATTATATACAATAAAATTTACTTTTAAAAAGAAAAGAAAAAGGGACAGAGGAGATATCTATGGATTAAATGATACTTAAAAGACACATCAAAATGTTTAAGTGTGCCTAGCAGATACTCATTTGAGTGATAAAAACATTAAAAATGCAAAGAAGATATTTCTATACATGTCAGGATGGTAGTTATTTATGGGGAGAAGAAGGAGGTTATGATCGAGAAGGACACATGGAGGGACTTCTGTTGTGGGTGGCAAAGTTCTATTTGTCAATACATTTGTTTTATGTGGTTTGCAATATTTGTGTTTTCTTTTCTTTCTTTTTTTTTGACAGAGTTTTTTGCTCTTGTCGCCCAGGCTGGAGGGCAGTGGTGTGATCTTGGCTCACTGCAACCTCCACCTCCCAGTTTCAAGCGATTCTCCTGCCTCAGCCTCCCAAGTAGCTGGGATTACAGGCATGCACCACCATGCCCGGCTAATTTTTTGTATCTTTAGTAGAAATGGGGTTTCGCCATGTTGGTCAGGCTGGTCTCGAACTCCTGACCTCAGGTGACCTGCCTGCCTCAGCCTCCCAAAGTGCTGGGATTACAGGCGTGAACCACCGTGCCCGGCCTTGTGTTTTCTTTTATGACAAAAAAAATCTTAAAACAATTCCTCTGTACAGGGCACATTTGTGGATTCATTCAATCAATATTTACCGAGTGTCCACTATGTGCCAGACACTGTGCATGTAAAGAAAAAGGGTGCTATGTTTATCAGGGAGTTCGTAAGCTCACAGGATGAGGAAGGAAAGCAGAGGTTTATGCTCAATGTCCAGCATCAACTACCAGATGTGAGGAGAGGGAGTCAGAGTATAAATAAGAGATAAGTAGAGGGGTCTGAACCTAAGAAGTTCAGAGATGGGTCAGGAAGTAAAGAGTACAAAAGATGATGGTGAACACTTCAGAATAGAGGGTGTGGGGATGTTAGGACCTGAGGGCTGCCCTCTCTTCTTACTGAGATGTTTGCATTTTATGGAAACATAAAATTGCAGGCTTGCTGGCTTCAAGTAGCTGCACTGGACTTCACCTTCTCCCCTCAGGCCTTCTCTGCTGGGTAGGTCATGAGCAGCTTGGGAAGCCAAGATGGAAAAGGGTGAGGTCAAGAGTTCACGATAGACTGTGAAGATGAGCCTGGGTCAAGAGGATATAGAAAGCGGAATCACTATGCAAACAAGTATCCATAACAGTAACTTAGAGAAATGGAGTACAAAAATGGGCAGGGGGAGGCACTGAATTGAAAGTCAGGAGACCTGAATTTGAATTCCGATTCTACTTTCTGTGTGACTTTGAGCACACAGTACTTGAGTAACTCAACTTCTGCAAACCTCAGTCCTGTCATCTGTAAATGTAAATAGTAAACCCTGGCCTGTCACCCTTATGGTATGATTGTAGTGAACCAATGAGAAACAATGGCAAAACATTATCAATGTAAAAGTAACTTATAAAACGACAATGTGGGCTGGGTGCGGTGGCTCACGCCTGTTATCCCAGCAGTTTGGGAGACCGAGACGGGTGGATCACTTGAAGTCTGGAATTCGAGACCAGCCTGACCAACATGGTGAAACCCCGTCTCTACTAAAAATACAAAAATTAGCCAGGTGTGATGGCACGCACCTGTAATCCCAACTACTCAGGAGGCTGAGGCAGAATTGCTTGAACCCAGTATGTGGAGGTTGCAGTTAGCCGAGATTGGGCCACTGCACTCCAGCCTGGGCAACAGAGTGAGACTTCATCTTAAATAAATAAATAAATAAATAAATAAATAAATAAATAAATAAAAATAAAATGACAATGTGACTGTTGGCCCCCAGGGCTCATGGCATCACTTGCCTTGGGGAAACTGCTTCTCCCCTTCTGGAGCCCATGTCTCCATACTATACAATGATGAGCTCTGAGGGCTTTTCCAGCTCTGACCATCGAAAGATCCACTTCCCATCAGCCTTTCCTGCCACAGCAACCAAGCTGACTCATTACCACCGACCAGTATCATCTCTAACAACAAAACCCTGCAATATCCTGTAACCTTGTGGAAAGGTGTTTGTGCTAATTTCTAGTCTCCTCCAGGAAGGTGTGTTTAGGTCACAGGCTTGTTAGTTTTTAAAAAATTGTTAGAGAACAGTTTAATCCCATTCTTCTGAGAGTAAAAGCTACACATTGTTCTCATCTTAAAACAATCCAACTTGCTGATTACATAGTTAACAAACATCTCCAAGTTTGTTTCTTAATGGAGTGAACAAAGGTGCGAGTACCTGCAAGGCTGAAGTGGGTCCTATGCAATGGCAGGTGTCACCGCCCCCCCAAATTCATATGTTAAACTCCTAAGCCCCCAGTATCCCCGAATATAAACTTATATGGAAATAGTCTTTAGCAAGTTAAAGTGGGGTCATAATCAAATATGACTGGTGTCTTCATAAAAAGGGGAAATTGGAACACAGAGATGCATAGAAGGAAGACATCGTGAAAAGACACAGAGAGAAGATGGCCATCTACAAGTCAAGGAGAGAAGCCTGGAACACATCCTTCCCTCACAGCCTTGAGAAGGAACCAAATCTGCTGACAGCTCAATTTCAGATGTCCAGCCTCCAGAACTGTGAGACTATAATGACCTCTCTTGTCTAAGCCACCCAGTCTGTGGTACTTTGTTACAGCAGCCCTGGGAAACTAATACACTCTGCAACCTTTATTATGCATCTGAATCACCTGGAAGGACTTCCACTTCCAGCCACATTAGTGTACTGGACACTGAACTTGCCTCCTACCCATAAAACCAATTAGAAAACTAGACCAAATAAATACATGAAATAGACATTAGATGGCAGTCAGTGCAGAGCTATGGCCTCTATAAAAAGGAAAGCAAAAGAGGTGAGTCCCTGATCACCCTGGCTTTCATCCTGTAAGCACTTTCTCAACCATGGCTATCTCACAGAGTTGAGAAAGCAGAGATCGGAATTCTGGGTGGTTGAGGTGGCTAGAATTTGCAGGACAAAGGACCACAGAGAACACAGTTATGTAGAGAAAGAGCTCTACAAATCTACATAGGTGTTTCCCCATGAGACTTTGGCTGAATACTAACATTCATGTGTGTAGAGTGAAACCCTATGAGGTGCATCCTAAAACAACTACTGAAGACCCCCAATCTAAACAACTGCCAGAGCTCACACAGGGCTGGGAGATGTTTGAGTGCTGATCAGCCATAATGGAGAGACCTGGAACATTCAGTAGAGACTCAAAGAGAGGCCACATCTTAGAAGCAGGAGTAAGGCCAAACTAGCCCTAGAGTACAGGCTGCTCTAGACTTGCCCTAAGAAAGCTTAAAAAGAAGGCTTGGAATGATCAAGTTCATCAGCAAGGTAATGAATTGCTGGCCAAAACAAAAATTCAACACTCTAAGGAAAGACAAAAGCAGACACTCAACAATATAATATTTACAATGAAAACACCCAAGAAATTACTAAATATGCAAAGAAGCATAAAAATATGACTCATAACCAAAGGAAAAATCAGTCAATAGAAAGAAACCTAGAAATAACAGAGATGATAGAATAAGCAGACAACTTTGAAACAGCTATTATAACATTTGAGATTTAAAGGAAAATACGAACATAATGAGAGAAATGGAAGTTACAGACAAGAAAAAAATGGAACATGTGTAGGTAAAAAATACAATATCTGAAACAAAAAAAATACACTAGATGGGCATAATAACATCTCAGACTCTGAAGAAGTGATCATCAAACCTGAAGCACAGATAGAAAAGCCTGGGAAGAGAGGAATAACCAGAATCACCCAGAGAGCTGTTAAAAATGCACATTCCTGGACCTCACCTCCAGAGATCCTAATTCACCAGGCCTGACTTGGTGCAGAGGTGCAGATCACGATGCATAAAAGTAAGCGGCCACAGATGAAAATAAAAGAGGCTTCATCCAGTCTCATTTCCCTTAACTACCATCTATTTGATGATGGTTTACAAAATTATGTTTCCAATCTGGATCTTTCCCATGAACTTCAGACCCATATAGCCAACCATCTAACTGACATCTCCACTTACATATCTAAGAGGTCTGTCAAACTTAACAGGGCCAAAATGCAGCTTTTATTTCATGGCCACTTAACCCTCTCCTCTCCCAGCCTCTCAGTACCTCCCAATGGTATCGCCATCCTTCCATTCTGTAAATACAAAAACTTTGGAGTGATCTTTGCTTCCACTCTCCATATCCAAACCACTAGTGAGTTCTGTTGACTCTACTTTCAAAACATTCCAAATCAATCCACTTCTCTCCATGCACCACCCCTGCCCCACAACCACCCTAGTCCAAGTCACCATTGTCTTTCACCTGAGTAATTGAAATAGCCTCTTGTCTTCCCACATCCACTCTCAACTCCCCCCATAAATTCATTCTTAACAAAGAAGTCAATAACATTTTAAAATCATAAATCAGATCATGTTGTTCCCTTGGTTAGCACCCTCCAAAGGCTTCCCAATAAATTAATAACAAAACCCAAACTCTTTCACATAGCCTAGAACGTCCCACATGAACTGGCTCTGCCTGTCTCTCCCACTTCACATCTCAGCCACTCTCTTGCTCTTCCACACTGGTCTTTTTGCTGTTCCTGAACATGTAGAATCTCCTCTCCATCTTGGGGGCTTTGCCTTACTTGTTCCTTCTCCATGGAATACTCTGTCACACAGATCCTTGCATGGCTGCCATGCAGATCTCTGCTTCCTGTTATTGACACCTGAACTTAATTGTCATCTCTCAGAGAGACCCTCTCTGATCATCCATATTGAAGTGGCCAGCCACAGTCATTCTCTGCCTCCAGCACTAGAATGTGAGCTCCCGGACAGTAGAGACTTTGTCTGTCTTGATCACTGTTTTATCCTCTGGGCCTAGTAGTGCCTGGCACAGGATAGTTGCTCAGTAAATACTTGTTGAATGAATGAATTGTACATGTGATTTCATGATATCATAGACCTAGGTTTAAAACACTACTCTTGAGGAACAAGACTAGTATTGTAGTTTATAGCAAACCTAATCACCAGAATGTACTCATCACATATTTATGTGCTAGGAGCTGGAGATGTAACAGTGAACCAGATAGACACAGTCTCCAAGCTGGAACTTAGGCTGTCAGGCAAGGCATCATACCAGAGTTTTAACTCAAAACCAGCAAATACTCTATCCAGATATTGCAGCATGTTGTTCAGGATTAAACTGAACAACGAACAAGGCTTAGAAGTTTGGACACGTTCCTCCTGCACTCAATTCTACTTGCACAGTAAAATAAACCTGGCTGGGTTATAGCAAGTTTCACTTCTTTGGCTCCAGAATTCACTCCAATAAAATTGAAGTGGCCCGCCTGGATTGTATCCATTGTCAAAAGACACAGAAATGAACTGAGAAACATCCTGAAAATCTCTGAGGCTGTAAAGAGACACCTCTGATTTAAACTACTTTTCTGGTGAGAGTGATTATTGTCCCTTTGTTTCAGCAGAATTGGCCCTCTGCCCCCTCTGCGGTGGTGAAATCCCAAAGCTGTGAAATCATTTCCTTCACATGTGCACAGGAGGGGTCAGCAACCTGCCTTCAGAGCCAGGCTTTCCAACTCAGGCTGAGGGAGGAGAACCTATACCTATCTGCATTTGGAGCTCTACGTTTTGATCCTTCAATACTGCTGTCATTTCAGCAATGACACTTTTTGACTGAATCTGCCAAAAGGAATTGTGTGGGCCTCTTCCCCTCCTGACCCATGGACGTGCTTCATACTGTCCTGGCCAAGAGCGCCTAGAGCGCCAGGATTTTGGTGCTCAGATTCTGATTGTTCTGATTGCTTACAGGTGTTGGTCTCCTTCTGCGCTGCTTTTTCAGTGGCCTTATTGACCAGGTATAGGAGATGCCTCAGATTAAAAGACAACAAGGAGAAAAAAAAATGTTGCTAAGATCCTACCTGAACCAACTGTGAAAGGCTTTCAAGTTGAATGTAAATTGATGAGACGTTGGAGATGGAACTAGCTTGGGGAGCAGTTGGAGTTACAGATAGAACACAGAAATCCTGGAAACCAAGCCACACCCAGTAAACAGCAACTGGCTCCAACTTTCCCTGGGATCTTAGCCTGTGCTGACCTAAACTGTATGCTCTGTGAAGGCAAGGACGTTGCCCATCTTGGTCCCTAAAGTACCTCCAACATCTTTAACAGTCTTGGCATACAATACGTACTCAATGTGTTGTTGTGGACAGCATGACTGACTAAAGTATGGCTATAAAGGGGCAACACAGGGGATCTTTGTGATGGAACAGTTCAGTATTGGTTTCAGTGGTGGGTACATGACTCTACACAGGTGATGAAATCACACAGAGCTACACATGCACACACATGCACGTGTAAGGGGTGACATCTACAGCTGCTCTTAGAGGGTATCAATGTCATTTGCTGTTGTGAGACCGAACTAGAATTATGCTAGATGGCGACACTGAGGGAACTGGGGGGAAAAGGTGCACTGGTTTCCTGGACATTTCTTTACAACTTCCTGTGAATCTAGTGATTTCAAAATAGTAAGTTTACAAAAAGACACTCAATCCAAAGGAAATTTTAAAAGTGCAGAAAAAGAAACCTAGAAAAGATAGGGCAAATAAAAAGCACAATAAGATGCTTGACTTTAATCCAAAGGCACCCATGATTACTTTAAATGTAAATGGACTCAATGCTCTTGTGAAAAGACATTTATCCAATGCCTACTGTGAACCAAGCCCGGTTGGTTGCAAGGGAAACAGCGAAGAATATGACCCAGGCCCTGCTCCTATGATGCTCGGTGCAATGAACCAAGAACTGGGCCAAATGCTGTTAATGAGTGCCACCTGGATGAGTTCGTAACTGCCAGAGGTTTGGAGTGACGGAAGATGAAGCTAGAGATGTGGCAGTAGCAGACAAGTTGCAAGGAGAATTAACAGGACTGGGTCACCAAATGCATGTGGGCCACCAGGGAGAGGAAAGGATTCAGACTGAATCACAGGGTTCTGGTTTGCAATTAGCAGATAATACTATTGTGTAACATGCTATCAGGGCCTCATGGAACAAGGGCAAATGAGCTTTCACTGATGACATTTCTTTCTCCTACAAGTTTTTATCAATTGACATTCCTAATCTCGTGCAGTGGTCAGGGCAGCTACTACCCTAACTTTCCAGAAAAAGAAACTGGTACTCAGACAGATGAAGTGGCTTTCTCACTGAGTAACAGTGAATCTGAACCCATGGCTCCCCCATTCAGTGTTCAACAACATTGTTTCAAATTATTTGAAATTAAAGAAGAGAGAAAACAGAGCCACAGTAAGGAGAGGGTATGTGCCCGTTCAAGTTGGTTGATGACCCTTCAAGATAGCTTAGAACTTTACCAGGCAAGTTTTCAAGCTGGTTGCTCCTGCCACGCTCTGCAGTTTGCTGTGGGGGTATCTGCAGGGAAACAGTCATGTGCTAGAGCACTTTGGGCACTGTTCTATCACATGGAACTGTCAAAGTTATTTCCTCTGATTTAGCTCTGTATTGCAAAGTTGGATATTTCTGTCCCTTCATGTGCAAACATTCTTTGGAGTCCAGAAGACACAGAGGAAAAGAAGGAAAGAGGAATAAGAATTGCTCTTGTCTGATTTACTGACTTTTCATTTCCTTTGACACCCTTCCTCACCCCTGTTCCTCTGACTATGGACAACTTTCCCCTACCGTGTTTTTCTTGTTCTTGTGTTGCTATTGACATATACTTAGTAGATTCTAGTTACTGTTTAGAAAACCTAACAACTCAATTACTGACTGCCACTTGCAAGGCCCCTAGGAATTTTGGATGTGGTCCCAGAACATGAAATGAAATAAAGCATTTGGTAACAACTTAGAGATTTTTGGTAACCTCCCAAGACCTGCTCCTCTAAGCTGATCTCCCGTTCTCTGCCCAGTAGCTACACCTTGAACGCACTCACGAGGCTGGGGGTTGTTTATGTGTTGCAAAAGGTAAGCATCATTAAAGAAACAGAAATCTGGTTAATTTTCTATTTTCTGCTGAGCTTTACTCAAGAGGGCCCTTTCCCTCCACCTTCTACTTCCTTGCCAAGGGGGGCCACAAAGGTTGGGAGTTTCCAGGAGCAGGTTACACACTTCTCCTCTCTATCCTGGCTCAATGCCACTAGCCCTGGGATTGCCGGTGACCTTTCAGCCTGATGGCCTGTAACCTTCTGCTCCCTGCCAGATAGAGTTGGGACTTGTCCAAGGCGTGGAATAACTTCCTGTGATTGTCCTGAAGATGGCCTGGCCCACAGGATCTGCTTCTATAGCTTGTCAACAGAAGCAGAAAAGTCCTGTATCTCTACAGTATGGTGGGCCTTGGAAGGGAGAATCCTGAGGAGAAATGTTCAGCAAAGATAAGTACACCAAGAGGTCTGTGTTCAAGTACATACATGACATGGACTTGACCTTCCTCATGTATTGTCAACCAAAGTGCCACTGAATATCCTGGCCAGTTTCTCATTATTTCTTGTGTGGCAGAATCTTTGAGGTCATTAAGACCAGCTAATCAAATCTGCAAGTGTTTACAAACCTGGGAGGGTCACTAATATGTTAGGTCAGGATCAGGATGCAAAATTACGGGTTGAAACCATGGGCCAAAACCAACTCAGGAATAAAGTTATTTTAAACTCTGGTAAGTTCTGTGATACATTAAGTGTCTGAGGTGCAGTGGAGGTAATCAAGTCTGGATGGAGAATCAAGGAAGGTGCAATATAGAGGAAGTGACGGCGCAGCTGAACTCACCAGTTGTGTGAGACCAATGTGGTTGAGGGGAGGCTCTTCTAAGCAGAGGTACTTGCAAAACATTAAGAATAACTCCAAAGTGTTAGGTATAATTAGTGGTGATGGTTACACAACATTATGAAGGTACAGTAGTTAATGCCACTGAACTGTCCCCTTACGCGTGATTAAAATGGTCAATATTATGTTATGCATCTTTTCCCACAAGAAAAGTAATGAAAAATGTTACCCTCACACCCATGGGTGTCCGCTAGGGACATTCCCCATTGCCCAAGCTGAGTGCACAGGTGTGGTGGCTCCTGGGATTGTCTCTAAAGGAGTCCATTAACAATGAGAAGATATCAGTACCAGAGTCACAGACAAACATGAAGTAACACAGATCCCTCAAAATATGCAATAGCAATATTAATAGCTAACACGTATATCCCAGGAATTATTCTAAATGCTTTAAATTAAATTAAATCATTTGACGCTCACACAGACCCCATGTGAGTGAATACTCTTTTTAGGGCATTCTATACATATGCAGAAACTGAGGCACACAGAGGTTGAGCAAGTTGCGGTCGGGCAAGAGCGAATATGTAGCAGAGGTGGCCATGAAATCAGATCGTCTGCTTCGGTCTGGTTCCTAATCACAGACTATGTGTGATGTCGAGAAGCTGTCATCCGCTGACTAGAGCTATGTAGGTCAAAGAGCTTAGCACATCAGAAGAGTGAGCAGTGGGTGAGGAGTCAAAGAGGAACCTCATTCCACATGAAGAAAAGCATGAGCTGAATGACTGGGATTGTGGAAGAGTGTGTATTCAGGTTAAAAGGTCTAGGAGAGGAGAAAAATACAACATCATTTTGTAAAAATGAGCTCATAGTCTAGCAAGAGGTCCTCCTATTTTTTTTCCTAAAATACATGAATTTGGAAAGCATTCAGAAAACCTTGTATCTGGTGTTATCGGACATAATATAATCTGACGTTTAATACTGAAGAAAGTCTTTCTCAAATGTCCCAACAGTGCCTGGTGCCTAACAGGGACTCAGTAAATCTTGTTGAATTAATTAATGAATCTCTATCTCATTCCACATATAATAAAAATAAATTCTTCCTGGATTAAACATTTACATTGAAATAAAGAAACTGACAGTACTGAAAAAATAGAGGTGGACACTTACGTAATACTGGCAGCTGGGAAGGCTTTCTAACCATATATGAATTCCTAAAAAGTAGAAATGCTTGAAACACCTAAGTGTTGTGTGTGAGTCTAAGGGTGAGAGGGAAGAAAAGAGATGACAGGGGAAGGAGTGAGCCGTTCTAGAAAGGGTCCCAGCACCCCAGGGTCAGTGGGAAACCCAGCAGTCAGCTACAGCCCCAAATGAATTTTTTCAGGGTGGTTCATCAGTTCTAAGTACTCCTCTGGCTGGAGGAAGTTGCCAAAACCACCTCCGAGCCCCCGGCCAGCACATAACCTTGAGTCAATAGAAGCTGCTCCATCAGAGACCACAGGGCACCAGTGTTTACTTAAGCTCCTGTCTCAGCGTGGGAGAAGTTAAGACCCCAGAGGGCATCTGCCTGCTGACTTATCCCCAGGTACTTGGAGAGGAAAAGAACACTCTCAATTTCAACTTGGTTTCATTACTTGCTTGGCTCAAAGCACATCTGCTAGAAGGAAGAACTCTTTATTGCTTACAGTTCCAGACAAACTCTTGGCCTCTTCACTGTTGACCCAAATGCCCTTTCTTTCCTCCCAAGAATACATGTGCAAGTTAGGGTTCAGAAAATGTTTGCTGAATGAATCAGTGAGCACTGGTCCAGAATATGTCAATATGCACACTCAGATACAACAACACCAACCAGTCTCATTTGCAATTCAATGTATGCTATTTTTTATGTGTCACGTCCCTTTGTGAACTGCTGTGAACTGTCTGTGAACTGCTGTTCATGTATGTTGCCCATTTTCCAATTGTGATGCTGATCTTTTTCTAATCATTGATCAGGATTACTCATAAAAGTGAAGAATATGAACTCTTTGCTTGCCTCGTATGATGTGAAAAACTTTCGCATTTTGTCATTTGCCTTATAAGTTGGTATTGTTTTTGAAGTACCTAAAATAGTGTTCAGCATATAGGAGACACTCACTAGATTATTTGTTGGAGAACCGACTGAATAAATAAATGAGCAAAGAGATATGTTTTATTTTCATGTAGCAAAAATCCTTCTCTCCTCCTTTATGGTTTTTCCTCTGCTATCATGTTTAGAAAGGTTTTCCCAACCCCACGATCAGATTGAGATTCAATAACATTGTCCCTTCTAGAAATTATATTATTTCGTTTTCTTTACATTTAAATACAACATATATCTAGAATTTGTCTCTCATATCTGCGTTAAGTGAGATTGATCTACAATTTTCTTTTTTGTACCGTAAGCTCTTTACCTAATTTGGTATAAGGGTCATAGCTCAAGAGATCTCAAATCTAAAGACTTTCCGAGTCAGTTATCTGTCCTGGAGGTAATTATCTGACAATAACTTTCATCTCTTATATTTACTTACAATGTTGATCAGTCTAACATTTTAGGGGCTAACACTTTGAAGAGTGTACCTTTTTTTTGGCAAGGTGATGTTAGAATTCTCATTTGGTGTGAAAATTTGGGTGGGGTTAAATTACTGTTTAAACCTCAGTTTAACTTCTAATTACACTGTTCTCCTGGCCAAAGACCCTAAACCACTGATTTCTTGTTAGCACTAAAAGCCACAATGTAACAGACTGGCTTCTTGTGAAATAGGAACCAAATACTGCCAGAACTGGAAGCCTCTAACAGGAAGTCATGACTTAGTGGTGAAATAACTAAAGAAAAGGAGGGGACAGAAAAGCAGCCATTCCCCTTTGGGGGCCTAGCTGTCACTTTGCTGCTGTTGCCTTTTAGTAAGTAATAGCCAAAGCTTTAGCTTGGTCTAGAGCATGGTGACGTTCTTATGTGCAAAGAAGGCAAAATAGGCTGAATTACTTGGATAGAAATTCTCCAGTGAAAGGCTACAAATATGAGTAAGTCAAACAAATAATCACTGTGCAGAATGCTAATGTTGTAACAGAGGGAAGTCCAGGGCCTAAGAGGGAGGATGGGAAGGTTTTCGCCCACACACTTTGCAGGTCAGTGGGACGTTCTTACAAGGCTCTACTTGGCAGGAAGACACTGTGTTTTCAGGCACTGGGCACAACCCACAAGGGAAGGAACCCCGACTTTGATGTAGCACACTGCAGGCCCTGGGGAGACAGCGCTGAGCAAGGCGCTCAGGGAGGGAGACAGACAAGTAAACAGAGGGGCTGCTTTGCAAGGGAAGGAAACTGACTTTGATCGCTGTTTCCACTCTAACGCTTGCCCTTAGCTACAGAGACAGCAGATCTGGAGCCACCCCAGCCAAGGCTTCCCAGCATGCTTTGAGCACATCCAGTCTGACTGAAGTGGGGGCTAACCTCCTATTATGCGATCTGGAAGCCTTCTCCACTCCAAGATTATCAAAATATTTTCCTATGTTTTCTTTTAATCTTCTATGTTGAATTACACATAAATGTGTATGTAATAAACAAAGCACAAAAAGAGCTTCTATGAGACGTTAAGATAAATATGAATGACCTAATTAATAGAAAAACATGGGCAAAATATATGAATCAGTATTTCACAGAAAAAGAAACAGAAATGGCCCCAAACTATATATCCATATCTAATTTTAAATGAGACATCTTTGTATATAAGCCTGGCAAAAATGTTCAAACATGTGCAATGTATCTTAATGTCATTCTTCATAATAACTAAAAATCAGAAAGAAACTAAATATCTATCAAAAGGTTGAATAAATTATGGTATGAATAAGCAAACCACACACATAAGCCCCTCCACCCCAGTCTACGCTTATATTTTGGCAATCTCCGCACTCTCATGTGCTGTGATTATTTGAGTGCCATTCCCTTCATCCCATTTACAAGTCGGAGTGAAATGAAAAGTCTATAACTCCAAAAGCAAATTTTCAAAACAATTAAATGCAGACTGTTCACAAGACATCTTCCCAGAATGGAGCCCATGGGGGTAGTTGGGGCTTTCACATCTCAGTACATGGCAACTCTATCCTTCCAGCTGCTCAGGCCAAGACACTGGAATTCTCGACTCCTTTCTTTCTCTTGCATAGAATAACCAATCCATCAGAAAATCTTACCGGTTCTACCTTTAGAATATACCCCTCTCCACGCATCTCACCTGTATCACTGCACTAGCCCCTCACCTGGTCTCCCTGCTTCTGCCCTGGCCCCTACAGCTTGCAGGCAGCTGCCAGAGTGATCCTGTTACAATTCACATCAAATCATGTCAGTTCTGTTCTCAGAACCCTCTGGTGTCTTCCTCCCTTACTCAGACGAAAAGCCAAAGGCTAAAGTAAGGCCTCTACTCACATCACCACTCTGACCTCATTTGCTCCATTCCTTACTCCCTGGGCTGCAGCCAAGCTCACTGCTCTTGGAACATTCCAGGCGTGTTCCTGCTTCAGAGGCTGTACATTGTCCATCCCCTCCCATGATTAAGGAGTGGGGTATGCCATTCCCAGACACTTTCAGCTCTCTAACATGCAAGCAAAATGGTCTCTAGTAGGCCAATAGCAATCTCCCAAACAGGAGCTGCCGCTGTTGGAAGTGAAAGCCCCCCAAAGTGGGGGAAGAGGAGCACATCCTCCAATATCTTTCCGTGGTACTAGTACTAGCGGTGCTAGTAATACAATATGAATTGGTCACCTTTATTGGCTACTTATGAAGTGCATTACATATAACTCACTTCATCCTCACAACAAACCCATGACGCAGGACATTAGTCAACCTTGACAAGAGCAGTTTTGATGGAGTGGTGGAGTAAACACTTGATTAGGAGCGAATGAGAAATAGAATCTCACCATTTGTAATCCTTAATGAATTAATCAATTTAAGCATTAAGCATCAGTGGCTGCTACAATCACAAAAAGGGAGACAACCAGATACGATTTTCCTCCTAATGGAAGTACAATAATACCACCTAGGAAGAGTTCATTATATTATTCTCTCAGAAAATAACAACATATTTGAGTGCTGACTGTTATCATCTAGAGCCAAGTGGATCCACATACTGCCATCTTCCAATTTAAAAAGAGTAAAATGCTAGACTTGAAGTTTTCTTTCTGCTTTTCTGTGGTGTGTACGTATTTTGGTGCTAAGATCTTAAAGTCTTGTATCCGATTCACGGTAAAGGTTTAAGGTATTCATCAAATGCAGGGGCAGGGAGAATAAGCCAGGGTTGGACCTGAGTGACCTCTCTGCCATTTAGAGAGCTTGTCCCAAAGCATTTGGCCTGTGGAGGAACCAGTCCAAGGATTTTTCCTATTAAGACTTCTAACCTGTGCACTTTATCCTCAATCTCACAAATACCTATTGGCAGAACTCATCTAAAACACACACTTCAGGCCCTAAAGATGTAGTTAGCCCTTTGGAAAATTGTTGACTTCGAGTCCATCTCATCACTTGGTTGTATTTCTTTCTTTATCAGGCCTGGGTCTGATAGCCTGGGTCACTGGTTTTCTGGTTGACACTGCAAATGAATAAATACTTTCCTCCCATTTGTGTCTTTCACTTTTAACTACCATCTCATCTCCTTTCTCTTCCACTGCCACACTTCTTGCTGTCGTTGCTACCCATTTCTTCCTAAACCATTAATATTGGGAATCCACTTCACCAGAAAGACTCGGAAGCCCCACTTAGACTTCAGGCCCAAGTAGCTGTCTCCAATTCAGCTTTTTCAGTGATGAAACAGCTGTTTTGCATCCATCTTCCTTATCTTGTGCCCCTTGTCCATTCCTTCTCTGTGCCCTATCAGTCAGAGCCCTGGGAGGAAAGGCGGGTGACTGGCATTACCACTGCAAGGTATTTAGGGTTATCCATCGCCTCTAATGGTCTCTCCTCTTATCTCTTCTCAGTTTTGCTGACACTTTTCCTCTTACTCTCTAACTGCGGTATCTCCCAAAATTCTGCCCTAGGTCCTTTTCCTTCTTACTCATCACACCCTCCTTGGATAATCTCATCCACCCCGATAACTTTAACTACTTCCTATACCCCAGTAACCACCAAAACTCCATCTGGAGCCCAGGTCCCTCCCCTCAGCTCTAGACAAATTTACCCACGGTTACTTCAAACTCGGTATGTGCCAGCCTGAACGTACCAGTCTCACTGGCTTGCCCCCAAACTGGGTCTTTTCTCCCATGCTCTTGCTCACAGTGTTTGTATGACATAGTCAGTGTCCAGAAAGATGTGGCGTAAAAAATCAATTACAGGCCAGGCGCAGTGTAATCCCAGCACTTTGGGAGGCCGAGGCAGGAGGATGACCTGAGGTCAGGAGTTCGAGCCTGGGCAACATGGTGAAGCCCCGTCTCTACTAAAAATACAAAAATTAGCCGGGCATGGTGGCAGGCGCCAGTAATCCCAGCTTTTCAGGAGGCTGAGGCAGGAGAACTGCTTGAACCTGGGAGGTGGAGGTTGCAATGAGCTGAGATTGCACCACTGCACTCCAGCCTGGGCAACAGAGTGAGATCCTGTTTCAAAAAAATAAAAAAGAATCAATTACAAAAATAAATAAATAAAAGATGAAATTCAACAGTAATAATGTAGGTCCTGTTCCTGGGCTTAAGCAAAACAGCAATAGCACAAGAACAGACTGGAGAAAAGATAGCTTAGCTGAAACACAGAGGAAATCTAAGTCCGTTTGACAGGAAGCTCAGTGTGAGTCAACGGTGTGGCGTGGCTGCCAGAACAAAGCTAATGGAATCTCCAGCTGCTTTCTCAGAAGCACGATGTCCAGATGAGCAATGATGGTCCTGGAGGAGTTTATTTAGTTCTGGTACCAGTTCAGAGGAAATATACAGGACAGTGAGGGAACTCAGAACTCTGTTCTATCCTAAGGAATGACTGAGTAAGCTGGCAACATTTAGATTGGATATTTGCAGGGCTCTCAAATTGAAAAAGAATTAGAGGTGTTCTGTATATTCTAAGGAGGTTAACACCAGGACCAATTTCTTGCAGTCAGAACTATCACACGATTATTTGGGCAGCATATTATGTAACCGGTTTCCTGTCATTGGAAGTGTCCAGATAACAAATGGCTGGCAAAAATGTGGCCAGCATTGGAGTTGCTGTAATTCATCTTGGGCTAATCACCCTTCTCCTCGTCCCTACTCCTGTCAAGTTCAAAATCTTTAATTACGCCCTCTCTCACATACCTTATAATTAAGCAATCAACATTTCCCATTGATTATTTCTCTAAAATATTCTCATATTTTCCCTTCTGCTGCATTCACATTATTACCCTGGACTAAGTCGCCTTGCCTAGGAAAGATTTTTTTAAAAAGGATATCTTCAAATACCATCCCAATCAACCTGACTTCCAGAATCTAAGTGGCAATCTGGAGTAACATTGTCAGTTGTTTTGGCCACCCAGCATCTGCACCTTTTTCTATATTTGGGGAATTCCCAACTCCAGTTATAGAAGCAAGAAATGATGGATCCTTTCTTTTCCAGTCTCCATTACAATGAAGGTACAGATTCTGATCGTCTTTCCTGACAGTTTAACCTCAAGATTGCTTCGGCAGATCCCACAACAGTATTTTTTATCTGCCTAATTAAATCATCATCTAGTTACCTGAAATGACATGCCCACTAAAGATAAGGTTTTGAGGGAGTGGGGAGTGGGAGCCCAGTGTCAAAAATTAAAGTTTTTATTAAAGATATATGATTTAAAAAAACAAAGCTTCTCAGTACCATGCCCTGAAACTCATTAACAGAAGCTGCTTTTACATATTTACACCATACTTAAAGTATACTCACGTCATCCATGTGTATTGCAGCACTATTCACAATAGCCAAGCTACAGAATCAACCTAAGTGTCCATTAATGGATGAATGGAAAAAGAAAATGTAGTACATACACACAATGGAATACAATTCAGCCATAAAAAAGAATGAAATCCTGTCATTCACAGCAACACGGATGGAACTGGAGGTTATTATATTAAGTGAAATCAATAAAAGAAAAAAGATGAACTCTGGCCACTGACATGGAGACAATTCTAGGATAAATTTTTAAATGAACAGACTAATGTACAGAACATTGTGTATCTTTTGTGTAAGAAAAGGAGGAATAAGAAGCTGTATATGTATTTCCTTGTGTTCATATAAAGAAATACTGAAAAGATTAAAGAAAAAAATTAAAAAATGGTTATTTGGGGGTAAGGGTAAATAGGGTGGATGAAGACAGAGGTGGAAGAAGTTTTCATCAAACATTTAAAATATATTTTTTAATTTTTGAAACATGACTGCATTACCTATTTGGTAGCAATTTTTAAAACTAAGTCAAAAGTAGAAGAATTGACAGGAAGATCAACAAAACTGCCCCAAAACAGACCCAATGAAGGATTTAAGATTTAGGTTACATTTAAGATAATTTTCTAGAAACAGAAATATAAATGGCTTTTATACTTGAAGAGATGTTCAACCTCACTCACAAAGAAATTTAATTAAAACAAGATACCATTTATCATCTATTGATTTTTCAAAGATAAAAACATTTAACAGTACACTGTATTTGAGGACAAGCACTTTCATACTCTGTTGCTGAGAGTAAAAATTGGCATTATACGTTTACATGCACTTCAACTCAGCAATTCAACTTCTAAGAGTTTTTTTTACAAGCATAATTGCACATAACCACAAAGACCAATGTACAAAGATATTTACCACAGTATTGTTTACAGCAGCATGAGACTGGAAACAAGAGAAGTTCTATCATAGTATCTCCACATAGTGAAATATTATGAAGCTGTTATGGACTGATATGGACCAATCTCCAAAATACATTACTAAGAAAGGAGGTTACAAAATAGTGAGTATAGTGTGCTACCATTTGTGCAAAAAATGGGGAAGTATATGTGCTTGTATATGCATGGAATATATCTGAAAAGAAAATCAAGAAACTTGTCTCAGAAAAGAAATATAAGGGTTCTCCGCTTCTAGGAATGTAAAAAGATGCAAAGAACATCCTTCCCACTATGACGAGAAAAGCTGGACAAAACACAAAATCTTCATTTTCTTGAGCCCATCAGAGAGTGGAGGTCACAAGGCGCCCAAGTGATCTGACTTCCACAGAGGGATGACAATCCCTTCCCACGGTATATAGGACTCATGGAGGAGATCCCTCCCTTAGTGGTGATCCTAAGCACAGAGACTTCCAGTTGCTGAGGTAGCCCACGACCCAGAAAACAAGCTACCTGTATAGCCAACCCAGGTCCCTGGCCTTCCTCTTCACCATAACAGGAAAGAATTAAAGTAGATATCTATCAACAGAATTCTCACTTAAGCTGAAGGAATTCACTGTTCAATCTGGAACAGAATTTCTCCCTCTTGGCACCACTTGGACCCATTTGGGCCAAATTCATTGTGGTGGAGGACCGTCCTGTGCATTGCAGAACATTTAGCAGCATCCCTGGCCTCTACCTACTAGAGAATGCATCCACGGAGATATGGTTTGGCTGTGTCTCCATGCAAACTTCATCTTGAATTGTAGCTCCTATACTATAATTCCCACATGTTGTGGGAGGGACCAGTGGGAGATAACTGAATCATGGAGGCAGGTCTTTCCCATGCTATTCTCACGATAGCAAATAAGTCTCACAAGATCTGATGGTTTTATAAAGGGGAGTTTCCCTGCACAAGTTCTTTCTCTTGTCTGCTGCCATGTGAGACGTGCCTTTCACCTTCCACCATGATTGTGAAGCCTCCGCCGCCACGTGGAACTTTGAGCCCATTAAACCTCTTTCTTTTGTAAATTGCCCAGTCTCTGGTATGTCTGTATTAGCAGTGTGAAAACAGACTAATATATGTGGTGTATTAGTCCGTTCTCACACTGCCATGAAGACATACCCAAGACTGGGTAATTTATAAAGGAAAAAGGTTGGGCCGGGCATGGTGGCTCACACCTGTAATCCCAGCACTTTGGGAGGCCGAGGCGGGTGGATCACGAGGTCAGGAGTTCAAGACCAGCCTAGCCAACATGGTGAAACCCCATCTCTGCTAAAAATACAGAAATGAGCCGGGTGCAGTGGCAGGCGCCTGTAATCCCAGCTACTCGGGAGGCTGAGGCAGGAGAATTGTTTGAACCTGGGAGGCGGAGCTTGCCGTGAGCCGAGGTCATGTCACTGCACTCTAGCCTGGGCAACAGAGCAAGACTCCATCTCAAAAAAAAAAAAAAAAAAAAAGGAAAAGAGGAAAAGGTTTAATTGACTCACAGTTCCACATTGCTGGGGAGGCCTCAGGAAATGTACAATCATGGCAGAAGGCAAAGGAGAAACAGGTACCCTCTTCACAGGGCAGCAGGATGAAGTGAGTGCAAGCAGGGGAAATGCCAGACCTTTATAAAACCATCATATCTCGTGAGATTCACTCGATAGCATGAGAAGCATGGGGGAAACTGCCCCCATAATCTGATTATCAATTACCTCCACTTGGTCCTGCCCTTGACATGTGGGGATTATGGGGATTACAATTCAAGGTGAGATTTGGGTGGAAACACAGAGCCAAACCATATCTCGTGGGTTCCATCAACCATAGGTTCAACCAACCACAAATTGAAATTAGAAGTAAAAAACAGAAAGATATCTAGGTAATTCCCAAATATTTGGAAATTACACAATACATTTCTAAATAACCCGCAGGTCACAGAAAAAAACTACAAGGGAAATTAGAAGATATCTTGAAGTGAATAAAACCAAAAATACAACATATCACCAGAATTTGTGGAATGCCATTAAAGCAGTGCCAAGGGGGAAATTTGTAGCACTAAATGTCTATGCAGTTGATCCTCAACTTACAGTGGAGTTACATCCCAAGAAACCCATCATAAGTTGAATATACCCTAAGTCAAAAATGCATTTAATACACCTAACCTATTGAACTTCATAGCTTAGCCTAGCCTACCTTACATGTGCTCAGAACACTTACATTAGCCTACAGTTGGGCAAAATCATCTCACACAAAGCCTATTTTATAATAGTTATAAGGAATTTTGAATCAAAATTCAAAATTTGAAGTATAGTTTCTACTAATGAGTGTTGCTTTCATGCCATCGTAAAGCAAAAAAAGTCATAAGTCAAACCATCGTAAGTCAGGAACCATCTGTATTAGAAAATAAGAAAGATCTCATATCAATGGCCACAGCTTCTACTTTAAATGAATTTCAGAAAGTACACTGGCTGCTGTGGGGTCAATGCTAAGGGAAAGAAGCCAGACATAAAAGGACCACATAGTCTATCATTCCACTTATATGAAATTTCCAGAAAAGGCAAATCTATAGAGACAGAAAGCAGATCAGTTGCTGCCTGGGGCTAGAGATAGGAGTGAGGAGTGACTGCAAATAGGCTAAGGGAATTTTTTGTGGGGATAGAAATGGTCTAAAGCTAGACCACAGTGATGGTTGCATAACTGTATAAATTTACTCAAAGTCAACCAACTGTACACTTATGATGGGTGAATTCTATAGTGTGTGTACATATATATATATATATATATATATGTACACACACATACACACACACATACCTCAATAAAGCTGTCTTTAAAAACCACTGAAATCTGTGGAATGGGTTCCCAGGATGTTAAGCCAAGGAAGACAGAATATAATATTGGATCAAGCTAAATGTATTAATGTGTGTGTGTGTGTATTTCCTGATTGATAAAGTGACATCTTTAAGGTGCTGAAAAGAAAAACAAAACAAAACAAAACAAAATTTTTAAACTGTCAACCCATAATTCTATGCCCAGTGAAAATATTTTTTAAAATGAGGGAGAAATAGACTTTCTCAGACAAACAAAACAGAGAAGTCACTGCCAGCAGACCTAAACTACATGAAATGCTGAAGGAAGTTCTTCAGGCAGAAGGAATATGATAGCAGACAGAAACTTGAACCTACATAAAGAAATGAAGAGTGACGGAAATGGAATAAATAAAAGAAAAATAAAAGTTTAGTTTTTTCTCTTTGTTTTAATTGACTGAAAAGATAACTGGTTGTCTAAAGCAAAATTAGTAGTAGTGTATCATACGTTTATAGCACATGTAAAAGTAAAATGCATGACAACAGCACAAAGAATATAAGAATGGAATTGGGAATATACTATTCCAATGTCCTTATACTACTAATATTATAATGATATAATATTATTTAAAGGAAGTCTGCAACTAATTAAAGATGTATAATTTACACTCCAGGGTAACTGCAAAAATATGAAGTTATGAAATGTAAGTTAACAATGGAGATAAAATGGAATAATAAAAAAGGCTCTATTAGCCCAAGAGAAGGCAGAAACTGAGGAGAAAAGAAACAAAGAACAGATAGAACAAATGAATAACAGCTAGCAAGATGGTGTATTTTAATATAAACATTTCAATAATCATACTTTATGTGAATGAACTAAATATGCCAATTAAAACAAGGTGAGAGGCTGGGTGTGGTGGCTCACACCTGTAATCCCAGCACTTTGGGAGGCCAAGACAGGCGGATCACGAGGTCAAGAGATCGAGATCATCCTGGCCAACATGGTGAAACCCCATCTCTACTAAAAATACAAAAATTAGCCAGATGTGGTGGCGCGTGCCTGTAATCCCAGCTACTCAGGAGGCTGAGGCAGGAGAACTTTGTGAACCCAGGAGGCGGGGGTTGCAGTGAGCCGAGATCGTGCCACTGCACTCCAGCCTGGTGACAGAGTGAGATTCCATCTCAAAAAAAAAAAAAAAAAAAAAAAAAAAAAGGCGTTAAAAAGCAAGACCCAACTCTATGCTGTATATAAGAAACCTACATCAAATATAGACACAGAGAGGTTAGAAGTAAAAGAATGGAAAAAGATACACCGTGCAAGCACATATCAAAAGAAAGCTATTATCAAAAAGACAATAGAAAGAAGAAAATAGACTTCAAAACAAGGAATAGCATCAGGGACAAAGCAAGACATTAAATAATGAAAAAGGCTTCTATTCCCCAAGAAAACATAGTAGTTCCAAATGTGTATAACTAGAAATGGAGCATCAAAATATGTGAAGTAAAAACAAATAGAACTGGAGGTAGAAATGTGGACACTGTGGACAAATCTACAATTACAGATAGAAACTTTCACATTCCTCCCTCAGTAACTGAGAGTAAAAGTGAACAGAAAATCAGTAAGGATACAGAAGAACTGAATAACATTATCAACCAACCTGGCCTAATTAACATTTATAGAACACTTTACCCAATGACAGAAGAATACATATTTTTTCAAGTGCTTATGTACATGAAGTGAAACTATATTGTGGGCCATGATATACATTTAACAAATTTTAAAGAATATAAATCATATAGAGTTTGTTCTTAGATCATAATGGAATTTAACTAGAAATTAATAATAGAAAGATATCTAGAAATTCCAATATTGGGAAATTACATAAACTTCCAGAAAACCCTTGGATCAAAGAGGAAATCTCAGGGGAAAATTAAATAATACTTTGAAATGAATTAAAATGAAAATGCAACATATCCAATTTTGTGGGATGCACCTAAAGTAGTGCTTAGAAGGAAGATTGGCCAGGTGTGGTGGCTCACGCCTGTAATCCCAGCACTTTGGGAGGCCAAGGTGGGCTGGATCACTTGAGGTCAAGAGTTCAAGACCAGCCTGGCCAATATGGTGAAACCGCATCTCTACTAAAAATTCAAAAATTAGCCAGGCATGGTGGCAGGTGCCTGTAATCCCACCTACTCAGGAGGCTGAGGCAGGAGAATTGCTTGAACCCAGGAGGCAGAGGTTGCAGTGAGCTAAGATTGTGTCACTGCACTCCAGCCTGGGTGACAATGCGAGACTCAGTCTCAGAAAAAAAAAAAAAGGAAGATTATAGCACTAAATGCTTATATTAGAAAATAAGAAAGGTCTCAAATCAGTAATTTAAGTTTCCTCCCTAAGGAACTAGATAAAGAAGTGATTAAATTAAACCCAATGCAATCAAAAGGAGGAAAATAATAAAGATAAGAGGATAAATTAATGAAATTGAAAGCAGGGAGAAAGTAGAGAAAATAAACGAAACCAAAGGATGGTTCCTAAAAACTAATGTAATAAATGAAAACTGAGGCATCACTACAAATCATACAGGCATTTAAAGGATAATAAGGGAACATAATGAACAACTTTCTGCCAATAAATTCAAGAACTTAGACAAAATAGAGAAAAGCCTTGAAAGACACTAACGACACTCATTCAAGAAGATATGGATAACCCACATAGCCCTATATCTATTAAAGAAATAAAATTTGGCCAGGCCCAGTGGCTCACACCTGTAATCCTAGCACTTTGGGAGGCCGAAGCGGGTGGATCACCTGAGGTCAGGAGTTCGAGACCAGCCTGGCCAACATGGCAAAACCCTGTCTCTACTAAAAATACAAAAATTAGCCAGGCATGGTGGTGGGCACCTGTAATCCCAGCTACCCGGGAGGCTGAAGCTGGAGAATCTCTTGAACCCAGGAGGTGGAGGTTGCAGCGAGCCAAGATCGTGCCACTGCACTTCAGCCTGGGTGACAAGAGTGAAACTCCATCTCAAAAAAAAAAAAAAAAAAAAGAAAGAAAGAAAATTTGTAGTTGATAGCCTTCCCAAAAAGAAAAGTATAGGCCCAGATGTTTTCAATGGTGAGTTCTACCAATCATTTAAGGAAGAAGGAATACCAATTCTACACAACATCTTTCAGAAAATACAAGAGGAGGGAGAACTTCTGATTTCATTTTATGATGCCAGCATTATGCTAATATCAAAACCAAAGATAGCATAAAAAAGGAAAACTGCAGACCGATATCCCTCATGGACAGAGACAAATATCTTCAGCCAAACTATCAGCAAAGCAAATCCAGAAATATATGAAAAGAATAATATGTTACAACCAACTGAAGTTTATCCCATAAGTTCGAGGTTGGTTCAACATTTAAAATCAAGCAGTGTAATTCACCATAGTAACAGACTAAAAAATAAAAAACATATCATCATTTTTATAGATGCAGGAAACACAACAAAATCCAACTCATGAGAAGAAGCCTCAGCAAACTAGCAAGATGGGGGAGCTTCCTCAATTTGGTAAAAGGTGCCTACAAAAAGCCTACAGCTAACATACTTAAAAGGTGAAAAATGGAATGCTTTCCCTCTAAAATCAAGAAAAAGTCAAGGATGTCTGCTCTCGTCATTTCTATGCAACATTTATAGTATTGCAGGTTGCAACTACAGACAAGGCTATTAGAACTAATAAGTGAGTTTAGCAAGGCTATGGGATATGAGGTCAGTGAAATCAATTGACAAACCAATCCTAAAATTGCCATAGAAAAACAAAGGACCTAAAATAGCCAAAACAACTCTGAGAAAGAAAAAGTTTGAGGGCTAAAATAACCTGATTTCAAGAATTATTGTAAAGCTACAGTCATTAGTCATTAAACAGCATGTTGTTGGCATAAAACAAATAGATCAATGGAACAGACTAGAGAATCCAGAAATAGATCTACATGGATATGGTAAATGGATTTTTTTTTAGATAGTTTTGCTCTTGTCGCCCAGGCTGGAGTGCAATGGTGTGATCTCAGCTCACTGCAACCTCCACCTCTGGGGTTCAAGCAATTCTCCTGTCTCAGCCTCCCAAGTAGCTGGGATTACAGGTGCCCACCACCATGCCTGGCTAATTTTTTTTGTGTTTTTAGTAGAGACAGAGTTTCACCATGTTGGCCAGGCTGGTCTTGAACTCCTGACCTCAGGAGATCCTCCAGCCTCAGCCTCCCAAAGTGCTGGGATTATAGGCGTGAGCCACTGTGCCCTTCAGGTAAATTGGTTTTTGATGATGTTTCAAAAGTAAATCAATGGAATAAAGGCAGTCTACTCAATAAATAGTACTGGAACAAATGAAATCGGTATGCAAGAAAAGAAACCATGATACAAACCTCACAGCTTTTATAAAATTTACTCAAAATGGATCATAGATCTAAATATAAAATATCTAAATATAAAATATAAAATTATAAAACTTTCAGAGGCCAGGTACATTGGCTCACGCCTGTAATCCCAGCACTTTAGAAGGCCAAGGTGGAAGGATCACTTGAGGCCAAGAGTTGGAGACCAGCCTGCGGGCAACATGGAGAAATCCTGTCCTCTCTACAAAAAATACAATTAGCAGTGCATGGTGGGGAGCAGCTATAGTGCCAGCTACTCAGGAGACTGAGGTGGGAGGATCACTTGAGCCCAAGAGGTCAAGGCTGGGTGACAAAGGATCTTAGGCTAGATGAAGAGTTGTTAGATTTAACATTAAATCCATGATTCATAAAAGAAAAATTGTATTGGGGATTTCATTAAAATTTTTAAATTTTAGTTCTTCAAAAGAGGATGAAAAGACAAAAACTATGGGCTGCTAGAAAATATTTGCAAATTAAATATGCAACAAAGAACCTATATCCAGAGAACCTATATCCAGGGACAAAAACAGTGCCTGGCTCTTGGCATTGTTTTGAAAACTAAATGAGTTAATACAAGTTCTTAGTGTAGTGCCTGGCACATATAAACATTCAATAAAAGTGAACTATTATAGCTTTATTATCACTGTTATTATAGGACTCTTTAAAATGGATAAAAATAGATGCAAGCCAAATGTTCACCAATAGAGAAATTGTTATATTATATGTATTACAAGGAATATTTGACAATGCTTTAACGAATGAAGTAAATCTATATGTACTAACCTGGAAAGATGTCCAGGATGTTTGTGAACAAAGCAAATTGCAGGACCGTTAGTAGAATATGATCCCAGTTGTGCAAAAAGAAAATTATATATTTTCTGAAAAATTTTGTAGAATGGTACTCACTGAACGGCTCACAGTTGTTATCCCTGGGTTGGGGAGTGGAATAAGGAGGAGAGCAAAGGGAAGGTAGCGGGGTAGGGGAAATTTAAAGGGGGTCTTCACTTTTCATTCTATTTATTAACATAAGAATATATTTCTTGTGAAACAAAAAATACAGATGAAAATAACTATCTTTTAAAAGACCAGTGATAAAAAATAACTTTCTGATTGTCTTCACTGATGGATTCAAGTGGATGAAGTACAAGCCTACTTTGGACTGAAAGGTTTACCTAAAAACTGCCTGAGCTTCCATTTGTAACAGCAAACATTGATGGAGTGCTGCTTGCTGGCCTGGCAGCACGAATAACTGAGTTATTGTCCTGGTTGTGCCAATAACTAGTTTTGCTATGTTACTATTATAAATGTTAAACTATAAACTGGAATCAAGTCTTTTTTTTCTGTCTTCCCAGCCTGTAACACAGGGCCTAGTTCGGAGTTAGCGCTCCGTTAACGGGAGGGAGTGACAGGAATTGAATTTAAGCAGCTGTAACAGCCCTATCCAGGCCCCGTCGAAGTGACACATGATCACCATCTAGTGGTGAAAAAGATTCCTGCAGAATTTAGCTATGAGAGGAAAAAGAATTCTTTCTGTGGTGTGTTCCAGGGACAGATGCCTGTCAGCGAAAAAAGCATTGACTAGATATGATCTTTCTTAGAGACAGTTCCCAAACATCAAGGTTTATGTCTTGGAGTGTTGGTAAGATGACACCTAGGTACTCTTGTGTCTTAAGTCTAGTCACTGCCCCATCATCACACGCCCCACATATCTCTAAGCTGCGCAGTGTCCACTCTTGCCACATCCCCTAAAGGAATGAACCGCGTGTGATAATAGGCACACACACTCATGCCTTCCCAAAGTTGATGAAATACTAATAAACTTCCCTAAGCCAGTCTGCTTAAGATACAAAAAAAGACTGGGAAATAAAATATTCTATAATCTTTGCCCTCCAGGGGCATCTTTCTGTATCATCTACTGAAATTGTATAGTGAACCTTTAAAATGTCTGTCATTCCAAAGGACAACAAGGAAACCCATCCTGAGTCAACACTGCAAGCACTACTGTGTGACAAAAGCCTCACCTGCTCATGCAGGTGATGGGAGCAGGTTTTCTTCTCTTGCCTCCTTTGAGTAGCTTCACAGTTAAGGAAGCAGCTGGATAATGCAGAGGCCAAGAGATATTGGACCCTGTGCTTATGGACTCCTGGACTCAAAAGCAAATGATGTAGGGACACACTGGCACTTAGAGAAATCTCAGTATTTATGCACTCCTGATATTCACGTGCTAAATAGAACAACCTTCCTCTAAAGTTCTGTTCTGCAGAACAAACAACAAAAATCTTTTCAAAGACCCCTAAGAGAGAAACACACACTGTCTAGCCCGATGTGAATGGGGAAAGAGGGCTTGAGCAACTCTATGTTCAGGAAAATCTCCTGCCACACATTCTGGAAGTATTCATACATTATTAAAGTCTTTTTATAATCCCACCTCTTGAACTTCCACACAATATGTGCCTCATCTATGTGGGAACAAAAACAGTTGTGAAATTTGGCCAGAAGAGGACAGCAGTTTGAGAGCACTGTATAGACAAGAGCACAAGGCTGAACCACATTTGGGGTGGGCTGCTTTGGATGAGCGCAGACATGCGCGAGTTTGTTCCTACCACCGTGCAGTGAAGTTGCAGAGAAATTAGGAATTAAGAACAAGATGAATCCATCCAGCTACTCCCAGCCTAAAAAAAGCAAGAAGTCCTAATAGCTATTTATATGCAACTCCCTGGGGACTGAAGTGGTTCTTCCTAATGGCTGAAAAACACTGAGTAGCAATCAGGTCTTTAAGCAGAATGTTTTTAAGACCTTATCGTGAGGACGCTGATGGAGATAATGAACGTTTGAGGTGTCGATAGTACATCTTAAAACGGTAATGGAATAGGTAGGAAGATTCGCTCTTCCAAGTATTCCTAATTTCATATTAGTAAAAGTCAGTTGTCCAGCTGGCACTATAAAAGCGCGGTGTCAGCATTAAGAAGAAGCTGAAAGGAGTTACACGATGAGAAACGAGTTACACTGTGTAGGGTTCCAGACAGCAGTGTCCGATGACAGCTACAAGAGCAGCACTCCTTACTCCTTACGGTCCAGGGGGAATGCAGGCAATTCCCCTCTGGCTGTCAGTCTCCCTATCCCCTGCCGCGTCTCCTTCGCGGGGCGATGGGTCTCAGAGCCACCCCCAGCCAAAGAAAGGGGCACGCTTTCGAGATGTCTCCCTGGCCGCTCCTGTACGGAGAGTGGCGCCTGAGGTTTCAGCCCCAACCCGCCTCCCTCCGCTAGAGTCAGCGGCGGTCTGGAGTCCCTGAGCCCCGCGGGCAGGCGCCACCTGGTCTCCGGCCCGCTGCCTAGCACAGCGGCGAAGCTGGCTCGACGTGCGATTTCGGTTTCCGTCCGTCGGCCTCGCCCGCAGTCCCGGGCGCTGGGAGCGGCTGCGCCTGGCGCGCCCGGAGCCCAGCGGCTCCCCGCGGCCGCCCCGCGGGCGGGTGCCCCGGGACGCGAAGGCCGGGCGGGTGGCGGCGCCCCTACTCACGTAGCGCTGTAGCTTCCTCTCGGGGGGCGACTTAACGAGCCAGCCGGTGCACACTGCGTCGCCCGCACTCATCGTGGCCGCCGCCGCCGCTTCCTCCAGCTGGGCCAGCCGCCCGCGGCAGAAGGAAGTCGGGCCAAGGATGCCGGCGGGGCGGGCCCAGCGCCCGCCCGCCCAGCGCCGCCCCGAGCGGCCGCTGCGACCCCCGCCTCCGGCCGCCGCGGCCCCCGGGGAGGGAACCGACGCCGCCCGCAACCCAAGACGGCGGGAAAAGCAAGCAGCGAAGCCTGGGAAGCCCCTTCGAGCAACTGCAGCTCCGCCAGCGGCTGTGCCCGGGGGGGGGGTGTGGGGGGGGGAGCCTACGCAGCAGGGCGCCTGCCACTCTCACCCAGGGTCACGAGAAAGCGCTCGGAAGGAGCCCTGCGACCTAATGGGAGCACAGCCTGGAACCTGTTGCCCTCATGCCCCATCCCCAATCCGCCACGCCAAACGGGCTGGTCCCTGGGTCTCAGGGACCCTGGAGCTGAAACCCAAGTACCACCTGCATCTGCCATGTGCATAGTTCACGGAGAAACAAAAGCAAGACTCCTCTTGGACTTCCCTATTCCACTTGATTGCTTGCACAGTAGTGTGTTTTCTATGTCCCTCCCCCAAAGATCGTTGTATTCAGTGATAAGCTTTGCCGGCTAAACGGTCTAAATGTCTTAATGAACCCAAATGACCCAAACTCAAAAGGTAGTGCTGTTTGCAATCTCTTTGACTCGAAGGTTTTAAAAGATGGATCTAAAGTCGATTGTGCCAACTAGTGTGCTGACCACGCTAAGTAAAAATAACAATCATGAGCACCTAACACTTGTGACCTTCCTTACTGCCAAGCTAACACCATGCCAGCGATTGTGCTAAGCACTTTCCAGGCGTTATCTCATTGAATCCACACAACACCCTGTCAAAGGGCTCTTATTATTATCTCAATTTTGCAGGTTACTAAAATGAAAAACAGGATGACAGTGTCACTTGTCGAGAGCCACACGAGAAAATCATCCATAGGCAGCCAGAGCTGTGTCAAGAGCCCATCCACTTAAGCACCACCCTCTGCTTTTTGTGGGTATCATCTATGTGACGTTTGCTAGCATCTTCAACAGAATGACCAACCTCCCATCCTATCAGGCCAGATGCTTCAGGGTGATGAGCTAACATGGTAACACCAGTGGAGTCCATCAGCATGCGCACACTGGCTTATAATGATTTTCTTGTGTGAGATAATGTCAGTGTGAATAATGGGTTCAGTAAGTCAATGGGCAGGAGTGCCAGCAGAAATGTGAATTTTAAAAAAGCGAATCCATGTACAAAATTAGTACCTGTTCAAGTGAGAAAAAATTGCTGCCCCTTCCAGATGGCAGTCCAGGTGGCTGTCTGGTCCCCCCAGGGAATGCTGTTATTAAGGGTTCATTGTTTGTCTCTGCCTGTGGGCAGCTTGAGCACTTAGCAGTGGCTGTGGCCATATCAACTGTTGCCAGTCCCTGAGAGCCCCACTATGCATTGCTAATTCTCTAAGTCTTGCTTACACCTCTGTTAAAAAAAAAATCCCTTAATTATACTTTCCTCATTTCAACCCCTTGAGTCTACTGTTTGCTTCCTTTTGAAACCTTGACCGATAGACCTGGTCATGAGGAACTCCCTACGACATTCTGGGTGTAAGTCCAGGGAATGGTGATCATGCAGCAGCAGGGGCCACAAAGATGTGAGCCACCTGCTCTAGCAACTTTCCTGTACCTTCCAGACCTGCTTGAGTCTGGTCTCAAATATTCCACTTCCAAAAGAGGATGAAATAGCACCAAATTTATCAGTGGCAGCTGAAGTTCCATGGTTCTTTGGTGCCCCATGGTCAAGCATTCAGACTTTGCCACAGCCCAGGAGCAAGCTGGAAGCTGTTGGTCAAAAGGAAAATACTTCTTTTGTGGTAGAGGGCATGGTTTACTTCAAAACTCTAGGGCTTTGCTGTGTGTTTCTCCTACTGGGACTTGCCAGAGGCTCCGTGTAGCCTCCCAGTGTGTCAAAGGTCCTGTACCTGTTGAATCTACATGGTCATAAGGGTCAAGTGGCCTGGACCTGTCACAGAGCCTTTTCTTGCCCTGGATCTCTCCCCGAAAACATGCAACCCTACAGATGACTTGCTGAGTGCATTGGTGCGGCACAATTAAATGTAGCATATGTTGCCTACAAAATTCAAACATCCACACCAAATGCCGTGCCTCTTTCTGAGTGGTAGGTGGTAAGCGGTACAACAACATGTTGAATACCCAACGTGGTCCAGACCATCTAAAAACTTTGCTGAGGTTCAGGCTCTTGAGTTTTCATGGGGCTTATCTCCTGCCCTGTGGTGTACTTGTATCTTAATAAAGCATCTAGAGTATTCGCTACCTCTAGATCATCAGGTCCAGTACATATGTCATCAGTGTAATAAACCAGCACAACATTCACAACAATCAAGCTCCATTCAACGTGGATTATGACAGTGAGCCAGAGAATAGATATAGTCCTAAGGTTGTACTTCTGTTCCCGCTAGATGAAAGTAAGCTGCTTCTAGTGTTCTCTGCTGAATGGGAAAAAATAACATTTGGCAAAGGAATAGCTGTATCCCAGGTGCCAGGGGGCTATGTTGATTTGCTGTAGGAAAACAGCATCATCTGGAATAGCAGCTTCAGTTCGAATCACAGCCTGATTAATTCTACAATTACCCACTACTAATCTCCAGACTAGCCAGATGGGTTAAATAAAGATGTGATATGAGTAACTATTCCCGTATCTTTTAGGGTACCCTGTTCTCACTGCCAGAGAAATCGAAATTGTTCCTTTCATGGAAACCCATCTTAGCTTCTCTGCACTCTAGCCTGGGGAGAGGAGAGAATTTGAATAGCAAGTGATTTTTGGCACCTGCATTCCCTTTGTGGCTTCCCCATTTATTTTTTGTTTAAAATACACTTTGTTTCACAGTTCATTAACTTCTGTAAATCTTATAACTACAAACTTGTGAAAATAAATGCCTACTATTACAGAAGAGTTTCTATCTCAATTTCATCATGATGAGTCAAAGTGACTATGCATCTAACTTATTTGCTATGAAAAGAAAATTTGAAAAGAAAACTCTGGATCATAGACAGGCAGGGGAAACAGCTTCAAATGTGTGTGAGAGTCAGTAATGAGGAAAAGGACTGCACCTTCCTATATCTCCCACCTCCCACCCACCTCTTGATTTAATAAATCTAAGAAGTATGTGAATTAAAGGCCTGGAGTGCCATGGCACAAGTTCAGATAGGGGAACACTCTTTTTCCTCTATAGGCATCCATAAACGACTTCTCTATGAGTTAAAATCATCTAATTTTCATGTGGAATATGAAATTTGACTTTATTATTATCAGTGATAGTCTTTCATCATATCCATTATTGTTGTATTTAAAATTGCCCAAAATTGGTCAGGTATGGTGATTCACACCTGTAATCCCAGCCCTGTGGGAGGATGAGGCAGGAGGATCCCTTGAGCTCAGGAGTTTGAGACCAGCCTGAGCAACATAGGAAGACCTCATCTCTAAATAAATAAGAGATTGCACAAAATTGTTGTCATAAGTCCAAATCAAACACTTCTCAATTCATTCTATAAAGCCAGTATTACTCTGATACTTCCAAAACCAGAAAAAGTTAAAAAAAGAAGGCTACATGCCAATATGCCTCATGAATATAGACACAAAAATCCTTAGAAAAATACTAGCAAATAGAATCCACAAATACATAAAAATAATTATACACCATGCATCTCAGAGATGCAAGGCTTGTTCAATATTTGAAAACCAATTAATGCAATACAGTACATTAACAGACAAAAGAAGAAAAATCACATGATTTATCAGTTGATGCAGAACGAGCATTTGACAGAACTCATGACAAAAACTCTCAGAAAACTCTCAGAAAATGGGGGAATTTCCTCAATTTATTAAAGAACATCTGCAGAAGACCTACAGGTAACATCATACTTGCTGGTGAAAACCTGGACACTTTCCTCCTAAGACTGGGAACAAGGCAAGGATATCCACTCTCACCACTTGTATTCAACATAGTACTAAAAGTCCTAGTTCAGTACAATAAGATAAGAAAAAGAAACAAATGGCATAAAGATTGGGAAGAAAATGTCTCAATTTGCAGAAGATAATTGTCTCCTTAGAAAATCTCAAGGAATATGCAAAAACAACTCCCAAAACTAATAAGTGAGTTTTGCAAGGTTGCAGGATACAAGGTCAACACATAAATCTCTTTATACGATTTCAAGGCTTATTATAAAGCTACAGTAATCAAAACTTTTTGTATTGGTGAAAGGATAGACATATAGATAAATGGTACGGAATAGAGAGCCTGGAGATAGGCTCACATAAATTCGTCCAACTGGTTTTTGACAAAGGTGCAAAAGCAATTCGATGGAGGAAGGATAGTCTTTTCAACAAACTGTAGCAACTGGACGTCCATAGGCCGAAACCAAACAAAAAACCTCAACCCAATCCTCACACCTTATACAAAAATGAACTCAAAATGGATCCTAGATTTACATATAAAATGTAAAACTACAAAACTTTTAGAAGATAAAATAGGAGAAAATCTTTGGGACCTACGACCTGGTGATAAGTTCTTAGACATGGCACCAAAAATGCAATCCATAAAAGAAAAACTTGATGCCAGGTGCAGTGGCTTATGCCTGGAATCCCAGCACTTTGGGAGGCCGAAACAGGAAGATCACTTGAGCCCAACAGTCTGAGACCAGCCTGAGCAACAAAGGTAGACGGTGTCTCTACACCAATATTTTTTAAAAAAATTAGCCAGGTGTGGTGGTGCACACCTGTAGTCCCAGCTACTCAGGAGATTGATGCTGGAAGATGGCTTCAGCCCAGGAGATTGAGGCAGCCATGAGTGACAGAGCAAGACCTCACCTCAAAAAAAAAAAACAAAAAAAAAAAAAAGAAAAAAGTGATAAATTGGACTTCATCAAAATTAAAACTTGTGCTCTACAAAATACCTTGTTAAGAAGTATAAAAAGACAGCCAGGCATGGTGGCTCACACCTGTAATCCCAGCACTTTGGGAGACCGAGGCAGATGAATCACCTGAGGTCAGGAGTTCGAGACCAGCTTGGCCAATATGGTGAAACCTCGTCTCTACTAAAATTACAAAAATTAGCTGGGCGTGGTGGTAGGCCCTTGTAATCCCAGCTACTCGGGAGGCCGAGGCAAGAGAATTGCTTGAACCTGGGAGACAGAGACAGAGACAGAGGTTGCAGTGAGCCCAGATCATGCCACTGCACTCAAGCCTGGGCAACAAAACTGGAACTCTGTCTAAAAAAAAAAAAAAAAAAAAGTATAAAAAGACAAGCTACAGACTGGGAGAAAATATTTACAAATCATGGATCTAACAAAGGACTCATATCAAGAATATATAAAGAATTACCAAAAATAAACAGTAAAAAAAATCCAAATAGAAAATAAACAAAAGATATGAAGAGATATTTCACTGAAGAGGATATACAGGTATCAAATAAGCCCATAGAAAGAGGTTCAGCATCATTAGCTATTAGAGAAGTGCATATTAAAACCACCACTACCTACTCATCTAAATGGCAAAAAAAAAAAAAAAAAGTCAGCTGGCCGGGCACAGTGGCTCAAGCCTGTAATCCCAGCATGTTGGGAGGCTGAGGCAGGCAGATCACCTGAGGTCAGGAGTTTGAGACCAACCTGGCCAACATGGTGAAACCCTGTCTCTACTAAAAATACAAAAATTAGCCAGGCGTGGTGGTGCGTGCCTGTAATCCCAGCTAATAGGGAGGCTGAGGCAGGAGAATCACTTGAACCTGGGAGGTGGAGGTTGCAGTGAGCCAAGATTGAGCCATTGCACTCCAGCCTGGGTGACACAGCAAGACTCTGTCTCAAAAAAAAAAAAAAAAAGTCAGCAAAATCCCCACATTGGGCCAGCCACGGTGGCTTCATGCCTGTAATCCTAGCACTTTGGGAGGCCAGGGCAGAAGGATTGCTTGAACCTAGGAGCTCAAGATCAGCTTGGGCAACATATTGAGACCGTGTATCTACACAAAACCCAAAAATTTGCTGGGCATGATGGTGCATGCCTGTAGTCTCAGCTACTTGGGAGGCTGACATGGGAAGATGACTTGAGCCCAGTAGGTTGAGGCTGCAGTGAGATGTGATCACACCAATGCACTGACAGAGTGTGAGACTCTGTCTCAAAAGAAAACAAAACAAAATTCCCACAATGATTTCCTGACCTACAGAATGAGGCCATCATGACAGAAAGGCCCAAGTGGAAACCCCTAGAGTTTCCCCTTCTCACAAAGTGTAAATCAAAACAAATAATACCACATACTTAGGAGCAATTTCAGAAATTAGTTCCCTCATCAAAGACTTGAAAAATGCAGGGAAGGAAATTCCTATCACACCCTCATTTAATTCATCCGTTTGGCCTGCACAGCAGGTGGTTAGGTCTTGGTGAACGTGGCAGTTTTTTTTTTTTTTTTTTTTTTTTTTTTGAGACGGAGTCTCGCTCTGTCGCCCAGGCCGGACTGCGGACTGCAGTGGCGCGATCTCGGCTCACTGCAAGCTCCGCCTCCCAGGTTCACGCCATTCTCCTGCCTCAGCCTCCCGAGTAGCTGGGACTACAGGCGCCCGCCACCACGCCCGGCTAATTTTTTGTATTTTTAGTAGAGACGGGGTTTCACCGTGTTAGCCAGGATGGTCTCGATCTCCTGACCTCGTGATCCGCCCGCCTCGGCCTCCCAAAGTGCTGGGATTACAGGCGTGAGCCACCGCGCCCGGCCAACGTGGCAGTTTTAAACCAGGACTCCAGAATTCTTAACACTCCTCCCACTGAGAGGTGGGGTTAATGTTCCCTCCCCCTGAACCTGAGCAGGCTTGTGGCTGCTTCAACCATAGACTGCAACAAAAATGGCATGATGAGACTTCCAAGGCCGAGTCATAAAAGGTGATGCAGCTTTTTGCCTTTTTCACTCTAACCCTTGCTTTGGAGGTCCTGAGCCACCAAGTACAGACTCCAGCTAGTCTAAGGCTGCCACGCCATAAAGAGAGGCTGTGTGTAGTAGGTGCTCAAGTTCCAGTGGAACCCAGCCTTCCAGCCATCCTAGTATAGGCAACAGGCATGTTAGTGAAGAAGCTTCCAGAAGATTATAGCCTCCAGCCATCCTGTCACCCCTATCCATCAAGTCATCTCAGCCAAGACCTCAGACATTACAGAGCAAAGAGAAACCATTCTCACTGTGTCCTGTCTTGATTTCTCACCTGAAGAACCTGTCAGCACAATGAAATGGCTGTTTAATGGCACTAAGTTTGGGGATGGTTTGTTATGCAGCAGTAGAAACCTAAACTGTGGACATTAAACGACTGTGGATTACTGAAAGCATAATCAGGTGGTTATTTCAAGTGCTGCTACGGTTACAGGTGTGATCTATTTGCTAAAACAATTCCATACCTCTTCCAACATTCTGTAGGCAGCCGTTGATCTGGCCAATGATAAAATGGCCTGTTGAAGATTCTGCTGTGTTCCTAGTTGGGACACAACACTCTTGTGAGGATCTGGACCATACGCTGAACTAGAAACCATTAAATGGTGCAGTTTTTCTCATGGTCAGAATATAAGAGGTCTGGAAAACAGAGTTGAGGTGGGGAATGGCATATCTCACAGACATGCTGAATAATCTGCCTTCAGAATTTTTGCTTCTCAACCTCATGACTTTGTACCTGGCTGGTTTAGATTCTAGTACCCAAGAAAAACATGCTTCCACTTATGAGAATCGCTCCACTAACTTGCAAACAGAGCCACTTGGCCACTTCTGGCTCCTCATTGCCATTACCCAATCCTCCCCTCTCCAGCTGACTTCCAGTTACAACTCGTTGCCCAGAATTGTGCCGCATGGCCACCCTAACTGCAAGAGAGGCCAGTAAATGATGTGACAAAGGATCTGACTGGCTTAGAGCGACTGTGATGCTTGCCCTGCTGCTGGGCACAGTGCTGTCCTGGCCAAAACTGGGGCTCTGTTATGGAGAAAGAAGAGGAAAGGGATGTCTGTTAGGCAGCCAACTAACAGTGCTTACCACACATGACCTAGTGAAACGTTTTAGAAGCAGTATAACCCTACAGGACCTGAGGGCAGGAGAGCAGGCTGGGAACTAAAGAGCATCCATGCAGGGCATTGTTAGGGGCTTTTCTCTTAGAGTACAAAAAGATATTTAGAGCTATTGTTTCACATGCCTTTCTTTAAATGTGATTTTCAGTTTTTACCTCTGCCAACATCCACTAAAGTCTTATTTAATGGTATAACTTGGTGTGGTGTGGTGCTGTGAAGGTGAGAGATGAGACATAAACAATTTTGAGGCCTACCCTTAATGTTCACTCACCCCACTCTTTAAACCTGTTCTTTATTGAGTCCCACAGTCTATAATACCCTTCCAATAATAACAGTCTGTTTCTTGTACTTCCAAACAAAACATTTCTAAGTGGCACAAGATTTGGTACTAGAAGCAAAGTCTTCCATGAGTCTTGCATTCAGACAAATGCAAGAATTTTGTTTTGGTTACCTGGCTAGATGTGGTGAAAACAATGTGGTGAAAAATAATCTGGGATGGGAATCTAGTAGCTTACAGCATTTATTAGCAAAACACCTCCTTCAATCCTTGTACACTCTCACCTGAACTCTATCGTCCATTGCAGTTAAAGCTCTGGGATAGGCTTCTTGGTCCAGGCATCACCTCCACATGAACCTCTATTCCAGCGTCTATACCAAGAAATCAGCCTGATTTAAAATGATCTTCTCTCTTTTTGGGTCAAGAACCTTCACATATCATTTACATAAATATTACCTGTTTCCTGGTACATGTTTGCAAACTCCTACTACTGTTTTCATATGCAAGCTTTCTCCTGCTGCATGACTTAAATTGTTCAGTTGAGGCAATGTAGAGGTTAACTCTAGTTACAGGCCTGGAGACATTGGGGTGGGAGAGTAGGAGGGAAGTGCCTTTGCTTCCCTGCTAATTCCCTCATGAGACAGTAAGGGAACCTGCAATCAGATAAACGTGGGGGTTGTTTAACAATGGAGGCTCAGTAAGAGTTGGGGATTCTGGGGACTCCCAATTCTCCAATTTACTCCCATTTCAAATCCCAGTGTTCTATGCTTTTCTGATCGTGGCCCCAACCTTTACTAAGAGAACTGAGAAGGCTGCGAACTCACTGAGTTTTGTAATTTGGAAAGGTGATGGGTCAAAATTTTAAAGTTTGGTTTTTAGTTGTTTTATTCTTGTGCCTGTAAAAGATAAGTAATTCCTTAAGCATTGTTATAGAAATTCCCTCTGTGACCCAAACCAAAAATTCGAGGAATTTGGCTGTCATTTAGATGATCCCAAACCATCATGAGTGGCCATCCTATCCCACAATTCTTGAAATCCTGTGCAACCATCACCAAAATGTAATTTTAGAACCTTTTTTTATCACCTCAAAAAGAAACTCTGTGCCCATTAGCAGTCATTCCCCATGTTCCCCTAAATTCCTAGGCCAAGGCTACCACTAATCTGCTTTTTGTCTCTAGATTTGCCTAGTCTGGATATTTCCTATAAATGGAATCACACAAAATGTGGCCTTTGGTGAATGGCTTCTTTCACTCAGCATAATGCTTTCAATGTTGTATCCATGTTGTAGCATGGATCAGTACTTCATCCCTTTTTACGGCTCCATTGTATGAATAGACCACATTTTGTTTATCTATTCATCTGTTCATTTTGGTTGTTTCTACCTTTTGGCTATTGTGAACAGTTCTTCTATGAACATATGTGTACAACCATCTATCTAAAAATCCATTTTCGATTCTCTTGGGTCTATACCTAGGAGTAGAATTGGTGAGTCATATGGTAACTCTGTGTTTAACCTTTCAAGGAATTGCCAGACCATTTTCTAAAGTGGCTGCATCATTGTACTTGATGGTACTCATGGTTTGGTCAGACAACACCCAGTTTATCATGGGCAGGTCAGGTCTTAAGACCACATGTATCACAGTCATTCCGTTTCAGTAAATAATTACAGCAAGCCAGGAGCTTTTCCTCCTGGCAAATTATTATTTTTTGTGTGTGGAGGTCTTAGCTTTAAGTTTATTTCAAATTCCAGAGGGCTGAACTGTGAGTCTCTTATTAAAGCTTGGAAAAGGCTCTGTGTAGCATCCTAATGGGGTATGCCATCTCCAGAAAATGGCCCACTGAGTGTCATGCTTCTTTTTTAGCAAGCAGAGGGTTCCAAGTAAGGCAACTTGTCTTTCTCTTTGGAGGGACCGTCTCAACATGCCTCAGCCCACTGCATGCCCAGGAAGTTCACTGAGGTATCACCTCCCTGAATTTTCAAGGGGCTTCTCTCTCACCTTGTGGTGAAATATTTGCCACTTCCTATGCATCAGGTCCACTCAGCATGATGTCTTGGGGTACAGTGAGATGATCAAATCAGTTCCCAGGGACTCAATTATGATAATGTGCCAGAGGCTTCCTTTGTTCTTTCCTTCCATTATCACCCTCAGTCCTTGAGTCAGGAAGCCCCTCTGGGAATTTATCCAGCTACCAATTGTGTTTATTACAAGTATGGATTCAAGAACCGGGGAAAGAGCCACAGGGTGGCTGATAGTGAAAGGGACGTGGGCTGACTCCACTTCTGACCATTGGACCAAGTGGCATTCTACTTCCCCAGTGATTCACACGGGCTAGTGCAAGCCCCTGGTAAATGGCCACGGGTCCCACGAGAAGGGAGGAGGCAGGCTGAAAGTACACACTTGTAGCGTTACATGTGCCTGGCCTCACCTTTACAGGCTCACCTCACGGGCTCTGGCCTGTGGACTGACTAGATCTGGGAATTAGATGAGGCACCATGATTTTCCATTGTGGTGATTCAAGGCAGAATGCCTTTAGCCAGACCTAGAGTTACCGGGGTTATACAGATCATGATGGCTTACTACAGGACACTGTGATCAATTAGACACCACCAAAGATCCCTGGGGAGAAATCAGTTTGGTTCCAGCTTCCAGCCCTGCTGCCTATCATGATACCCAGGCTCATCCTGTTTCTATGAGATTTAGTGCCAGTGCTTTGTCTCTGCTGTTTGGCGTGAAGCCCGGTCGTAGAGTTCAAATTGAGGTGTGCTGTGAGCATAAACGCACACACCGGAAAGTCTTTGCGGGGACAAAAAAAAAAAACCAATGTAAAATACCCCATTCATACTGTTGTGTTTTGCCTATATGTGGAAATGATAATATTTCGGATACGCTGGGTTAAAAAAATTCATTATAAATCATTTTCACCTTTTTCTTTTTACTCTTCTTTCATGTTGCTGCTGGAAAATTTAAAAGTCAACATGTGGCACGCACACTACTCCTATTGGCCATCTGCTCTAGCTGGATGGGAACTGCAAGCAGCAAAGGCCTTTCAACCTCTCCGAGCTTCAACATGTTCACTTATGCATCAGGACTGATCCAACAGCAACCTGAAAGGGTCGGTGTGAGAAAGCAAAGAAAGAGGTACTGTTTACGGAGCGTTCAGCCGTGAGCCCAGGCGCAGGCGCGGAGCTAAACCCGGAGGTGAAGCAACTACAGCTGGGGCCACGCCCACAGACTCCGGGCTGTCGGGGCGGGCGGCACTCGCGCTTCCAGCCTGGGCCAACCAGGCTGCTTGAGGCTCGAAGCGCATGCGCGGTCTCGCCCTCCGTACTGGCCGAGCCAGCAAATCGCATTGCGCAGACGACCAGCGGGCGCCTCGGATTCCGCCCCCGGGATGGCCCCGCCTCCTCCCGCCCCGCGGCAAGGCACGCACAGGGCAGTGCGCGGGTGGGTGGGTCCTAGCAGCGCGGCCTGACGGGACCAAGGCGGCGGGAGTCTGCGGTCGTTCCCTCGGCTGTGGACCGGGCGGCACGCACGCGGTGCAGGGTAACATGGCGGATGCGGAAGGTAAGGGCTGCAGGCTTCCGGGCCGTGCTAACTCCGGGCGACTCGGGGAACGGGGGTGGGGGGATGGTATCGGGGCCCGCGCACGCCTCCCTCTGGTTCCCGCCGGCGTGTCGGCCTCTTCACCGCCCGGCCTTAAGCCGGCCTTGTCTCTCGGCCCTGGCTCCGTGGCAAGGGCGCGAGAGTGGGAGCCCCTCGCGGTGACTTGGCATGATGGGGCTCGGCCCTCTCACCTCCCTGGGGTCCGGGTCGCCGTCGAAAGACATCTGCCGTGCTGCCCACCCCGCGGTGGCGTGGGACGTGGCAGTGTCTGTGCTGCTGCCAGCCCGGACGCCGCCGTTACAGCTCCATGCGACTAGGGGAGCAAGGGTAGTGGAAACGGGCCGAGAAGAAAAGGAGCGGAGGGACCCCGGAGCAGGGATAGAGCTCCGAGTTGCAAGAAAGTTCTAGAGGCCACAAGCCCGCGGGGACAGTCGAGTGGTCGCTTATGGAACTTTCCGGCCCCCTGCGTGAGCGCTTCTGTGGGATGTTTAAGCTCTGCCATAGCCACGTGGTGAACCGGAAGGGAAGCCGACACGTGCAGTAGCCTACAGTCAGTTACCCAGCCATGGGACCCATACATTTGGCCTTACACACCTTGTTTTCTCGCTTACCTACGGATATACGTTCTAAGAAATGGGTCGTTAGGCGATTTCATCATTGTGTGAACATCAGAGGGCTCTTACACAAACCTAGGTGGCATAGGCTACTACACACCTAGGCTGTATATGGTGTAGCGTATGGCTCCTAGGCTTCAAACCTGGACAGCATGGTATTGTGCGGAATGCTGTAGGCAGTTGGGACACAGCGTCGAGAGTTTGTGTACTTAAACATGTCTAAGCAGAAAAAGGACAGTAAAAATATAGCACAGGGCCGGGCGCGGTGGCTCAGGCCTGTGATCCCAGCCCAGGCTGGCGGATCACCTGCGGTCAGGAGTTCAAGACCAGCCTGGCCAACATGGTGAAACCCCGTCTCTACTAAAAATACAAAAAATTTAGGTGGGCGTGGTGGTATACGCCTGTAATCCCAGCTACTCGGGAGGCTGAGGCAGGAGAATTGCTTGAACCTGGAGAAGGAGGTTGCAGTGAGCCGAGTTTCTGCCACTGCACTCCAGCCTGGGGAAAGAGTGTGACCGTCTCAAAAAAAAAAAATTATATATATATATAAATATGTGTGTGTATATATGTATATTATATATGTATGTATTATATGTATGTATATTATATATATATAGTACACAAGGTTATAAGTGGTGCACCCGTAGAGGAGGGCACTTACCATGAATGGAGCTTGCTGAGCTGGAAGTTGCCCTGGTTGAGTCGGTGACTGAATGTGAAGGCCTCAGACATTACACTACTGGAGACTTTATAATCTGTACACCTAGGCTACACTAAATTTATAAAAATATATTTTTCTTCAGAATAAATCAACCTTAGCTTACTGTAACTTTATAAACTTTTTACTTCGACTGTTGTAATAATACTTAGCTTAAAACAAACACATTATTTAGCTGTACGTAAATATTTTCTCTGCTTATCTCCTTATTTATAAGTTTTCTATTTTAAAATTTTTTAATTTTTTTCTTAAAAAATTTTTTTTTGTTAACTAAGACACAAACACAGCACACACAGTAGCCTTGACCTACACAGGGTCAGGATCATCAAGACATCACTAGGAGATAGGAATTTTTCAGCTCTGTTATAATCTTATGGGGGCCACCATCACATACGCAGTCTGTACTTGCAAAACATTATGTGGCATGTGACTGTAATTGTAGACCTAAAATCCATTTCCTACCTGCCCTAATTTCGGTCTTTATTTTAAACCCTTGTTTCATTTATTCTTGGGGAAAATTCCCAAATCCTGTGTTTGTTTTTTTAGTAATTATTTTGCCAAAGAAACATAAGAAGAAAAAGGAGCGGAAGTCATTGCCAGAAGAAGATGTAGCCGTGAGTAGTAATGTGTTTGACTTCACTTTGACTAAAAAGAAAGTTTACTTAAATAACAAACTAAAGGAAAGAAGTGTTTTTAAAGGTTTCCAAGGAATGGGCCAGCATTGGTAGTCATTGTGTAGATTCGAAAAAGCACTGAAATGACACAGCCCCAGACAGTCCAAGTGTCCTTCAGGCATAGCTTACTAAATGGTGCTGGCCTTACCAACTGCTGTCTCTGAATTTGTCTTCCTTATGCCACCCACAGACCCGCCATCCCCCTTTCTCTTTAAATGTTTGGACCCATCTTAGTGACATTTCACTTCCCCTCTGTACTCCTGGTTCATTTCTTCTCTCTCTTTCCCTTGGAGGTCCCAGTGAAAAGGCATAGGAAGCCTTGTTTTCTGTTTAAAAGGCATACATTTCCATGGCAGTAATGGAATTGTTCAAAATCGGGTGGGAAGTTTAATAGGTTATATTTCTGTCCTGTCGAAGGAAATACAACACGCTGAAGAATTTCTTATCAAACCTGAATCCAAAGTTGCTAAGTTGGACACGTCTCAGTGGCCCCTTTTGCTAAAGGTATGTGGTTAAAATCGTGCATCAGATGAATGCCTGCTTTTACGTTATTTCCAAGTGTTAAACAATTGATTGAGAATGCTTACTGCTGGCATCCTTGACTTTGGGAAGTGCCCACTGATACAGTTTAAAGCAGGATTCCTTAAGGTATCTGAAATGAGAACCAAGTTTTTAAAAAATTGGCAGTGCACTCAACACTGTTGTAGAACACATGTCCCCACAATGTTAAATTGCTGAGTTTGTCAACAGTTCTCAGTTTTTGTACTTAGTCCATCTTGCAGACCTATGCCAGTTTGTGGGCCACATAGTGGTACTGACTCTTTTTTTACATGTGCTCACGACATGGTATTTTGTTTTGTGTTGTGTCGTTGCTTTGTAGAATTTTGATAAGCTGAATGTAAGGACAACACACTATACACCTCTTGCATGTGGTTCAAATCCTCTGAAGAGAGAGATTGGGGACTATATCAGGTAAGTGTTGGGAGGAGGCACTGTGCAAACTTACTTTCTTTTGAAAATGCTTTCACATCAGCTATTCAGGAAGGCAGTGGCATGCCAGAATAGCTTTGTCTTGAATATATAACCTGTACCCGCAGTGAATTATTTTTCTTTTTAACTTTTCAGATTTGTTGTTTCACTGGAGCATTAAGAGTGGGTGATACATTAATTTTTTTTTTTTCCATTCCAGGACAGGTTTCATTAATCTTGACAAGCCCTCTAACCCCTCTTCCCATGAGGTGGTAGCCTGGATTCGACGGATACTTCGGGTGGAGAAGACAGGGCACAGTGGTACGCTGGATCCCAAGGTGACTGGTTGTTTAATCGTGTGCATAGAACGAGCCACTCGCTTGGTGAAGTCACAACAGAGTGCAGGTATGTGGGAGAGGGAGGGAAGGACTGGCTAGAGTGAAAAGCTTTCTGTATTTCCCTTCTATGTTTTGTCTGCTGGAAACTATTTCTTCATTAAGAAAAAAAAAAATCCTAAAGCAAGGATATTGTTTTGGTTTCTGTGTACGTTCTGTCCCCTGCCAGATCTTGGTGGTCCGCGCTTTTTGGAATTCCACATACTAAGCATGTATTCATCAAGCTGACTGGATCCATTTGTCCGGGTTCAGCTCTCAGCTTGTCACTCCAGGCTTCTCACTCTGTGCTACCGCTTCTGCCTAAAGTATCCTTCGTTCATTTTTATCTGAGAAAAGCCTGCTTATCTTGCAAGGCTTTTTCCACGCAGCTTCTACACTGAGTACTCCCAACTGTCCCTGTTAGTACATTGAATTCCCAGTGAGAAAGTGTCTTCATTCTTTCCCACATCATCACCATGAAATCTCTCTTAATGCAAATTTTATAGAAACACAAGGTCAAACTGCCGCTTTTCCTGCTGTGCAAAATGGGAGTGACTGAGCATATAAGAAATATGGAAAACAGAAAACTCAGTGGCCACACCTGACTACTCTTTTGTCATTTTTCAGGCAAAGAGTATGTGGGGATTGTCCGGCTGCACAATGCTATTGAAGGGGGGACCCAGCTTTCTAGGGTAAGTCTGCAATTGTAGGGAGGACACCCTTTGTTGACTTGGATCTCTGAGCCCCTAAACATCTGGAGATGGGTTAGCTGTCCTGACTGACTCCTTTTGTCCCCTTTTCAGTCGGCTGCTGCAGCCAGCCTGGACCAGTGACTGCACATGTACATTCTGATGAGGTGTTTGTTTTCATTTGTGTTTGTTCTTAGGCCCTAGAAACTCTGACAGGTGCCTTATTCCAGCGACCCCCACTTATTGCTGCAGTAAAGAGGCAGCTCCGAGTGAGGACCATCTACGAGAGCAAAATGATTGAATACGATCCTGAAAGAAGATTAGGTGAGTCATTAGGCCTGTGAGTGGGTATGAACACATTCTTCAGGATTCTGTTCTCTTATTAAAAGTAGATGCCCTTGAAGTTGAAGACTTTCTAAAACCTGCCCTACAGCTGGGATATTGTCTGTGGGCGATAGTTTTTGTTATCTTTTGTTGAAAAAGTGAACAGTGCCTAGTAAAGTGAGATGGCTTTTACACCTTTTATGATGACTGCTTCTGCTGGAGTTGAAATGTTTTCATTCTGCATTTGTGTAGTTCGGTGCTTTGTTCAAAGGTAAGTGTTTTCACCAAAGTATGTTTTGCATGTGTTTTTTATTTGTTGCAATTTTGACTGCTTAGAAGTTTCTGTTGTCAGAAGTAAATTTAAGACAATGCCAATTTTCCTCCCATCCATGAAACATACCATGCTGAATATACCTGCAACTTAAGTGTTAAAAATTCTGCTAATATCAGAATTACAGATCTTTTTTTTTTTTTTTTTTTTTTTTTGAGACGGAGTCTCGCTCTGTCGCCCAGGCTGGAGTGCGGTGGCATGATCTCGGCTCACTGCAAACTCTGTCTCCCGGGTTCACACCATTTTCCTGCCTCAGCCTCCCAAGTAGCTGGGACTATAGGCGCCCGCCATCATGCCCGGCTAATTTTTTGTACATTTAGTAGAGACGGGGTTTCACCATGTTAGCCAGGATGGTCTTGATCTCCTGACGTCGTGATCCACCCGCCTCTGCCTCCCAAAGTGCTGGAATTACAGGCGTGAGCCACCGTGCCTGGCCAGAATTACAGATCTTTACAGCAAATGCTTATATTTTAAGAAGTGTGTCTGTCACCTCTAGTCTTGGTGGCTCAGATGAAGGATAACTGCATTTCTCAACCAGTGATGTATTTACAGTAGGTGCTGCTTTTCTTTTGTGTGTGTGTATCTTAGGAATCTTTTGGGTGAGTTGTGAGGCTGGCACCTACATTCGGACATTATGTGTGCACCTTGGTTTGTTATTGGGAGTTGGTGGTCAGATGCAGGAGCTTCGGAGGGTTCGTTCTGGAGTCATGAGTGAAAAGGTATGTGTTACGGGGCTAGAAGTTTTAGAGCTGGTTCTTACCATCTGCCAGCCTTTGATGGCACTCCACTTGCTTCATGTCGTGGGAAAGATGCTTTCCAAAGTGTTGAGTTCAGTCCAGGGCAGCTTCCCTGTTCTGTTAATTAAACTTTGGGACATTAAAATGGGCTAAGGGAGATGATTGGGTAGAAAGTATTATTCTATTCATTTGCCTCCCAGCCTACAAAAATGCCTGCTTGGGGTCTAATACTTCAACGGTTAAAGATGCCTGGAAGAGGGCGCGGTGGCTCACGCCTGTAATCCCAGCACTTTGGGAGGCCGAGGCGGGTGGATCATGAGGTCAGGAGATCGAGACCATCCTGGCTAACAAGGTGAAACCCCGTCTCTACTAAAAATACAAAAAAAATTAGCCGGGCGCGGTGGCGGGCGCCTGTAGTCCCAGCTACTCGGGAGGCTGAGGCAGGAGAATGGCGTGAACCCGGGAAGCGGAGCTTGCAGTGAGCCGAGATTGCGCCACTGCAGTCCGCAGTCCCACCTGGGCGACAGAGCGAGACTCCGTCTCAAAAAAAAAAAAAAAAAAAAAAAAAAGATGCCTGGAAGAGCCAGGACTGAAGAGGCTGAAGACATAATGAGCTTGGACTAGTAAACAAGTGACATTCAGTTTTAGGAAGTTTGGGGTCTGATGGGCTGAGATACAAATAAACTGAATTATTTTCATACATGGCTGCTTTTCAGGACCACATGGTGACAATGCATGATGTGCTTGATGCTCAGTGGCTGTATGATAACCACAAGGATGAGAGTTACCTGCGGCGAGTTGTTTACCCTTTGGAAAAGCTGTTGACATCTCATAAACGGCTGGTTATGAAAGACAGTGCAGTAAGTTCCGGGTTAGGAGTTTATATTTGGAAAGAACGTACTCCAAAGATGAGGCTTGCTCTTTTTATTGTTTTCCTTGGGTTTTATTTTATTTTTTTCAAGTCCAAACCAAGTATATTAATTTAAAGTAAAAGTTTAATGGTAGGCATACTTAAAAATAAGGCACATTAGGCCAGGCACAGTGGCTGATGCCTATAATCCTAGCACTTTGGCAGGCTGAGGCAAGAGGATCACTTGAGTCCAGGAAGGAGTTTGAGACCAGCTTGAGCCCAGGAGATCAAGGCTGTGAGCTGTGTTTTTATGATGATCAGAGAGTTGGCCTTTTATAAATTAAAACATTGTCTTTTTCTCTAACTTGAGGGATAAAAATTTCTGGATATTTAAAATGTTTGTAGTTGGTAATTATTTATATTCAAATCTTGTATAGATGTTCACATTTTTTGTATGTGTATAGGCTGTAATAAATACTGAAAGATGGCACCATAATAGTTGAAAAAACTCAGTCACAAAACAGTGGACAACATAAATGTGATGTCCTCTCCTTATCAAACCATTGGCTTCTGGGTGAATGTAAAGGGAGGGGAGAATGTGATCAAAAGAGGTCTAGGTGAGTGGAGATGGTATGAGGCAGATGGGTGCATTGGGTACCATTGAACCTCTGGAGAGGTAGCCTTAACTTGTACCCACTGACCTATAAATTCTGCACCAAGACTTTTGTGTGATTGGTTCAACAGGGCTCAGTAATCTTGTTTTCAAGTTCTTTAAGAGCCTGTTATTGCCTGGATCTCCAGTAAATCTGTTCTTTCTCCTCATAAGGAGGAGAGAGGAGTAATTAAGGAATGCCAAGGCTATTTTTATGTTTCAAATGAAAATATGGACCACGTGCGGTGGCTCACACCCATAATCCCAGCACTTTGGGAGGCCGGGCCAGGCAAATTGCTTGAGCTCAGGAGTTTGAGACCAGCCTGGGCAATATGGTGAAACCCTGTCTCTATTAAAAATACAAAAATTAGCTGGGCGTGGTGGCACGTGCCTGTAATCCCAGCTCCTTGGGAGGCTGAGAATCACTTGAACTTGGGAGATGGAGGTTGCAGTGAGCCGAGAATGTGCCACTGCACTCCACCCTGGACAACAGAGGGAGGTTCTGCCTGAAAATTAAAAAAAAAAAAAAAAAAAAAAGAAAATACTTGTGAGTCTCTAGAACCTGAAAACCTGAAAGTCTTCTTTACTACTTTTGAGTCGTGTGTAATGTGCGGAGAGTGGTACCTATAGCACAGTGAGGTGGCTCTTCTGAGTACCACTCATGCCCCTTGCAGCTAGTGGGCTATAAGTGTCATCCCTGTTTCCTGGTGTCAGGCCCCACTCCCTTGTTGTCCTCCTTTACTCTGGTGTGGGAGTGGGGTGGAGGGCAGCAGCTGGGCCCCTTACACTTGGTGCCATCTCTGCAGGTAAATGCCATCTGCTATGGGGCCAAGATTATGCTTCCAGGTGTTCTTCGATATGAGGACGGCATTGAGGTCAATCAGGAGATTGTGGTTATCACCACCAAAGGAGAAGCAATCTGCATGGGTAAGAGGGGATGTTTATTTTTTAAATTCTAAATGTTTGTGGTTACATACTAGGTGTATATATTTATGGGGTTCATGAGATGTTTTGATACAGGCATGCAATACATAATAATCACATCATGGAGAATGGGGCATCCATCTTAAGCATTTATCCTTTGTGTTACAAACAATCCTATTTTACTGTTAGTTATTTATCACCTTAGTTATTTTAAAATATACACTTAAGTTATTATTGATTATAGTCACCCCGTTGTGCTATTAAATAGTCTCACTCTTCTTGTTCATTCTTTTGGTTTTTTGGTGGTGGTGTTTTTTTTTTTTTTTTTTTTTTGAGACAGTCTTGCTCTTTTCACCCAGACTGCAGTGCAGAGACGTGACCTCGGCTCACTGCAACTTCTGCTTCCCAGGTTCAAGCGATTCTCGTGCCTCAGCCTTCCGAGTAGCTAGGATTACAGGTGCACACCATGACACCTGGCTAATTTTTTGTATTTTTAGTAGAGACAGGGTTTTGTCATGTTGGTCAGGCTGGTCTCGAACTTCTGACCTCAGGTGATCTGCCCTCCCAAAGTGCTGGGATTACAGGTGTGAGCCACCATGCCGGGCCTGATTTTTTTTTTTTTTGTACCCATTAACCATCCCTACCTCCCTGCCAGCCCCCCACTACCCTCCCAGTCTCTGGTAACCATTCTTTTACTCTTCTCTGTCCATGAGTTCAATTGTTTCGATTCTTAGCTCCCACAAATAAGTGAGAACATGCAATGTTTGTCTTTCTGTGACTGGCCGATTACACTTAATATAACGATCTTCAGTTCCATCCATGTTGTTGGAAATGACAGGATCTCATTCTTTTTTAAGGCTGAATAGTAATCCATCGTGTATATGTACCACATTTTCTTTATCCATTTATCTGTCGATGGGCACTTCGGTTGCTTCCAAATCTTGGCTACTGTGATCTCTTTGATAACACTGATTTCCTTTATTTGGGGTATATACCCAGCAGTGGGATTGCTGGATCCTATGGTAGCTCAATTTAGTTTTTCGAGGAACCTCCAAACTGTTCTTCATAGTGGTTATACTAATTTACATTCCCATCAACAGTGTACAAAGGTTCCCTTTTCTCCACATCCTTGCCAGCACTTGTCATTGCCTGTCTTTTGGATATAAACCATTTTAACTGGAGTGAAATGATATTTCATTGTAGTTTTGATTTGCATTTCTCTCGTGATCAGCATTGAGCACTTTTTCATATGCCTGTTTGCCATTTATTTGTCTTCTTTTGAGAAGTGTCTGTTCAAATCTTTTGCCTGTTTTTTGATCAGATTATTAGATTTTTTTTCCTATAGTGCTGAGTTCCTTATATATTCTGGTTATTAATCCCTTGTCAGATGGGTAGTTTGCGGATATTTTCTCCCATTCTTATGCATATGGATATCTAGTTTTCCCAGCACCATTTATTGAAGAGACTGGTTTTTACCCAGTGTATGTTCTTGGCACCTTTGTCAAAAATGAGTTAAATGTAGGTGTGTGCATTTGTTTCTGGGTTCCTTATTCTGTTCCATTGGTTTATGTGCCTGTTTTTATGCCAGTACCATACTGTTTTGGTTACTGTAGCTCTATACTATAATTTGAAGTCAGGTAATGTGATTCCTCCAGGTTTGTTCTTTTTGCTTAGGATAGCTTTGGCTATTTTGAGTCTTTTGTGGTTCCATGTAAAGTACCAGTGTTTTTTAACTTGTGAAAGCTTAGCTACTGTTGGATTGTCTCTTAAGACTTTAAATGCTCTGCGCACCCTCTTAGTGAATGAACCTTAGAGCTATTCATTTAATGGGTCTAATTTGTACCAGAAGTAAGCATGTCATCAGGATTCCTTAGCTCTGTGAGCAGGCAAGGCAGCCACGGCTTATGGACAGCAGCAGAAAAGGAATCCTTAAAACTTCAAAGGTTCTGTGGCCCCAAAGGGAGTGTGCATGCCGTTCTTATAGACGTCTTGAGCTGCAAGCCTGTTATGTGTATCGTTAGGTGCTTTGGTTAGGTGTTTTTTAACTTCAGAAGTTTAACGTCATTTCAAAGGCCTCCTTCTCATAATGGAGTATTTCCTCCATATGCACATCCTGAGCAAAGGTAACCCCAATTAAAGTAGTAGCTCAGAGTTTTAAAAGTTTTAAAGTGGCATACAACAGTAGAATTGGGGCTCATCAATTATCAATTCTTTCACCCTTCAAATAATTCTTTTCTTTATTCAATGCCTGTAGCTATTGCATTAATGACCACAGCGGTCATCTCTACCTGCGACCATGGTATAGTAGCCAAGATCAAGAGAGTGATCATGGAGAGAGACACTTACCCTCGGAAGTGGGGTTTAGGTCCAAAGGTAAGTGGTACTGGGTTGCGTGCCCTGCCAGGTTCTTTTTTTTTTTTTTTTTTTTTTAAATTTATTTTTTTATTGATAATTCTTGGGTGTTTCTCACAGAGGGGGATTTGGCAGGGTCATGGGACAATAGTGGAGGGAAGGTCAGCAGATAAACAAGTGAACAAAGGTCTCTGGTTTTCCTAGGCAGAGGACCCTGCGGCCTTCCGCAGTGTCTGTGTCCCTGATTACTTGAGATTAGGGAGTGGTGATGACTCTTAAGGAGCATGCTGCCTTCAAGCATCTGTTTAACAAAGCACATCTTGCACCGCCCTTAATCCATTTAACCCTGAGTGGACACAGCACATGTTTCAGAGAGCACAGGGTTGGGGGTAAGGTCACAGATCAACAGGATCCCAAGGCAGAAGAGTTTTTCTTAGTGCAGAACAAAATGAAAAGTCTCCCATGTCTACTTCTCTCCACACAGACACGGCAACCATCCGATTTCTCAATCTTTTCCCCACCTTTCCCGCCTTTCTATTCCACAAAACCGCCATTGCCATCCTGGCCCGTTCTCAATGAGCTGTTGGGCACACCTCCCAGACGGGGTGGCGGCCGGGCAGAGGGGCTCCTCACTTCCCAGTAGGGGCGGCCGGGCAGAGGCGCCCCTCACCTCCCGGACGGGGCGGCTGGCCGGGCGGGGGGGCTGACCCCCCCCCACCTCCCTCCCGGATGGGGCGGCTCCTGCCAGGTTCTTTTGTTTGGCATTGTTGAATACTTGGGCAGCTCTTGGTGTGTTTCACCACCACAGCCTTGTATTGTGCTGGGCTCTGGGTTGTCGATGAGTGGAAACAGGCCCTGTCTTGGGCCTTAGAGATTTCAGTCTAATGAGGGGAAACAGTTGGGCATTACTCACGTAATCACACAGTGGAATGGCGAATTTCATGCACGTTAGTGGCTACCAAGGAGTGCAGAGAGGTGTCTGTCACCTGGAGTGTCCACAGTGGTCAAGGAGTCTGGTCAAGGGATTGTCTGTTAAGCCACACCGGTGTGAAGAGTGGGTTAGGTGTTGGTGAAGTGAAGAGGGGAGGGGAGAGTTCAGGGCATTGGGAGCAAGCAGCATGTGCAAAGGCAAAAAAGTAGAGTGGCTGCGGTGGGGACGTTATGTCTGCAGAGGCTCTCACTAATAAGCTTTGTGATCTTCAACAAGTCCTGTGTGTGTTGGAGTTAGTGGGCAAATTCTGAATGCTCTGGAGAGGAGTTTGAGGCCCTGCTGAGAATACACCAGGGAGGAACCTTGTTCTATTCTTTGTAGTCACCATGCCCGCTTCCAGCATTGACACCATTCTAATGTTGACACCTTGATGTTCCACCAGGCAAGTCAGAAGAAGCTGATGATCAAGCAGGGCCTTCTGGACAAGCATGGGAAGCCCACAGACAGCACACCTGCCACCTGGAAGCAGGAGTATGTTGACTACAGGTGAGGGCAGGATGTTTCAGAGCCGGGGTGGGTAGAGACGGCACACTTGCTGCCTTGATGCAGGAGTATGTCAACAACAGGTGAGGATGGGAAGGTAGAGCCCACTTGCCATCTGGACGCAGGAGTACATGGACAACAGGTGAGGAACAGGTGAGCATGGAGGTTGTAGAGCCCAGGGGAGGGGGAGTCACTTGGTTTGGGGCAAACTTGCTAAATGCAGGACCACAGGAACCAGCTCTTCAGCTCCCGTGAGATTTTGGCTGCCCAGGCCAGTTAGGGGTGTGGGCCTGCACGGCAGACAGTTATCCCTTTCTAGTCTGGCTCGTGGGACTCTAGAGGGAGTCAGTCTGCAACAGTAAGTGGTGAGTTCTTCTGTCCAGCGTCAGTATTTTGATGGTGGCTTTAGACTTGCCAGATAACACTACATAACATCAGTACTGCCCTGGAAAGCCATTCAGTGAATTTGACCTATTGCTACCTCTTTTTCAGTGAGTCTGCCAAAAAAGAGGTGGTTGCTGAAGTGGTAAAAGCCCCGCAGGTAGTTGCCGAAGCAGCAAAAACTGCGAAGGTGAGTGGCATGCTGTCCTCAGTTTGGAATGTGCTTAGGGAGATAATCCTAAGAGGCACTGGCATTCGTCTTACTTTGTGACTGTCCGCAGTCCAGCCATATACGCTAGCATCAGAGGTGCAGCGCATACACAGGTAATGCTGCCTCATACCCTGGGGTGCTTGTTTGGGCTCTGCAGGCTCCTCTGATTTGTATTCTCTGTCCTATCTGCTGGGAGGAGGAATGTGGGCTCAGGAATCAGATGGGCCTCGACTCCTACCTCAGCTATGGCAGCAACACAGTGATGGAATGGGTGGTGGTGTGTGTGTCAATTCTGGCCCCCGCCCTGGGTCAAATGGTAGGACAGATGTGTTGAAATCAGAGGCCATGGCTGTTGGACATTCGAGGCCATACAAAATTCAGCAGAGAGCAGAATTGCATCTTAACCTGGCACCACCCAGTGTTGAAAGAGTCAGTCAAGCATGGGTTGGCAACTCCACCCCATGGAGCTGCTGGCATTAGAGCACAGAATGACAGGTCTGCACTCAGAAACCGGGGGCGGTACTGAGTATCCTGCACAGGCTGTGTGGGAGGAGCTTCTGACTTGTCAGATGTGAATTCCTGCTTTGCCTGCTTTCTGTGAGAGGTCCTTGCAGTCATGAGAGAAACAGCTCCTCCGGGCCTTTCCACCCCAAGCCCCGTGCTGCTGCTGTGCTCCTTCTCTTGTGCCTGCCTCAAGGCTTCTTGGATTTGGGGGATGAGACTGTCTTCAAATCCTCAGTAAACTAAGGCCCTGTCCGGGTTTGTAGTCAGAAAACGTCCTGTTAGATTCAGTTGGGATCTTTCTTGGTGCCTTGCTACCTTTTGACTCACTGAACCTTTCTTGTCCATTATTGCCCAAGATCTAACACTTAACCAATTGCTTTCATCTCAGCGGAAGCGAGAGAGTGAGAGTGAAAGTGACGAGACTCCTCCAGCAGCTCCTCAGTTGATCAAGAAGGAAAAGAAGAAGAGTAAGAAGGACAAGAAGGCCAAAGCTGGTCTGGAGAGCGGGGCCGAGCCTGGAGATGGGGTGTGTGGAAACACGTTCAGGTTCCTTGGGCTGGCTTAGTCCCTGCGTGGGGAAAGAATTACCCAGGTGGTACCAGCTTTGTTACTCTTCTTGGAGGAGCTGTGGCCTGGGGGTGGGATGCCACCGAGTGCCTTTAGTGCTTCCCCATGTTCCTGGAGTGCTTTTGCCCTCCCTGTGGAATGGACAGATAGAGGCACCCGACCTCTACCACTTATACTTAGAGCTCTATTGATGGTGGGTGGAGAGGATGTGTAGGATGGTGATCTGAATGTTTCCACTTCCAAAAGTAGACCACTAGGGTGTCACTGAAAGGTTTACAGAACTTTGTGTCACATGCAGCATTTAACCCAAAATATCCTTACAGGTCCTGAAAAAGGCTTGCTTGACTGTGGACCTTTACCAGATTTCCTTCTGGGAGAGTCATAGCTTTGTTAGTGGATGGTATCTGTGAGCTTTCATTCTCTTTCTTTCTAGGACAGTGATACCACCAAGAAGAAGAAGAAGAAGAAGAAAGCAAAAGAGGTAGAATTGGTTTCTGAGTAGTGAAGGCCACTTGAAGCTGGAGGAGAAACTAAAGCCTTATTGAGAAAACATGTTATAGATCCTTTTGTTGCTGAGAGAGTGGAACATAGGTCCTAGACAGGGTGAAGAGTTCTGGCACATTTTAGCTGCTACTTTGAGACCTCGGTGATGTTACCTGGTGTGGTCATCCCATCTTGTCCTGTTTTAAGGATATGGGTGGTGAAAGATGAAAGAGGCAGAGTTTATCCCAATGACTTCTCTGTTTGAGTTGGGAAGCCTCACCTTCAGACCCAGTAACTGTCCGCAGCTGTCTGCTAGTGGTTGTCTTAACATCGTAGTCCTAGTTTGCATTTTTTAAATCCCCTCTGTTTAAAAGGTTTGTAAAACAAAAACAAAAAACTAAGTCTGCTCAGTGAAATGCTGTAGAACCCTAAATAAGTGGTAGAAGAGTGTCACTGAATTTTGTCTCTGAATTCAGTATAACTGAGTTTTGTCCATGCTGGTGTCTGGGTTATAGGCCTGATGGGCCTGGTAGTTTTCCATCTTGTTCTGGCCTAGAGGTCAGTCCTTTGCACTTCCTCAAAGCTTGTGTACAGTGCTCACCTAAATCCATCTGACTACTTGTTCCTGTGCCCTCTTGTTTTAGGCCTCGTTTACTTTTAAAAAATGAAATTGTTCATTGCTGGGAGAAGAATGTTGTAATTTTTACTTATTAAAGTCAACTTGTTAAGTTTTTTATGTATTCCTGTTGGGTTTTCTTGTTGATCTCATGCTAGCAGAGCAAAAATTGTAAAATATTTTGATTAAAAATCTAGGGACCTTTATGTCCTATTTGAAATGTGATGCTTTTATGTTTGTTTTCTGGTTTTTACATTTTTGTTCTGTATCTTACACAATCCACCTTGGGCCCTGTCATCTGATGTGAGATCAAGTACTCAGAGGCAGTGATTACCACAAAACCACTGATCTCTAGAAGAACAGAGAAGGAGAGGGTTAATGTATTTATACATAGTGGGCCTGGCAGGAGCGGGGGGCAGGGTGAGTCGGGAGAACGAAGCTGAGGGTGGGGACATGCAGGAATCTGAAGGCCTTGGTGACAGATTAGTGGAAGAAAGGTCTAGGGTTGCTTCCGATTTGGTATTAAGAACCAAGAAAGAGGCCGGGTGCAATGGCTCACACCTATAATCCCAGTGCTTTGGGAGGCTGAGGCGGGCAGATCACCCGAGGTCAGGAGTCTGAGACCAGCCTGGGCCAACATGGCAAAACCCATCTCTACTACAAATACAAAAATTAGCCAGGTGTGGTGGCGTGTGCCTGTAATCCCAGCTACTCGGGAGGCTGAGGCAGGAGAATCCCCTGGAACCTGGGAGGTGGAGGTTGCAGTGAGCCGAGATCCTGCCACTGCACTCCAGCCTGGCAAAACAGACTGTCTCAAAAAAAAAAAAAAAAAAAAAAAAAAAAAAGCGCTCTTGGATGCAGCGAGGCGAGGCCCTGAGCTGTAGCCATATCATGAGCCAGGCATGCAGGGTGGGCCCCAGCCCTGGCTCAGCGACCGGCCTCCACTGTACCACGGGACCCCAGGCTTGGATTTTCTCTCGTTCTAAATATGTGCCCACAATGAGCGCTCCACTAGCTACAACAACCTTAAGGGTGTTTTTCTACATGGGCACTAGCCAGTAGAGCCCTGCAGTGGGGGCAGAGAATGGGGACTCTTCCAGGGCACCAGTGTTTATCATCTGAACACAAGAGAGGCATCTTGTGTTAATGCTGTTGTCCAGGAGCTTAAGTGAAATGGGCCACATTTCTTTTTGTGTGGAAACCCAGAGTTACAAGGTCATTGGCATTTCAACACAGCATTTTTATTGCTTTTGAAGGTTTCCCTAGAGCAGACATCATTCTATTGCACAGATGTGTCATTTTGGCATTATAGAAAGTTGCAGTTAAAAACGCTTTCTCCAAAATAAAAAGACAAATGAAATACCCAGCATATACAGTTGAAGGCAAAGGAGGGCAGGCTTTAGAGGGATGGGGTCCATTGCTTTTGCTGTGCATCACCCTTGATTAGCAGTTACATTTTGGTAGTACTTCTTACCCCCAATTTCTAGAAATCCTTTTCAAATCCAGATCAGTGGGGCCCCATCTATCAGGAGAATCAACCCTTCAGGAGCCTGAGCAAGAAGACTGAACCTTACTGGCTGAATTAGGATAGCTGCAGAGAGCTGGAAGCTGACACAAAACTAGTTGGAGCAGCCCTGTTTGTCTTAAAGCAAGGCGGGTGGAATTCCAAATGCTGGAGAGGGGCATACAGTGGGTTCCCCCATTCTACAAGCTTAGTAAACCCAGGAGACAGGCACCCACTGTGGAGAACTGCACGCTTGGTCGAAGGCTTCTTGTAATTTCTTAAGGGTTTCATCAACACCATTATTGACCAGTGAGAGGTCAAAGTAGTGAGCGTACTGGCTGCGGATGGCCTCAGAGTCCTTCTGCAGCTGCTGCAGGGCTTCTGTCTGCAAAGAAGAAAGCCACAGATGAAGCAAGCTGCACCACCCCCAGCCCAGAGAGGCCAGTGACAGATTTTAAACAGCAATTGTTAGCGTTGCTCAGCTGTGCATCATACTTGACGAGTCAAATTCAGAAGACATTGTGAAAGAATGTTAATGTAGGGCATGAAGAGGCAATCTCAAAAGACCATGGCAATTCTCAGAGGATCTCAAGCTAACCCTGACTAATCAGAGTCCTCTGGAGGACCAATAGCTATGCAGAGACAGCATGGACTTCACCAGCATCTCCCACTTAATGCCCTTTGAACATGGAAGAGCCATTTCAACAACCACCAGAGCTGCAATCCTAAAACGAAGATAAAGGTGATTTTGTTGTTTTGTTTTGTTTTGAGACAGTGTCTTGCTCTGTGGCCCAGGCTGGAGTGCAGTGGCACAATCTCGGCTCACTGCAACCTCCGCCTCCCGGGTTCAAGCAATTCTCGTGTCTCAGCCTCCCGAGTAGCTGGGATTACAGGCATGCGCCACCACATCTGGCTAATTTTTGTATTTTTAGTAGAGACAGGGTTTTGCCATGTTGGCCAGGCTGGTCTGGAACTTTAGACCTCAGGTGATCCGCCCGCCTCGGCCTCTCAAAGTGCTGGGATTACAGGTGTGAGCCACTGCACCCAGTCAGATAAAGGTGACTTCTAATCCCAGATCACACCTGTAATCCCAGCACTTTGGAAGGCCAAGGCAGGATGATTGCTTGAGCACAGGAGTTCAAGACCAGCCTGGCAACACAGTGAGACCCCATTTCTACAAAAAACAAAATTTAAAAATGTGTGTGTATATATATCTCAGGACTCTGTCTTTGACCTAAAACCAAGCAGCCATGAAAGACAAATCATGTAACTACATAAAAGTAAAAATGTCTGCATAGCAAAAAGACATGCCAAATTGGAAAAAAATTGCAGCTGATATTACAAAGGGCTAATTACCCTAATATAGACTTCCTATAAATCAAAGGTCAATAACTCAGCAGAAAAATGAGCTAAGGGTATGACCAGATAATTCTCAGAAAAGGCAATACAAATTGCTCTTCATATGAAAAAGTACCTGATCATCTCTTTTAGTAAAAAAGAAATATGAGATACTATTTTTCCCTCCAGTAGACTGGCAAAAAAAGAAAATTTTGACAACATGCTGCAGGCAAAGAGAAACAAGCAGTCTCACAGGTGGTTGGCGGTCCCTGTCCAAATTCTAAGTGTGTGTGCTCTTGGACCCAGTGATCCTACTTGGAGTTTTTCCTACAGATATATTTGCACACATGTGCTATATGCACAGGGCTATTGACTGCAGTATTACACATGCATGCAGCAGAAGACCAAGCAGCTATAGAGAAAAAGAGTTCCTCACACCCTGATAGGGAAAGGTGTCCATTGTTCAATGCAAAAGCACAGTGCAGCAAAGTGCATGGGTAGGGCTGGGCAGAGGAGCAGGGTAGGCTTTTTGATATATTCCTGGCCTCTCTGTCTTTCCCCACAGCCATACTGCACCCCAGGGCGGGTTCAGTGCCACCTCTGTCCATCACAGCTTCCCCTGCCAGAGCCTGCATCCCACCAGTATCAGGATCTGCTCAACTGTCCATCTCTGCCCCTGGAACTGTGTGCCTCCAGGACGATGACTGGGTCTGGTTTGTTTTGTCCCTGTTAGGTAGCATGGGCACTGGCCTAGCTAGTGGCTTAAGAGCTGGAACGAATGTGCATACCCTTTGGCTTCTTGGCCCTGGAGGAAGAAGCCCAGCTGGAGCTGTGACCTCCAGCCAGCACTCTGGCCAATGACCTGGACTGAGGTCCCAGTATGGGCAGGCCCGGAGAAAGTGAACTACCCATCGCGCACAACCTCTCCTCACCTGAGTGCCCTGGTCAGTAGGTGCAATGAACACAATGAAAGGCGAAAGTTCTGCTGTCCGAACAATTTTCAGGGTCTAGAAAAAAAAAAGAAGGGCGGCGGGGAGGGGGGGGAAGGAAGAAAAGGAAAGTGAAAAAAAAAAACCTACATAGCTGTCATAATGGATTCCTTCTAATAAGCAGCTTTGAGCTTTACCCCAATACAACTTTCCATCATTCCCAGTACTACTGTTCTTGTTCCAGGCTGACCCCATTAAAAGGCTGAAGCAATCCTGAGCCCCCAGAAGATTCCCAAGGAGCACTGTCTTCGCCATCCCTTGTGTGGCTGAGCCCATCTGTCCCTGCCCTTCCATGCCTACCCACCTGGGGCTCAATGTCAAGGATGGCAATCTTGTTCTGCTTATGGATCTGGTGCACTGTTTCAAATTTGGTGCCAAACATGTTGCCTTGGTAGCTGCCAAACTCCAAGAACTCATTGGCAGAGATGTTCCTCGTCATCTCCTCCGTTGAGATAAAGTGGTACTCCTTCCCATCTTCCTCACTCTTCCTTGGCGGCCGTGTTGTATCTGTGTACAAGAACCCAAATCCCCGACAAACTCCAGGTCCTCACCCTTTCATGAGGGCTTGGACCATGGTGTCTGTATGGAAACCCTAGCTGCCTTTGGTGCATTGACTTTAATACAGGGGTTCCTCCCGTGGGCTCCTGAAGAGCTGATGCTAGAAAGTGATGCACACCAGGAAATCCCTCCATCTGCCCAGGACACATTTAATTTTTAAGGGGCAAAGCCTAACATAGAAAATTCCTATTATCATTTTCCCTAAATGAAGTTACATCTCTCAAACTACCAAATCTAGGAATATTGAAACTTAGAAATGAAGATAGCGGAAAATATTTTAAAAACAGATCTACAGACTATGGTCAGGATTTCTTGGAAATATATTTAAGGTTTCCTTTTCATGACTTGGAAAGAAGAGTACTTTGGTTTAGTTTCAGCTCATGTTGTTAAAAGTTGGACTATTTTCTATTACTCATATAAATTGTCTAATCAGTAAAATATGCTCCAGATATTGTAGCTTGAAACACAATCCTCCCAACCTCCCCTCTTTCCATCTTCCATTGACTGTCTCCTTTGCCTTCCGGATCACACTTGTCTCTCAACTGGCCCCTTCCCCTCAATCTACAACCACATGTGATTCTCTTGAAGGAGGAGCCTGTACTGGTTATTTCTGCTTCCCCACTCACTCCTGGGGCCATCTCTTTCTGCTCCTAATGTGACACTGGAATAACTCTTATGTCCCTCCAGCAACGAGACAACTCTCAATGATCCATGTGTAAAAAAGCAAAATGAAGAAAGAATTAAAAAATAGTAATATGAGGTTTAGAATCTGGTTTTCTATTTTGCTTAGCAGTACAGTAATTCCTCACTTAATATTATTATCAGTAGGTTCTTAGAAAATGTGACTTTAAGTGAAATCACATGCAGCTGGTCGTTGACTAACATGGTTTAGTTCAACTTCATTTCATTGTATTGTTGATGAGTAAAAAAACTGGTTCTTGTTATATGTCATTTCACTTAAAGTCACAGTCTTCGAAGAGCCTATTGACAATATTAAGTGAGGAATCACCGTATTTCTTTCTGGGAACATACACAACTATACCATGCAGCATCACTTCTGGGAATGGAAGAGTTATCAAATTCTCCACCTGATCACTGGCGCTACTCTTCTCCATATCTAGGACTGCTGTTGAGATCGTTTGGGCCTTTCCTAGGCACTGCTTTGATTTAGAAGACATTCCATGAAAATGAGAGGCAGCCTGAACATCAAGAGTGGGATAGTTCTCAAAGAGAATTAGGCAAATTGCAGAGGAACATGAGAAAATGTTTAAAAAGTAAAATGACAAAGTTATATGTATAAACTTTAATACTTAGTAATTTTTAAGGCAGTATCAAAATGTTTACTATAGCTTCTGTTATGTAGACAAACAGCACGAATAACAATAAGAAAACAGTTATTCTGTTAGGTGGAGGAATTGTGGGCACAAATTTTTATCTTTCCATATTTTGTTTAGTTTTAATAATCATTTAAAATAAAATAATTTAAAAAATAATAAAATAACACTATGGTATTTCAGATGGCGAGTGGTACCAGCCTGTCACCTCCCCTCCAAGGTGCCTAAGAGCTACTTACATGGGACAGGGTACACAAACTTCTCCGGATTCTGGCTGAGCAGGGCATTCTTAATGTGGCTGCGACCCACCCCACTGGCTCCTGTGTAGAGAGAGAAGAACATCTTTTGGAAAGGGGGGAGAGGAGCGAGGATAAGATACGGATTTTCCTCTCTCGGCACTCAAAACTGCCAACAGGTGAACATGAGTTGGGGTTGCATCTGGGCTGGGGTCAACTCTAAAGACAGGAAGGTGAGCAGTCCGCCAGAGGCAAAGCCTACATACCTGGGTTTGAAGCAAGGACTTACTCTGTTTCAGGTCAGAGTCACTGCTTGGGGGAAGGGAGATTTACAAAGCGTATCACTGCCAGCAGACAGCATGAAACCTAACCAAAAATAATTCGTTGCTAAATAGTAGAGAAACTTGTAAGGTTTAGTTTCATTTGTGAGGTGGACCCAGGTGGGGTGCACGTGAGGATTCAGAAAATTCCTTACACCTGCTCTATATGGAGAACCCAAGAGACCTCAGTTCTTTTCTTCCTCACTGCCTTTTTTGGGGGTGGGCACGTGATGCAGGCAGGAAAACAAAGACAGAAATGTGCAAATGGGGCAATGAGAAGATACCGATCAGCACCAGGGTCTTCCTCTTGAATGCAGGGAGCCGAACGACTTCCTCGTAGGAAACAACATCCAACTGATCAAAAACTAGAGACAAAGAAAACCAAGCAGTGTTCATTTCCAGAGCTAGGGAGAACAGTGGTCCACACTCTGAAATGGGAAACAGCCTCGCGACATCTCAACAAGCAGGGAGGAAGTGACTAGAGATGAGACGAGGGAGGTTGGTGTGGAGGAAGGACTTTGGACTGTATTTTTAGTGTGGTGAGGGAATTTTGAGCAAGGGAGTTTATCTAACTTTTGCACCCTCTCTTCCTCCTTGCCCTATCTCTCTGAGCCAACTTTTCTTGTCTCCTGTCCTCATCTCTTCTCCATAGTTTCAGTATCAGATGTTCCCTTGGCACTTAGAGCTGAAGAATGCCAATGCTATCTCGGTTCTGCCTGAATGTCCCTTATCTTAGAAGATGGTGGTGCTATTGACCCAGCTGCTCAAGATAGAGACCTGGTGTCATCCTGACTCTCCACCCCCTTACCTGCCTACAACCCAAGACTGCCACGATCATTCCCTGGCTGGTGGTGTGCACGTGACGTCTCAGAAAAGAGAAATGCAGATGGAAAGCTGACCGTGCGAATTCTCTGCTCAAAACCCTTCACCAGCTCCACAGTCTATAGTGCAAAATTTAAAACGCTAGGGAGGGTGCACGAAGCTCCCTATGACCTGGCCCTGGCCTCTCCCTCTGGCCTGTGTTCTTGCCTCACTTCCCCTCTCCCACCACATCTACTTCTGTGTGAGGGGTGGGGTGATGAGCAGGTGTGGGCTCACCACTAGTCCTCCTTTACATCCACTGGCCTGACTGCAGCAAGCTTGTGAAGATGGATTCAATAAAAAGAAACCAGAAGAAATGACATGCTTTCTGTAGAATGCGCCTTCTGCTGCGCACTGCACCACCTCCCCTTTTCTGCTGGTTACAGAGACTGGGAAACACGTGAATGCTGCCAGGAACCTGGGGCAAGAAGGCTCAGAAAGCTTACTCGAGCTGTGCTTGGCCAGATATTTGTCTTTGTACTTCTTCTTCTTCCCAAAGGGACTGCAGCTCGGGGCTTCGCTAGGAGCTGACTGAGCCATACTTGCCACTCGCCTGGTAGGAAAAGACAATCAAGGGGTCAGCTTTCCTCCCCCTCCCCTCATACCCCCCCCAGCCACTCAGTCTCTAATGGCACCCCCTTCACTCTCTGAGTGTCCATTACAGTGGGAGATAATGTGTGCAAAGCACCCCATACACTGTTTGGTGCATCTTGCACTGTGCCCTGCCCTCAGTCAGGGACCTGGCTCCTTGAGTCTGTGTCATCTAGTACCTGTCAGCACATTCTGGACACAACCCACAAACAACTCTCTTTCTTTGGTCTAGACCATAAAGGTCTCAAACCTTTATGACCCTACCTCACTCTAAGAAATACACTGTACATTGCAAGCCATTATTGCACATACATCTATAAACAAAACACATACACACACCCCACATATATATCTAAAACAACTGCTTCACAAAACAATAACTTGTATTACTACATGTAATATATTCTAATATTTCTATTCAGTGTCAACCCCACAATGGTTGTAATCTTTACACTGGGGTAAGTTTGCACAGGCAGAGGGAGGCTCAGTGTTGGATGTCTTATCAGTTGGAACTGTTTTGTGAATTTTTCTGCCATTCCTATGATGTAACCAGGACTAAGTGAGCAATCTGACTCGGGGACAGGAATTATTTCTTCCATGTACCAGGAATGTGCCTAAAGGACACATACTTAAATGCGACTGTTTTCTGCAGGACTCCAAGGAAATCCCAGAAACAGCATGGCTGGTAGAAGCGCACTAGCTTGGGAAACAGGAGACCAGGGAGGGCTCAGTCCCAGCACTGTCACGTGCTTGGTAACTATGGGGAAAACGTTTAAGGAAGCAAGAGGCCCACATAAGAATGAAGAGCTATTTGGGCTCCCTTGCCTGTGGTTGCCTCTCAGTCCAGCTTATCAACGCATGGTTAACCCTCCCCCACCCATTATGCCAGGAAATCTAGGAGGTCTCCTTGGTTGAGAAACAGAAACTACAAACAAAATGACAGATTTTCTGAAGCTAAGTTATTTGTGGCAGGCACATGGCCCTTCCACCTGCACAAAAATGGCTCACCATTCCTGCAGCTCAGGGGAAGGGATCAATCCTGCTGACTCCTTGGAGGAGCCTTCCACCCGTCCCTGCCACCAATTGCTGTCATCCTTGTTGATAATCTGGATAATGTCCCCAGTAGCAAACTTCAGTCCCGCCTCCTTGCAAGGGATCAGATTGTCCTTTTTGGGATCATAGTCAAACTGCGCTCTCATGAACATCTAAAAAGAAGGTAAAAGGAACTGCAGGCGGCAGCTTCAAAAGAAACACCAGCATCAGAGCATGTCCTGCTGTAGACAAATGGGGTCAGGATGGAATGAACAACAGGGAGGTAAGAATGGTGGGGGAGCACCCAAGAAAGAGAAATTGAAACGCTGAAGTGATTGTGTTTGCGGAGGGGTCAGAATGAATCCCTTTAACAAGAAGGCATGAGAAGCCAGGCGCAGTGGCTCACGCCTGTAATCCCAGCACTTTGGGAGGCCGAGGCGGGTGGAACACATGAGGCTAGGAGTTGGAGACCAGCCTGGCTAACATGGTGAAACTCCGTCTCTACTAAAAATACAAAAATTAGCTGGGTGTGGTGGCGTGCACCTGTAGTCCCAGCTACTCGGGAGGCTGAGGCGGGAGAATCGCTTGAACCCGGGAGGTGGAGCTTGCAGTGAGCCGAGATTGTGCCACTGCACTCCAGCCTGGGCGACAGAGTGAGACTCCGTCTCAAAAAAAAAAAAAAAAAAAAAAAAAAAGAAGGCATGAGATATCTTTCCACGTCAACGTGTCCACAGTTACTGCTGGATCTGGGTCGTCTGTCTCAGTACAGGGCAGCTACTCTTTGAACAACTGTTTTCACAATTGAAAATATGGACACTCATATCTATCAAAGAACTTGAATTTATTATTGAAAATTCTCCTCTCCTGCTCCCAAACACACACACACACACACACACACACACACACACACACACACACACCTACCTCATTACTTCATTGACAAATTTTCCAAGCATCATTTGAAGAAAGAAGGCTAATCTCATACGAAAACAGATTATAGAAAATGATGGCACTTCCCAACTCATTATAAGCATGATACCCAAATCTGACAAGAATCTTATAATTTCTCTCTGCAACAGAGATGTAAAAACCCCAAACAAAATATCAGCAAGTCAAATTTAGTTATGTATAAAAAGTATAATAAATCACAACCAAACAGGATCTAGTTCAGCAATATAAGAAGGTTTACTACCTGAAGGGCAATAAATTCACCACGTTAACATAAAAATGGAAAAAGATCATATGATCCCCTCAATAGATGCAGAAAAAGCCTGTGATAACATTCAAAACCCATTCAAGATTAAAATTCTTAGCAAACTTGGAATAGAAGGGAGGTTCTTTACTGTGAGAAAGAATACCTACAGAAACCCTACATCCAACGTCATACTTCTCAGTGAAAGATTAAAAGCTTTCCCTGCCTTTTTCAAAGGACATGGGTCTTGCTATGTTACCCAGGTTGGTCTCGAACTCCTGGGCTCAAGCAATCCACCCGCCTCGGCCTCCCAAAGTGCTAGGATTACAGGCGCATGCCACCACACCTGGCCAGCTTTCCCTTTAAGATGGAAAAATAAACAAAGATGTCTGCTATCATCACTTCCACTGGGATACTGTGAAGATGCCTCTTTTATCCAAACTGATATGTAGGTTTGACACAGGGATAAACAAACAGTCCAAAAGAAAAGAATAAAAAGTTCCAAAATAGACCTGTAAATATTACCATGACAAAAGTGACAGTGTACAGTAAATGATACTGGTTCAATTGGTATCCATATGGAAAAACTGGAATCTTGACCTCTTACCTTACAATGTATATAACAATCAATCCCAGATGGGTTGTGGATCCAAATGTGAAAAATCAAACAAGTAAGCATTTAGAAGAAAACACAGGAGAATATCTTGTTGACCTTGTGGTAAGTAAAAACTTTTAAAACAAGACATAAAAAGTGCTAATCAGAAAAAAGTGGTAGATTGGATTTCATTAAAATTAAGAGTTTCTAGTCATTAACAGGAACCATGAAGAAAATAAGCCACAGAAGAAGAGAACATACTTGGGATGCATATGACAAAGGACTCTTATCCAGAATATATGAGGAACTGCTACAAATCAGTAAGAAAAGCCTTGAATTGGTATCTTACAAAAGAGGATATCCAAGTGGAAAAAAACATATAAAAAGGAGTTTACCCTCATTAGTCATTAGAGAATTTTTAGAATCACAATGTGATACCACCATCAGGATGGCCAAAGGGTGAAAAAAAACCCAACAAATCAGACAATGCTAAGTATTGGTGAGAATACAGAACAACCAGAACTGTCATACTGTGCAGTTGGGGATGTAACATGGTTCACCAACTTTGGAATACTATTTGGCAATATCACCTAAAGATGAAGACACATATATCCTACAACCTGGCAATTCTACTCTCAAAAGAAAGGCATAGATGTATCCACAAAACACATGCACAAAAATCATATGATTTTTCTCCATTTTTCTGTTAACGTGGTGAATTTATTGCCCTTCAGGCAGTAAATCTTCTCATATTGCTGAATTAGATCCTGTTTGGTGAATGGCAGCCATTCAATGTAAGACCAAAAAAGCTGACAGAATAGATTAAATTGTAGCATGTTCATACAATGAATGAATGAGAATGAAGCAATATAGATGATTCCCATAAACATAATACTGAGCGAATAAAATAAGACACCAAAGAATTCATACTGTATAATTCAACGTTAATACATTTCAAAAGGGGGCAAAACTCATCCCTGCTGTTAGAAGTCAGGGTTATGGTGGGCCTTGAGGAAACACGCATGGTGAGGGGGCGGCGGTCTTAGGCATGGGTGTACTCAGTTTGTGAAAATTCATCCAGTTTTATACTTGTGATTTGTGCCCTTTGTTGAATATATGCCCATATATGCCAAAACTGCAATTTAAAAGTTTACTTAAGAAAATTATACCGTCACACTACAAGTAACCTGCAATAGAAACTTCAGATTTATTCTTTTAAATATCTCCTTCTTCCACATTGACTTGCCATGGCCCTGTCCAATCTATTCCTCTACTGGCTGATGAGCTATGTGTGAACTGGGAACCATTTCTCTTTATATCACCTCCATGTTCTAGCACAGTACTTTGTACATGGTAGACCCTCAATAAATTGTGAATAAGTGCTCAACAGATTCTATCTATCTTTTGTTTCTTTCTTTACTTTGCCACTATCAATCACGGGGCTTTATTATTGCTATTTTAAAAAGTATTTGCCAATTTGCTTGGTGAAAACTGGTGTCTCATGCATATTTTAATTTGCATTTCTTTGATGATCGGTAAGATAAAATATTTTTTCATATGTTCAATGCTCATTTGTAGTTTTCCTCCTGTGAATGATCTCTTCATTCCCTTTACCCATTTTCCTCTTGGAGCTGTATTGATTCCTTACCATCTGTAGAATAAAATTACCCTCTCCCTTCCTACCTGACCACTAGCAGCAAAGGCTCATTCATTCTCTACTCCTGTCGTCACTATGTTCTCCATTGAGGAAAGGGGAATGAGCTCCTGTATTTTATACCAGGCAGGGAATAATGGGACCCTGAGCCAAGCAGCTACACACTTGCGAGATACTTAGAACTTAAAGTTAGACTCACATCCCTTATAATCAAATTTCAAAGAATATAAGACAACATGGCCCGACTCCTGCCATCATGACAACAGAGAAAATGGTGCCACCCACCTGTAGTGCAGGAAGACGGCTTTGCTGGTTGGGAATTACTTTTAATGAGATCATTCCTTTGGTTTCTTTCTATTAAAAAAAATGGACATAAAATTGTACAGAAAACTAAGTTGAATGATGTGATCATTCATTCAAAGTCCCAGGTTTTTTTCCCCAACAACCATCTTTACATTTTGAGATTTTGTAGGACAATTCCTCCTTTAATACAAAAGTGTCATGTGCCCCATAAATCAGCATAACAATATGAAGACATGCAAAGAGTAACAAAGAAAAGCTAACTAAAGACTTTTCCGAGCTGGGCACGGTGGCTCACGCCTGTTGTAATCCCAGCTCTTTGGGAGGCTGAGGTGGGCGCATCGTCTGAGGTCAGGAGTTCAAGACTAGCCTGGCCAACATGGTGAAACCCTGTCTCTACTAAAAATACAAAAATTAGCCAGCGTGATGGTGGGTACCTGTAATCCCAGCTACTTGGGAGGTTGAGGCAGGAGAATCGCTTGAACCCAGGAGGCGGAGGTTGCAGTGAGCCGAGATCACGCCATTGTACTCCAGCCTGGGTGACAGAGCGAAACTCCATCTCAAAAAAAAAAAAAAAAGACTTTTCTTCCCCATTCTTTACCCCAAAAAGTCCTGAAGAAGTTCCTAAAAATGAACTATGGCGCATATATATCCACGCCTTTCCCCATACCAACAAAAGCATTACAAATATTTACATACATTATGCATACATATGTATTGTTTGTTTTTAACAAAAATGGGATTCTACTATATACGTTATAGCTTGCTTTACTTCATTTGGCATTACTTCATGGAACACCAGATTGATGCTCTGGGTTATTTGCCCTGCTTTAGAATTTTACTAAATAAAGGCAGAAAATTATCATTTCTTACACAGATTAAAGACTAGCAGTGAAAAGAGCCCCCTCAAGAAGGTACAAATACTTTGACAGAGAGATGAGGTCACTGATACCAATGTGGATCAACACTTATGGAGACAATGGAAGGTCTTCATCTAGCATAGAAAATACCCACCATCGCCTTCTGCAGCTGATCCACTGAATGATTTGTCACATTTGTGCCATTGATTTCTAGGATCTCATCCCCCACGTGAAGGGAGCCTGCCATGAAATGAAAAATCAATCCACAAAAGAACAAAAGTTCAAACAGGAGCTGTCAATGTAACTCAAGATACCATAGAAGAGAAACCAGGATTTACAGCATGTTATGAAACAGATTGTGTCAAATACTCAGGATTGAAAACATTTGACTTGACAGTTTAAGATGGTCTCATCCTCCTTGGCCTCAGTAGTCCAACAGCACAATAAAACACCTTGTCCTCAAATTCCTGGAACTAGAGTGGCTACTGACTCCAGACTATGACACAGATGTATACACTAAAAAGAATAACAAAGCAAGGCAAAGAACTCAGTACTCCTCTTTCACCAGCAAGCTCCATGTTTCTTTGTTGTTTAGCTCAAACCCCAAAATGCTACCAAGTGGTACTGCTGTCCTTTCCAAGTCTAATGCAATGGGTGGCATGTGGCAATTGCTCAAATATTAACTTACTAGAAAAATATTGGTATAAATAGGTGTGAAAGAAGGCTCAGATAGGGAGATGGTGGCACTGGGCAATTCACATAGAGATCTTATCATGTACTGATTCTACAGAGCCAGTTATTAAGCCACAAAAAGTCTCTTGGCACACTCACAAAAATGCTACCAGTTTGGAGGATTATAAGCTTCATGCCCCACACCACTGAACAGGGAGTAAATTATTAATCCCTGAATCAAACCCCACCCAGAGCTCCCACAGAGTACCTTGTCTATGGATCATGCCACCATGAAGAATTCTGGCCACCGTACAGGACTGTTTTTCATTCAGCTTCAGCGTGATTCCCTGAAATAAAGGCGACGGCACAATAAGCTTTATTTTAAGCTCTTTCTGAGGTTATTTTAGAAAGAACTTACGGTAATTTCTCAGGAAAATATTTTCCATTTATACCCAGGATAGTCCTCAACTAGAACAGGCATGAAGCCTGCTTTGAGGAGGAATTTGAGATAAGAATGAAAAGACAATTTTGGGGTTGGCCAATTCCCTAACTCCATGAGCAGCCTCTTGCATTGACTCTTCTGGCCCAGTGACTCATGGGGCAGAGAGTAACTGGTGGGCGACAATATGACGGGGGATTACCATGGGCTCTTCTGTGACCTTCTCAAACTGTATGAGTCGCACTTTCCGCACCTCCTGTCCCTTGACCTGGGCAGGGCTACCTGGGGCAGGAGACCCGTTGGTGTACATGTCCTCGGTCACAGTATTCAATGGATGCGATACAGCCTGCCAAGCCAAAACAACAAAGCAACGTATGAAATCAGGAGCAAGGCCCACAGCCAGTCCACAATCTGCAATTCTAACATTCAAGAGGCTCTGAAAACTTATTTCATAAGTTTGGCCTCATTCTTATTTGAATTGACATGAAGCTGTTTGTAAGCTTTATTTCTCCAACTTAATAGACATGTCAGCCAAGTGTGGTGGTGTGCACCTGTAGTCCCAGCTACAGTCCCAGGGCAACAGAGTGAGACCCTGTCTCTAAAAATAAATAAAATAGACATGTTTATCTAGGTTGCTGCAGAAATATTAATGTGCCTTGATTTACATGGTGCTCTCCTGGATCCTGCTTGGGGTATTACATAATATATAACAAAATTAGAAAGATTCTGAATCCTGCGGCACCTCAGGCTCCAAGGGTTTCTGGCATGTTCTCTTCTCCTTTGTATTTCCTTGAACAACCTGATGCTCTCGGTCACACAGCAATAAAGGTAATTCAGGTTAGCATCAGTTTCTCATGAATCACCCCTTAGGCTACAAAGAACTTCTACCTGTAGAATTAGGCACTTAGGACTGGGCCCCGAACCGCGGTGATAACAATAATACATTGCCACTGTGACTTCTTCCCCTGATCTCAAAGACAGCAAAGCTAAATGAGTTACTCTACCAGGCAGCAAGGCCTCTTTATTATAAATCTAAAGTAATTTAAGGCACTGTGGTAAGAAGAAAGACAAACGACCCATGTAATGGAACAGAGAGTGCAAAAACAGAGCCACACATTTATAGTCAGGTGACACTGCAGTGCAGCGGGGAAAAATGGTCTGCACGATAAATGTCATAAAAGGTCCCGAGTATAAAATGAAAACTAAAAAGACAAACACTTTAAAAGTAAGAAGTCTATTCATCAAAAAACTCCACTGAGATAAGCATAGATTTAGTAGACGAGACACGGAGCAATCATCATACAAGCAAACAACTGACTTCATCAAATTCAAACATCTTACATAAGAAACTAGACAGGTATGACACAGCCTGAGAATAAACATTTGCAATATTTACATCTGACAAAGGATTTGTATCCAGAACATATAAAGAACTCTTACAATTTAATAACAGGATGAAAAGAACCATAAACAAATCCTGAACTTGAGCCAATGATATGCATGCTGAAGCTTTCAGGGGTAAAGTGCTCTGATATCTGAAACTTATTTTGAAATACCAGGAAAAAGAAGGTGGATAGATGGGCAGTTTTTGGATAGAAATGTGATAAAGCAAACACAGCAACATGTTAACTGTAGAATCTAGGAGGTGTGGCTATATGGGTGTCACTATAAAATTCTTTCATCTTTTTGGCGCCATTCCAAGAGCAGCCAGTACTCTTTAAAAAATATTATAAAATTTAATTTTTGAACCATTTGAGAGTAATCTGAAGACTTCATTCTCCTTTACCCATAGATGTCTCTATATGTTAGGAACGAGCATTTTCAAAACTGAAAATTTAACATTGACACAATATTGTCATCTGCCAACCCTTTCAAGAATGTCCTTTATAGCTATATATTTCTTCCCCAGTCCAGAATCCAACCTAGGACTTTTTGGTCCCAGAATCCAATCTAAGACCAGAATCCAATCATGCATTTCACATTTCCTTACTCTTCCTTAATTTGGAAAATTTCCTCAGCCTTTCTTTTTCTTCTTTCATGACCTTGACATTCTTGAAGAGTACACACCTGTTATTTTGTAGATGTCTCTCAGTTTGGGGTTATCATCTGATGTTTTTTCAAGATTAGACTGGGATTTTGCATTTTTGGCAGGAATTCCAGGAAAGTAGTGGTGTGCCCTTTCCAGAACAACACTACTCTTAAAAGCCCAAACCTGAAAATAGCCCAAAAGTCCATCAACAGTAGAATGGATAAACTGAAGCATATCCAAGTGGATACCCTACATCAATGGCAATGAATGGCTACTGCTACACCACTCCATGGTAGATCACCTGTGGATCAGTCTCACAGGTGATCACTCTCTTCTCCTTAAAATGCTCCTTCTCAGTTTGCTTTGCTGTTCTTTCCTCATCTTACTGATCTGGGTAAGAGCAATCACAATGGGGAAAAACTATGGAAACCTCTGAAAATGCTCCCTGCCCACCCCAGATAAAATATTAAATCAAAAATGATATAGCCACCTGGAGGAGGAGGAGGAGGACGAGGAGGAGGAATAGGCCTGAAGTGGGCTTATGGAAGGGTCTGCTGAAAATAGGGGATAGCTGCATTCCAGTCACACCCAGAGGTGACCCTCAAAGACAGTAGGGAGGGAAGATCTTCCCAATAGGCAGAACTGTGAGGAGTGTGCCATTCACTGTGTGGGGAAGGAGAAGGGTCCCTAGATGGGAATAGATGGTATGCCTGAGCAGTGTCCACTGGCCTGCCCAAGGCCTAGAAAAGGACTAGAAGATGAGAGAGAAGGAAGTCTGGAGTAGAGGCTTACATCATTTCTAAGGGACTCTGATTTCTAAGTAGAAACTTTGATAAGATGGTGAGGTTTGGGCCAGGTGCAGTGGCTAACACCTGTAATCCCAGCACTTTGGGAGGCCAAGGTGGGGAGATCGCTTAAGCCCAGGAGTTTGAGACCAGCCTGGGCAACATGGTGAAACTCCTGCCTCTGTAAGAAATTTTAAAATTAGCTGAGTGTGGTGGTGCAAGCCTGTGGTCCCAGCTACTCAGGAGGCTGAGGCAGGGGGATTGCTTGAGCTCAGGAGTTGGAGGCAGCAGTGAGCCATGATCACACCACTACACTCCAACCTGGGCAACAGAGGAAGACCCTGTCTCAGAAAAACAAACAAACAAACAAACAAACAAAAAACATGGTGAGGTTTGAAGTAGTATTCGCTATCAGGTGACCTCAAATGAGGGAAGTACTGAGAAAGAGAAACTGCCTTCTCTAGCAACTAGAACTTCAAAAAACTCACATGACACCAAGTCATATGGCATTGCTGTTATAACAAAATTGTCTAAGATAGGCTTATATTTAAAAAATTGACTTATGATACCCGGGATACACCATGTAGGTAGGAAAAGGAGGTTCTGAGGGTGATCTTGAAGATTTATTGTTAAGCAAAAAATAATAATAATGTGATGAAGGGTATACTAGCTTCATCATAAACAGTGAAAGAATGATTATATTCATATTTGCTTAAAAATCCATAAACTGGCCAGGTTCAGTGGCTCACACCTGTAATCCCAGCACTTTGGGAGGCTGAGGTGGGAGGATCACCTGAGGTCAGGGGTTCGAGACCAGCCTAGGCAACATAGTAAAACCTCGTCTCTACAAAAAATAAAAAAATTAGCCGGGCATGGTGGCGTGCACCTGTAATCCTAGCTACTCGGGAAGCTGAGGCAGAAGGATTGCTTGAGCCCGGGAGGTCAAGGCTGCAGTGAGTTGTGATTACACCACTGCACTCTAGCCTGGGTGACAGAGTGAGACCCTGTCTCAAAAAATAAAATAAATGAAAATACATAAACTATGTCTGGAAGGAGACATAAGAAACAGTGGTTGCTTCTAGGGAGAGGAACTGGGTGGCTATAAGATGGGGTGAGAAGGAAATTGTTTTCACTGTGTATCAAGTTATACCTTTTAAATTATGTATTATGTGCTTGTGTTACTTTAATAAAATAAATTAGTAAAAGAATTTTCCAAAGTGATTGGGACTCAGGTTCAAGTACTTGTGTGGATCTTGTCCTGCCTCAACCTTGACCCTGTTTAAGTAAGAGTAAACGGGAGGAGGGAAATAGAAACCCACAAAAAGTCATCAGGGTTGAAGGATTTCTTTCTCTTTGTTTTTTTTCCTTTTCTTTTCTTTTCTTTTTTCTTTTTTTGAGAAAGAGTCTCACTCTGTCACCCAGTCTAGAGTGCAGTGGCGTGATCTCGGCTCACTGCAACCTCCGCCTCCTGGGTTCAAGCGATTCTCCTGCCTCAGCCTCCCGAGTAGCTGGGATTACAGGCAAGCGCCACCACACCTGGCTAATTTTTGTATTTTTAGTAGAGACGGGGTTTTACCATGTTGGCCAGACTGGTCTGGAACTCCTGACCGCAAGTGATCCACCTGCCTCGGCCTCCCAAATCTGCTGGGATTACAGGCATGAGCCACCATGCCCGGCCAAGATTTCAATAGCTTTCCAGAAGACAGAAAGCAGATGGAGGAATGACCAAGGAGAGTTGAGACAGCTAGAGCCTAGAATGTGCATACAGGAGGCACCAGCCAAAGAGGCTGGGAAGATTAGTTTAGTTGAGCATCTTGCCATCCCAAACAAGATCAGGGATATGTAAGTGAGAAGTGGGATGTTGGATTGGCAACCAGTTATAATAATCTAAAAACCACTTATTGATTTTTACTTTTTAGAACTCACTTAGAAACAAATCATGAAACAAATAACAGACTGTAAATATCAGCACCATGACAATATTAAGGTACACATGTCCATGATAGGAAGTTGGCAGGTAAAAAGGGGAGAAAAATCGAAAGGAAGAGGCCTGTAATCTTGTTCTGTTACAAAGTGGGGAGTCAAGAAGTAGGATCTGCATTGGTTGGACAATAAATGAAGGAGTGAATGCATTACATAAAGTTCCAAGCCAGGTGTGGTGGCATGTGCCTGTAGTCCTAGCTACTCGTGAGGCTGAGGCAGGAGGATCATTTGAGCCCAGGAGGTCAAGGCTGCAGTGAGCTATGATAGCACCACTGTACTCTAGCCTGGGCAACAGAGCGAGACTCTATCTCTGGAAAAAGAAAAGAAAAAATCTCCAAAGCAGAAGTTGCAAACTGTTTTATTTCGACCACATGTCTCTGTTTTGTTTAGTAAAAATCAGGGGACTCCAACTTCTTTTTAAAGTATCAGAAGATCTGGCATCGCTCTCCAGGTGGCCCCAGCTCTCACATTCCTTACTGATGCCTCAGCCAGAAGCCAGTGTTGGCTACCGATCACCCTATATCTGGGGTGTTATTTTTCTCATACACGAGTGCTTTCACTCACTTGGTCCATGTAGGTTACACTAAAAGCACGTATACATGATGGAAAGGTACAGACCCATGAAAAGCTAAAATAATTTTGAAAAACAAGAGAGTAGGAAGACTCAGTCTGCACAGTTTCAAAACTTACTGTAGTATAGTCTCAGTAAAGACTATGTGGTATAGACATGCAGATCAAGGGAACAGGATAGGGAACCCAGAAACAGACCCACAGAGATATGCCCAGTTGATTTTTAACAAAGATGCAAAAGCAACTCAATGGTGCTGCAGCAATTGGAAACTCATCACCAAAAAGGGAAATGCTGACCTGAACCTTACCTTCTAAAATGGATATGGACTTACATGTAAAGTGCAAAACTAGAAAATATATTTGAAAAAAATAGAAGAAACTTGTCAGGATCTAGAGCTAGGCAAAAAGTTCCTATACATGACATCAAAAGCAGAATCCATTAAAGGAAAAATTGGTAAATTGGACCTCATCAAAATGAAAAACTCTTGTTCTGTGAAAGCCCACATGAAGATTGTGAAAATACAAGCTACAGACCGGGAGAAACATTTACAAACCACATATCCAATAAAAGACTGGTATATAGAATATAAAAAGAGAGTGCTCAATACTCAACAGTAAAAACGAACAATCTAATTAGAAAATGGGCAAAAAACATGAACAGATATTTCACCAAAGAGGATATATAAAGATGGCAAATGAGGATATAAAAAGATATTCAACATCATTAGCCATCAGGGAGAAATGCAAATTAAAACAACAATGATATATCACTACACATCTATCAGAATAGCTGAAATAAAAAAATAGTGACAATACTCATAACTGGTGAAGCTGAGGGAAAATTGGGCATCTCATACATTGCTGGTGGGAATGTAAGTGATATGGCTTCCATAGAAAATAGTTGAACACTTTATTAAAAAACCAAACACACAACTACCATAAAACCCAGGGATGACACTCCTGGATATTCACCTAGAGAAATGGAAATTTATGTTCACTCAAAAGCCTGTACATGAATGCTCATAACAGCTTTATTTATAACAGCCAAAATCTATAAAGAACCAAAATACAGGTGAACAGTTAAAGCGTGGTACATCCATACCATGGAACACTTCTCAGCAATTAAAACAAAAAACACTATTGATACTAAAACAACTTGGGATCCAGCTCAAAGGCATTATCCTGACTGAAAGAAAGCTAATCTATTTCAAAACATCACATACTATATGATTCCACTTATATAACATTCCTAAAATGACAAAATCATAGAGACATTGAACAGAGTAGTGACTGCAAGGAGTTGCGGGGATGGGGTAGGGAGGAAGACAAGTGTGACTATAAAGCGACAGCAGGAGAGAGGCCTTTGTGGGGATGGAACAGTTCTCTATCTTCATTGTGGTGGTGGCTAGAGGAATTTTATTTTATTTTATTTATTTTATTTTTTTGAGACAGACTTTCACTCTTATTGCCCAGGCTGGAGTGCAATGGCACGATCTCGGCTCACCACAACTTCCGCCTCCTGGATTCAAGCGATTCTCCTGCCTCAGCCTCCCGAGTAGCTGAGATTACAGGCATGCACCACCACGCCCGGCTAATTTTGTATTTTTTGTAGAGATGGGGTTTCTCCGCATTGGCCAGGCTGGTCTTGAACTCCCAACCTCAGGTGATCCGCCCGCCTCGGCCTCCCAAAGTGCTGGGATTACAGGTGTGAGCCACCATGCCTAGCTATGTCATATTCTTCTTATCCAGCTTTATTACAGTGATTGCTTTTTACATGTCAGCCTTTAAATTAAAGACTCAGCAAAGCTTACTAGAGGCAGAACCATTCCAGCTGGAAAAGTTCAAGAGTTGCCATCCCAAAGGTTGGTCTTTCAGATGTGCTTATCCAACAAGACGTTCCTCTTTACGATGACTAAGAGTCACTATCACGCTTACCCAGAAGTTGCAAATGATGACTAAGAAAAACGGAAACTTCCAACGTGGTAACTAAAGTACACACTTGCAACAGTAAGTTTTCCAAAAGCAAAGCACAATTTTCTCCACCGTGAACTTGTCCCTGAGCCACCCTGTCTTCATGAGACTCTCAGAAAGGGAGGGTCAGCTCTCTGTGACCTCATCTTACAGAACTCCTTCAACTAGTCCCCATGTCTCCTCATTACTGACACATCATAGGAGAAAAGATATGCAGACATATACTGTCAGTGACATGAGTAATGCTGAACAAATAATAAAGGTCAAAGGTACTAGATTCTATTTCTCAGAGTTCAGTTCACAACCTCCACATCATCCTCTCAAAGCAGCCACCATCATCTGTAGTGGATATAGGAGGCCACAGAGCTATGGCAGGCCTGCCCCTGACCAGTGACAAGGCAGGGCGGAAGTGGCTCTGTTAAGGATGACTGCTGGGATTCAGGAGGAGCCAGGGAATAAACACTCACCCAGGACTCCATGTCTGGCCTTTGTTCTGCAGCCTCTGGCCTTTAATCAGACAAAGTGCTGGAGTGGCAATGCCTGCCGCTCTGAAAGCCCCTTCAGAGGAAACATCTGCAGCAGGGTTCAAAGGGCAGAGGCAGTTGCTCAAAGGAAGCTGGAATTTAAAAAGAGATGAAAAACAAACTTGGCGGGGGGCGGGCGGTGGCGGGGGTGAATAGAGCAGGGGCAACTGAAGTTGGCTTTCTAATCCAAACAATTAGATTAAGTGACAGTGAACATAGGAAAGAACAAATATTTGCTCAGCCTACTGTTAGGCTCTTTGCCAACTGCTCCCACGTGGAGACTTAGAAAGCCAAGTCCAAGAAGGCGAGATGATGCCAGACAGCTGCCCAGCAAGCCCTGGCCCCAGGTGCTCGCAAATTCCCTCTCTTTGCATGGGCAGTATCCTATTCCACTTTGGGAAAAAACAAGAGAAACTGAGAAAGCCAAGGGTATTCTGAAGTATTAGAAAGAGATTAGCACTGTTTAACCACAAATGACAGGAACTAGGGAGAGAGGAAGGCCTAAGAGCCAGGATATTCTGGCAGGTACTGTCTTAAAATCATACATTAACCAGGTGCTTTGCTTCTCAGGTACTAAATCCATCTGGGAACACATACATCAACCTAAAGGCCAAGTCTCTAGAGATCCCTTCCCAACGAGCTTTTTCTACCCCATGCTCTCAGTACACATGCAAAGGCTTTTGCTTCCACTGGGGAAAAAAAACAACAGGAAACTCAAGTAGCACCGTTCCACACAGCAGAAACACAGGGCTGCAGATACCTGGCACTGAGTCCCCACACTGCCATTAAACCAGTGCCGGAGCTGTGTGCAAATAACAACACTCGTTAAATCAAATGCTCATCCCCATTCTGTGGTCAATATTTGAAGACATGAAATGGTTCAGAAACCTGTCTGAGCTTAAAGGATGAGTAAGCCTCAGACTCCAGAAGTTAAACTATAAGCATGGACTTTGGAGTTTGTGCAGGTACATGGAGAGAATGCAGGTGCTGTGTCCCTCACATAAAGGCTGCCTCTGCACTGTGCAGAATATTCAGAGATGATGGCAGGTGCTAAGGAGGAAAATAAAGCAGAAAAGGCCTCGCAAGGAAGATAACTTTTGAGGGAAAACCTATTATGTGTTTTGTTCATGTATATTTCTTCATATGAAAGAAAAAAAGAAAAGCAAGACTATGTTACGAAAGTTCCTCTTCCCCTCCTCTGGCGTCACTTCCCCTACCCCAGCCAATTTTGGAAATATGGCTATTTAGTCTTGCCTTTCTACACTCCACACCCAGAGTTCTTTTTTAGCAACACTGAAAGGTTAGAGACAACTCACTGCTTAGGAGAAAAATCTCTGCATCAACTAATTTTGTCTCCCCTCTTGACACTGTCTCAGGACATTATTGATTGTCACAACTTAGCGGCGAGGTATTACTTTTTACAACAGAATTATCAGACCCAAAGTGTTAACAGTGCCCAGGTTGGCAAACTCCAATTTAAGGGAATTGATCTTAACCTGAAATATCTGTTCCTGGTATTCTATTATACTTCAGTGTCTTGTGTAGGGAGAACAAATGAGTTAGAAAAGAATAGAACGTTCATGATGAAACTCAAATCTGCTTAGCCACAATAAAAGCAGATTCTTATCTGCAAGGTATCCTAAGCCCTTCCAGTTTTGAAAAAAAAGTCATGAAAGGCCCAGGGCGCTGGATCATACCTGTAATCCCAGCACTTTGGGAGGCCGAGGCAGGCGGATCACCTGAGATCAGGAGTTCGAGACCAGCCCGGCCAACATGGCGAAAACCTGTCTCTATCAAAAATACAAAAATTAGCCAGGCGTGTTGGCAGGCGCCTGTAATCCCAGCTAGCTGGGAGACTGAGGCAGGAGAATCGCTTGAACCTAGGAGGCAGAGGTTGCAGTGAGCCAAGACCACACCCCTACACTCCAGCCTGGGTGACAGAGCAAAACTCTGTCTCAAAAAAAAAAAAAAAAAAAAAAAAAAAACAAAAAACAGAAAAAAGTCATGAAGTTCCTGGAAGTGAAGGACAGGAAAGGCAGACTGGCTGAGACCACACCACATACTGGGGAAATTGGGCAGAGGACTAAATAATTTGAAAATTACACTTTACTTTCTAGTATCAGTTCTGTGAAAAGAAAAGCCTTGAACGGAACCATTTCCTTTGCAAAGGAAACAGCAAGATCCAAGTCTGCAGCGAAAGTTCTTTCTCAGGTGAAATTATAACTAGTCAGAAGCAGAGTCAGTGATCATGCACACCGTAGACTCAACCTCCTGCCATCGCAGAAGGTGCCGCACTCGGCATGCACCTTGGTGTCCGTGCACAGGCTGTTCCCTCTGCCCAGGTACCACCTGCCAGTTACAGCCTAGGTACTGCGAAATGCAAGAGCCCACTGTGCTGGGTGCCCCTCCTTGCTCCACAGCGCTCCACAGCTGCTTCTATCACATCACCACCACACTACTGTATTTGTTTCCATGTCTGCGTCCTTCCTTATTTGCCTCTTAGTTCCAGCAGCAGACCTGGAGTAGGCAACAAACAACACTGCGTCACACTCAGTGACCACCAGCGGGGAGTAATGCTGCATGTGATGGCCTAAGAACCAAGAAACAGGTTTTCTTGGTGGAAATTTGCCTGGAGCCTGACTTATCTGTTAGGTGATTTTTTTTTGATGTGGGATAGGCCCAAGAGAATTTTCAGGGATTCTCAACCAATTGCTTCAGGTCCTGGGGAAAGTGTTGCTTCAAACAGGCCCGAAGAGAAAAGCAGTATTGGGAATTTTACAACTACTTTTATGTGCATTAATGGATACTGCTGTGAAGAACAAGGCCAGAGAGAGCTAATAAAATTAGTTTCTCCATTAACCTGCCTAGACCACATTGAAAAGAAAAAAAAAATTAGTTTATCCAAGGAAGGAGATATACTTAAATAGGGGAGATAGGCTACATTCAAACCTATTGCAAAATTACCTTTAGACAATATTCTTTCAGTATTAAATGTGGATTATAATTGGAAGTGAAACTTTGTTTTGAATCGGTAGCCTTTTTCCATAAAGTGACACCTTTAAATGAAACTTTCAGCAAAATAATTTTATAATTTCTATTGAAGCCAACAACTTCCTCACAGGTTTTCCTGCTTCAAATCTTGCCATTATAGGAAAACTTTCTGACTGCTACTACTGGGCAGGCAGCTCCTAGGGAGATACTGGGTCATTACCCTGGATGTCCCAGTGTGGCTCAAGGTCCTTGTCAAGCATTATCTCATGTAAATGTTGCCACAACCTTCCAAACTTGCCAGTTTCATAAAGGAGAGAAACCTAAGGCACAGAGAGCTTCAGCAGCTTGCCCAAAACCATGCAGCAAGTGAAAGGCAGAGCTTGCTGCTGCAGCAAAGACTGGTAAGAGCCCCAAAGGGAAGGTGAACCTAAAGAAATAAGAATCCGCAGGTTGTGGAGTCAAGCCACACTTCATCGTGTGAAGAGTCTCCCTCAGATGCTCACTTTGGCACAGCTGGATACTATTTCATTCAGGGATTCAGTAAGTTTTCTTATTTGATCTTCTTCAAATCCGTTAGTAAAAACCAAACAAATTAGCTAACTGGTAGACTATCTCCAATATTACAGTATAAACTCACAGCCCCACAAAACGTGCTGTTTACTCAGAGGTTGTGCCCACAACATAACACTGGTGGTGACAGGGCCTCTTTTCAAAAAGGCACAGTCTTTCAAGCATGCCCATAAGGGAACACATAGGTTTACATAAGAACCCCGACACAAAATACATCATACTGTAGGATTCTATTTATATAAAATTCCAGAAAAGGCAAATCTATAGTGACAGATCAGTGGTTGCCATGTTCCAGGTGGAGGAAGGTGACTGACTGCCAAGGGTCACAGGGGAACTTCCTGGAACCTTGAAAATGTTTATTCTTTGTCATGATTGTGGTTGTCGTTACATGACTATATACATCTGTCAAATGTCATCAAACTACACAATTAAATTTCATGAATTCTACTGTATGCTAAGTGTACCTCAATAAGACTTCCAGAAATAAATAGATTTTTTAAAAATAGTTGAGGCTCAGCCAAGTGAGTACTGATTGTGGGGAAGAAAAAAATCACAAGTCCAAGTTTATGGGGAATCAGGTAACAGAACTTGTAATTTTGTCTCATCATCTGTATAACAATAGCATCTTTCATGCCTGTATTATTTCTGCACTCATTTAAACTCAGGCTGTTGCAATCCTGATTTGAAATGACAGGCAGGTGTGAATGCCTCACTCGAGTGGAATATAAAGGGTAAGGCAATGCGGTGCAGCAGACACAAAATCTAGCCTCAGTTCTGATGCCCATTACTTGTTTCCTTGAGTTAATGCCACTTAGCCCAAAGAGTCTACAGCTCTACTGCTTGCCTTATGTTGCAGGGACCTTCAGTTTTTTCATCTGTGAAATCGGAGGGTTACTGTAAATCCCAAATGTCCATCTCTTCAGTCATTTATTAATTTAGCAAACATTTCTGAGGACCCACTTATTGGGCACTTAAAGAAGTGAGTATGACACGGCCCTGCCCTAGAAGACCTTGCAGTCTAGGAAGGAGGTTCATGCTGTGACTTCTGAGCTTCTGCCTGGCTCTCTGGTTCTCTCTGGACATTTTCCCCTTGGGACCTGGCCAGCATGCTGTGAGGAAGACCAAGCCACAGGGAGAGGCTGCTGGTTGATTTTCTGGCTCATGGCTCATGGCTCCAAATGAGTAAGTGAGCCGTGTCCCCACCTGACAGACCCTGAGTGACGACCACCTTGCTGGGCCCAATCAAAACGAAATATGAGAGACAAGAAAATGCTCAGTGTTGTAAACCAGCGAGTTTGGGAGAGATTTGCCAGTAACAGATAAGCACAACCTACCCTTAGGGCATCTTTGAGGACGGAGGTTAATAGCTATTTACCAGCCATCCATCCCTGGAATCTGGATTCCTTGTTCCACCCGCAAATATACACTGGCCACCCTCTTTGCACCATAGCACAAGGGGACCTGCCTAAATGAAGAGGAACAGTGAGTGAGCTCTTTAGAACCAGAAGCTGGCTTTTACAATCATTTCTGCTGACCCAAACACAAGCACTTCAACAACAACCAGGCAGACCTACTCCTTGATGTGTTCCTTAAAGACTTTCTGTTACTCTGACTTCCGTCCACGAGGAAGTTTTCCTTGCCCTTAATAAGCGCACTGTCCAGGCCGCTGCCTCTCCTGATTTCCAACTGGAAGGACTGCTGGGGGCAAGGATCCACTGCACCAGCAGCCCGGTACGAACCCGGCCGCGCGCTGGCCTTGTCCTCACCCCGCCGGCTATCGCGGTCTCCGACCTATGGCCAGGACCCGCAAGGACAGGCCCCCCGGGGACAGGGACCGGGACAGGGAAAGTCCCGAGATGAATGGCCGAGCCCCGGCCCAGCGCCCTTGGGACTAGCGGGGCCCGCTCACCTCTGGCCGACTACGCTTCTGCAGCAAATGCTCCAGGTAGAGGTCGGAGAGCGCCGTGTGCATGCTGCCCCCACTCTCGCCCTCGCTCGCCTTGAGGGTCATCTCGCAGAAGCTGGAACACTGGAACGCAAGACAGGGCAGCGCTGGGAATGACAGGGCCCGGGGCCTGCGGGGCTGCGGAGAAGGCGGGAGACGCGGTGCGGCTGGGCCAGTCACCGCCCCGCAGGCGGTGCGCCGGGAGGGCGCGGACGGAGCTCCGCCTACGGCCCGCCCACTCCTGCCCTCGCTCCGCCCATGGAAGTCTCCCACGCCCCGGACTCCGCGGCTCCCTGCGCTCCGAGAAGCGGCCCTTAAAGGGCCTGAGGAAGTCGTAGCTGTAGGTGGCCGCGTGAGATGAATGCCAGAAAGATAAGAAAGGGGAGGGGGCCCCCAGCTTCTGGGTGGTTGAGCACACGGCCCACGCCCCGTTGGGCCTGAGCCGCCCGGGTGCCCTGGCCAAATTCGTGGGGATTGCAGGGAGGCAACAAGGGAAATCAGAATCGGCCGGCTTAGTGGAGTTCAAAAGATGTAGGTGAACTCTAGACTCTTCCCATAAATTGATGCGGGCGCAGCATTACCCTTTGAGATCTGGACATTGCGAAAATGCCTTTAAGGCTGCTGTGCTGCTGCACCCTGTCATTTAATTGTTGTGTGCTGTTTGATGATGAAACATCTTATTGCCTTCAAAACCAAACTGTTTTTACTTAGGGCAGATCTCCTGCTGTAAATGCCACAAAATTTTTCCGGCTCAGCGAAAGCAAAGGCAGCAAACATTCCTTAGTAACCCTAGAGGAGGATTCCTTAGCATCCTAACGCATTGGAGACATTCAAACACCAGTCACAGCGATGGAAGGCTTTCTGAACAAAACAAACATTTAATGGGCTTGTACGGCTCTTGGTCCCCTACCCCAAGCTAGTAGCCTCACAGTATTAGAAGCAGTTCATCACTACATGTAATCTTATTCTGACCTTCCTCAAAGCTTCCTGGGAAGGAGGAGCTCATAGCCAAGAGGAGAAAATCCAAGGGCAACAGTTTAGAGCTGCATTGCCCAGTTTTCTCTACCAAGAGGCCGAACTCATGTGAATGACGGTTCCCTTCCTCAAGATCACTCTAAACGAACGGGGGGGGAGGGGGGGGTGGGGTGGGGGGGGAGAGATTGAAATTAAGACTGTGATATTGAGGCATGGATAGATTAATTGAGCAATGGCATAGAATAGAGAACCCCGAAACGCAACCATGCAAGTATAGAAATGTGGTATATGATAGAAGTGGCATGTTAGGTAAGTAAACAGGGACATTTTATTAACTGACGCTGGAAAATGGTTATTTATATTGGAAAAGATGAAATTGGAATCCTCATTCATGTGATATGGAAAATAATAATAATCTATTCCAGATGGATTAAGGAATTAAATGTCAAAAACATACCCTTAAAGCTCTTGACAGGAAACATAGGCAAGGAACTTTTAGACTTTGGGATACAGATTTCTAAACAATGTAGACAAACCATTGACCATAGAATGGAATAGTGGTAACTTTGACTTTAAGAATTTTAATTTATGAAGACACCATAAAGAGCAAAAAACACAGCTGTGCATTGGGAGAAAATATTTTCAATACAGATAAGTGGCAAGGAATTCCAATTGCGAATATATAAAGGACTACAAATTATTAAGAAAAACACAATCCAGTAAAGAAGTGGGCAAAACACATGAATAGGCATTTCACCAACAGAGAGACGCATATGGCCAATAAACATACATATAAAGAGATGTTCGACATCATTAGTGATCAGGAAAATGCAAAGCAAAACTACAATGAAATACCACTGTTCACCCATTCAGTTGTCAAAAATTTAAAAGTCTAACAGTACCAAGTGTTGGGGAGGATGTGAATCCATATGATTTATTGAATATTGCTGGTGGGAGTCTAAATTGGTACCAGTTGTAAGGAAAACGGGTTTCCATTATCTCTTACAGTTGAACATACATCTACCCTCTGAGCCAGCAATTCTGCTCCTAGAGGGAACAACTATTCCCAGTTTGGTCTGTAACCTTCCAGGTCTCCCTCTGTGCATCTGCAAAATATTCAGGACTAGAGTTGCCTTGTTTGTCCAGGTACGAAAACCATAGTATGGATGGCCTTGCTCCAATTTATACTCCTTCCATATTTTCTCAGCCTTATCTACTTCCCAGGCGATCAGGCACTTGATCAATGGAAATCCCTGACTGCCACTGACGTTTTCACATCTCCTGACACTTCTGACTCCTTCACTTTTCTAAAGTGAGGGCTAGGTTCTGAAATGACCTCTACTGCACTCACTGCAGCAGGAGCTTCTGCACTCAAGCTCATCCTGACCAGATCCATGGAGGCTCTGATGACTCCTACCACTTTTGGATTCAGGATTGAACTGTGGTGTGTGGGATCTGGCTTTCCTACTGACTACCAGGACCAAGGTAACACAACTCAGAGGTGTGAGGAAACTAACAAACACCTAATAGGGTGAACTTTGACCACTGACAGAAATGAGACAAACACCCGTAGGCAGATCAATTCCTTTCCTCAACCATTTCAAGATGGTGTGATTCTATACAACTCTTCTGGAAGCATTCAGGAAGACTGTGAGATAAGCTGTGTTTTCTTGAGTAACAGTGGCGAACTCAGTAGCACACCAAAGTATATTTTGTTTCCATCCTTCCCTACCTCACTTCATTTATTCCCTCACTCTTACACCCATGGGATTGCATCCTTCACTAAAGATTTACCACATATGTTTTGCTCCAGGCTTTGCTTTCTACCAAACATAGGCTAAGAAAACAGGTGTCAGAAATGGGGTGGCCTCAGAAAACAGACCCTCAGGATAGGACTTTTGCTATACAAATACATGGACATTAAATAATCTGCTCTTGAATGGTATTTGGGTCAACAATGAAATCAAGATGGAAATCAAAAATTTCTTTGAGCTGAATGATAATAGTGACACAACTTATCAAAACTTCTGGGATACAGCAAAAGTGGTGCTAAGAGGAAGATTCATAGCATTAAATGCCCATATCAAAAAGTCTAAAACAGCACAAATAGACAATCTAAGGTCACATTACCCGACTTCAAACTATACTACAAGGCCGTAGTTACCAAAACAGCGTGGTACTGGTATAAAAATAGGCATGTAGACCAATGGAACAAAATACAGAACACAGAAATAAAGCCAAATACAAACAACTGATCTTTGACATAACAAACAAAAACATAAAATGGGGAAAGGACACCCTGTTCAACGAATGGTGCTGGGAAAATTGGCACGCCACATGTAGATAATTGAAACTGGATCCTCATCCCTCGCCTTGTACAAAAATCAACTCCAGATGGATCTAAGATTTAAATCTAACACCTGAAACCATAAAAATTCTAGGAGATAACACTGGCAAAGCTATTCTAGACATTGGCTTAGGCAAAGAGTTCGTGACCAAGAACCCAAAAGCAAATGCAACAAAAACAAAAATAAATAGGTGGGACCTGATTAAACTGAAAAGCCTCTGCACAGCAAAAGAAATAATCAGCAGAGTAAACAGACAACCCACAGAATGAGAGAAAATATTTGCAAACCATGCATCTGATGACAAAGGACTAATATCCAGAATCTACAAGGAACTCAAACAAATCAGCAAGAAAAAAATAACCCCATCAAAAAGTGGGCAAAGGAATGAATAGACAATTCTCAAAATATACAAATGGCCAATAAACATACGAAAAACTGTTCAACATCACTAATTATCAGGGAAATGCAAATTAAAACCACAATGAGATGCCACCTTACTCCTGCAAGAATGGCCATAATAAAAAAAAATCAAAAAAGAATAAATGTTGGTGTGAATGTGGTGAAAAGAGAACACTTTGACACTGCTGGTGGGAATGGAAACTAGTACAACCACTGTGGAAAACAGTACCGAGATTTCTTAAAGAACTACAAGTAGAACTACCATTTGATCCAGCAATCCCACTACTGGGTATCTACCCAGAGGAAAAGAAGTCATTATTTGAAAAAGACACTTGTACATACATGTTTATAGCAGCACAATTTGCAATTGCAAAGATATGGAACCAGTCTAAATGCCCATCAACCAACAAATGGATAAAGAAAATATGGTATATATACACCATGGAACACTACTCAGCCATAAAAAGGAACAAAATAATGGCAACTCACAGATGGAGTTGGAGACCACTATTCTAAGTGAAATAACTCAGGAATGGAAAACCAAATATTGTATGTTCTCACTTATAAGTGGGAGCTAAGCTATGAGGACAAAAGGCATAAGAATTATACTATGGACTTTGGGGACTCGGGGGAAAGGGTGGGAGGGGGATGAGGGACAAAAGACTACACATTGGGTGCAGTGTACACTGCTGAGGTGATGGGTGCACCAAAATCTCAGAAATTACCACTAAAGAACTTATCCATGTAACTAAAAACCACCTCTACCCAAATAATTTTGAAATAAAAAATAAAAATATTTTAAAAAGAACTCTTTAAAATAAATAATGAAAAGCACCAACAGACTTATGAACAGGCAATAGAAAAAATGAGAAATAGAAAGGAATACAAATAAAAGTACAGAAAAAAAATATGGCAAGTTATTCAACCAAACTGGTAATTTGAAATCCAGATTGAAATAATGCAAAAAAAAGGCAATTTCTGGCACCATGGCAGACCAGGTACCTGGATGATCTGTTGCTGAAAACAACTGAAAATGCTGGTTAAAATATATTAACACATTCTTGAATACAGTCATGGCCAAAGGAAGTCACATGACTAAGCCCACAGTCAAGGAGTGAGAAAGTATTCTCTACCTACCATGAGGCCAGGGCAAGGGTGTGCACTTTTTTTTTTCTTCTGTTCATTGAATACAGTCACTGTGTATTTTACATACTTTCATTTAGTCTTATGACAATCCTATGAAACAAGTACTTTTAAAAAAATTGAGATAACAGTTGCATACCGTGAAATTCATCCATTTAAAGTGAGCAATTCACAGGTGCAGCTAGCTCAGTCAGCAGAGCATAAGACTCTTAAAGTGAACAATTCAGTGCTTTTTAGTATATTCACAGAGTTGTGCAACCATCACCACTATCTAATTGGTCTTAGTCTGTTTGGGCTGCCATAACAAAATACCACAAACTGGATAGCTCATAAACAACAGGCATTTATTGCTCACAGTTCTAGAGGCTGGAAGTGCAAGATTAAGATGCCAGCAGATTCTGTGTCTGCTGAGGGCCTGTTCCTCATAGAAGGTGCCCTCTTGCTGAATTCTCACATGGTGGAAGGGGGAAAACAAGCTTGCATTGCAAAGAGGTGGGCCTCTTTAATCCCAAAGGCCCCACCTCTAAAAGGCCCCACTTCTGAATACCATTACATTGAGAATTAAGTTTCAACATAGGAATTTGGGGGAACACAAATATCCAGACTGTAGCATAATTCCAGAACGGATTCATCACCCACGGGGACCCCAGCCCCATGAGTAGTCACTCCCCATTCCTAGTCCCTGGCAACCACTAATCTACTTTCTGTAGGACCACTAACTGAATCTACCACAAGGGACTAATAAAAACCCTGCCCTGAGAATTCATAAGTATAAGTTGGCCCTTGCTCTGGTTGGCAGCTCAAAGTTGCACTACCTGAGTGACCTGACAAACCTTAAGTAGATAATTTAACTTCAAGGGTTTTCTTGACTGATAGAGCCCCAAGGTGCCTGGCAGAGCAAAATATGTCTTTTTGAAGGAGTCCTCATTGATACCAGACCTTAAATTCCATACATATTTATAGACTGATAAATCGCTAAACAATCAAGGAAACAAAGTCCCGTGAGGGAGATCCAGCAGAAACGATAGGTGACCAAATTGAACCAAAAACTTCAGATACTGAAATTCAAGATTAGTTAACACTAGAAAATTTATTAATCCAATTTACCATATTCATGGAGAAACTCATATTATCTCAGTAGGTGGAAAATATTCAATGTAATTCAATATCCATTAATGATAAAATATCTTTTATCAAATCTAGGCATAGAAAGAACCATCTTTAGTCAGGCACGGTGGCTCATGCCTGTAATCCCAGCACTTTGGGAGGCCGAGGTGGGTGTATTGCCCGAGGTCAGGAGTTCGAGACAGCCTGGCCAACATAGCTAAAAACCATCTCTATGAAAAATACAAAAATTAGCTGGGCGAGGTGACAAGCACCTGTAGTCTCAGCTATTCGGGAGGCTGAGGCAAGAGAATCGCTTGAATCCAGGATGCAGAGGTTGAAGTGAGCTGAGATCATGCCACTGCACTTCAGCCTTCAGCCTGGGTGACAGTGAGATTCTGTCTCAAAACAAACAAACAAACAAAAAAAATCTTCCCTCTTTAACCGATTTTAAAAAACTATTTGTAAAACATCTAAAATACCTACAACGAATATAGTTTTAAAAAGCTGAATGTATTTCCTTTAACATGTTGAACAAGACAAAGATGCCTCCCTCTATAACCACTTTTCTCTGTGTCGTATTGTAAGTTCTATCCAGCAGAATAAGGCAAAAGTAAATTATCATGGTATAAAGACTGGGAAGGAAGAAACAAAATTGTTGTTATCTATGGATATATTATTGTCTTTGTAGAATATTTAAAAATCTACAGATAAATTATTAAAATTAATAAATGCTATTACTAAGGTTGTTAGCTACAGTCATACAAAGAAATCAATTGTATTTCTATACACCAAAGATACACAGAAAATTTAATTTTAAAAGACACCATTTTGTTATGACATCTAAAATGATCAAATACCTAGGAATAAGTTGAACCATATATAGGTACTGTATGGAGAGAATTATAAAATTCTATCTGCATACATTGAAGAAGAGCTAAAAATTGAAAGAGAAACATGTTCATGGTTTGGAAGGCTTAATTTTATTAAGATGTAGGTTCTCCTGAAATTGGCCTATAGATTCAATGCAATCCTGGTAAAAATCTCAACAGGTATGTTTTGTGAAACTTGACAATCTAATTTCAAAATATGTGTGGAGTTGTAAAGAGCAGGACTAGCTAAAGAAGAACAAAGTGGGGGACCTGTCTTGCAGATAGCAAGACCTTAATAAAGCTATGGTAATTAAGAGTGTGGTATAGGCACAGAAATAGACCAATGGACCAGAAGGGAGAGGCTAGAAACAGATTTGTGCATATTTAGACACTTGATAAGGTGACATGAGACATCAATCAATATATGTAAGATGTACATTGGTTTCATCCAGTAAGGTGGGACAACTGAAATAGAGGAGGAAGCTTCCAGATCGTGGGTAGATAAGAGACAAATGGTTGAATTCTTTTGAGTTTCTGATTAGCCTTTCACTGGATACACAATTTACAGGAATAGTCAATATGTCTTGGTCTGGCTCAGTGCAACAGTAGGGCAAAAGAAGTAATCAGGTATGCATTTGTGTCATGTGAGTAGAGGGATGACTTTGAGTCCTGCCTGCCACTTGTTTCACAAGGAATTTCCTTGTGGGCAAATTGTGAGGGAGGTATGTAGCTTACTTATTTATTTATTTATTTATTTATTTATTTATTTATTTATTAATCTTTATAGCTATCTTATTTAGGAATAGAATGGGAGGGAGATTTGCCCAATGCAGTTCCCTGCTTGACTTTTCCCTTTGGCTTAGTGATTTTGGGGAGATTTATTTTCCTTTCATATTCTCCCCTTTTCTTTTTAAAATCTTTCGGAGAAAGCACTTTAGAAGAAAATGAGCCTCTGGTCTCAGGTTTTGTCTGATCTGTCGTGGCTAGGATGCTTTATTCCTAGACAGATAGGTCCCACATTATTAGGAAAGCTCATTTTTAGCAGGTTGTGAAGTCTCATGTCCTACAAAGGGAAAATAGGGGTAGGAAGAGAGAAAAACAACAACAAACAAACAAAAACTGAGGAACAATCCTGGAAAATCAATATAGGCCATATTCCTCTGAAGTCCATACATCAGTAGGCAGGCATGAAATTGGTTTATGTGTAATATGTAAATTGGTTGCTGTTGTTTTCTTCTGAAGTTTAAGTTGTCTAGCTTTAGTTTACAGAGCTTTAAGAAAGCACAGCTTAATTTTTAAATTTCAAATCAGGAAAAATGGGAAAAAAGGAAAGAATAAAAAATTGAAAACGTTATTTTGGAGACTTGTAGCCAGAAAAAATTTTAGAATTCAGCCCAAACTGTAGAAAATAATAAAAATGGAAAAACGTTAGGGAAGACCAGAATCTAATAACAGGTGTACCATAGTTTATTTTGAAACATAATTTTTCTCTCTCCAGTTCCATTTTCAGTAAAGACAAATCATAGGACAAATTCATTTGCAAAATAAGTTTTAGTCTTATTATACTTGGCTGGAGTAGTCACATAAAGTCAGCAAGAATAATTATTTGCCATATAGGCTCCTCTTTTTTTTTAAAATTGGCTTTGCTGGAACTTTATTCCATAAGGAATCTCAGATTTGAATTTAATGTCTTAAGCCCAGCCTATGTCTGCAAATACCTATGTTAATTGGGTGAATTCCTTACCTCGAGGTTCCAAGAAAACTTGGGGATCCTGGGCCAGTCAGAAAGTGACATTTTTCACTTACCACAGGTCAGGAACCTGTATAGGGACTGCATAGACAAGGTATGAGGCATGTTTTCCCAAGGGGCTTTTATTGGCTCTATAATTCAACTTTGATTACTTGAAGGAATCTGTATTTGAAAGCATGTTATTCCAGTCAAAACCTTGGTAGAATAACCAGTGTCTCCAATTGTGTCCTGTTACCAAAGAAAGCAGATTCTTACTGTACTTGGGCAAATAACAATATTGCCACAAGTTGAGAATACTCACAACTACTTTCCAAATTTTGGAGAAATCAGGTAGAGAGAAATGTGCTCCAAATTTTGTTTATAGGAATATATTTTACTTAATTGTCAAAAGTTTCAAAAAGTTTCTTTGGCTCTGAAAAACAAACAAAAGATCAGCAATGTTTTAGGCAAAAAGTCATAAAAGGATTTATTTCAGTCTTCTATTAGTTTAGTCCATGCAGTTAACTCCTGTTCTGCTTGATATTCATGAACATTTCAGCTCTCTATGGGAGTCTTGGAAGTTTTTCCTCTAATCTAGTGTCACAATCTCCAAGGTTATCAGAAACCTGCAATCAAGAGCACCTGTCAGAGTCCTATGCTGATTATAAACCACCTTTTGAAAAGGATAAAAATAAAACAACTGTGGATGACAAAAGTCTTAAAATAGTCATAGTTAAACACACAATTGACAAGAAAATTTGGTTATTTCTGTGGCATACAACAGTTTTACATAATAATCATAATCACTACTGATAACATATGCTAAGACCTATCAGAATCACAGGAATTTCATACAATTCTGGAACATACACTAATAACACAGTTATATAAACATAATCCAAAGAAGCTTAAACACTGTTTCATATTTGACAATACTTCCTGTATGACTTTATTATACCAAATAAGCTGAATATGTCTCTTCTGAACTTCAGGGAACTAATATAAAAAAATTAATGAGGACTGAAGTTAACATTTGATTTTGGAAAGTTTGTCAAATATAAAAAGTTTAAAACACTTGATATCACAAAATAGGATCACAGGTCATTGTAAAATAAGTCATTCATTTAGCCAAAGTGATAACTCAGTTTTTTTTTTAAAGGTGAAAATCTTTAGTCTTTGAGAGAGGAGACTTAATTTTCCAAACAATAAGCCCTAATAAAGACAGCATGAGGCCAATTAAATTTTTTTTTCAAAATTTTATAAACAATCTATAAAATGTTAACCATCCTGACCATAAGATATAATTTCCATAGCCTTTTTATAACCTTTATAATCTTTTATTAAGGAGTAGTTTAACGCTCCAAGAAAACCTTGTTAATCTGACATAGGGACCCCTATGCTAGTCCTACATCAGTGTGCCTTCAACATTAATGGTTAATTTATAGAGAAACTGAACTTACTTTATCTCTCAAAATCAGCCCTTACAATCTCATGTGCTTGCCTCTTCCACGATAGTCCCTGGGCCTTGAGAAGTTAAATAGTTTTAATTTCTGGCCATGTGTCTCATGAACAAAGTTTATTTTCATTGGCATCTTCTATGGGGTTTGAAGATAAGGATTTAACTGCCGTCAGTGTTTAATATTTAGCAGGACTTGGGGTTCTTTTCAGACCCAGTAGTCAAAGCCCTGTGACTCACTGGCACAAGAACTTTAAAAGCACATATAGAAAGTCACACGGATGTAATAACCTTAATTTTAAAAAAAGTTTTAATCTCAGTTTTTTCCCTAAACAAATCAAAACTTAGTAATAATGACATAGAAATTATTTTGATAAAGCATAAAATCTGTTTATTAGGCCAGTTACCCAAAGGCAAAAGAGACCTTCTGCAGTGCGACTGCTGTTCCCTATGGGGAGTTCCATTTAGATAAGTTCGAGTCAAAACTAATGAAAAAGGTACTTGAACTAGTTAGACATAGGAAGAATGTTTCCTGGATCATAAATGCAAATTTTCAGATCCATAGAACAATTTAAAGCCAAGAGCACAGAATATTATGTTGGAAGGAAACACTTTCTTTAGACCTTTAAGATAAAACATTTTTAGCATCAGATCACAACAAACAGAAACCGAAGGAGGAAAAAAAAAACCGTACAGGAGCTGAAAATGAGTTGAAGGAGAGTTATTATTTCAGACTTTTAACGGAGAGAAAGCTGAAAACACGAGACACAAAGTTGAACTTTGCATTAAAAATCATAATGTCTTATAGTTTTATTAAGGGTAAAGCAAATACCTTAAGAAAATATCATTGTTCTAATCAATCCTTTAGTGTATAAGTGTTTTTTTCTTTAAATATCAAAACCCAATCTCTAGAAAAACCATTATAAATGATTTCCCTTTAATTATAGACAACTTGATCATGTAAGTTTTTTTATTTTCATAATTGAGATTTTATTGGTTGAGGATCAGTACAGACATTTCAATTTGTACACAAATCTTAACATACATAACGAAATTCTAAAAAGCCATGTATTGTAATTCTTTTTTAAAGTTATTCCAGTGACTTTCCAGCTTAAAATTTGGAAGCAAATTTTCCTTAAGAGGCTATCAAGTACCAGTATCTTCACATGTTGGTCAGCTGTTACATACGGCCCACCAGTTCACAACTGAATAGCACGTACACTACATGTTCAAATTTGTAATCTTTCACAGCACAGTAACCAAGTGATTAGGAAAACCACAACCAAAGATGTTACAGAGTGCACACAATTCTGACAGGGAGAGCCATGATCAAAGAGTGGTTTTCTTTAGGAAACAATTCTACTAAAAAACAACATGGGAATAGAAGTAATTTAAAATGTTCAAGACATTAAATGCAGGACTGACTCCATATTGCCATTTAATATGCTTTGTATTATAGGATATAAAAACTAACCCCCCCATCTATGGAATGTTAAGCTGACACCCGAGACAGTCAGAGCCTCCCATAATTCAATATCCCACACTATTTTCTGGTTGTACCAAAAAATAAACAACCAGCAAATGATTTCACCTCTTAAAAAAAGCATTTACACTTAAAAAGTGGGATGAGGTGGGATTCCCTCCTTCTTAAAAATGTTTCTAGAGCTACTAAAAAACTTGCATTTACAAAATAGTTGATAAAAATATTCCTCTGGATTGTACAAGAAGGGAGACAGGGACCACTGATAAGACATGGTATATGGTATTAATCAGACTTGGCTTCTTTCTCTCCTGCTTCATCAGAGGCTGGACTCTCCTCAGTTTTCGTTTCCCTGTTTACTGCAGGTAAATCTTCTTTAGTTTCTTGGTTAGCCACTTCGGCCTGTTTTCCCTTTGCTCTCCTTTTCCCTTTTGTTTGCACTTTTTTGTCTGAAGATTTATCCTTCGCTGCTGCCTTTTTTGGCTTCACTTCCACTTTTGCAGGAGGTTTAGCTGACAACCGCGCCGATCTCCTCTTGGGCTCTTCCTTGGCGGCCCCTTTGGTGGAGCTGACCTTCCTCTTGGGCATCCTGGTGGCAGGGAGGGTGTGTGCCGGGTGCCTGCGGGCTGCGGCGCGCCGAGAGCCTTCGCGAAACTGGGCTGCCTGGCCGCTGCCACTCCTCCCGCCACCCGAGCTGCTGAGACCCACCGATCATATAAGATTTGATCCCATATTTTTTTTTTCTTAAAAGGAGGAACTGAGCTGTGGCCAGACCATTCATGATATGCTTGGACTTTCTGGTTTGTCCTGACCTTCCCTCTTTCTTAAATAAACAATCATTTTATTCTGGGACAAAAAATTACCATATAAGATTCTTTATCATATAAAATTATTTTTAAGCTTTCTTACCAAAAATACTTCATTTCTATACCTTTCTTTACATATCTCTTATTTCCCGGTTCTTTTTACCTTGTTTTATACATAACCTTTAAATAACCTTTGAATTAGACAAAAATTACTCACCCTTTAACAAGAACACACACATTTTTTAGAAAAAATGTTTTCCTACAATACATATTTTTTCATTAGAAAACACCCATTTAATGAAATACCTATTATTTAACTTTAGATTCTAAATGATGGCAAGTTTATCTACAAGTATTTATCCCATCACATTTACCTAATTATTTTATTTTAATAGTTTACCTAGATTATTTATGAAAACTGCAACAGTCACCAAAGTTATTTTCCTGTCAACCATTTTATAGCTTGTGAATTTCAGGCATTTATCTGAGTTAGAATCTTAAGATTGAATACATGGTTATTTTACCAAATAATTCAGGATTTAGCTGTCTTCATTAAACCAATAATAATGTCTTTTTTGTGAAAGATTACACAAGCAAAGATCATTCTGTTTTGGGCTGGGTTTATTGTTTAATAACCTTTATGACAGCTGGGCACGGTGGCTCAGGCCTGTAATCCCACCATTTTGGGAGGCCGAGATGGGCGGATCACGAGGTCAGGAGATCGAGACCATCCTGGCTAACACGGTGAAACCCCGTCTCTACTAAAAGTACAAAAAAATCAGCTGGGCATCTGTAGTCCCAGCTACTTGGGAGGCTGAGGCAGTAGAATGGCGTGAACCCCGGAGGCGGAACTTGCAGTGAGCCCAGATCGCACCACTGCACTCCAGCCTGGGCGACAGAGGCAGACTCCGCTCAAAAAATAAAATAAAATAAGCTTTATGACAAATTTTGACACCTTATAATATTTGGCAGGGATAAGTATGAAATCTCTTGATCAATAAATGCAAACAAAAATGTATACTGACATTTCTGAAGATATTTGTAATATTACTCTACCAATAATTTTAAAGCTAGCTTAGTAAAAACTCTACTTAAGTCATGTGAGCTTGAAAAGCATTTGGGCTTATTATTTAATTTATGAGTACTCTTTAAGCCAAATTTGGTACCTTGTGGCAGAAAACATATAACCAAATACATCTACATACACGTAAACACACACACATACACACTCATATAAACAAATATCCTAGAGCATTTACTTCAGAACTCTAGCCATGCGATATTAATAACAACTCATTGGTTTGCAAAAACAATAACAAAAAGAAACGGTTAGGTGCAAACAGTGGATTTTATCTCAGTAGAAAAGTAACAACAGACTTAAAGCAGGCAGAAAAGAAAGCAGAGAGATAGAGAACTCAGGAGCTTTATAGTTGCAGATTGACCTTCAGGCTCGGAATTTTCCTTGATGTAATCTGCCTGTCAGTTTAAAACGTGCACAATAACAGACCTAACGCGTGAGCAGCTGGAGTCGTAGGAAATCCGGCCCTTCCATTTACACAGCCACTTGCGAGTACAGGAGCCATGAAACCAAATGGGCTTCCAAGGGGGCTTGTTCTCCTTGTCTTTCCTTATTCTTAGATGATGTGTTTCCCACATTGTTTTTTTCTTAAAAGGAGGAACTGAGCTGTGGCCTAGGGTTTAGTGTGGTGGGTCAAAGTGTGCTGGTTGCGGACAGGACTCCACAATGCATCACCACTGAATTGTTTCGGCCCTCTTTTGTGTCTCAGTTTCTCTCTCCAGAGGTCTAGCACCTCTGGGAGGGCTCAAAGCTTGGGGTGAGCAGCTCCTATATGTGCTCCCTGGACGAGGCTTTTAAAACTAATTTTGTTGGCAATTCCCTGTAGGGCTACTGCACATCACATGGAGGCAACCCCCAGACACTCCCACTTGGCCTCCAGTCACCCAGGAGCACCTTTTGACTGGGAGGAGCAAAATGCCCTTTCTCTTTGGGGTTGAGGAAACTCAGTCTCTCATTTATCTATGAAAGTGACAGTGCAGTTCCTCATGCAAATATGCAGACAAGCCAATGGAGATTAATTTGGGCAGGAAAGGCAATGGAGAAGACTCTTTAAAATGCACCTCTGAATTAGAATTGAGATCCTAAACAACCTCCTAGGAGGAAAAAAGCCCAGCCAAGACCACTTTCTGTAAACTGTCCTCGGCCACCTTTAACTGTAGCTCTTGTCTGCTATTACACATGCCAAGGTCAAATCCTCTCACAGGACAAGGTAATCTCTGGTACCCCTGATACAGGACTTAAGAAGAAATCACTTAGGCAGACAGTAAGGGTATGGGGATCCTCAGTAAAGTTTTTCTTTTTAATGAAAAGCAGCCTCAAATGATTTTCTAACAAAGAGCAGCCTGTAAAGTTCAGCTGCAGACATAGAGAGGCAAGATGGCTCCAATCAACTGGAAAGTCCATTTGCATAATAATATTCAGCTGGGGCCACCAGCCTTCCCCCGCACTATGTAAACGTCATACCTGATCGAACCAATCTGTCAGCCCTATGTAAATCAGACACCACCTCCTCAAACCTGACTAAAATTTGGCGCATCCACCACCCGCTGGTCCTTTCCACCGGGAGACCCCTTTCTCTATAGAGAAAGCTGCTTCTCTTTCTCTTCTCTTCTGCTCATTAAACCTCTGCTCCTAGACTTGTGTGTGTCCATGTCCTAAATTTTCCTGGTGCATGACAACGAACCCCAGGGTGTATACCCCAGACAATGTAGCCACTTCACCCCCAGAAGCCAAAGAGGTCAGGTAATGCAATACAGGAGAGCAGAGCTTTACACCTAAGAAGAATCTGCCCATGACTCTTGAAACTCCACAAAGAAAACAGAACAGCCCCAAAGGAGTGAACGGTGCCTTTGTCCTGAGTTCTTTAAAGGGTTAGAGTCATTAGATGCCTTCTTTATATTCTTCTTGGTACCAAAGATGGCGAGGGGAGAAGGAGGAATAGGGTGGAAGAAAAGTAAACGAAAGAACAGTTATTTTTTTAAGACAGGGAGCAAACACACAAACCAACTGCATGTTTGGTCATTTTTTTCTCTTTTGCAGCTGCGAGGAATTTTAGCCAATTCAGAGATACCTTGTTACTCACTATTTGGAATTCTCATTCAAATTTGACCAAGTCAGGTAGAATTGGCCAAATCTGATGGGAGAAAGACTGGAACAAACAACAAAAGAACCCCAACAATATGATTACTGAGTCCTCTAATGGTAAGGAGAAATTAAGACCAGCCGACTGTGAATCATAACTTTAGCCAAGAGAAAACTCCAATTCAGCTACTTACCTAGGAGTGGGTCTCAGGCTGAAGACTGCTCTCTACCATCCCAGAAGTAGGAAAAAACTCAAACTCACCTTCCCTGTTGGAAGTGAGCTCAAATTCCAGAATGCAGTTATTTGCCTTTCATTGTCATGGAAGCAGGAAAACTTGCCTTCCTTGTTGGAAGCAAGCAAAACTCCAGAAAAGGAGTTGTACAGCAAAATAAACTTTAGATCTCAACCAAATTTTGGGAGATGAGGGATTCTCTGGAGGGAGGGGAGCTCCCAGGCCTCAGCAAATTGTTCTATTGGTTTGAGCCATAAAGATAGCTCGAGTTGGTACCAAGTACTGATAGGAGATTTGTCAAAGGTCAGGGCCACCTCCACTCAGAGTCTCTTTGTGGTCACCAAATGTGTACCTCAAATATCTCAGACAGGTCTCAGTGAATTTAGAAAGTTTATTTTGCCAAGGTTAAGGACATGCCCATGACACAGCCTTAGGAGGTCCTGATGCCATGTGCCCAAGGCTTGGTTTTATACATTTTAGGGAGACATGAGACATCAATCAATATATGTAAGATATGCAATGGTTTGGTCCAGAAAGGTGGGACAACTTGAAGTGGGGAGGGGGCTTCCAGGTCATAGTTAGATAAGAGAAAAATGGTTGCATTCTTTTGAGTTGCTGATTAGCCTTTCACTGAATACACAATTTACATGTGAGAGCAGGAAGAGTCACTTATGCTTTAGTCTGACTTTGTGAAACAATAGGGCAAAGGAAGCAATCAGATATGCATTTGTCTCATGTGAGCAGAGGGATGACTTTGAGTTCTGCCTGTCCTTTGTTTACAAGGAATTTCTTCATGGGCAAATTGTGAGGAAGGTATGTAGCTTTAAAAAAAAATCTTTGTAGTTATCTTATTTAGGAATAGAATAGGAGGCAGGTTTGCCCAATGCACTTCCCAGCTTGACTTTTCCCTTTCGCTTGGTCATTTGGGGGCGATTTATTTTCCTTTCATGGGGTCAATCCATCAAGAAGACATAACAACTGTAAATATATATATGTATGTACCCAACATTGGAGCAGCTAAATATATAAAGCAAATATTTACAGAAGACAAGGGAGAAATTGACAGCAACACGGGGACTTCAACACCCCATTCTCAACAGTGGACGCATCATCCAGAAAGACAGTCAAAAAGGAAACATTGGACTTAAGCAAAACTCCAAGTCTTTTCTGAGTTCACCTTGGCTTGCCACAGCAGGCCACATGACAGGCCATGTGGCAGCCCACTGGATCTCACCTCAGCATCAATTAGAATTTCACTTCAGTTTTTCTTTCTCTTTGCATTTTCTCTGTAGTAAATTCCTAACCTCCTGCAGTTTTCTCTAGCTCAATAAATGACAACCCCATTCTTTCATCTGCTTGGGCCAAAAACCTCGGAGGCATGCTTGAAGCCTCACTCTCTCTCTCATCTCATCCAAATCCTAATCAAATCCCATCTGCTCTCCCTTCACATCCCTCCTCCGATCTAAACCTTCTGTTGGCCCCCACTATGGCCCCCAGGAAGAGCCTAAATCCTTTCAATGGCTCACAATATCTACTCTGCCCCTCGCTTAATCTGGTTTCTCTGAATCTTCACATTAGCATGGTGGCTCCACAAGAGCTGGGGTTAGATAGCACCATTGCACTCCAGCCTGGGTGACAGAGCAAGACCCCGTCTGTTTGTTACCTGTTCAGTGTCTGGCTCACAGTAGGTGATCAACAAGTGTCTGTTGAATGAATGATTTCAAACTCAGAACAGCAAAAAGGAAAAGCAAATTAATATATATTTTTTTGTGACGGGGTCTTGCTCTATCACCCAGGCTGGAGTGCAATGGCACTATCTCAGCTCACTGCAGCCTCCACCTCCCGGATTCTAGCAAGTCTCCCACCTCAGCCTCCTGGGTAGCTGGGATCACAGGGGCTCACCACCATGGCCAGCTAATTTTTGCATTTTTAGTAGAGATGGGGTTTCACCATGTTGGCCAGGCTGGTCTCGAACTCCTGACCTCAGGTGATCCACCCGCCTCGGCCTCCCAAAATGTTGGGATTACAGGCATGAGCCACCGCACCCAGCCAATAATTTTTAATAATATTACCTGTATTACATTTATAATAGTCAATAAATAGAAATACCTTAAATAATTATTATATGGAGAGGTCATTAAATGACTTATGTCATCTCCACTACATTAAAAAAAAAAGCTCATGTTTAAATTAGTTTGGGAAATGCTATATATTATACTCCCTTGTGGAGATTAGTATTAGCCTGTTAAAAGTTCTTAGAAGTCCTTGAGCAAAGAAAGATAGCTTTAAATTTGTTTAATCCAGCATTTCCCAAACATAACTGACCACAGGGCCCTCACTGTTTTGTGACTTTTATTAAAACAGAACTATTGTTTCACAGAACAGACTTTGGAAAACTTGTAATACATATATAGAAAAAAATTGAAGGGAGGTACATCAAGATGTTAATGATGTTTATTTCTGGTTGCTAGAATTATGGAAACTTACTCTTTTCTCTGTATTTCTCAAATTTTTTTTGCAATAAATATGTATTACTATTATAACCAAAACAGTAATAAGGATATTCACATTTTAAAATTGCAACTTTTGAAGGAGAAAATGAAGGCAAAGGATGATTCAAGTTGGAAGACGATTTAATTTCAACTGATAGATACTTCCTCATTTTAAGCAGATAGCAAATGCCCCACTCTTTTGGAGTCCAACTGGAGAGACCACACTTGCCCTGTTGAATCTTCTAGTTCTTCAGTGGACTGGATCAACTACAAGAATGCTGGGAAAGGAAGATAAAATGGTGAATGCTCTGCACAGAGTTGCTATATAATTATATAACCTTTTCAAAGATTGGATTTGACACCAGTTTTTCTCTTAATATGAACCAAATAATTCCATACAAACAAAATACTTTGATGAAAAAGCAGAATAAGAATGTGTTTCCAGTACAGTGGGGCTTGGAGGTAGTGGTATAAGTATGGTTAGGTAGTTTTTCTTCTTTTGTTTTTAAAGTATCTTTTTAAAAATGAACTGATCAAACAATACAGCTCATTGTAGAAAGATCAGAAAGTGGGCCGGGCGCGGTGGCTCACACCTGTAATTCCAGCACTTTGGGAGGCCGAGGCAGGCAGATCACGAGGTCAGGAGATCGAGACCATTCTGGCTAACAGGGTGAAACCCCGTCTCTACTAAAAATACAAAAAATTAGCCTGGCGTGGTGGCGGGCGCCTGTAGTCCCAGCTACTCGGGAGGCTGAGGCAGGAGAATGGCGTGAACCCGGAGGCGGAGCTTGCAGTGAGCCGAGATCACGCCACTGCACTCCAGCCTGGGCGACAGAGCGAGACTCCGTCTCAAAAAAAAAAAAAAAAAAAAAGAAAAAGAAAAAAAAGAAAGATCAGAAAGTGCAATTAGACAGGAAAAACAAAAGTTAACACCACCGCCAATAGTAATAAAACAACCTATTCACTACCACAAGGAGATAACCAATGTCTAATACTTGGGTTAGGTTCTTAGAGGCTTTCCCCCTATACAATTAGTTTTTAATAAGAAATTAGACTAAACTATATATCTTCTGTTATAATCTGCTTTTTCCACTCAATGATATTTCATGAATATGTTTCTGTGTAATTATCCTTAGTACTCAGTGTATGAATGTGCAATACTTTCTTTAGCTAGCCCCAGACTGATGGACATTTAAGTTTCCATTTCTTCACTATCGTAAACCATACTAAAAATTCCTTGTACACATATCTTTGTGGACTTGTTAGAGCCTGTCAGTCCTCCTGATTTCCACCTCTGCTTCTGGAATGCTGGGAGATTAGCCAAGCTTCCATGTGCCTCAGGTAATAAGCAGCTAGCTTAAGCCTTCATTACAGCTGCAGCTAATGGTATACACAGGTGAGTATAGAGGAGGAAGAATGAGGCACAGAGAGGCTGTGTGCAATCCTCACTGTGAAATGTCTTAATTAAAAATCAACAAGTATTACTGAGAGTCTACTATGTGCCCAGTAGCAAGTCCCAATTTTTCCTGGGACTTGATGTGTCCTTTATGACCACAGACTCCAGTCTTCTTTAATTTCTGCAACACTTAAAAAATTATAACTTGGCTGGGCGCGGTGACTCACGCCTGTAATCCCAGCACTTTGGGAGGCCGAGGCGGGTGGATCACGAGATCAGGAGTTCAAGACCAGCCTGACCAACATGGTGAAACCCCGTCTCTACAAAAAATACAAAAATCAGCTGGCTGGGCGTGGTGACGCGTGCCTGTAATCCCAGCTACTCAGGAGGCTGAGGCAGGAGAATCGATTCAACCCGGGAAGCAGAGGTTGCAGTGAGCCGAGATGGTGCCACTGCACTCCAGCCTGGGTGACAGACTGAGACTTCACCTCAAAAAAAAAAAAAAAAAGTCAGGAAACAACAGGTGCTGGAGAGGATGTGGAGAAATAGGAACACTTTTACACTGTTGGTGGGACTGTAAACTAGTTCAACCATTGTGGAAATCGGTGTGGCGATTCCTCAGGGATCTAGAACTAGAAATACCATTTGACCCAGCCATCCCATTACTGGGTATATACCCAAATGATTATAAATCATGCTGCTATAAAGACACATGCACACGTATGTTTATTGCGGCACTATTCACAATAGCAAAGACTTGGAACCAACCCAAATGTCCATCAATGATAGACTGGATTAAGAAAATGTGGCACATATACACCATGGAATACTATGCAGCCATAAAAAAGGATGAGTTCATGTCCTTTGTAGGGACATGGATGAAGCTGGAAACCATCATTCTCAGCAAACTATCGCAAGGACAAAAAACCAAACACCACATGTTCTCACTCATAGCTGGGAATTGAACAATGAGAACACATGGACACAGGAAGGGGAACATCACACTCTGGGGACTGTTGTGGGGTGGAGGGAGGGGGGAGGGATAGCATTAGGAGATATACCTAATGCTAAATGACCAGTTAATGGGTGCAGCACACCAACATGGCACATGTATACATATGTAACAAACCTGCACGTTGTGCACATGTACCCTAAAACTTAAAGTATAGTAACAATAAAAAAAAAAGAAAAAAGAAAAAGAAAAAATTATAACTTTTTCTTCTGTTGGATTATTTTGGTTCTCTTCATCGAAGAAATCATTCTGTGCCTCCTGCATCTACCATTTCTTCTCTAATCTTACTTTCACCAAACTGTTTACTTAATACTGCTTGCCTATATAATCCTATTTTCCATATTTTCTTTCATATTTTGCACCAATGTCTCTTTTTCTTCATGCTTCCTCATTTTGGTGATAGTTTTACTTTTTGTCTTTTACATTTTTCTTGGGATTTTCCAACTAATTTTCATCTTCTTCTTTTGTTTTGGTATACCTTATCTGCCCTGTTGTATTTCTGCATATAGCATTTACTATTATTATTATTGAGATGAGGTCTTGCTATGTTCCTAGGCTGGTCTCAAACTCCTGGCCTTAAGCAATCCTCCTGCCTCAGCCTCTGAAAATGCTGGGATTACAGGCATGTGCCACCATGCCCGACCTTAGCTATTATTTTATATTTTGTATCAAATGTTTTGAATTTATGGCAATATGTTAGTACATGGTTTTTATCTGCCCTGAGATATTTTTCTAGTGAGTATTCCTCATCTGCCATTTCTTGCTTATACGTTTCTTGTGTTTTCCATATAGTAACTCTGCATAGATCTGGTGCTGTTTCCTGTTGAATGAGGTAAACTCTTACTGGACCAGTTATTTACAGGAGATGTGCACAAGTCCAGAGCTATACTTTGGACTAACAAATTCTCTTCATGATGCTGAGGTATGTGTGAGCTCTTGTAGCCTTTACTTCTTTCCAGTCAAGTGAGAGCAGCAGATGTAGGTCTGAGCATAAAGAAGTTTCAGACTTTACCTTCTTGCCTCAACAAACTGCTTCTTAAAAATATGGCTTGCCTATATGCTTATTCATTCCAATTTACCTGTTAGGCTTCTACTTGGTGCCCAACTGGGTCCAGAAATGTTTCTTTCACTAGTTAGCTTGCTTGTTCCCAGCAAGGGCTTATTGGCTTTTCTATTCAGGTTAAGCCATCTACTTCAAAGAAGGAATTCTTTTTCTTGGCATATTGCCTGCTTTATCTTCACAGAAGTCCCTCTGAATATTAATTAACCAATACTTCAGATGCTTTTGATGCAGCTGACCTGCTGACCACAGTTTGAGTAACAATGACTTCAAAGATGTGGAACCAGACATATCTTGATTTGAGTTCCAGCTCCCTTGGTTGGTTGCTAGGTATACTAGTCAGGGATATTCAGCTGCTATAACAAACAATCCTGAGATCTTAGTAGCTTAACACAATAAAATTGATCCTTCACTCATGCCTCATTCTGATGTAAGTTAAGTTCTCCTCCACAAGGTGATTCAGGGATCCCAGCTCCTTCCATCATGTGGTTTCACCATCTTAGAGTCCTTCAGTTGAAGCCCTGCATATGTGAAAGAGAGAGGCAGCATGGACACATGTGCAAGACATTTTATGGCTAGGCCTGGAAATGTCATACATTCCTTTTGCTCGTATTTAACTGGCCAAATCTCAGTACTGTGGTCCCAGCCTAACTGGAAGGAAGGTTAAGAATATAATGTTACTCTGTGCTTGGGGAAGAAGGAACAGGATTGCTGAACATATAGCCAGTCTCTGTTACAGTCTGTCTTTCTGATCACCCAGTATCTGTTTCACTTTTCCTTTCATACGTGGAACACAGCCACCCTGTCATGCATATGGAAATATTCCACCCATATTTCCGCTTGAGAAAGGCCTTATTTCCCTAGCTGCTGAGAGTGTTGTCAGCAGAAAGCCTCTACCTGTCAGCTCATTCAGAGTCTGCCTCAGCTGCAGAGAGCTTCCATGTACTTTCTGGGGGCAGCCCACATCCAGTGAATGACTGAGGTGGGGTTAGAGAGGTCCAGCCATTTCAGCCATGTGGGACAACCCTGATGGGGCCGACTGAGTCTTTGTTGGGCTTGCAAGGCAGTTTGATTTCTCCCTTCCACCCCCTATCTTCCACAGGCATTGATCATTAATTATACTCTGAATGCCAAATTCCGGTCTCCCTGTCTAGTTTCAGAATACCTGACTTGTGGCAAACCCTTTCCTCAGTACTAAGTCACACTCATCACTGTGTCCAGCTCAAAGTCCAGAGTATCTGGGTGATGCTTAGTTCTCTCAAGTCTGAGGGTGGCTCTGCTTGGTTAAGTGACCTATGAACTAAAACGAGTTATATGCTCCTGATCTCCACACCCCAGAATAATGATGGAACAGGAAGAGGATAAGCACCATAAACATTCCCATTTGGAAATAGGAAGAATGAGAGACACACAGCAGTCACTGCTCTGTGGCAATCCTGGAGTCCTGGTAGGTAGGCATGGATTAGGCCCAAATCCTGCTTTCAAAGGGTGACTCTGTGGCCCATTGTCCATTCTCTGGGAGGCTCTACTGATCCATTATTCTCTATGGCTGCATCTGAAGCAAATGTTGGGACCTTCGAAGCTGGTGTCCTTCTTTTTCATGGAAAGGTGGAGGCCTAACTATTGTTTACAACAGATGGCTCATTTAGTTCTGGCTTATGGTTTCTCTGGCAATAAGCTTCTCTCAAAAGCTTAGCTGACTTCTAATCTATTTGTCTCCAATCAGTTCCATGTGCCAGTAACCACATCCAAGGTTGCTTCCTAGACACAGTTCTTGATCCTGTGATCATTTTGAGGTTACAGGAGCCATAGGTGATGCCACACCCTTAATCTGATCTTTATCCTCAGCCACTTTTATTAGATTTTTGAGCTCTGCAGGACCCCCCATTTCTATTCTCTATTCCCTTTTAGTTCCTCTTGCAAACTGGCCAACTATTTCCTGACCTCATCTCTTTAACACCTTTGTTGATCACTTTCATAGGTCTCCCCACTTGGACTCTGTCTCCCACAATAGCAATGACCTACCAATTTGTAATTTTTAATTGTCTTCTTTCTCTGCCTTTCTAGCAACAAGCACAGAGACAAGCAAGTAGTCATTTGTTGGTAAATACTGACTGAATTAACAAAATTTAGCTCAACTATTTTGTTTTCCTCAGGATTCTTTTGGCTTCATATGATTTATGTAGATAAATATTATGATAAATTTTCAGGAAATTGAGAGCACAGCTAATTATTTATTTTCTATGTATAGTTCTTGAGCCACAGGGAAGAAAAATTAGGAGTTAATAAAGTTGATAAAAGAAATGACCATTGGAAACACTAGTCATTAAATGTGACCTGTCAGTCACTGGTAACAAATGGAGCAAGTTGGAGGAAGTAAAAGAGAAAGTAGACATTTTAAAAGGGGGTTGCATGACCTTTCACAGTTTTCCTCCCAGAATTGAATTTCTTAAAACTTTCCCTTAATTACAGATATGCAGGCTGGTGAGCAACCTGTTTCTGTTCCCACCCCCCTTCACATTCCCTCTCTCCTCCCTGTCTCTTCTTCCCACAGAAGCTTACGTGAAGCAGCAGAGGATCCCCATTAGTGCTGAGGTGAGAAGAAAAGCAACAATGGCTGCTGGAGGTAAGGCACTCTTGATAAGTTGCCATAAGTAATCCCTGAAGTTGTTCAGCCAGGACCTGTGATTACCTGCAGAAAGAGCATAGACATTCATTGAGGAGAGGTCAAGTAAATGATAGGGCTGGCGTTTGAATCCAAATTCGAGTTCAAATAGTTGTCCCAGATATCATGTTCTTACAGTTGTCCAGAGCCCATATTCTAAACTACTTTGCTGTGCTGGCTGTAAGATGTTCAAAGGGCAAACATTTTGTTTTTAAAGTATCCTGAGATGGATATAATTTTTGCCTCCTTGTAAGTCAAATAGGAACAATAATTGTTGTTTCGGATATCTTGAGTATATTGGGTACTTTTTGAAAGAGAAGCATGACTTGATAACAAGAAAGTCTTTACTAAGGTGTTGTTGCCTAGAGTATATCTGGGAGTCCTGCAGGAGGCTGAGGAGAGGGAGTATCCCAGGAAGAGAAAGGAGAAGGCCACCAGCCCTAAGAGCAGAGGAGAAAGGGGCCAGGGCCACTGGAAGAAGGACCTCTAGGGGGAGTTTGCTGATCAATGTAAGGCTGGGGATGTTGGGTCTTTTCATTAGCAACTGGGGGAGGAAGGTACAGTGCTTTGACCCTGAAGAAAGAAGGAGGGGAAAACGAAAGTGTCTGCAGCATGGAGTTGAGAGGATTCACCACTAACCAGCAAGACACTTGAATAGCATGTGTGTGCATGTTGGAACCTAGATTGTGGATCAGTGGACCATCAGGTTTATTTTCAATTTCACCTCCTTTGTCAAGTCTTTCCTGACCCCTCCCCCAAAACAATTTAAATTATCCCCTTGTCCCCTGGGAGCATTGATCATACTCCATGGAAGGTTGGCATCTATGGCTTTGTCTGCCTATCTGTGAGCTCCTTCATAACAGAGGCTGTTCAATTCCTAATCCATGTAGTTCAGAAAAGGGCTTGGTACGTAGTAGGTAGGTTAATGCTTGTTGAACTAAATTGAACCAAACCAGAATAGTTTGCTTTCCTATGAACATTCTTTTTAAACATGAAATTCATTTTACCTGACCTGAACTGAAACATGAATCTTAAGTCCTATGAAGAAAGAAACATTCATCCTAACAGCAAACACACCCCCTGAGCGTGGTTTCGATCCTGTTTTTTCTTGTATTCCCAAGGCAGACAAAGGCAAAGGAGAGGAAGCTACTGTCTCCAACAAGAGGCAAGTTAGAGAGCATAGCAGAAATCCAATTATCAGCAGCTTCTGGGGTTCCATGGACTCCCGCCTTCAGCTGCGGCTGAAGAGCTGGTAATCCTAGCTCACTCTGCCAAGGAGAGATGTCTTTGTCCGTAGGTCTTTCCACAGAAACTTTGTCTGAAAAGTTAGACAATGATGGTTTAGCTCATATTCCAAAAATCTTCTCACCATCACGAACATAAGGACAATTGACTGACTTACACAGGTGACTCCTGAAAATGGTCAGTTTCCAAAGCAAAATATATCCCCTCCAAGAAAACAAAACAAAACCTGACTATGCTCTATCAGGTCAGATACCGGACATTCCTTCCTACACCTGATACCTTTTCAATCTTCCCCAACTCAATTAGTAGAAACTCTTTCACCTGTTCAGGCTGAAAAAGGTACATTCACATTGTTGTGCAACAGATCTCTAGAACTTTTTCAACTTGGAAAACTGAAACTCTAAACAGCTCCTCATTTTTGTTTCTATGAATTTGACTACTTTAGATACCAAATATAATAAATTTCTATATATTTTTAACTCCATGATATATTTTATATATTCAAGTAACAAACTTTAAATTGCTTTAAAAAGTAAATGTTTGCTTAGATTTACATATATAGTAATGACTCTTCTTTTTCTCTCATACACTTTATCCATCAGAAAAGTCTAGTCACCTTTACTTACAAAACGTATCCAGAATCCTGCCACTTCACACCACCTCCACTGCTACCCACCATCATCTCTGTCTTTCTGCTTCCGTCCTTGCCTCCCTTAAGCCTCTTCTCCAGTGAGTGGCCAAAGAGATCTTGGTAGGTTGTAGGTCAGATTATGTCCTAGTTACTGCTGACCACATATCCTATGAGTCTCCTCTTGATCATCACTCCAACTTAGCCTCATTTCATTTTGAACAAGCTAGGCATGTTCCTACCTTGGGGCTTTTTAACTTGCTTTTCCCTTTCCAGGGAATGCTTTTCCCCCAGGTATTCTCAGAATTTATTTCCTCACCTCTGTCAGGTACTCAAATATCACCTTCTCAATGAGGATTTTCCTTAGATCCCATTGTTAAAATTGTACCACCCTCCTACAAACTTCCTAATTGTCTTACCTGCTTGATTTTTCTCCAGAACCTCATCAGAACCTAGTAGAATATATTTTACTTTACTTTATTATATGTATCTCCTGAATATAATGTAAGCTCTATGAGTGCAGGGATTTTTGTCTGTTTTGTTCACTGCTAAACAGTACCTAGCACATAGGGTATCCAGGTGCTCAATAAATATTTTTTGAATGAATGGCGACTTTTGGCAGATATTGTTCCCACCCATTTTTCATTTACTACATCCAACTAGATAAGCTGAAAAAGCTGAATCCTCCCTTTCTTAGCCATCCTTGAAGTTAGGCATGGCTATGTGACATAGCTCTGGATAATGAAACATAAGGGAAATCTGATGGATAGCTTTTGGGAAGGCTTTTTGCTGTCTTGATAAAAGAGATGGTGCTACCATTTTCCCTTTATGCTGCCTTGAATATTGCTTAAGAAATGTTGCCTGAAGTTGCTCTGATAATTTCAAGCCACTAAACTAACACCTGTATCTGCTTACTTCTGGACTGCATGGTATGAGAAAAATATACTTTTATTTGAGCCATTATAATTTGGGCCTCCTATTACTTAAGACATTTATAACTGATACACTCACCTACTGTTTGATACGGCTTAAAGAGACCCACATCCAGCGGGAAACCACTTACCTGAAAATGGACTTAGGACCACGGAATTCAAAGAAACCAGTGGAATTAGGCCTTAGTCTTTAGAGGGCAGAAGTCTTCAGAAGAAGCTGGTCAGTCTTCTCCTTAGGTCTCTGAAGTTCCAAACAGAATTCCACCACTCCTTATGATATCACTGATTACATTTAACCCTCCCCCAGTCTCCTTATTTGACAGCTAAGCACACAGACATCATTTTCTCTCTATGTATAAACATCTGTGTTGATACCAAAACCCATCCTTGCAGTAGTTCTATCCTCTTAGGCTTGAATAATTCTAAGATATTTTATTCACCACATGGTATCTAACTATGCATTATAATAACATATATATGTGGCATTTCATATCAGGGAAAAAGACCTTATTTAATATGATGTTGGGTGTGAGCCCTTTGCCATGCTATGCAAAATAGAAATTCTAGATGGATCCAGGACTAAACAAAAAATAAAATTATATACAAAATATGACATTTTCTGTCATACTTTTATGATAGAAAATTCTATGTGTGGATATTTTTATAATCTTGGTGCAGAAAAAGCTACTCTAAGCATGTCATAAAACCCAAAGCCATAAATGAAAATGCTGATAAATTTATAACATAAAAATGTAAAGCTTTCATATAGCAAAACATTGTTTAAAAAAGATAAAAGGTTAATGACAAATTAAGTAATTTCACAGCATATACGACAGACATTCAATTAAGATTGTTAACGTACAAAGAACTCTTACAAACTAATTAAAAAGAAATAGTACTGGCTAGGCACAGTGGCAGACGCCTGTCATCCCAGCACTTTGGGAGGCTGAGACAGGAGGATAGCTTGAGCCCAGGAGTTCGAGACCAGCCTGAGCAACATAGCGAGATCCTGTCTCTACAAAAAATTTAAAAATTAGCTGGGTGTGGTGGTGCATGCCTGTAGTCCCAGCTACTCGGGAGGCTGAGGCAGTAGCCTGGCTTGAGCCTGGGAGATTGAGGCTGCAGTGAGCTATGATCATGCCACTGCACTCCAGCCTGGGGGACATGAGGGGCTTAAAACCTAGATGATGGGTTGATGGGTGCACCCAACCACCGTGGCACATGTATACCTACGTAACAAACATGCATGTTCTGCACATGTATCCCAGAACTTAAAGTAAAAAAAAAAAATGCAAATCAAGTCGAGGCAACATAGCAGGATACTGTCTCTACAAAAAATAAAATATTAAAAAAATTAAAAAAATAATACTTATCCATAGAAGAACTGGCAAAAATGGTATCTCAGTTAGGTTCTATCAGAAAACAGAGCTACCAGGAAATACATAAAATGAAAGTTTTTGTAGAGTCCTCCAGTCTCCCCCAGTTTCTTGCTGTGTCATGCTAGAAAATCATGGAGTGGCTTGATCATTCTGTGACCCAGCCAACAGGCCTGAATGAAAATTAGGACCTTGAACATTCCCAGGCGCTGATAAAGGTGTATCTAGGTTGTGACCCGAAACACTGGAGGAAGCTGGCCCTGGCCCTTGAGCCAAATTCCTCTAAACCCTCATATGAGCTCCATACCCTGACCTTTCTGTGGAAGGAAAGGTGAGGTGAAGTGGAGAAAGCAAGTATACACTGGAAGCCTGAAAAGAGAAGAGCCCATGAAATGGACTAAAACCTGCATCAGTCTCATGTTATCTCCAAGCTTCTAACTTCGATGGTGGAGTAACATGCATGAGAAGGTCAGGTGTTTTCTGAAAGAGCTAAACACACAACTTTTCTAGGATTTGGAGAAGCTAAAAGATCCAGCAGGAGCTGGAGGACCTGCAAACTTGGTCACTGTCCTGTGCCCACCAGGTAACCCCACAAAATAGTGACAATGTGAATAAGCTGAAAATGAGCATTGTATGCCTGTCTGACTTTTCCATTGTAAAAAGAATATGGCTGTCATATAAGTTAACTTTAGCTGAATGAAAAATGACCTCCAACTTAGCAACTGTGAAGAAAACATTTATTACCTTATAGTTTCTGTAGGTTAGTTTTGGAGTGGATGATGAGATTGGAGTCATGTATCTGCTGGGACTGCAGTCATCTGAAAGCTTGACTGTACTGGAGGATCTACTTCCAAGATGGTGCACTCACATGACTATTGCTAGGATGACCAAAAGTCCCAGCTTGCCTGGGACTCAGGATTGGCTTCATGGGAGTTTGATCTATGCAGGTCTACAGGGCCCCACACCCTGAGGGGCCCTATGTTTCGTTTGCTCTGATGTCACTGTCTCGAAATTCTTAATAATTTTATCTTTGATCTTGTGTTTTGTAAGGGAAGTTTAATGAGACCGCCTATTTCATCACACTCATTTTCTCCTCCCCACTGACTTTGCCAACATTCTTCTCCCTTTGAGTCTCACTGAACTCTGATGCATTGTGGGTCCACTAGAATGTTATGCTCATGGGCACTGTATACATTCTTTGCTATTCTATTTGCACATAGTGTTTACAATGCATTTTTGCATTGTTGTAAAACTGTAGTAAGAACACAACGTGGTATCTGCTCTCTTAACAAATTTTTAAGTGCCCAGTATGGTATCGTTAGCTATATGCACAATGTTGTACATTAGATCTGTAGAACTTAATTCATCTTGCATAACTGAAACTTTTTTTTTTTTGAGATGGAGTCTCACTCTGTTGCCCAGGCTGATGGAATGCAACGGCACGATCTTGGCTCACTGCAACCTCCACCCGCCTCCCGGGTTCAAGCGATTCTTGTGCCTCAACCTCCCAAGTAGCTGGGACTACAGGCATGTGCCACCATGCCCAACTAATTTTTATATTTTTATTAGCGACGGGATTTCGCCATGTTGGCTAGGCTGGTCTTGAACTCCCGACCTCAGGTGATCCGCCCGCCTTGGCCTCCCAAAGTGCCAGGATTACAGGCATGAGCCACTGTGCCCAGCAGCATAGCTGAAACTTTATGCCCATTGAACAGAAACTCCCATTTCTCTCTCAGTCTCTCTCTCTCCATATAAGCTGTTCTCCTGGATTGAGGCTCCATTTCTGATTTATTTTATTCAGACTCTCATGAATTATATCATTTTTACTCTGAGTTCAATTTAATCTGGTTTTCTAACTCACTAATTTGGTTTTCTAGAGTGTCCATCTTGCTATTCAGTGCCCCTATTTGTTTTAAAAATCAGTGTTCACATTTTTATTTCCAGTGTAAAAACACAATTCTCAAAGGCATTTGTTTGTATGTGTCAATGTTTTATTTAACTCATTACTGAAGAAACCAGCAGGAAAATAAAAGAGCTAGTTCCATGAACATTTGAGAAATAGAGATGTATATAGTCAATGGGAAAAGAATGCCAAAATAAGATTATCAAGTTAAACATAACAGGAAATAAAACCATATCACCTTTGGGGTTAACTCCTCTACCGGGCTATAAAACAAAACAACTTATTCATTTCTGTAAGTTAGCCTCTAAACTTTAAGAACTTCACAGGGCTATAAACCATTTGCACCTGCATCATTTGTGGATTGTGACTATACTGTGACAGCTATGTTATAGTTTCCAAAGAGGTCAGATAAGGGTCAAGCAGGATTATTAGAAAATACTCCAGCATAGAAAAAAGTAGCCATTCTTTTGCCTTTTCTCAGATTGGGATCCATTTTTCTTTCATATTAGGATCTCCTGTTTTCCATTTGCCCTGGGTTGCAATCTTTGGATGCTTCCTCCAACTGCTCTATAACTTATCCTTGTCTCCAGCCCCCTTTACTATCAGGAGATTCTGTGTAGTCATAGTGAAGGGGTCAGGCAGATGGAAGGAGCAGTAAACCCTTCACAATCTTATGGGGGTGGAGGGCAAGAAGGGGGATCCTATTGTGTGGTGATATGGCAGACTGGAGTGTTTTTTCTGTTTTCACCAGTCCAATTTTCTTCTGACCTCCTTGATATTTCAACTATGTAAGTAGGACTCTAGTTTTCAGTCACGGTATATAATTTCCCCTGTTACATTTTTGTTGTGTTATTTTCAGCAGGAAATTAGTAGAGGGAGAGAGTAAACTGAGTGCATTATTAGAATTACAAAGTTTGTATCTCCTATCTCAGATAACCATGGATTTTCCTCATATTTCCACAGAAATATTAAATGTATGTCCTTTAGAAGCCTAATGTCATCATCATTTTCTTTCTTGGCCATCACAAATTTCAAGAAGACATTGTTATTTTATTTCAAAGCTTTCAACAATTGCATCCTCCTGACTTATTTTTTTATTGGTCAGAATTAAGACCAAATGGCTTTATATCTATGGACACTCGTCAGAAAAATGCACATTTGCATTTATACAGAATGCCTTATATAATTTCAGGGGACTTAGGGATTCTTGAACCCCATCTATAATTCTCAGTTTAAGAATGCTAGTTTTGGAGATAAGAATGTGCCCCTCATAATGACTAAATAACATAATTATATCTATGTGTAAGGAAGCAGAAACAGACTTTACTGTAGTAGTTATTGTATTCTCTCCATTTTGCAGATTGTCCAAATGATTTGCCTTTTGACTCCAAGATTGTATTGATCTGATCCTGAAACATGCTTTGTTCCATGCTTGATCAGGATAATAAACAACTGAGAGTTTTATTTTAAACGTATGAGGCTTAACCTGAAATGTTAACATCATAAATATCTTTTTCAAAGTTTCATCACATAGTTTTTCTACAACAGAGGAAGTGGTGACTCTGAGAGGCCTAACTTTTCAGGGAAGAATGCTTTCATGCAGGTTTCTCCTCACTTCTTTTTGCCTAGTTATATTGGAAGGAAGGAGTAATCTGGGAGCAGCTGCAGAAAATAGGTAAGAGTTAAGTTAAATTGGATGCACCCTCCTGGCCCCCCACCAAAGAAATGCAGGACTGATGATAGTTAATTCAGGAGGCTTCAAGGCAGTGTCTGCTAGGATTTAGCACAAAGGTAGAAGGCAAGCCAGGGAGGGACACTGCCCTGGAGCTGAGGAGGGAGAGGTGACGGCAGTGGCAGGTGCTGCAGTGGCCACCCTCAGTAGAGGTCCTGTGCCTCGCAGCCCAGAACCTCCATCCTCAGGGCAATCTGGTGCACCCAACTCTGGGGGTGAATTCGAAGGTAGCGAGTCAGTAACGGTGGGTCTAGAGAGTTCACCACAGGTGTGAAGGAGTCTTGATTTCCCTGAAAAACCTGAAAGAGGAAAGATAGCATTTATTGGTTGTCTGACAGGACAATGGTCACTGCAAAGCACAGACGCTTTTCTCACTTCTAGTTGTTTCCAGTAGTCCAGGATTAAACCCTGGAAGATGACTAGATGACTCTGTCCTACGCATCTGGGACATCTAGAATTAAGAGCACCCTGCTTTGGAGGCCTTCACTCTAGCTAGGCCTTATATCTACAGTGTTCTCACCCACTTCCCAAACCTCAGTGACATTAAGTGCTTTGTCCTGGGTCACACACAGCATCTGTGTTGGACCATCTGGAGATGAGAGTCAGGCTTTGGCCAGCAGACTCCCTTGTCAATGCATTTGCTGTGGCAAGAGGAGTACATGGCAAGAGCTCAGAAAATGGTAGCTATCGTTATTAGATAAACTGGTTTCGCACATGTTGGTGACAACTTTAGAATGATAACGAATGCAACACAGCAAGGCATGCAATTTAGTGTGGCTGGGCAACCTTGGCAGGAGGGGATGCAGAAGAGAGAAAGAAGTGGGAAGAGTCTAAGACTCAAGGCACCTTGCTACTCCAGGACTTTGGAGCAAAGGTCACCTATAACTGGGTGGATGTTTGGGAAAATGAAGATCTGAATGTTCAAAACGTGTAATTCAAGGCAACTCTGAAACCCTGTGGGTTTTGTGTGGATTCCGAGGTAATCCTACAGTAGAAAGTCCAGCCAAATGGTGAGAATAAGCAAGAGTCTTGGAGAAAAAGGAACAGAATGAAGGCAATGTCCTACCATAATGCATGCTCTTGCAAGGACAGACAGACACCATGATATCTTTAGGATCTCCTGAGGCAGTTTGTGTAAAAGGAGGCAACTTGCCACCAAAATGGGAAAGAAGTGGTTAAACAGCAACAGTAGGGCTCCTGCTTCCTGGAGCTATTGGGTGACATTTTCCTCTAACAATCCTGGCATCTTCAAGTGTGGTGTCAGTTTTACTTCGGATTCCAAATGGGAAGAGACTTTTCCTGGCAAATGCACTGTGAAGTAACACTGTGATCCTACAGAGAGTTTAGCTATCAGAACAAAAGACGTTTGGGCCATCTTCATTCATCTAGCTACATTTTCCCCCTAGGTTCCCAACCCTGGCTGCTTATTGGAATCGCCTTTGGAGCTTTTAAAAAATGATGCATGGGTAAGTTCCCCACCCCCCCACCCCCCCAAGAGATGCCAATTTAATCGGTCTGTTCCCACCTTGGCCCCCTTACTCTGGTCTCCAAGTTCTGCCTAATATAGCCCCTGCCCAAGTCTCTGATCTGTTCTCCCACTGCATTCCTCCTATTTTACCGCATCGCAGATGAGCTGATCTTTCAGTTTCTCAACAATGTCAACTCTTGTTTTATTTAACATGAGAGCCTTTGTATATGTGATTCCCTCTGCTTGGAAGGCTCTTACCCCTTCTGTTTCTTCTTTTATCCATGTTTTTTACCCTTCGGGTCTCAGTTTAAATACCACCTCTTAAACTAAGCATAGTGGCATGCCCCTGGAGTCCCAGCTACTCAGCAGGCTGAGGCAGGAGGATTGCTTGAGCCCAGGAGTTTGAGACAAGCCTAGGCAACATAGCGAAATTCTGCCTCAATTTTTTTTTTTTTTTTTGAGACGGAGTCTCGCTCTGTCGCCCAGGCTGGAGTGCAGTGGCACCATCTCGGCTCACTGCAAGCTCCGCCTCCCGGGTTCACGCCATTCTCCTGCCTCAGCCTCCCAAGTAGCTGGGACTACAGGTGCCCGCCACCATGCCCGGCTCATTTTTTGTATTTTTAGTAGAGATGGGGTTTCACTGTGTTAGCCAGGATGGTCTTGATCTCCTGACCTCGTGATCCACCCGCCTCGGCCTCCCAAAGTGCTGAGCTACCTCTTTAGAAAGGTCTTCCTCATTATTCCTCTTGTAAAATAGGACTCTTTTTTGTTCTAAATCTCAACTTATTTGTTTCCTTTGTAGCATTCAGTATCTTTTCCTTTATCTCTTTACATGCTTATTGACTGTTTCCTCTGTCTCCGCCACCAAATGTCAGTTCCACAAGGGCAAAGACCTTGGTCATTGTTGTATCTTCAGCACATAGAATATATAGCATAATGTATATAGCATGGCAAATATACCATAAACATCTATAGAAATAAAGTTCTGTATTTGGAAAAATTTTTGAGAAACATTAAGGTCCCTGTTCTGAGATTATTTTACAAATGTTTACGCTGTATTTGGAGGCTTTGTACATCTTTTGTTAGACTTAATCCTTACTGCATTAAATCAGGGGGCATGCGATGCCAGATTGTCCCATTATTGATGATGCTAAGTTTGATCACTTGGTTAAGATGTCCACCTAATCTCTATATTTATAAAGGTAACCCTTTCCCTTTCCTAACAATCTGTGGAGTGAGACTTTGAGACCATGCAAATATTCTGTTTCACAACAAGCTTTTATCCAATGGTATTAGCAACCCTTAAAGTTCTTTACAAGTATTCAATAGTAAGTACATTGATGGTTGCAAACTGATTTTCCAGTTATGATCCATTACCCTCATTATTCCTTTTGATGCTCAAATTGTCTCAAATCTGGCCAACAGGAAGCCCTTCAGACCAGTTTCTGTGTTCTTTTCACATGATCCCATTAATCTTCTGGCACATCAAGATCACCAAGATCATCTAAGATTGCCTGGCAGTTTCCTTGATCCAGCCTTGAAAAAGTCATTTCTCTAGGGAGCTCAGATTCTTTTGACTGGAAAATGGTAGTTAGAGACCAAGATTTGGGCATGGGATGGGCTCGTTATTACTGCAGTGTAATTACTTCTAGATTCCCTCAGTGAACAGTGCTAAGAATATGATTTTTTAAATTCCTAAGTTCTCACTGACACTTCTAATTCAACTCTAACATTCTTTTTGTTAGTATTAGATTTCTAGGGCTACTGTAACAAATTCACCACACACTTGGTGCCTTTAAAACAAAAGAAATTTATTCACTTATCGTTCTAGAGGCTTAAAGTCTGGAGCCTGGAGCAGAGGCACAAAAGAGTGTGTCAAACACAAAATCACATTTAAAGCTTCTATTTGGAAGTGGTATATATGTCATGTCCAATCACATTCTATTGATCAAGATGAGCCGTACGGCCATGCCTAAAGTTGATGAGGTTTTCAAGGAAAGAGGGAATAAAAACTCAAGAACATTAATACCATCTGCTTCATATGCTATTTTCTGTTCATTTAGAAATTCCTTACATTTTCTTGTTTCAGCAATAAGAGGTGATTTATGCAGGCAGACATGAGGGCTGGGTGGCTTACTAGGTTTCTTAGCCAGGAGTACCCTCTACTGTTGATAAATGGAAGTGTAATTTATTTAATAGATGTGACCAAAGAGGTTTGTGGGTCTTGTGATTTAGTAATTCACTTTTGTTTTTATAGGACAGTTAATTTCCAACATTTGCTTTCTTCTTTTTTTTTTTTTTTTTTTTTTTGAGACAGGGTTTCTCTCTGGAGCAAGGTTGGCTAGATTTATATATTTATTTTCTACTTGTAAATATAAACTTATAGTACTTTTTGTCTTCTGGTTATTCTATAGATGGGTTATGGGTGGTTTTAGTCATAATTTAAAATTGTGTGTGTATGTGTATGTATGGTTTTTGAAGACTGTGGAGAGATTTAGGCAGCTGCCATTATCTGACAGGAATGTGCAACTCCTGCTTGGAATTTTTAAATGCTATTTAAAACTATTTTTCCAACTGTTTCAGGTATACAGAAATACAATTAATTTTGGTATTTATTTTGTTTTCAGCAAGCTTGAAAAATTTTAAAAATTCTAATAATTTATATATAAATTCCTTTGGATTTTCTATCTATGCCATCATATCTTCCACATACAATGAGTTTGTTTCATCATATTCAATCCTTACATATTTTCCTTCTTTTTCTCATCTTATTGCACTGCTTAGGACAGCCAATATGTATAATCCTTCAGTCTGTCACTGTGATAAATTATATCAGTTTTCTAATGTATAAGCCAAACTTGCATTCCTAGCATAAATCCAATTTGGATCCATATTGCTAATATTTTGTTTGGGATTTATGTTTATGAATAAAACGGGCCTATTATCTTCCTTTCTAATATTGTTCTTGTTCGGTTTGGTTGTCAAGGTTATGCTATTATCATAAGATAATTGAATAACATTCCATCTTTTTCCATTTTCTGAAAGAATTTTTGCAAGGTTAATATTATTTCTCCTTTGAAAAATTGGTAGAATATAGTTAGTGTAGCCATCTGGATCTGGATTTTTTAAATTAATAACCTTTTAACACTAAGTTTGGAAAATTAGGTAAAATGGATTAATCCCTGGTAAATACAACAAGAAAGAACATTTAATATTAATAAGTATCCTCATTTTTTATATTTTTATATTGGCAGAAATTTTTGTGGGATCTTTATTGATGTCCAGTTTTTTAAAGTTTCTGATATTATTTGTGCCTTCTTTTCATCTTGATTGCTCTTGCCAGAAGTTTGTCAATTTTCAAGGAACCAACTTTTGGTTTTCTTTATTCTCTCTATTGTATGTTTCTTTTTTACTTCATTTACTTCATATCTTTATTATTTCCTTGCTTCTACTTCCTTTTGGTTTATTTTGCTGTTTCACTAGCTTCTTGAGACATACCTTAGCTCATTAATTGTCAGGCTTTCTTCTCTTCCAATATATGTTTTTAACGCTATACATTTCTTTCTAAATATTGCTTTAGCTGATTCCCACATTTTAATATGTCATGCCTTGTTATCATTCAGTTTAAAATATTTTCTAATTTATGATTTCTTATTTGACACATGGGTTTAAAAGTATAGTTCTTGATTCTAACATAGGAAGATTTTATAGTTATCTTTCTTATTTATATCAACTTTAATTGTATTGTGACCAGAAAACATGTTTTATATTATCTGAAATTTGAGACTACTTTATTTGTAGCTTATTTGTAGCTTAAAATGGAAAATTCTAACATGTTTCCTTTGTGTGCTTACAAAGAATGTGTAATTTTGCAATTTCTTTTTTTTTATTATACTGTAAGTTCTAGGGTACATGTGCACAACGTGCAGGTTTGTTACATATGTATACATGTGCCATGTTGGTGTGCTGCACCCATTAACTCGTCATTTACATTAGGTATATCTCCTAATGCTATCCCTCCCCTGTCCACCCACCCCATGACAGGCCCCGGTGTGTGATGTTCCCCTACCTGTGTCCAAGTGTTCTTATTGTTCAATTCCCACCTACGAGTGAGAACATGCGGTGTTTGGTTTTTTGTCCTTGTGATAGTTTTTGAGAATGATGGTTTCCAGCTTCATCCATGTCCCTACAAAGGACATGAACAGATCCTTTTTATGGCTGCATAGTATTCCATGGTGTATATGTGCCACATTTTCTTAATCCAGTCTATCATTGATGGACATTTGGGTTGGTTCCAAGTCTTTGCTATTGTGAATAGTGCCGCAATAAACATACGTGTGCATGTGTCTTTATAGCAGCATGATTTATAATCCTTTGGGTACATACCCAGTAATGGGATGGCTGGGTCAAATGGTATTTCTAGTTCTAGATCCTTGAGGAATCGCCACACTGTCTTCCACAATTGTTGAACTAGTTTACAGTCCCACCAACAGTGTAAAAGCGTTCCTATTTCTCCACATCCTCTCCAGCACCTGTTGTTTCCTGACTTTTTAATGATCGCCATTCTAACTGGTGTGAGATGGTATCTCACTGTGGTTTTGATTTGCATTTCTCTGATGGCCAGTGATGATGAGCATTTTTTCATGTATCTGTTGGCTGCATAAATGTCTTCTTTTGAGAAGTGTCTGTTTATATCCTTCACCCACTTTTTGATGGGGTCTTTTTTTCTTGTAAGTTTGTTTGAGTTCTTCGTAGATTCTGGATATTAGCCCTTTGTCAGATGAATAGATTGCAAACATTTTCTCCCAATTTGTAGCTCGCCTGTTCACTGGGATGGTAGTTTCTTTTGCTGTGCGGAAGCTCTTTAGTTTCATTAGATCCCATTTGTCAATTTTGGCTTTTGTTGCCATTGCTTTTGGTGTTTTAGACATGAAGTTCTTGCCCATGCCTATGTCCTGAATGGTATTGCCTAGGTTTTCTTCTAGGGTTTTTATGGTTTTAGGTCTAACATTTAAGTCTTTAATCCATCTTGAATTAATTTTTGTATAAGGTGTAAGGAAGGGATCCAGTTTCAGCTTTCTACATATGGCTAGCCAGTTTTCCCAGCACCATTTATTCAATAGGGAATCCTTTCCCCATTTCTTGTTTTTGTCAGGTTTGTCAAAGATCAGATGGTTGTAGATGTGTGGTATTACTTCTGAGGGCTCTGTTCTGTTCCATTGGTCTATATCTCTGTTTTGGTACCAGTACCATGCTGTTTTGGTTACTGTAGCCGTGTAGTATAGTTTGAAGTCAGGTAGCGTGATGCCTCCAGCTTTGTTCTTTTGGCTTAGGATTGACTTGGCAATGCGGGCTCTTTTTTGGTTCCAAATGAACTTTAAAATAGTTTTTTAGAATTCTGTAAAGAAAGTCATTGGTAGCATGATGGGGATGGCATTGAATCTATAAAATACCTTGGGCAGTATGGCCATTTTCACAATATTGATTCTTCCTACCCATGAGCATGGAATGTTCTTCCATTTGTTTGTATCCCCTTTTATTTCATTGAGCAGTGGTTTGTAGTTCTCCTTGAAGAGGTCCTTCATATCCCTTGTAAGTTGGATTCCTAGGTATTTTATTCTCTTTGAAGCAATTGTGAATGGGAGTTCACTCATGATTTGGCTCTCTGTTTGTCTGTTGTTGGTGTATAAGAATGCTTGTGATTTTTGCACATTGATTTTGTATCCTGAGACTTTGCTGAAGTTGCTTATCAGCATAAGGAGATTTTGGGCTGAGACAATGGTGTTTTCTAGATATACAATCATGTCGTCTGCGAACAGGGACAATTTGACTTCCTCTTTTCCTAATTGAATACCCTTTATTTCTTTCTCCTGCCTGATTGCCCTGGCCAGAACTTCCAACACTATGTTGAATAGGAGTGGTGAGAGAGGGCATCCCTGTCTTGTGCCAGTTTTCAAAGGGAATGCTTCCAGTTTTTGCCCATTCAGTATGATATTGGCTGTGGGTTTGTCATAAATAGCTCTTATTATTTTGAGATACGTCCCATCAATACCTAATTTATTGAGAGTTTTTAGCATGAAGTGTTGTTGAATTTTGTCAAAGGCCTTTTCTGCATCTATTGAGATAATCATGTGGTTTTTGTCTTTGGTTCTGTTTATATGCTGGATTACGTTTATTGATTTTCGTATGTTGAACCAGCCTTGCATCCCAGAGATGAAGCCCACTTGATCATGGTGGATAAGCTTTTTGATGTGCTGCTGGATTTGGTTTGCCAGTATTTTATTGAGGATTTTTGCATCAATGTTCATCAGGGATATTGGTCTAAAATTCTCTTTTTTTGTTGTTTCTCTGCCAGGCTTTGGTATCAGGATGATGCTGGCCTCATAAAATGAGTTAGGGAGGATTCCATCTTTTTCTATTGATTGGAATAGTTTCAGAAGGAATGGTACCAGCTCCTCCTTGTAGTTCTGGTAGAATTTGAGTGTGAATCCGTCTGGTCCTGGACTTTTTTTGGTTGGTAAGCTATTAATTATTGCCTCAATTTCAGAGCCTGTTATTGGTCTATTCAGGGATTCAACTTCTTCCTGGTTTAGTCTTGGGAGGGTGTATGTGTCCAGGAATTTATCCATTTCTTCTAGATTTTCTAGTTTATTTACATAGAGGTGTTTATAGTATTCTCTGATGGTAGTTTGTATTTCTGTGGGATTGGTGGTGATATCCCCTTTATCATTTTTTATTGCGTCTATTTGATTCTTCTCTCTTTTCTTCTTTATTAGTCTTGCTAGTGTTCTATCAATTTTGTTGATCTTTTCAAAAAACCAGTTCCTGGATTCATTGATTTTTTAAAGGGTTTTTTGTGTCTCTATCTCCTTCAGTTCTGCTCTGATCTTAGTTATTTCTTGCCTTCTGCCAGCTTTTGAATGTGTTTGCTCTTGCTTCTCTAGTTCTTTAAATTGTGATGTTAGGGTGTCAATTTTTGATCTTTCCTGCTTTCTCCTGTGGGCACTTAGTGCTATAAATTTTCCTCTACACACTGCTTTAAATGTGTCCCAGAGATTCTGGTATATTGTGTCTTTGTTCTCATTGGTTTCAAAGAACATCTTTATTTCTGCCTTCATTTCGCTATGTACCCAGTAGTCATTCAGGAGCAGGTTGTTCAGTTTCCATGTAGTTGAGCGGTTTTGAATGAGTTTCTTAATCCTGAGTTCTAGTTTGATTGCACTGTGGCCTGAGAGACAGTTTGTTATAATTTCTGTTCTTTTACATTTGCTGAGGAGTGCTTTACTTCCAACTATGTGGTCAGTTTTGGATGTGGTGCTGAGAAGAATGTATATTCTGTTGATTTGGGATGGAGAGTTCTGTAGATGTCTATTAGGTCCGCTTGCTGCAGAGCTGAGTTCAATTCCTGGATATCCTTGTTAACTTTCTGTCTCGTTGAACTGTCTAATGTTGACAGTGGGGTGTTAAAGTCTCCCATTATTATTGTGTGGGAGTCTAAGTCTCTTTGTAGGTCTCTAAGGACTTGCTTTATGAATCTGGGTGCTCCTGTATTGGGTGCATATATATTTTGGATAGTTAGCTCTTCTTGTTGAATTGATCCCTTTACCATTATGTAATGGCCTTGTCTCTTTTGATCTTTGTTGGTTTAAAGTCTGTTTTATCAGAGACTAGGATTGCAACCCCTGCTTTTCTTTTTTTGTTTTCCATTTGCTTGGTAGATCTTCCTCCATCCCTTTATTTCGAGCCTATGTGAGTCTCTGCATGTGAGATGGGTCTCCTGAATACAGCACACTGATGGGTCTTGACTCTTTATCCAATGTGCCAGTCTGTGTCTTTTAATTGGAGCAGTTAGCCCATTTATGTTTAAGGTTAATATTGTTATGTGTGAATTTGATCCTGTCATTATGATGTTAGCTGGTTATTTTGCTCATTAGTTGATGCAGTTTCTTCCTAGCATCGATGGTCTTTACAATTTGGGATGTTTTTGCAGTGGCTGGTACCGGTTGTTCCTTTCTATGTTTAGTGCTTCCTTCAGGAGCTCTTGTAGGGCAAGCCTGGTGGTGACAAAATCTCTCAGCATTTGCTTGTCTGTAAAGGATTTTATTTCTCCTTCACTTATGAAGCTTAGTTTGGCTGGATATGAAATTCTGGGTTGAAAATTCTTTTCTTTAAGAATGTTGAATATTGGCCCCCACTCTCTTCTGGCTTGTAGAGTTTCTGCCAAGAGATCAGCTGTTAGTCTGATGGGCTTCCCTTTGCGGGTAACCCGAACTTTCTGTCTGGCTGCCCTTAACATTTTTTCCTTCATTTCAACTTTGGTGAATCTGACAGTTATGTGTCTTGGAGTTGCTCTTCTCAAGGAGTATCTTTGTGGCGTTCTCTGTATTTCCTGAATTTGAATGTTGGCCTGCCTTGCTAGGTTGGGGAAGTTCTCCTGGATAATATCCTGCAGAGTGTTTTCCAACTTGGTTCCATTCTCCCTGTCACTTTCAGGTACACTAATCAGACATAGATTTGGTCTTTTCACATAGTCCCATATTTCTTGGAGGCTTTGTTCATTTCTTTTTATTCTTTTTTCTCTAAACTTCTCTTCTCGCTTCATTTCATTCATTTGATCTTCAATCACTGATACCCTTTCTTCCAGTTGATCGCATCGGCTACTAAAGCTTATGCATTCGTCACATAGTTCTCGTGCCATGGTTTTCAGCTCCATCAGGTCATTTAAGGACTTCTCTATACTGGTTATTCTAGTTAGCCATTCATCTAACCTTTTTTTTCAAGGTTTTTAGCTTCTTTGTGATGGGTTCGAACTTCCTCCTTTAGCTCAGAGAAGTTTGATCATCTGAAGCCTTCTTCTCTCAACTCGTCAAAGTCATTTTCTGTCCAGCTTTGTTCCGTTGCTGGCGAGGAGCTGCGTTCCTTTGGAGTAGGAGAGGTACTCTGATTTTTAGAATTTTCAGCTTTTCTGCTCTGTTTTTTCCCCATCTTTGTGGTTTTATCTACCTTTGGTCTTTGATGATGGTGATGTACAGATGGGGTTTTGGTGTGGATGTCCTTTCTGTTTGTTAGTTTTCCTTCTAACAGACAGGACCCTCAGCTGCAGGTCTGTTGGAGTTTGCTGGAGGTCCGCTCCAGACCCTGTTTGCCTGGGTATCAGCAGCAGAGGCTGCAGAAGAGCGAATATTGCTGAACAGCAAATGTTGCTGCCTGATCGTTCCTCTGGAAGCTTGGTCTCAGAGGGGTACCCAGCTGTGTGAGGTGTCAGTCTGCCCCTACTGGGGCGTGCCTCCCAGTTAGGCTACTCGGGGGTCAGGGACCCACTTGAGGAGGCAGTCTGTCCGTTCTCAGATCACAAACTCTGTGCTGGGAGAACCACTACTCTCTTCAAAGCTGTCAGACAGGGACATTTAAGTCTGCAGAGGTTACTGCTGTCTTTTTGTTTGTCTTTGCCCTGCCCCCAAAGGTGGAGCGTACAGAGGCAGGCAGGCCTCCTTGAGCTGCGGTGGGCTCCACCAAGTTCGAGCTTCCTGGCCGCTTTGTTTACCTACTCAAGCCTCAGCAATGGCGGGTGCCCCTCTCCCTGCCTTGCAGCCACCTTGCAGTTTGATCTCAGACTGCTGTGCTAGCAATGAGCGAGGCTCCGTGGGTGTGGGACCCTCTGAGCCAGGTGCAGGATATAATCTCCTGGTGTGCCGTTTGCTAAGACCATTGGAAAAGCGCAGTATTAGGATGGGAGTGACCCAATTTTCCAGGTGCCATCTGTCACAGCTTCCCTTGGCTAGGAAAGGGAATTCCCTGACCCCTTGTGCTTCCCGGGTGAGGTGATACCTTACCCTGCTTCGGCTCATGCTCGGTGGGCTGCACCCACTGTCCTGCACCCACTGTCCGACAAGCCACAGTGAGATTAACCTGGTACCTTAGTTGGAAATGCAGAAATCACCTGTCTTCTGTGTCATTCATGCTGGGAGCTGTAGACTGGAGCTGTTCCTATTCGGCCATGTTGGAACCACCCTTGTAATTTTGCAATTTCAAGGTGCTATTTTCTAAATATGTCTATAAGATCAAACTTGTGAATCATGTTAATTGTTCTATTTCTATACATTGTTCCATCAATTGACGAGAGATGTGTTAAAATCTAGCCTCCCGAGTTCACGCCATTCTCCTGCCTCACCCTCCTGAGTAACTGGGACTACAGGTGTCCGCCACCACACCCGGCTAATTTTTGTATTTTTTTTTAGTAGAGACGGGGTTTCACCATGTTAGCCAGGATGGTCTCAATTTCCTGACCTCATGATCCACCTGCCTCGGCCTCCCAAAGTGCTGGGATTACAGGTGTGAGCCACCGCGTCCAGCCATGAAATCACATTCTTAATCTTCAGCAATACTTTCTTGCTTTAAAGTCTATTTTTCTGCTATCAATAGAGCTGTAATCGATATCTTTTAGATATTTGCATAATTTCTTTTCCCATTTTTGTCTTGCTACTTTTCTGTATCTAATGTTTTAGATATGACTCATAAAATGCACACAATTTACTTTTGCTTTTTTTTTTTTTTTTTAAAGAGACAAGTCTCACTATCTTGTCCAGGCTGAACCTCCTGGGCTCAAGTGATCCTCCCACATCAGCATCCTAAGTAGCTGGGACTACAGGTGTGAGCCATCACACCCAGCTACTTTTGCTTTTTTATCAATCTGACAATCTTTGTCTTTTAACTGAAATATTTGGTCCATTCATATTACATATGATTACTGTTATATTTCAATTTAAATATACCATCTTATCTTGCTATTTTTCCTACCTGTTTTATGTTTCTTTATCTCTCTTTGCTTGCTTTCATTTAGGTTTGTTGAGTATATTTTATCCTTTCATATTTTTTCTTCTACCATTTTGGGAGTCTTACATTGTGTGTATTTCTATTACTTACTGGCTATCCTATAAACTACAACATTAATCAAATTATGAAGGTTTAATATTAACATCTTTACCTCCTAGATAATACATGGATTTTAGAATCCTTTATTCTATTTATCCACATGCTGACTTTTTTGCTGTTGTCATATGTTCTAAATTTTCACACGCACACCTGGCTTAAACAATAGAAATTTATTTTCTCACAGTTCTGGAGGCTACAAGTCCAAGATCAAGGGGTAGGCAGGCTTGTTTTGTGTGTGTGTGTGTGTGTGTGTGTGTGTGTGTGTGTATTTTTTTTTTGTCTGTTTGTTTTTTGAGATGGAGTCTCCCTCTGTAGTCCAGGCTGGAATGTGATGGCGCGATCTGGGCTCACTGCAACTTCTGCCTCCTGGGCTCAAGCAATTCTTGTGCCTCAGCCTCCCGAGTAGCTGGGATTACAAGCGCATGCCAGCATGTCCAGCTAATTTTTGTATTTTTAGTAGAGGGGGGTTTCACCATGTTGGGCAGGCTGGTCTTGAACTCCTGACCTCAGATGATCTTCCTGCCTCAGCCTTCCAAAGTGCTGGGATTACAGGCATGAGTTACCACGCCTGGCCAGCAGGCTTGGTTCTTTTTTTTTTTCTTTTCCTTTTCTTCTTCTTCTCCTTCTCTTTATTTTTTTTTTTAGAGGCAGGGTCTTGTTCTGTTTCCCAGGCTGGAGTGCAGTGGCACAACCCTAGCTCACTGCACCCTTGTAACAAGAACTACAAGTGCACACTACCACACCTGGCTAAGGGTTGGTTTCTTGTAAGGCCTCTCTCGTTGGCTTGTAGGTGTCTGTCCTCTTTCTATATCTTCATGTGGTCGTCCCTCTGTGCCTGTCTGTGTCCTAATTTCCTCTTTTGCTTTAACGCATAAAAGATATTTTCATTAGGTTTTCTTTTTGAGAGAGGGGTTCACATTGTTTATTTTAGCATTGTGAAGACATCATTCATTATTTTCTGATATTTGCTATTATTTAGAAATCAGCTGTCAGTTTGTTACTCATTATGGTAATGTACATGTCTTCTGACTTATCTATTGCAAAATTCGCAAACATAAAATTTACCATTTTAACAATTTTAAAGTGTGAAGTTCAGTGCCATTTAGTACATTCACAATGTTATATAGCCATCACCACTATCTAGTTCCAGAACATTTCTATAACCCCAAAAGGAGATTCAATACTTATTAAGAAGCCACTCCACATTCACTCCTTCTGCCAGCTTCTGGCAACCACTAATCTGTTTTCTGTCTCTATGGATTTGCTATTCTGGGTATTTCATATAAGTGGAATGTGGCCTTTTGTGCCTGGCTGCTTTCACTTAGCATAATGCTTTCAAGGAGCATCCATGTTTTAGCATGGATCAGTACTTTGATTTTTTATGAATAAATAATAGTCCATATATGGATAGACCACATTTTGTTTATCTGTTCATCACTTGATGAACATTTGAATTGTTTTCACCTGTTTGCTATTATGAATAGTACTTCTATATGCATTTGTATATTAGTTTTTGTTAGAGTGCCTGCTTTTAATTCTTTTGGGTCCACACCCAGGAGTAGAATTGCTGGGTCTATGTTAATTCTATGTTTTCCTTACTGAGGAACTGCCAAAATATTTTCTACAGTGGCTGCCCTATTTCACATTCTCATCATCAAGGAAGGTTCCAATTTCTTTATATTCTTGCTAACACTTGTTATTTTCCCGCTTGACATTTTGTTTTTGTTTTTTTTTTAATTTAGCCATCCTAGCAGGTTTGAAATGCTATCTCATTGTGGTTTTGATTTGCATTTCCCTAATAACTAATGATGTTGTCTATCTTTTCATGAGTTTGTTGGATCCTTGTATATCTTCTTTGGAGAAGTTCCATTGAAGTCCTTTACCCATTTTAAAATTTGGTTGTCTTTCTGTTGTTGAGTTGTAAGAGTTCTTTTTATATTCTGGGATACTAGGCCCTTTATCAGATATATGATTTGCAATTTTTTTCTCCTATACTGTAGATCATCTTTTTACTTTCTTGATAGTGTTCTTTGATGTACAAAAGCTTTTAACTTTAAAGATGCCTACTATATATATTTTTATAGAGTTGTTGCTTGTGATTGTGGTGTCACATCTAAGAAACCATTGCCAAATCCAGTATCATAACAATTTACCTCTTTGTTTTTTCTTACAGTTTTATGGTTTTAGCTTTTATATTTAGTTTTTTGATACATTTTTAGTTAAATGATTTTTTACAGACAGGGTCTTGCTCTGACACCCAGGCTGGAGTGCAGTGGTGCGATCATGGCTCACTGCAGCCTCCACCTCCTGGGCTCAAGCGATCCTCCTATCCCAGCTTCCCTAGTAGCTGGGACTACAGGTGTGTACCATCATGCCAGCTAATTTTTTTTTCTTGTTTTGTAGATACAGAGTCTCACTGTGTTGCCCAGGCTGGTCTCAAACTCCTGAGCTCAAGTGATCCACCAGCCTTAGCCTCCCAAAGTGCTGGGATTACAGATGTGAGCCACCACATCCAGCCTTGAGTTAAATTTTGTATATGGTAAAGATCCAACTTCATTCTTTTGCATGTGGATATCCAATTGTCCCAGCACCATTTGTTGAAGAGACTATTCTTTTCCCACAAAATGGTCTTGGCACTTTTATTGAAAATCAATTGACCATAGATGTATAGGCTTATTTCTGGACTCTCAATTCTATTCCATTGATCTATGTGTCTATATTTATGTAAGTACTGCCCTGTTTTGATTCTTGTAGCTTTGTAGTAAGTTCTGAAATTGGGAAGTATGACTCCTCCAACGTTGTTCTTTTTCAAGATTGTTTTGGCTATTCAGGGTCCCTTGAAATTCCATCTGAATTTTAGGATAGATTTTTCTATTCCTCAAAAAAAAAAATGTCTTTGGGATTCTGATAGAGAATGCTTTGAGGCCGGAGAATCGCTTGAGCCCAGGAAGCAGAGGTTATGGTGAGTGGAGATTGCACCACCACACTGCAGCCTGAGCGACAGAGTGAGACTCCGTCTCAAATCAAAAAACAAACAAACAAACAAAAAAACCCAGAATGCTTGCTTTGAATCTGCAAATGGTTTGTGGTAATATTCTTATCTTAAGAATATTATGTCTTCAAATCCATAAATCCAGGATGCCTTTTCATTTATTTAGTTATTTAATTTCTCTTTTAATTTTTAATTTTTAATTTTTTTCTAGTTGCTAATTTTCCATATTTGCTGTCTTCAGACCAGACAGTTCTTTAGTTTCTTTCAACTGGGTTTTTTTGTTTTTAGTGGACAAGACTTGCACCTCCTTCGTTAAATTTATTCCTAAATATTGTATTATCTTTGATGCTATTGTAAATAGACTTTTCTGTTTTCCTTTTCATATTTGTAATTGTTAGTATATAAAAATACAATTGATTTTTGCATGTTGACTTTGTAACCTGCAATGGTTTTTTTCAACTGCCTAATAATGTTGGATAATTTGTCTTTTATTTTCATGTTTCCATATGTTATTACTTTAAAGATTTTATACATAATTATTTCATATTATGTATCCGATAATGTCAATATCTGGTGTTCTTCAAGTTTTAAATCTGAATTGATTGTTTCTGTTCACTTGTACTCAAGTTGTCTTGTTGTCTTGCATGTTTGCTGATCTATGTCTGTGATCTTATAATTTTAATATGTAGGAATCCTGGAGGCCTAAACTGGAGGTGCTTTTTTTCTAGAGTAGGTTGAGAATGGTTCTTCCAGGTGCCAGAGGATAATATTTATCTGCAACTTCTCTAGCTTCCTTCTGGGATTCATGACAATGCAGAATTCTCACACTGAGTTCTCCTTGCATTTTGCTCAAGGCTTAGTCTTCCAGTAACAACATTAATATGGGCATTCTGTCTGAGGAAAGGTCTTCCTTTTTATATTTGCTCATTATTCACCTCTCCGCTATGATTTCAGCTCATTATTTTAAAATAGAAGTTTGTGGGGGTTTTTGTTGATGGGGAGGCTGGAGATTCCCCTTTCTTTGCTAAATACAACAATGCATTGTCAGTGATATAGCCTTTTTTATTGTTGTACAATATACATAAAATTTACCATTTTAATCATTTTTAAGTGTACAATTTAGTGGTATTAAGTATACTCACAATATTGTGCACCCATTACCACTATCCATTTCCAGAACTTTTTCATCACCCCAAACAGAAACTCTGTACTCATTAAAAATAACTCTCCATTTCTTCCCCATTCCAAGACCCTGGTAACCTCTTTTCTACTTTCTGTCTTTATGAATTTGCCTGCTCTAGATACCTCATTATGGTGGTTAATTTTATGTGTCAACTTGACTGGGCCATGGGGTGCCCATATATTTGATTAAACTTTATTTTATGTGTGTCTGTGAGAGTGTTTTTTGGTGAGATTAACATTTGAATTGGTAGACTAAGTAAAGCAGATTGTTCTCCCCAGTGTGGGTAGAACTTATCCAATCAGTTGAAGGCCTAAATATAACAAAAAGGCTTACTGTCCTCTTAGTAAGAGACAGTTCCTTCTATTTGACTACCTTTAAACTGGGACTTCAGTTTTTTTCCTGCCTTTGGGCTCGAACTAAAACATTTTAACTCTTTCTGGGTCTGTAGCCTGCTGGTCTTTGAACTGGAACTACGAATCAGCTCTCTGGGGTCTCTAGGCTGCCAACTCACCCTGCAGATCTTGAGACTTGGCAGACTCCATAATCACATGAGCTAATTCCTTGTGTGTGTGTGTGTGTGTGTGTGTGTGTATGTATCTCCTCTTGGTTCTGGTTTTGTTTCTTTGGGAACCATGACTAATACAGATTTTCACACCAAGAGTGATTCTAAAGGAACAGAATTTTAAGGATAAATTTTATAAATTTGTTATTGGATTTCTGGAATTGGTTCTGTAACCTGATGAAATTTAAAGACACTAATGACTATTTTCAGTAGTAAAAATTGTCCATGGCATGATCTGGCAATAGAAATATGTAGGCCAGGCTGGGCGCGGTGGCTCACGCCTGTAATCCCAGCACTTTGGGAGGCCGAGGTGGATGGATCACCTGAGGTCAGGAGTTCGAGACCAGCCTGGCCAACATGATGAAACCCTGTCTCTACTAAAAACACAAAAATTAGGCAGGTGCCTGTAATCCCAACTACTCGGGAGGCTGAGGCATGATAATCGCTTGAACCTGGGAGATGGAGGTTGCAGTGAGCTGAGATCATGCCACTGCACTCCGGCCTGGGTGACAGAGCGAGACTCCATCTCAAAAAATATGTATATGCAAAATATCTCCATTGGATACTCCTAATCAACTACTTTTAAGAAGCAAGGGTCTTGGTGACTATGTATATTGACACTTGTGAACATATTTGTCAAACTAATGAATATGATGGGATTAGTCGGTTGCTCCTAATGTTGCTGGAAAAAGTGATGAAAGAAAAGGAGGAGCTCAGGAATTTGAATTCCCAGCTCAAGAGCTGCATAAATGACTTGACAGATTCTATGTATGCCCTGAAGGAGACCCTTATCTACTGTAGCCACAGAGCTGAGATTGCTGAAAATCAAATGCCAAATCTCATCCTGTGACTAACTGAATTACAAAGCAAGCCAAACTCCCAGCTTTGCAGGGTGTCTACTGTTAAAGCAAGGGCAGTGATTGGGAAAGAATGGGGCACTACAAGTTGGATTAGGTATGTGTGGAAGACCCTGATTAAGCTGGGGACATTGAGCTCCTAAATATTGATGAGTCTTCTTTGTCAGTGAAAGTTTTCTCTCCAGCCCTGTGGTGGCAGTATCTCTACTCCAGTCTAAGTGGATTAACCCTGCACTGCCTGAGGAAACTGTAATGGCTTCCCCTGAGGCAACTGCCATGCAAGATAATGCTGATTCCTTCAGGACCCACCCTACCACCCCTCTTTGTTATTAGATCTATAACTACACTCAAGTCCCAGCAGGCGAGGTGAGGTATGAAGGTGACCCATGACAAGGTGCACTACACTCCAAAATCATGACTTGAGTTTTCTAATTTACACAAGCAGGAATCCAGAGAATATGTATAGGAATGGGTACTAAGGATGTGAGATAACGGTGGAAGGCACGTAAAGTTGGATTAGGCCAAATTTATTGACATGGGCCCACTAAGCAGAGATTCTGGACTTAATGTTGCATCTCAGGGAATTAGGAAGGCCTCTAACAGTTTAATTGGTTGGCTGAAACACAGACCAAAAGATGGCCCACAGTGAGCAAACTAGAAATTTCAGACTTGCCCTGGTTTAATGTAGAAGAAAGGAGATTGAAATGCTAGAGTGAATTTGTCATTTAAGACATACTCACCAACACTGGGAGAGTTCAGAAGACACAGATCTCACTATTACTTTGAGGAATAAATTTGTGAGGGGAACCTCAGCATCCTTGAAGGGCTCTGTGATCACTCTTCTCTGTAGGTGACACCTTACAGCAGGACCTGCAGTCACTGAATTAGAAAACCTAAATACAATGGGAATAATTGGATCCTGGGGTGGAAGGGGCCAATGGGCAGCACTCAACTGCCAAAGGCAAGGTAAGTGTGGTTACCATAAGGGACAGCAGAGTCAAAGCAGCAGTTAGAATAGTATGACTTGCACAGACCTATGGTGTTGGCTAGTAGATTATAGTGTTCCTAGATGTGATATAGATAGAATGCCTACCAAATTCTTGAACTGCATAAGTGGAAAAGTTCTAGGTCAAGTGAACAAAAGTCTAACCTGAATAATAAAAACAGAGTCACGGCCTCTCAATCAATTCCCAGACTTGAGCAGGTTTACAGACCCAGCACTCCTTGAATGAAGGGGAGGCTCAGTCTCCTTGAGGAAGGACTCTGGTACACTGCCAAGAATACTGCCACTCTTTCTCTCAGCCTTCCCCAAAGGGACATATGGCCTTTCTATCAGAATAAATGTGCACTGAAGAAAAATAATTAATCAGACCTTTCAGGGACTACTGGACAATGGCTCTGAACTGGCACTAATTTCAGGAGACCCAAAATGTCACTGTGGTCCACCAGTCAGAGTATGGGCTTATGGAGGGTCAAATGATCAATGGAATTTTAGCTCAAGTCCATCTCAAAGTGGATGCAGAGGATCTGTGAGACTATCTTGTGGTTATTTCCCCAGTCCTGGAATGCGTAATTGGAACAGATATATTGAGCAGCTAGCAGGATCTTCACATTGGTTCCCTGACCTATGGAGCAGGGGCTACTGTAGTGAGAAATCCTCCTGTAATCCTCTGTGAATAACTGTTCTCCTTTTGTGAGATAGCTCTTGGCCTACTACTGGGCCTTAGTAGATACTGAATGCTTAGCCACAGACCACCAAGTTGCCATGTGACCTGAACTGCCCATCATGAACTAGGTGTTATCTGACCCACCAAGCCATAAAGTTGGGTATGAACAATGGCACTCCATCATCAAATGGAAGTGGTATATACATGATCATGTCTGAGCAGGTACTGAAAACACATGTAAATTACATGAAGAAGTAGCCCAAATGTCCATGGTGCCTGTTTCTGCTACCCTGCCTTCTCTCTCCCAGCCTGCACTTATGGCCCCATTGGGAGTTCCCTATGATCAGTTTACAGAGGAAGAGGAGTCTTGGGCCTGGTTTACAGACGGTTCTGCACGATATGCAGGTACTACACAAAAGTGGACAGTCCCGATCTGAGATACCCATGAAGGACAGTGGGCAGAATTTTAGGCAGTGTACCTGGTTGTGGACTTTGCTTAGAAGGAGAAATGGCCAGGTGTGCAATTATATGTCAAGTAATGGGCTGTAGTCAGTGCTTTGTCCAGATAGGGACTTGGAAGGAACATGATTAGAAAACAGGTGACAAAGAAATTTGGGGAAGAGGTATGTGGACAGATCTCTCTGAATGGGCAAAGGATGTGAATATATTTATGTCCCATGTGAGTGCTCAACGAAGGGTGACCTCAGCAGATAAGGATTTCAATAATCAAGTAAATATGATGGGCCGGGTGCAGTGGCTCACGCCTGTAATCCCAGCACTTTGGGAAGCCAAGGCGGGAGGATCACCTGAAGTCAGGAGTTCAAGACCAGCCTGGCCAACATGGTGAAACCCTGTCTCTACTAAAAATACAAAAATTAGCCAGGCATGGTGATGCGTGCCTGTAGTCCCAGCTACTCGGGAGGCTGAGGCACGAGAAATGCTTGAACCTGGGAGGCAGAGGTTGCAGTGAGCTGAGATTGTGCCACTGCACTCCAGCCTGGGCAACAGAGCAAGACTCCATCTCAAAAAAAAAGTAGATATGATGACCTGTTCTGTGGATACCAGTCATCCTTTTTACTCAGCCACCTATGTCACTGCCTGATGGGCTCATGAACAAAGTAGCCATGGTGGCAGGGATAGAGGCTATGCATGGGCTCAGCAACATGGACTTCTATTCAACAAGGCTGACCTGGCTATGGCCACTGCTAAGTGCCCAATCTGCCAGCAGTAGAGACAAACACAGAGTCCTCAGTATGGCAGTATTTCCCAGGATGATCAGCCAGCTATCTGGCAGCAGGTTGATTACATTGGAATATGTTCATCATGGAAGGGGCAGCGTTTTGTCCTTCCTGGAAGGAAACTGAACTACTGCTTCACAATGGAGGTATGGAAGAGTGTGTCTGGAATACAATAGATCCCTTAGAGTGTCTCTTAGTATTACCAGGCCCTATGATTCTGGTCAATGGGAAACTACAGCAACCCAATCCATGCAGGACTACTAGTGGCCCAGGCTCTTCAGGAATAAAGGTTTGGGTCACCTCATCAGGTAAAGAACCACAATCAGCTGAGATGCTTGCTGAAGGCAAAGTCAATACAGAATGGGTAGTAGAAGAAGGTAGTTATCAATACCAGCCAAGTTTTGTTATATCATGTTAGGTGGAATTATGACCTCATTTTTGTCTCTACTTAGAGATAAAGGAGATGTGTATGATGGGTGCTACATTGACAAGGGGTGGACTTGTCATGGTTAATTTTATGTATCTACTTTACTTGGTCATAAGGTGCCCAGATATTTACTCAAACATTATTCTGGTTATTTCTGTGAAGGTGTTTTTGAATGGGATTAACATCGAAGTCAGTAGACTGAGTAAAGCAGATTGCTCTCCCTAATGTGGGAGGCATCATCCAATTAGTTGAAGGCCTGAATAGAACAAAAAGACTGAGTCTTCCCCAAGTAAGAAAGTATTCTTGCTGCCTGTCTGCCTTTGGACTGGAACATCAGCTTTTTCCTGCTTTCAGTCTTGAACTAAAACAGTTTAGCTCATCCAGAGAGACAGAGAGAGAGAGACAGACAGACAGAATCTCCTATTGGTTCTATTTCTTTGGATATCCCTGACTAACACACTCATATAAGTAGAATCATATAATATCTATCCTTTTATGTCTGGCCTATTCACTTAGCGTATTTTCTTTTTTTTTTTTTTTTGAGATGGAGTCTCACTCTGTTGCCCAGGTTGGAATGCAGTGGTGCGATCTCGGCTCACTGCAAGCTCTGCCTCCCGGGTTCATGCCATTCTCCTGTCTCAGCCTCCCGAGTAGCTGGGACTACAGGCACCCGCCACCACGCTTGGCTAATTTTTTGTATTTTTAGTAGAGATGGGGTTTCACTGTGTTAGCCAGGATGGTCTCAATTTACCGACCTCGTGATCTGCCTGCCTCAGCCTCCCAAAGTGCTGGGATTACAGGCATCAGCCACCGCGCCCGGCCTTCACTTAGCATATTTTGAAAGTTCATCATGTTGTGGCACTAATCAGAGATATAACCTTTTTTAAATGGGAATTTTTCTTCTAGAATATCCAATGTCTAGACTTCAGTTCACCAAACTGCCAGTTTGGTGAAGTCTTTCATCCAGCCTTGATGGATAAGGGAATTCTTCTTGGACATGATGTTTACCTGAGACTTAACGAATGAGTCAGGTGAAAGTGGCAGTAGAGGGTAGCTAGAAAAATGTTCCAGGTAGAAGAAATAGTATCTATTTAAAAGCCTGGTATGAGATATAATGGCTGTATTTAGTGACCTGAGAATTTCTTAGTATGGATGGAGCTTAAAGAGCCAAGTGGCAAGAGACTGTATTAGAGAGATTGGTAAGGACCACATCATGGTTAATTCTTGGTGAAAAAAGAATATAAAAAATACCAAAGAGAGGAACTATTCCTTCCCCCATTACTCATGGGGTGATAAGACTTTATGTCATGTCTTTTAATCAGGACAATTTGTTGAATTATCCAGCAAACCCAGATTAAGAATGAAGACTTCCTGGACCACTAAACTTAAAGGTCAAAAAGGCTTGGGAATCAAGGTGCTGATGAGGAGAATTAACTCTTGGATCTACTCTGCCCTTTTCTCAGTATTTTACCTTTTTCTTAAAGTCACTGTGTTCTCTCAGAATGCCTTTTACAATGTCTTGCTACCATAGGTACTTAATAAATTTTGCTCTGAAAATTTGGTCATATATCAACCTTTTTATGTTATGTTAAGCTCTAGGAGAGGTGGTATTTTTTTTCTTTCTTTCTTTCTTTCCAAGGAGACCAGCTTACCTTTACTTTGCCATTCTGAAAAAAGAGAGTCCACTGATGGCCATCTTGACTGCTGGAGATGAGGAACTCCTTCACATACATGCTGGTAAGCAGAGATTTTACTCCCTGAGTAGTTACTCCTGTGACTTTCATTGTCTTCTGGAAGTCCACTTGCAGCCACTCTTTTGGATTATTCACCTGAGGGCAATAGAGTTGGACTAGTAGCCTCTTGGTCACCATTTACTCCCAGAAATTCCCAAATCCCTCTTAACCATACCACAGCACTTCTCACTCTACTTTCTTTTTTGAGACGGAGTCTTGCTCTGTCACCCAGGCTGTAGTGCAATGGCATGATCTCAGCTCACTGAACCTCTGCCTCCCGAGTTCAACCGATTCTCCTGCCTCAGCTTCCCGAGTAGCTGTGGTTACAGGTGCCCACCACCATGTCCAGATAATTTTATATTTTTAGTAGAGATGAGGTTTCACCAGGTTGGCCAGGCTGGTCTTGAACTCCTGACTTCAGGTGATCTGCCACCTAGGCCTCCCAAAGTGCTAGGATTACAGGCGTGAGCCACTCTGCCCGGCCTCCTTCCTTCCTTCCTTTCTTTCTTTTTCTTCCTTCCTTCTTTCCTTTCTTTCTCTCTCTCTCTCTCTCTGCCTCTTTCAGACAGAGTCAGGCACTGTTGCCTGGGCTGGAGTGCAATAGCATGATCTCAGCTCACTGCAACCTCCGCCTCCCAGGTTCATGCGATTATCCTGCCTCAGCAAAAGAGTGATCTAGAACTCCTGACCTTGTGATCGGCCCGCCTCAGCCTCCCAAAGTGCTGGGATTACAGGCATGAGCCACCGCACCCAGCCTCCACTTTCTATTGGCTAGTCAGTCTCTCTTATTCAACTCTAAGCAACTTCAGGGCCAAAATTTTTCACAATTCACCTTTGTATCCCTAGGCTCATCCTAGGGATACTAAGATGTGCAGTAAATGTTTACTTTTCATTGATGTAATGAGAAACCTGGAAAGAAAGCTAATTGTTGATATTTATCTGTAAAATGGACTTTAGCTTCTACAATTCTTTGACAGATATTAGCTCAGTACTAGATATAGAGATTCTTCTTCCAGGAGGTTCAATTAGAGATCATTTCCCCCAAATGCCTGTGTGGTTGTCTGCCCATAACCAAACTTCCTTGACACACTTTTTAGAACTAACAGTTGACAGAAATACCTCAGAAGAAACAGTCAAGGCCTTCCCCGATTTTTTCCCCAACCACTGCTCTGAGTCAGTTAAACAGTAAATCTGTTGCCTCTTACCTGAGGTCTCCAGGCATTACTCCTCCCTTGGAGGTGAAGTCGAGCTTTTGAAGGAGACCAGGTGGCAAACATATTGGTAAAGTAGGATGAAGCAGTAATCTGTGCATCTGATATTGCTTTACTCTCCATTCCCAATGGCATGCTGCAACCTCAAAGAAAAGAAAAAAGAAGGTTATCACAAGGACATGCTTCAGCCTCAGTTATACTGAGCAGCTTCCACTGATATTCTAGGGCTACTGTCATCATAATATCATTTCTCAGGTTTTAACTTTTGCACAGATTCTGTTATTGGTTTTTTGTTTTGTTTTGTTTTGTTTTTGTTTTTTTGAGATGGAGTCTCGCTTTGTCACCCAGGCTGGAGTGTAGTGGCATGATCTCAGCTCACTGCAACCTCTGCCTCCCGAGTTCAAGCGATTCTCTTGCCTCAGCCTCCCGAGTAGCTGGGACTACAGGCGCACACCACCACACCCGGCTAATTTTTTGTATTTTTAGTAGAGTTGGGGTTTCACTATGTTAGCCAGGATGGTCTTGATCTCCTGACCTCGTGATCCACCCGCCTTGGCCTCACAAAGTGCTGGGATTACAGGTGTGAGCCACCACGCCCGGCCAATTCTGTTATTGCTATCTGTTTTCCAGCCAGCTCTTCCCACTTTGTGTGACTCTTTAATTTTCTTTGTTTCTTTTCTTCTTCTACTTTTATTTTAGATTCTAGGGGTACATGGGTAGGTTTGTTGCATGGGTAAATTGCATGTCACTGAGGCTTGGTGTATGAATGATCCCCTCACTCAGGTAGTGAGTGCAGTACACAATACATAACCTTCTAACCCACACCCCCCTCCCAACCTCTCCCCTCCTGAGTGTCCATCATTGTGTCCATGTGCATTTAATGTTTAGCTCCCACTTATGAGAACACATGATATTTGGTTTTCTGTTCCTGCATTAGTTCATTTATGATAATGGCCTCTAGCTGCATCTATGTTGCTGAAAAGGACATGATCTCATTCTTTTTTATGGCTGCATAGTATTCCATGGTATGTATGTACCACATTTTCTTTATCCAATCTGTTGTTGATGGGCATTTAGGTTGACTCCATGCCTTTGCTATTGTGAATAGTGCTGAAATGAACATATGCGTGCATGTGTCTTTATGACAGAATGATTTATATTCCTTTGATTATATACCCAGTGATGGGACTGCTGGGTTGAATGGTATTTCTGGGTTTGCCCAGGACTATGCTGGTTTTAGCACTGACAATTTTGTGTCCTGATACCGGGAACCCCTCCCCCAGTCTCAGGATAACTAGAACAGTTAGTCACCCTACCCATGGTTGAGGGAAGAAGGATATGGGATGACTTGGCACTTACTATTTAAATCACAGCCCATCAACTCCATGCGAAGAGTGCTGCGAATGCTATAATGAGTTGGGTGCAAACGGATGTATCGAGCAATAATTGGAGGGTTAAAAATATTGTGTTTTATCCCAGATGAATCCACATTGCCAAAGAAGACCTGTATGGAGAGATTAGCACAAATACATGGAAAGTGAATACAGAGTAAAAAGCAATTTCTGTCAATCATATCTTCCTTCTAATTTGCTTTGTGCGTTTCTCAACAGCATCCAACATCTACATAAGACAACTATGGTTAGATGGATGTTACGATGGTAGACACAAAGGAGGAAAGCACCAAGAAGAAGTGGGAACAAAGGAAATTATTAGGTCTGGGGCAAGTGAAGTTATTTTCTACTTTGAGTTCCTGTAAAAGGCTCATAAAAGTTGAGGAAGCCATTTGGGCTCTGCTACTCCAGCATGGTCCACAGACCAGGAGTAGCAGCATCACCTGAGGGCAATTCAAAATGCAGCATCAGGAGAACGGTATCAGTGAGTTGATGGGATAGGAGGTCCCTAGCTCTTGTTCCCCCACAGGAACAATAATTTGACAATGATCTATGGACAAAAGTGTCTTTGTGGGAGCCTTGGGATTCAGGTAGGAGGTTGAGAAACCCTGGTAGAGCTCAAGAACAAAGATGAATACTTTAATAAGGCAGGCCCACATTCTAGCGGCAGGCCTGTCAACTGTAGTTCTGGTTGTGGACCCAGAAGCAGCCCACCACCCTGGGGACTTAGCTCCAGAGTTGTTTGTATGTGGTCCTACCACTATCCCTATCTGCCCAGGAATCTGGGAGGAGCAACTCCCATTGGCAACCCCAGTAACAGGGCTCCCAACTGTGGACTCTGAAGCAGCCCTGTACCTAAAGCAGCTTCAGTACCACACTACCATGGTCTTGGGGAAGTTTTGCCTACTTAGGAAACAGGTGGGAGTCATGCCAGTCCACCTCTGGAAGCAGGCCCACCAACTAGACCTGACTGTGGACTCAGAAGTAACCCTGTGAGCCAACTCCAGTCTTGCTGTACCATGTTCTGGAGACAGTCCTGCCTGAATCCACACTTACCTGTGCCCCCATAACAGGCCCACTGACTGTGGGCCCAAGTGGGGACCCTGAAGCAGCCCTTTGACCCAGCTCCAGGCCCACTGCATCATGGTCTGCAGGCAGTCCTGCCCACTCAAGGACCCAGTGAGAGCTACACCTATCCAAAGCCCTGGTAATGGGCCCATTGTCTGAGTACCCAACTTCAGACCAGAAGAGGTGTCAGCTCACTCCAATGCACAGATACCAATGCTAGGCTATGTGGATCATGAAGAATCAGGCAAATATGACATCACCAAAGGGAACTAATAAAGCTCCAGTAACCAACCCTGAAGAAATGGAGATTCATGAAATTTTTGACAAAGAATTCAAAATAATCATTTAAAGAAGCTCAATTAGCTACAAGAGGATACAGGAAGACGACTAACAAAATGAGGAAAACAATACATGAACAACATTAGAAGTTTAATAAAGAAATAAAAACCATAAAAAAGAACCAAATAAAAATCCTGTAGCTAAAGAATATTGCTGAATATAGCTGAAGAATGACTGAACTAAAAAATTTAATAGCGATCTTTAATAGCAGACTCAATCATTCAGAAGAAAGAATTTGTAAACTTGAAGACAAGTCATTTGAAATTATCTAGTTAGCGGAATAAAAAGAACAATGAGAAAGAGTGAAGGAAGAACAGAGGACTTATGGGACATCATCAAGCAAAATGATAGATGCATTATAGAAATCTTAAAAGGAGAAGAGAGAGAGAAAGGAAACTTATTTAAAGAAATAATAGGTGAGAACTCCCCAAATCTATGGAGGGGAAGTGCCATCTGGATTCATTAAGCCCAAAGATAACCAAATACATTAAACCCACAGAAGTCTACAGTGAGATGCATTATAATTAAATTTTCAACAAAGACAAAAGAGAATTTTGGGGTAGTAAGAAGAAAGTGAATTGTCACCTATAGGGGAGCTCCATAAGACTATGAGTGGATATCTCAGCAGAAACCTTGCAGGTCAGGAAAGAGTGGGATGATATATTCAAAGTACTGAGAGAAAAAAATCCAATCAACAATACTTTATCTGGAAAAACTGTCCTTTAAGAATGAACACAAAGATAAAGCCTTTCTCAAACAAAAACTGAGGGGGTTTGTCACCATGAGACCTGCCTTATAAGAAGTGCTAATAGTTCTTCAAGTTGAAATAAAAAAAAAACAGTAACACAAAAGCATATGAATCCTTTCACTGCTAAAGGTAAATATAAAGAGAAACATAGACTATTGTAACACTATAATGATTGTTATAAATCACTATTAATATTAATTTATAAATTAAAAGACAAAAATAGTAATAGTAACTATAGTGACAGAAATTTGTCAATGGAAACACAATATAGAAGGAAGTAAAATATGACGTCGATTACATAAAGTTGTGGCGGGGGGAATGAGTAAAGTATAGAGTTTCTGTATGTGATTGAAGGTGTTGTCAGCTTAAAACAGACTGCCATAACTATAAAGTGTTCAATTTGATCCCTGTGGTAACCCCCCCGACCGCCCCCCCACACAGTAGATATACAGAAGATAAAGAGAAAAGAATCAAAACACATCCAAGCAAAAATCATCAAACCACAAAGAAAGAAAAAGAGGAAAGGAACAAGAAAACTACAAAACAGAAAACTATTAACAGAATGGCAACAGAAAGTCCTAACCTATCAATAATTACTTTAAGTGTAAATTGACTAAACTCCCCAGTCAAAAGACACAGAGTAACTGAATGGGCTTTTTAAAAAGCCAACAATTCAGAGATGGGAAGTAAGAAACAAAAATAAACAGGACCCAACTACATGTTGTTGATAACAGACTCACTTTTGATTTAAGGACATACATAGGCTGAAAGTGAAGGGGTGGAGAAAGTTATGCCATGCAAACTGTAACCAAAAGAGAGCAGGGGTGGCTATACTTGTATGAGAAAAAATAGTCTTTAAGTAAAAAACTGTGACATGAGACATAGAAGGTCATTATATAATAAAAGGGTCACTTGAACAGGAAGATGTAATAATTATAAATATATATGTACCCAACACGAAAGTACCTAAATATATAAAGCAAACATTGACAGACATGGAAGGAGAAATAGATAACAATATAATATAGTTGACTTCAATACTCCACTCTCTATAATGAATAGATCATCCCAACAGAAAATCAATAAGGACAAAACAGAACTGAAGAATAAAATAGACCCAATGGACCTAAAATGTATATACAGAACTTTCCACCCAACAGTAGAATTATCAAGCACACACAAAACATTCTTCAGGACAGATCACCTTTCAGGTCACAAAACAAGTCATAATAAATTTAAGAAGATTAATATCATACCAAGTATATTTTCTGACCACAATGGATTGAAACTACAAATCAATAACAATAAGAAAACACGAAAATTCACAAATATGTGGAAACTAAACAACACATTCTTGAACGACCATTGGGTCACAGAAGAAACCAAAATCTTGATAATATACCAAAACTTAAAGGATGCAGTAAAAGCATACTAATAGGGAAATTTATAGCAATAAATGCCTATATTTAAAAAGAAGAAACATATGAAATAAACAACCCAACTTATCACCTCCAGGAACTACAAAAAGAAGAAAAAAAAAACTAAGCCCAAAGGTAGCAGAACAAAGGAGATAATAAATGCTAGAGCAGAAATAAATAAAAAAGAGAATAAAAAAACAATTGGAAATAACTGACAAAACTAAGAGTTGATTTTTTTGAAAAAATAAACAAAATTGACAAGTCCTTATCTAGACTACGAAAAAAAGAGAGAAGACTCATATAAATAAAATATAAATGAAAGAGGAGACACTACAACTGATGTCACAGAAACAGACAGAACCATAAGGGACTATTATAAGTGTCAACAAATTGGTTAACCTAGAGGAAATGGATAAATTCCTAGAAACATATAACATACCAAAACTGAATAACAAAGAAATAGAAAGCCTTAACAGACTAACAACAAATAGGGATATTAAATCTAGTAATCAAAAACCTTCCAACAAAGAAAAGCCCAGGACCAATGGCTTCATGGATGAATTCCATCAAACATTCAACGAAGTATTAATACCAGTATTTCTTAAACTCTTCCAAAAAATACAAGAGAGAACACTTCAAAATACAATTTATTAGCCAACATCACCCTGATACCATATCCAGGCAAAAACAACACTAGAAAAGAAAACTACAGGCCAGGCCAGGTGTGGTGGCTCAAGCCTGTAATCCCAACACTTTGGGAGGCTGAAGCAGGCAAATCACTTGAGGTCAGGAATTCGAGACCAGCCTGGCCAACAAGGTGAAAACTCATCTCTACTAAAAAAATACAAAAATTAGCTGGGTGTGATGGCATGTTCCAGTAGTCCCAGCTACTCAGGAGGCTGAGGCAGGAGAATCGCTTGAATCCAGGAGGTGGAGGTTGTAGTGAGCCAAGATCATACCACCACTGCACTCCAGCCTGGGTGACAGAGCAAGACTCTGTCTCAAAAAAAAAAAAAAAAAAAAAGAAAGAAAAAGAAAATGAAAAGAAAAGAAAGAAAACTACAGGCCAATATCCCTGATGAACACGGATACAAAAATCCTCAACAAAACACCAGCCAACCAAATTCAACAGCACATTAAAAGGATCATTCATCATGAACAAGTGGTATTTATCCCTAGGATGCAAGGATGGTTCAACATGGGCAAATCAATCAATGTGATATACCACATTATCAGAATGAAAGATGAAAAACACATGATTATTTCGATCAATACAGAAAAAGAATTTGACAAAACTAGATATCCATTCATAATAAAAACTTTCAGCAAGATAGATACAGAAGGAACTTAACACAATAAAGACCATATAGGAAAAGCTCACAGCTGATATCATAACCAAATGTGGAAAAACTGAAGGTTTTTCCTTTTAGATACTGATATGGTTTGGCTCTATGTTCCCACTCAAATCTCACCTTGAATCGTAATCCCCATAATGCCCACATGTCAAGGGAGGGACCTAGTGGGAGGTGATTGGATCATGGGGATGGTTTCCCCCACGCTGTTCTCCTGATAGTGAGTTCTTATGAGAGCTGATGGTTTTATAAGTGTTTGACAGTTCCTCCTTCACACACTCTCTCTTGCCTGCTGCCATGTAAGATGTGCCTATTTCCCTTTCTGCTATGACTGTAGGTTTCCTGAGGAAAGAACATGGGACTTATGGGACAGCCATGCAGAACTGTGAGTCAATTAAACCTCTTAAAGCTTCATAAGTGAAGGAGAAATGAAATTCTTTACAGACAACCGAATGCTGAGGGATTTTGTCACCATCAGACCTGCCTTACAAGAGCTCCTGAAAGAAGCACTAAACATGGAAAGGAACAACTGGTACTAGCCACTGCAAAAACATACCAAATTGTAAAGAACATTGACACTATGAAGAAACTGCATTAACTAATGGGCAAAACAACCAGCTAGCATCATAATGACAGGATCAAATTCACACATAACAATATTAACCTTAAATGTAAATGGGCTAAATACCCCAATTAAAAGACACAGACTGGCAAATTGGATAAAGAGTCAAGACCCATCAGTATGCTGTATTCAGGAGACTCATCTCACTTGCAAAGACACACATAGGCTCAAAATAAAGGGATGGAGGAATATTTACCAAGCAAATGGAAAGCAAAAAAAAAAGCAAGAGTTGCAATCCTAATCTCTGATAAAACAGACTTTAAACCAACAAAGACCAAAAGAGACAAAGAAGAGCATCACATAATGGTAAAGGGAAAAATGCAGCAAGAAGAGCTAACTATCCTAAATACATATGCACCCAATACAGGAGCACCCAGATTCATAAAGCAAGTTCTTAGAGACATACAAAGAGACGTAGACTCCCACACAATAATAGTGGGATACTTTAACACCCCACTGTCAATATTAGATTAATGAGACAGAAAATTAACAAGGATATTCAGGACTTGAACTCAGCTCTGGACCAAGCAGACCTAATAGAGATCTACAGAACTCTCCACCCCAAATCAACAGATTATACATTCTTCTCAGCACCACATTACACTTATTCTAAAACTGATTACATAATTCGAAGTAAAACACTCCTCAGCAAATACAAAAGAATGGAAATCATAACAAACAGTCTCTCAGACCACAGTGCAATCAAATTAGAACTCAGGATTAAGAAACACACTCAAAACCACAAAAATACATGGAAACTGAACAACCTGCTCCTGAATGACTACTGGGTAAATAATGAAATGAAGGCAGATATAAAGATGTTCTTTGAAACCAATGAGAATGAAGACACAGCGTACCAGAATTTCTGGGACACACTTAAAGCAGTGTTTAGAGGGAAATTTACAGCACTAAATGCCCACAAGAGAAAGCAAGAAAAATTGAAAATTGACACCCTAACATCAAAATTAAAGAATTAGAGAAGCAACAGCAAACAAATTCAAAAGCTAGCAGAAGACAGGAAATAACTAAGATCAGAGCAGAACTGAAGGAGATAGAGACACAAAAAAACCTTCAAAAAATCATTGAATCCAGGAGCTGGTTTTTTTGAAAAAATCAACAAAATAGATAGACTTCTAGCCACACTAATAAAGAGGAAAAGAGAGAAGAATCAAATAGATGCAATAAAAAATGATATTGGGGATATCACCACTGATCCCACAGAAATACAAACTACCATCAGAGAATACTATAAACACGTCTATGCAGATAAACTAGAAAATCTAGAAGAAATAGATAAATTCCTGGACACATACACCCTCCCAAGTCTAAGCCAGGAAGAAGTTGAATCCCTGAATAGACCTATAACAAGTTCTGAAATTGAGGCAGTAATTAATAGCCTACCAACCAAAAAAAGTACAGGACCAGACGGATTCACAGACAAATTCTACCAGAGGCACAAAGAGGAGCTGGTACCATTCCTTCTGAAACTATTCCAAACAATAGAAAAAGAGGGAATCCTCCCTAACTCATTTTATGAAGCCAGCATCATCCTGATACCAAAACCTGACAGAGACACAACAAAAAAAGAAAATTTCAGGCCAATATCCCTGATGAACATCGATACAAAAATCCTCAATAAAACACTGGCAAACCAAATCCAGCAGCACATCAAAAAGCTTATCTACCACAATCAAGTTGGCTTCATCCCTGGGATGCAAGGCTGGTTCAACATATGCAAATCAATAAACATAATCCATCACATAAACAGAACCAATGACAAAAACCACATGATTATCTCAATAGATGCAGAAAAGGCCTTCGATAAAATTCAACACCCCTTCATGCTAAAAACTCTCAATAAACTATGTATCGGTGGAACATATCTCAAAATAATAAGAGCTATTTATGACAAACGCACAGCCAATATCATACTGAATGGGCAAAAACTGGAAGCATTCCCTTTGAAAACTGGCACAAGACAGGGATGCCCTCTCTCACCACTCCTATTCAACATAGTATTGGAAGTTCTGGCCAGGGCAATCAGGCAAGAGAAAGCAATAAAGGGTATTCAAATAGGAAAAGAGGAAGTCAAATTGTCTCTCTTTGCAGATGACATGATTGTATATTTAGAAAACCCCATCATCTCAGCCCAAAACCTCCTTAAGCTGATAAGCAACTTCAGTAAAGTCTCAGGGTACAAAATCAATGTACAAAAATCACAAGCATTCCTATACACCAATAACAGACAAACAGAGAGCCAAATCATGAGTGAACTCCCATTCACAATTGCTACTAAGAAAATAAAATACCTACGAATACAACTTATAAGAGATGTGAAGGACCTCTTCAAGGAAAACTATAAACCACTGATCAAGGAAATAAGAGAGGACACAAACAAATGGAAAAACATTCCATGCTCATGGATAGGAAGAATCATTATCATGAAAATGGCCATACTGCCCAAAGTAATTTATAGATTCAATGCCATCTCCATCAAGCTACCACTGACTTTCTTCACAGAATTGGAAAACACTACTTTAAACTTCATATGGAACCAACAAAGAGCCCTCATAGCCAAGACAATCCTGGACAAGAAGGACAAAGCTGGAGGCATCATGCTACCTGACTTGAAACTATACTACAAGGCTACAGTAACCAAAACAGCATGGTACTGGGGCCAAACAGATATGCAGACCAATGGAACAGAATGGAGGCCTCAGAAATAACACCACACAGTTACAACCATATGATCTTTGACAAACCTGACACAAACAAGCAATGGGGAAAAGATTCCCTATTTAATAAATGGTGTTGGGAAAACTGGCTAGCCATATGCAGAAAACTGAAACTGGATCCCTTCCTTACACCTTTTACAAAAATCAACTCAAGATGGATCAAATACTTAAACGTAAGACCTAGGACCATAAAAATCCTAGAAGAAAACCTGGGCAATACCATTCAGGAGATAGGCATGGGCAAAGACTTCATGTCTAAAACACCAAAAGCAATGGCAACAAAAGCCAAAATTGACAAAGGAGATCTAATTAAACTAAAGAGCTTCTGCACAGCAAAAGAAACTATCATCAGGGTGAGCAGGCAACCTACAGGATGGGAGAAAATTTTTGCAATCTATCCATCTGAGAAAGGGCTAATATCCAGAATCTACAAAGAACTTAAACAAATTTACAAGAAAAAAACAAACAACCCCATCAAAAAATGGGCAAAGGATATGAACAGACACTTCTCAAAAGAAGACATTTATGCAGCCAACAGACATTTGAAAAAATGCTGATCATCACTGGTCATTAAAGAAATGCAAATCAAAACCACAATGAGATACCAACTCACGCCAGTTAGAACGGTGATCATTAAAAAGTCAGGAAACAACAGATGCTGGAGAGGTTGTGGAAAAATAGGAACGCTTTTACACTGTTGATGGGAGTGTAAATTAATTCAACCATTGTGGAAGACAGTATGGCGATTCCTCAAGGATCTAGAACTAGAAATACCATTTGACCCAGCAAATCCCACTACTGGGCATATACCCAAAGGATTATAAATCATTCTACAATAAAGACACATGCACATGTATGTTTACTGTGGCACTATTCACAATAGCGAAGACTTGGAACCAACCCAAATGTCCATCAATGATAGACTGGATTAAGAAAATGTAGCACATATACACCATGGAATACTATACAGCCATAAAAAAGGATGAGTTCCTGTCCTTTGCAGGGACATGGATGAAGCTGGAAACCATCATTCTCAAAAACTATCACAAGATCAGAAAACCAAACACTGCATGTTCTCACTCATAAGTGGGAGCTGAACAATGAGAACACATGGAAACAGGGAGTGGAACATCACACGCTGGGGCCTGTTGGGGGGTGGGGGGCTAGGGGAGGGATAACATTAGGAGAAATACCTAATGTAGGTGACGGGTTGATGGGTGCAGCAAACCACCAGGGCACGTGTATACCTATGTAACAAAACTGCATGTTCTGCTCATGTAACCCAGAACTTAAAATATAATTTAAAAAATAAATAAAATAAAAAGCATCCAAATAGAAGAGAATAGTAAAATTATCTCTTTTTGCAGATGACATGATCATACATGTAGAAAACTCTAAAGACTCAAAAAAAAATTGTTAGAACTAATACATGAATTCTGTAAAGTTGCAGGATACAAAATCAACATACAGAAATCAGTGGTGTTTCTATACACTATAAAATATCCCAAAGGAAATTAGAAAATAATCTTATTTACAATAGCAACAAAAGAATAAAATACTTAGGAATAGACTTAACCAAAGAAATGAAAGACTTGTACAATGAAAATATAGAAAACATTTATGAAGGAAATTAAAGAAGACACAGATAAATAAAAGATATTCCATATTCCTAGATTGGAAGAATTAGTATTGTTAAAATGTCCACACTACCCAAAGTAATCTATAGATTTGATGTGATCCCTATCAAAATCTCAATGGTGTTCTTCACAGAAATAAAAAAAAAATTTTAATTAATATGAAATCACAAAAGACCCCAAGGAGGCAAAGCAATCTTTTTTTTTTTTTTTTGAGACAGAGTCTTGCTCTGTTGCCCAGGCTGGAGTGCAGTGGTGCGATCTTGGCTCACTACAACCTCTGCCTCCCAGGTTTAAGTGATTCTCCACCTCAGCCTCCAGATTAGCTGGGATCACAGGGGCCTGCTACCACACCTGGCTAATTTTTGTATTTTTTCAGTAGAGACGGGGTTTCACCATGTTGGCCAGGCTGCTCTTAAACTTCTGACCTCAAGTGATCCACCCACCTCAGCCTCCCAAAGTGCTGGGATTACAGGCGTGGGCCACCACATGCAGCCTGGCAAAGCAATCTTAAGCAAGAAGAACAAAGCTAGAGGCATCATACTTCCTGATTTCAAAATATACTACAAGTCTCCAGTAATCAAAATAGTATGGTACTGGCATAAAAATAGACACATCAACCAAGGGAACAGAATAGAAAAGCCCAGAAATAAGTTCACACATTTACAGTCAACAGATTTTTGACAAGGGTGCCAAGAACACACAACGGGGAAAAGAGAGTCTCTTCAATAAATGATATTGGGAAAACTGAATATCCACATGCAGAAGAAAGAAATTGGGCCCTTTTCTCACACTATACATAAAATTCAACTCAAAATTGATTAAACACTTGTATATAAGACCTGAAACTATAAAACTCCTAGAAGAAAACAGGAAAAAAGCTACCTGATATTGATTTGGGCAATAATTTTTTTATATGACACCAAAAGCACAGGCAACAAAAACAAAAATAGAAACTGGGATTGCATTAAACTAAAAACTTTCTGCACAGCAAAAGAAATAATCAACAGAGTGAAAAGACAACCTATGGAATGGATGAAAATATTTGCAAACTGTATATCTGATAATGGGTAAGAAACTCAAACAACTCATTAGTAAGAAACAACCCAATTAAAAATGGGCAAAGAACCCAAATAGAATTTTTCAAAAGAAGAAATATAAAAGGCCAACAGATAAATGATGCTCAGCATCACTAACCCACAGGGAAATGCAAATCAAAACACAATGAGATATTCCCTCACATCTATTAGAATAGTGTCTTAGTCTGTTATGGACTATAACTTATTATGGACTCTAATTTATTATGCTGCTATGACAGAATACCACAGACTGAGTAATTTGTAGTGAACAGAAATGTATTTGGCTCACAGTTCTGGAGGCTGGGCAGTCCAAGATCAAGAGGCCAGCATCTGGCAAAGGCCTTCTTTCTATATCATAACATGGCAGAAGGGCAAAAAGAGGGCAAGAGAGAGCAATTCAAATTCACAGCCTTAGGTGCTTTTGTAATCGGCATTAATCCATTCATGAGGGTGGAGTCCTCATAACCTAAACATCTCCCATTCGGCCCTACCTCCCAACACTGTCGCATTGGGAATTAAGTTTCCAACACATGTTTTTTGGGGAAAACACTCAAACCATAGCAAATAGCTATTATCAAAAAGACAAAAGATGACAAATGTTGGTGGTAATGTGGAGAAAAGGAAACCTTTGTACACTGTTGCTGCAAAAATAAATTGGTACAGCCATTATGAAAAACAGCATAGAGGTTCCTCAAAAAAACTAAAAATGAATACCATGTGATCTGGCAATCTCACTTCTGTTATATATCCAAAGGATACAAAATCAGTATGTTGAATATCTGCACTCCCATGTTCACTGTAACAGTATTCACAATAGTCAAGATATGGAAACAACCTAAGTGTGTCCATTGATGGATGGAGGGATAAAGACAATCTGATATATATATATCTGATGGAATATTCCCACAATTATAAAATATTATTTGGCCTTAAAATAGAAGAAAATCCTCCCACTTGTGATAACATGGATGAACCTGGAAAATATTATGCTAAGTGTAATAAGCCAGACACTGAAAGAAAAATACTTCATGACCTCATATGTGGAATCTAAGATGGTCAAACTCATAAAAGCAGACAGTAGAATCTTAGGTGCTAGGGACTGTGGTGTGGGGGAAACAGGGAGATGTTGATCAAAGGGTACAAAATTTCAATTATGCAAGATAAATTAGTTCTGGAGATCTAATGTACGATATAGTAACTATAGTAAACAATATTGTATACTTGAAATTTGCTAAAAGAGTAGGTCATAAATGTTCTCACCACAAAAAAAGGTAGCTAGGCAAAGAGATAGATATATCTTAATTAGCTTGCTTGTGGTGACCATTTCACAATGTATCAAACATCATATATGAAAAACAAAATATATCAAAACATCAAGTTGTACCTCTTAAATATATGCAACTTTTGTCAATTATACCTAAATAAAGATTTTTTAAAAGAGATGCAGTTCCTTGGGCACCATGTCAGTTCTACTGAATCAGAATCTAAATTTTAATAAGACCCTTAGCTGTTTCATAAGCAGTAAAGTTTGAAAACACTGGCAGAGGACACAGTCAGCTGTGAAAGAGTACTGGGAATGCACAGCCTATCCTCCACCCTGGTCTCAGAATGATCTTCTAAGAATGTAGTGTGTGTGTGTGTGTGTGTGTGTGTGTGTGTGTGTGTAGAGAGAGAGAGAGTCTATAATGTGGGCATTAATGAATGATCCCACTGTATGAATTAATGAGACACGTTAGTATCCAAAACGTGGGATTTGACACCTTGACATGTCTGGGTTCTGGACAAAATTACATAACATATTCAAGAGAAAGGGAATACAGTTTGAGAAATATGGTAGTAATGCCAATTCGAAAGGCCTAGATTTAAACCATGGCATACAGCATAAGAAATACTGAAAATGATATCACTCATAGAACACCTGGGATTTTTTATCTGCTTGAATACACTAAAATAGGTATCAGTGTAAGTCTATTATATGATCACACATCAGTTTAGTATCATGGGAATTTTTTTTTTTTTTTTTTTTTTGAGACGGAGTCTCGCTCTGTCGCCCAGGCTGGAGTGCCGTGGCGCGATCTCGGCTCACTGCAAGCTCCGCCTCCCGGGTTCACGCCATTCTCTTGCCTCAGCCTCCCGAGTAGCTGGGACTACAGGCGCCCACCACCACACCCAGCTAATGTTTTGTATTTTTAGTAGAGACGGTGTTTCACCGTGTTAGCCAGGATGGTCTCAATCTCCTGACCTTGTGATCCGCCCACCTCGGCCTCCCAAAGTGCTGGGATTACAGGCATAAGCCACCGTGCCCGGCTGGAAATTTTAAAAAATTATTCTGCCATGTAGCATTTTTTTCTTCCCAGGGAATAGAAAATATTAATAAATTTGTGGCTTTGTTCCTAAACAAGTTATACCAGAAATCACAATATTCTTTTTTATAAATATATCTGTATTGGGGGGTTAAAATAGAATGAATAACATATTCAAACCATATAACTTTGTTTAAAGATTTACCAAGGATTTTGTTTTCTCTGCTGCTCTCCTTTCTATATAGGAGAAAATTTGACCTTCTATTTATGGCCTTTAGATTTGGCTTTTGCAAGAGCTAGTATAATTAAATCCCAGGTAATAAGTAAACACTCCAAACCACCTCTCTGGGGTGGGATGGTGCAAAATCATTTGTAGAAAGCTACCTGTTTCGTCTAGCTACCTCCTGCGTAAGTGGGTACTGGCAGCTCTTGGGGGCCTGAATTTTATGTCTCATTTTGACTAAAATAATGAATGTGTAGTCTGACTCCAAAAGGGGATAGTCATCTTTGATTTGAGATAGGTCTCGTTATGTTTCCAAATTTCTGATTTAAAAGAAATTTGTTGCTACAGAATAATCATTGAGAAGTAGAAGAAGTTTTGAAATGAAGTATATATCAATGTAAAATGCCATTCCGTTTTATCAGCATCCAAAAAGTTTATGTTGAACTTAAGAGTATTATATAGCTAATAAATGTTGATCATTAACTTGTGACTAAACCGTATGTGCTAGGAAGAATATGATCTCTCAGTGATGTCCACATTTTAATCCCCAGAACATTTGACTGTGTTATGTTGCATGGCAAGAGGGATTTAAGGTTGCAGATGGAATTAAGTTTGCCAATTAGCTGATGTCAAAATAGGGAGAATATCCTGGATTATCCAGGTCGGCCCAATGTAATCACAAGAGGCCTTGAAAGTGAGAGAGAGAGGCAGAAGAGGAGAGTCAAAGGGAGACGTGACTACTTAAGAATAGTCACAAAGGTGCAATGTTACTGGCTTCGAAGATGGAGGAAGGAAGCCATGAGTTAATGAATGTGTGTGGCCTCTAGAAGCTGGAAAAGAAAGGAAAAAGGATCCTTTTCTTTTTCTTTTTTTTTGAGAGGGAGTCTCACTCTGTCGCCCAGGCTGGAGTGCAGTGGCGCCATCTCCGCTCACTGCAAGCTCCGCCTCCCGGGTTCACGCCATTCTCCTGCCTCAGCCTCCCGAGTAGCTGGGACTACAGGCGACCGAAAAAGGATCCTTTTCTAGAGCTTCCAGAAAGAAATGCAGCCCTGATGACACCTTGATTTTAGCCCAGTAAGACTTGGGTCAGTCTTCTGCCCTATCGAACTGTAAGATAATAAACTTGTGTTGTTTTAAGCCATATTAAGTTTGTGGTAATTTGCCACCCCAGCATTAGAAAACTAATACCCTGTATACATTGGCTTTGCCTTCATTCGTTACTCAATCTTTGTGCCTTGATTAGAAACCTGCTTGGGGAGACAATTTATTAATTCAACAAATAGTTAATGACTGACTATACAAATCCTAGATTCCATATATTATGTGCCAGGCATTGTGCTAGAAGGCCTCACTGGTAAATTCTACTAAATGTTTAAGGAAGGATTAACATTAATCCTTCTTAAACTCTTCCAAGAGACAGAAAAGGAGAGTAAACTTTACAACTCATACTATGAGGCCACCATATCTTGATATCAAAGCCAGACAAATATATCACAAGAAAAGAAAATTACAAATTGCATGTAATTGAATATGTGAGTATAATATTCCCTTATGCATCTAGGTGCAAAAATCTTCAACAAAATATTAGCAAACCAAATCCAGCAGCATGTTATAAAGGTTATAGCCCATGCTCAAGTGGAAATTATCCCAATAATGCAAGACTGGTTCAACATAAGACAATCAATCCCCCAGTCAACTCCACATTAATAAAATATAGGGAAAAAAACCCCTGCAAGTTCATTCTGGTTGATGCAGAAAAATCACTTGATAAAGCTGAGCACCTTTTCATGACCAAAAAAAAAAAAAAAAAAAAAAACCACTAAGCAAACTAGAAATGGAAGAGAAAATCCACAACATGATAAAGAGCATTCATAAAATACCCAAAACTAACATCACACTCAATGGTAGAAGACTGAAAGATATTTCCCTAACATTAGAAACGAGACAAGAATGCCTGCTTTTACTGCTTCTATTCAAAATTGTATTGGAAGTCTTAGCCAGAGCAATTAGGAAAAAAAGAAATAAAAGGCATCCAAATTGAAAAGGAATAAGTAAAGCTATCTTATTCTCAGATGAACATGAGCTTATGTATGGAAAACCCCGAAGAATCCACAAAACACTATAGAGCTAATAAACGAATTCAGCAAAGTTGCAAGATATAAGATCAACGTGCAAAAATCAGTTGTATTTCTACACACTAGCAATGAACAATCTGAGATGAAATTAACAAAATAAAAAATAATTCTATTTAAAATAGCATCAAAAAGAATAAAATACTTAGGAATAAATTCAGCTAAGGAGGTAAAAGACTTGTACACTGAAAACTACAAAACATTGCTGAAAGATATTAGAGACAGCATAAAGAAGTGAAAATATATCCTGTGTTCATGAATTGGAAGACAATATTATTAAGATGATAGTACTACCCAAAGTGATCTACAGATTTAATACAATCTGCATCAAAATCCCAATGGCCATTTTTTTTTTGGCAGAAATGGAAAAGCCAATCTTAAAATTCATGTGTAATTGTGCAAGACCTCAAATAGCCAAAATAATCCTAAAAAATAACAAAGCTGGATAACTCACATTTCCCAAATTCAAAACTTCGTATAAAGCTACAGTTATCAATGCTTTGTGGTACTGGCATAAGGACAGACATATATATAAATGGAATAGAATTAAGAAGCAAGAAATAAACCCATAAATATATTCATGGGTATGTACCTCAAATATGGATGGTTCCCAGCTTATAATGGTTGGACTTACAATATTTTGACTTTATGATGGTATGAAAGCAACATGCATTCAGTAGAATCCATATGCATAAAAGTACTTAAAGTACACATACAACCATTCTGCCTTTCACTTTCAGTGCAATATTGAATAAATTACGTGAGATAGTCAACACTTCATTATAAATTTGGCTTTACGTTATATGATTTTGCCCAACTGTAGCCTAATTGTAAGTGTTCTGAGCATGTTTAAGGTAGGCCTGGCTAAATTATGATGATTGGTAGGTTAGCCGCTGATATGGTTTGGCTCTGTATCCCCACCCAAATCTCACATCGAATTGTAATCCCCGTGTGTCAGAGGAGAGGCCTGGTGGGAGGTGATTGGATCATGGGGGTGGATTTCCCCTTGCTGTTCTTGAGACAGTGAGTGAGTTCTCATGAGATCTGATGGTTTAAAAGTGTATGACATTTCCGTCCTTCACTCTCTGTCTCTCCTGCTCCACCATGGTAAGGCGTGCTTGCTTCCCCTTTACCTGCTGCTGGGACTGTAAGTTTCCTGAGGCCTCACAGTCATGCTTCCTGTTAAGCCTGCAGAACTGTGAGTCCATTAAACCTCTTTTCTTCATAAATTACCAAGTCTCAGGTAGTTCTTTATAGCAGTGTGAGAATGGACTAATATAGCTGTATTAAATGAATTTACACTAATAATGGTTTTAACTAACAATGGGTTTATCAGGATATAATACCATCCCAAGTTGAGGAGCGTCTGCAATTTAAAACATCTGTTCAAACAAACACTTGTACAGGAGCGTTCATGGCAGCACTATTCACACTATCCAATCAGTAATGTAGGGGATCAAATGCCACCTCAAAATATGCCACTTTGGCATATTGATTATTTTGTGTTTAAAGGCACTTGAAAGTAGCAGATGCAAGAAGGGCACACTGACCTTCCTTTTTTTTTCATGAAAGGAAGAGATGAAACTCTGATGTGAAAGGTATTATCTGTATACCAGGAAGAAGAAACACATTCTTATTGCCAGAGATGGGGAGTCCAGGCTTGAGGGAAAGCTGCACCAAAAAACCTTGTTACACAACTCTTACCTTCTTAGTGACTTTTCCACAATTAACTCTCCTAGCCCAAACCCCAATGTCTTGTTATGTTTTCACAATTTACCATACTTTTCCCACCCTAGTATGTAAGTATTCAGCTGTAATTAATCACTTGAGTCTTCGTATTTCTTATGAGGGCTCCCATGTACATGTAAAAAATGCCAAATAAAATTTTGTATGCTTTTCTTTTGTTAATCTATCTTATTTAAGTCCTAGCTGGAGAATCTAAGAGGATAGAGGACAACATTTACCTCCCCTGCCATGGAAATCATTTAATGAACTGTTCATCAACTGATGAGTAGATAAACAAAATGTGGCCTATTTATACAACAGAATATTTCTCGTTGGTGTTGTCTCAATGCTTAACACAGTATACCTGGCACTACCCTTCAATATTTTTTGAAGAATGAGCACATGAATTATCATGTCTCCAGCTAGGTTCACCAGTATGAGTAATATGTAGTGAGTGTCTACTGTGTGCCATTTTACTACCTAAACTTTTTATGGACTCTGTCCCCTAGTCTTATCTACCAATGCCATTGTCTTAGTTGAGATATCTGTCATTTCTTGACTGGTATAATACAGCAGCTTTCTAATTCCAATCTCAGTCCTCTCTGTTCTATTCTCCACACACAATCCTCTCTGTTCTATTCTCCACACAGCTTCCAGGGTGATATTTCTAGAGGCAAATCAGACCACGTCACTCCCAAGCTGAAAGACCACAGTGGGTTCAGTGTAGCCTACAGGGTATTCTAAAACCTGAGCATGGCATAATAGAACCTCCATGTCTTGGCTCCTGCCTACCTCTTTCCCAGCCACATCAACCACTACTGCTCCACTGGCATCGTACTCTCCAGCCTTAATGAATTGGTTGCAACTCCCCTCCTCCCACCGGTGCCTTGGCTTCTCATCATGCTACAGATTCTTTAACACACACATTGTCCTCCAAGAAGCTTGCCAGATCCACTCCTATTCTTTCAACGAAATGTTTATTGACCACTCTTTATACACTATGACCAAATAGGATTTATCCCACAAATGTAAGGTTGGTTCAACATGTGAAAATCAATTTATATAATACACCATATTAACAGAATGCATGGCGGAGCGGGGGCGGGGGAGGGGGCTCATGGTCATCTTAATCATGTACAAAAAGGATCATTTGACAAAACGCAGTACCCTTTCATGAAAATAAATTCAACAAACCAGGAACAGAAAGAAACTTCTTCAACCTGATAGAGGGCATCCATGAAAAACCCAGAGATAATATCATACTTAATGGTGAAAGACTGGTTGATTTCCCCCTAAGATCAGGAATGCCACTTGTAACTCAACATCGTACTCAAAGTTCTAGTCAGGGCAATTAGTCAAGAAAAAGAAATAAAAGGCATCCAGATCGGAAAGGAACAAGTAAAACCATCTCTATTCATAGATGCATAGATGGCATGTTCTTATATAGAGGACACTAAAGAGTCCAACAAAAGAAAAAAAAAAAAAACTGAGACGGTTTGGCTCTGTGTCCCCACCCAAATCTCATGTCGAATTGTAATCCCCACCTGTTGAAGGAAGGGCCTAGTGGGAGGTGATTGAATCATGGGGGCGGACTTCCCCCTTGCTATTCTTCTGATAGAGCGCTCACAAGATCTGATGATTGTTTGAAAATGTGCAGCGCTTCCCCCTTTGCGTGCGTTCTCTCTCTCTTCCTCCTGCTCCAACATGTGAAGAAGGTGCTTGCTTCCCCTTCGCCTTCCGCCATGATTGCACGTTTCCTGAGGCCTGCCCAGAAGCAGAAGCCTTGTACAGCCTGCAGAACCATGAGGCAATTAAACCTCTTTTCTTTAGGAATTACCCATTCTCAGGCAGTTCTTTATAGCAGTGTAGGAACGGACTAATATGCCAACCCTGTCTGAGTATGCTCAGCAAAGCATATTCGGCTCAGCAAAGTTGCAGTATCCAAGATCAATCTGCAACAGTCGGTTGTATTTCTACACCCTAGCAATGAATAACATGAAAATAAGATTAAGGAAATGATTCATTTTACAGTAGCATCGAAACAATAAAATGTCGAGGAATAAATTTAACTAAAGGTGTACAAGATGTATACTCTGAAAATTTCAAGACGTTGCTAAAATAAATTAAAGAAGACCTAAATAAATCGAAAGGCATTTTGTGTTAACGGATTGGGACACTTAATATTGTTAAGATGCCCATAATCTCCAAGGCAATATACAGATTCATCGTGATGCCTGTCAGAATCCAACCTGCCTTCTTTGTAAAAACTGACAAGCTGATCCTAAAATTCATAAGAAAATGTAAGGGGCTCAGATAGCCAAAACAATCTCAGAAAAGAAAAAAGTTGAAGGACTCACACTTCCCAATTTCAAAACGTACTACAAAACCGCAGTAATCCGAAAAGGGTGGTACTGCCATCGTGATCGATACATTAGGTCAATGTTACAGAACTCAGAGTCAGGAATAAACCCATATATTTATGTAAAGTTTATTTTCAGTAAGAGTTCCGGCACCCCTCAATGGGTGGAGGGGAAGAATAATCCCCTCAACAAACTGCGCTGGGACAACTGGATAGCCACATGCAAAAGAAGGCCCCTGGACCCCTACCTCACATCATGTAAAGAATTAATTCAAAATGGATCACAGATCTAAATGTAAGGGCTGAAACTATAAAACTCTAAGAAGAAAACGGAGATGTAACTTTGCACGACCTTGGATTAGGCAACAGCTCCTTCAGTATGACACCAAAGGCAAAGCCACAGATATCTTTTCATTTGGCAAGTTGGACTACATCCAAATGTAAATCTTTTGGGCAACAAAGGGCTCTATCCAGAAAGTGAATGGGAGAAACATTTGCAAGTCACATATCTGATAAGAGTCTATTTTCCAGAATATATGAATAAGTTTTAGAAGCCCACAGCCAAAATACAATCAACCGAATTAAAAAATGGGCAAAGGGCTTGAATAGACATTCCTCCAAAGCAGAGGTACAGAGGGCCAAGAAGCACATGAAAAGATGTCTTAGTCTGTTTTCTGTTGCCATAATTGAATACCCGACACTGAACAATTTATAAAGAAAAGAAATTTATTTCTTACCGTTCTGGGGACTGGGAAGTGACCCGGCATCTGGGGACGGCAGAGGGTATCACACGGCGAGAGGGCAAGAGCGTGTATGTCGTTTCAGGCCTCTCTTCCTATTCTTATAAAGCCACCAGTCGCATCCTGGGGGTCTCACCCCGATGACCTTATCTAATCCTAATTACCGTCTCAGAGGCTGCGCCTCCAATCAACATGTGAATTTGGGGATTAAGTTTCCAAGACACACAATTTGGGGGATGCACTCAAACCACAGCAACATCATTAGCCATTTGGGAAATACGAATGAAAACCACCATGAGATAGCACTTGACACCCAGTAGGATGGCTACTGTAAACAAAACAAAATGAGGCAAACAGAAAACAGGTTTTGATGAGGCTGTGAAGAAATTGGGACTCTCATGCACTACTGTTGGGAATGCGAAAGATTACAGCTGCTGTGGAAATCAGTTTGGTGGTTCCTCAATAAGTTAAACAGAATTACCACACGAGCCAGCAGTTTGACTGCTAGAAATAGACCCAAAAGAACTGAAAAGAGATATTCAAAGAAAAACCTGTAGAGAGATGGTCATGGCAGTGCCACTCACAATAGCCAGAAGGGGGAAATAACCTGTCCATCAACTGACGAGTGGGTAAACAAAATGTGGCCTCCTATTCATACAACAGAATCGTACTCAGTCATTCAAAGGAAGGAAGTAGTGATTCATGCCTCTACATGGATGCACCCTGATGAAACCATTACGCTAAGTGAAAGCAGCCAGACACACACGGCCTCACATTTGGTCGTATAATTCCATCTATAGGAAATCTCCAGAACAGGCTAACCTCTATGGACAGAAAGCAGATGGACTAGGGGTTGCCAGGGACTATCGGGAACGTGTGTATGGGCGGGGGCAGGGGGTGTGTGTGGGAGGGTGTGGGGGCTGGTAGTGGTGGTGTGGAAGGAGGCGTGCGGCAAGTGACTGCTTATAGGTACAGGGGTTTCGGTTTCTTTTCGGGGTGTTGAAAACGTTTTGGAACTAGGTGGTCGTGATGGATGTGCAACATTGTGAAGGCGTGGTACCCGTCCTCCCCTCGCCCACCCCTTTGTCTTTCCCACGGTGTTCCCATCCAGTAGAAAGGGAAAGTTCCCACTGGCAAAGAGAGGGTCACCAGCGCGATTCCCCCTGCCCCGCCCCACCCCACCCCCACGGCCCTCCAGCCACTTCTAGGCCCAGGCCTGCTCCCTCGAGGCCAATGGGAAAGTGATGAGGTCACCTGACGGACGTGTGTCCCTTGTGAGGGGCCGTCACCACATGCGTGCCCGTCGCCGGATGTGCGTGCCCATTGGTCTCGGCTCCCTAGCCAATGAGGGGCTGGGCCCTGGTCGCTAGGATACACAGTACTGGACGCGGTAACTGTCCTCTTGAGAGCCATCTTGCCTAGCTGGGCCAAGCCGAGATAGCACACTCAACGCCCAGCATGCCGAGGAGGAGGAGACGCCGAGGGTCCTCCGGTGCTGGCGGCCGGGGGCGGACCTGCTCTCGCACCGTCCGAGCGGAGCTTTCGTTTTCAGTGAGCCAGGTGGAGCGCAGTCTACGGGAGGGCCACTACGCTCAGCGCCTGAGTCGCACGGCGCCGGTCTACCTCGCTGCGGTTATTGAGTACCTGACGGCCAAGGTCCCGGAGCTGGCGGGCAACGAGGCCCAGAACAGCGGAGAGCGGAACATCACTCCCCTGCTGCTGGACATGGTGGTTCACAACGACAGGCTACTGAGCACCCTTTTCAACACGACCACCATCTCTCAAGTGGCCCCTGGCGAGGACTAGCTTCTGACACCCGGCCCCTGGGACCTGACAGGTCCACTCGTCCACCCACCCGGCCCCAAATCCCCCGGCCTGAACCCCCGGCCTTAAACACCCTCCCCCCACAACCCAGGCCCCAAAGTCTTGGGCCTTCATTAATTCTGTCAATAAAATGTTTCAAGGAAGCCATCTGCCCGCTTCAGTCACTTTGCCTTGGGGTGGGGGTGGGGGGGCGGTGAGATGGGTTGGGGGGTTGTGAGACCTCCACAGCTGGAGGGATGGAGAGGTGGTGGGGGTCTGGGGTTGGGTGGGAGCCAGGGATGGCACAGAGGAGCAGTCTCTCCGGGTGACAGTGCAGGGGAGTGGCCCTGGGTGGGAAGGGGACACCCCCGCTGGTTCTGAGCAAGTCAGGGCCTGCCCGGGAAAGTCCTCAGCATGATGGTGTTCGTTGGGGCGGGTGGGCCTCAAGACCATGACTGCAGTGTTGCGACAGGACGGACTTCTAAGGCAACCGGGGTGGGGACGGAGAGGTGGACCCGGTGCTTGGCAAGGGGCCCTGGACCGGAAGACGGAGGACTGAGTAGTCGGGGCGGGGGGGGGGGGGGACAACAGTCTAGAAATGCGCAGACATGGAATTAGGGTCACGAGTTTCGTTTGGGTCATGTTCAGATGGAGAGGCTGTGGGATGCCTTTAGCAACCTAGACCACTTGCATTGCAGCCGAGCTAGCAGCAGCTGGTGCCCCGCCAGGCCCCGCGTACCTTCCCAGGGTCTTGGATCCGCATCCCCGAGACCCTCGATTTGCATACGCCGCTCACAGCCCGGCCAGGCCCCGCCTCCGATCCCGCTCTTTGCACCTCATCAGGGCAAGGGGCAGGCTCGGGCTGGGGAGCCGGCGCGGGCACGGCGGCAGCCCGCCGAGGGGGACGCAGGGCACGTCGCCCCGCCCCGGCCCGCCCGCCAGCTGCGGCGGCGCGTCGGGAAGTGCTTGGGGCGGCGAGCATGGCGGCAGCGGCTGCAGGCCTGGGCGGCGGCGGCGCCGGCCCGGGACCCGAGGCCGGGGACTTCCTGGCCCGCTACCGGCTGGTATCGAACAAGCTGAAGAAGCGGTTCCTGCGGAAGCCGAACGTGGCGGAGGCCGGCGAGCAGTTCGGACAGCTGGGCCGGGAGCTGCGCGCCCAGGAGTGTCTGCCCTACGCGGCCTGGTGCCAGCTGGCGGTGGCGCGCTGCCAGCAGGCGCTCTTCCACGGGCCCGGGGAGGCGCTGGCCCTCACCGAGGCCGCCCGCCTCTTCCTGCGGCAGGAGCGCGACGCGCGCCAGCGCCTGGTCTGCCCCGCCGCCTACGGGGAGCCGCTGCAGGCCGCCGCCAGCGCCCTGGGCGCCGCGGTGCGTCTGCACCTCGAGCTGGGCCAGCCGGCCGCCGCCGCCGCCCTCTGCCTCGAGCTGGCCGCCGCCCTGCGCGACCTGGGCCAGCCGGCCGCCGCCGCCGGTCACTTCCAGCGCGCCGCCCAGCTCCAGCTGCCCCAGCTGCCCCTGGCCGCGCTGCAGGCGCTTGGCGAGGCCGCCTCCTGCCAGCTGCTGGCGCGCGACTACACCGGCGCCCTGGCGGTCTTCACGCGCATGCAGCGCCTGGCGCGGGAGCACGGCAGCCACCCGGTGCAGTCACTGCCGCCGCCCCCGCCGCCGGCACCCCAGCCCGGGCCCGGGGCGACGCCCGCCCTACCGGCCGCGCTGCTTCCTCCGAACTCCGGCTCGGCGGCGCCCTCTCCCGCCGCCCTGGGCGCCTTCTCGGACGTGCTGGTCCGCTGCGAGGTGTCCCGCGTGCTGCTGCTGCTCCTCCTGCAACCACCGCCCGCCAAGCTGCTGCCGGAGCACGCCCAGACCCTGGAGAAGTACTCCTGGGAGGCTTTTGACAGCCACGGGCAGGAGAGCAGCGGCCAGCTTCCCGAGGAGCTCTTTCTGCTGCTCCAGTCTTTGGTCATGGCTACCCACGAAAAGGACACGGAAGCCATCAAGTCGCTGCAGGTGGAGATGTGGCCACTGTTGACTGCTGAGCAGAACCACCTCCTTCACCTCGTTCTGCAAGAAACCATCTCCCCCTCAGGACAGGGAGTCTGATCCATCCCATTCACCCAGTGACTTCTTTTTGCCCAGGCCTGGACTTTTTGCATCAGTCACGTTAACCAGATGACTTTGCCTGTTACCAAACCTCATGCATCCACGTTTGCGTCTGGGGAGGAATAAAAAGACATCGTTCCCGCTTCTGCGTTTTGTTATTCCTACTGCCGCCATAGGAATTATTTCGTTGGCTGAACGTTACCAGCACCCCGAGAACACATTTTGATAGAATCAGAGTAGAGGACATGGCTGTCTTCTAAAAAGCCACGACATGAAAATGACAATCCCTTTCGTCTCCTTCCTCCGCTGCTTCCACCTAACGCAGCCTCCTGCCTCCGCCTTTGTTTCATAGTGAGGATTTTATTTTGCACGGCGCCCTCCCTCTAAATACCTACCCTAGATGATTTCATCCTGCCCCTCACTTCTTAACATATTCCTGTGTCTTTGTAATGGCCAAATTTCTCCTTCCACTCGTCCGCACGGTACGTCTTCATGGGAGTCATTTTATTCCTTACAGCTTCCTTGTAACCACAGCCCTAAATCCATGATAAAGCTACTCTTGTACTCCTCATGTGTGGTTTTGGTGTCCGTCGTCTATAAAATGTGACTCTCTTACCTACTTGTCAGGAGGCCAGCAGCAGAACCAGATAGCTGTTTGGGCTCCAGGATGTATTCGTTCCTTTGAAATTTGCGCTATGCCTCCTATGTGGGCAACGAACCTGCAGAGATCATCTATGATGTGCTCCGTACTCGGGTGACTGCAATGCAGATACATCCAGTGCAGCGGGTCTGGTGCCGATGCATCGATTTGCATTGGAATTCACGGTTCTGGTTCCATTCGCAGAGGTATATGCAGTCTGGATCACAACAGCTTTTATTTGTAATAGGGATTTTTTTTTTTTTTTTTTTTTTTTTTCCCCCCGAGATGGAGTCTCACTCTGTCGCCCAGGCAGGAGCGCAGTGGCGTGATCTCGGCTCACTGCAACCTCCGCCTCCTGGGTTCAAGCGATTCTCCTACCTCAACCTCCAGGGTGCCTGGGATTACAGGCGTGCACCACCACGCTGGGCTAATTTTTGTATTTTTAATAGAGATGGGGTCTCACCATGTTGGCCAAGCTGGTCTCCAACTCCTGACCTCAAATGATCCACCCTCCTCGGCCTCCCAAAGTGCTGGGATTACAGGCATGAGCCACCACGCCTGGCCTGTAATAGGGATTTTGCTGCAACTTTTAGTTAAGTAGGTGAAATCAGAGTGCGTGGCCCTTTGGTGTTGTGCGATCACGTGACTGCAAGGCAGCCTCCGTGTTCCCCCAAAGCAGGATGGCGTTCCGTTTGAGAACACTTAAGTTTCCAAGGCTTTCTGGCTCAAATGGAGCATGCCCCCCAACTACGCTGTTTTCTTATTTATTGCGTCTTTTTAATCCTTTTGATGGTGACAACAAGAACTCTTCAGAATATAGCCTCTTTCTCAAACTTTCAACCCTGGGGAAATGCATCCTTTGGGCCGAAGTTGCACACAATCCTGATCTTCGGGGCTGAGATGTAAGGACACAGTTTGGAGTAGGTGTTTTTGTTTTGCGTCTTTTTGCAGGGGAGAGGTGTGGAGGGTTGTCACTGTGAGTTGAGTGCCTCCAAATGGGTGGGACTTGTAGGGTGTTCTTTTCTGCTTCTATTTCTATTTCGACAGTGTGGAAGTAATGGGAAGCACAGGAGAGGCCCATTCCACCATCATTCCTCTTTCTCTCACTTGGCTGCCAGGAAGGGTCCTACGGAGCCCTGAACGCCTAGCCCAAATTATTGTAAAAGCGGTTGAAGGGCTCATGCTCCTTTGCTCTTTGGCTCTTTCCTGGTATGCTCCTCTTAACCCGGGCTGCAGACCTGGCCGGCTGGCTTCTTGTCAGGTTCAGGAGTTACGGAGCATGACTGGTGACCAGTTTGGGATTTGGGCTTCAGGAGAAGCCTCCTTAGGCCTCTGGTCCAAACTCCTTGCGTCAGGGAGGTGAGGGGAAGGATAACCAGACGGTCAGGTAGTGGGTATCTGAGCATAATTCTAGGAAACACTAAAACTCCTCGTTTTCCATTTGCCGTGGGCTCATTCATGTATCTCCCTCAGAAGCTTAAGAGCAGTGATAACTGGGCCGAGGCCAGATTTCAGCAGTTTTGAGAATTCCCTCGTAATGTATCACATCAGTATCAAAAGTCAACACTGATTTCTAGCATGCCAAAAGCAAATACTTTCAGAGGACATGATTAGTTTGCTTTTTAACTTGAAAACAATTCCAAATTCACACTTAAAACAGTGTAAACCGTCGGAAATGGTGGCAGCGAAGCAGTGAACCCTTAAAGGCTGTTGGGGTTCCCCTTCTCCCCATTGTGAGGTATTCCCAAAAGGATAAATGTTGCTTATGAAAGAATATTTTATACGTGAATAGTACAAAGACAAAGACGTTTGAGAACCGCTACGCCGGAGGAAGGTGGTCAAGACTGAAATTAGCGTGTTAGGCAAGATCTGGTTCCTAGGTGCTGAGGATTCTGGTGCCAAGGATTAATGTTAACCGTGCAGGCATCTCTACCACCGTTAGAGGAGACCAGCAGCCCACAGACTCTTTCTGTCAAGGGCGGGATAGAAATGTGTTAGTCTTTACAGACCACAGGTGGTCTCTGTTGCACAGTCTTCTTTGTTTCTTTGTATGTTTGTCTTTGCAATCCTTTCAACGTGTAAAAACTATTCTTAACTCACAGTCCGTACAAAAGCAGGCTATGGGCCAAATTCTGGGGCTATAGTTTGCCCACCCCTGAATTAGAACCCAGGACATAGTAGTTGCTCAGTGACTGTTCAAGGAATGAACCTCATGAGAGTAGTTAATAACTGTAAGTAATTTATCCTTATCGTTAAAATACAAAGATTGAAGAATAAGTGAACTAAGCATTCACCTCCAGATTGTAGGAAACAAACCAAAAGAAAGGAAAATAGAATTTTTAAAGTTTTGAACAGAGATTGATGAACTAGAAACAGCTCTTTCAAAACCACGTTTGGGTTTAAAACTGAGCTGATTCTTTGAAAAATTAATAGAATAGACAAACACTTGCCAACTCTTGATACAGAAGGGAAAAAAGGAGAAAAGACATATGTGTGTATACAGATATAGATGTATGGCACAGGAAGGGATATATGACTCTAATGTGCACATTTGCAGACATTAACTCAAGGCAACACAAATGAGAATAGCAATAATCATATAACGATTGGAAAATATAGCCTAGTATCTCTCACTAAATAAAGCACATGGCTCATATGGCTTTTTCATTTACTCTCATTAAATACTGGATTCCTACATTAAATAAGCTATTCTAGAGCAATAGTCTTCATGGAAAAAAATGGAAGCTTTCCCACTTTATTTTCAAGTTTAATATAACCCTCATGCCAAAACCTGGTAAGTAGAGCTACTGAAAAAGCTAAACCCATTTCATTCATGAATATAGATATAGAAATTATAAATGAAATGTTGGCAAATTGGATCCAGCTAAGTTTTAAATAACTAACACACTATGACTGACGAAAGTTTTCCCAGAAATGGAGCACAGTAGTGCTCTTGCACTGGTCTGTGAGAGCCAATTGTAAGTAAGCATCTCTTCCCATCCCTGGGGCCAGGCATGATGGGAGTAGTATTTATGTCAGGGAAATCTGCCAATGCTATAAATCAAGGCCTTTACTTCTTAACCTCTTCTCACTTTGCTCCCCTGTGGGTTGTTAATTTCTTGTCAGCACACTATTGAATGTTAAGTATAATTTGACAACACAAAAGAGAAATGTGACCATGTCAAAGATGCTGGAAAAGCATTTGATAAAATTCAGTTGCCATTGCAAATAAAATAGGGATAGGAGAAAACTTTTTAAACATCATAAAAAGTATTTGAAACTAACAGTGAACATTATATTAAACAGTGAAACACAGGTTACATTCTCATTAAAGTCAAGAGCAAGACAGGCTTATTTGTTATGTGTTTACCAGATCCTGTCAGCATAATGTCATCAGTGTAATGGACAGGCATTGTGCTTGTGGGATGTAAAGATGTTTGAGGTCCCTTGAGTCTATATTATGATAGAAAACAAGAGAGCTAACATTGCCCTGATGCATGGGCAGTAAACTTAATACTCTTGTTCCTACTTGGTAAATTCAAATGTATTCTGATTTTACTAATGTATGGAAATGAAGAAAAAACATTCTCTAGGTCAATACTTCCATATCAGGTGCCTGGGGCTGTGTAAATTTGCTTCAACAGAGATATGATATCTGGAATTGCAATTGTTTTTTGGCATCACCACCTGATTAAATTTGTGATCTGCTGTCATTTTCTGTGACTCGCCTGGCTTTCGTAGTGTCCAAACAGGGTCTCTAAGGAGAATAGTCACTGGTTTGTGAGGCACCTATCTCAGTTATAGCCACTGAAAGGCTTTTACACAAAAGAGGGATGACTGCTTCAGAGACTGGGGAGTGGTTGCCTCCTCAGGCAAAGGAGGTTCAGGGGAATTTGGAGGTTTGCAATTCTCAGCCTCATCCATGTCTGCCTAAATGCCTCCATCTCAGGCCTCAGAGTTTCACTCCTTCCCACCGGTACTCTTACCACAGCATAATAGATCTGGTGGAGTTAAGCATTTAATTGTCACTGCAGCTCTGCAACTTATGCTCAGCCCCTAAGTCGTATCTGCCTACAACCACAGGATACGGAGTATTCCTCAAAAGCTCTATGCATGCATCCTGATTTTCCATGTATGTTCATCAGTGTTCTTATTTTGTATATATTCATAACATTTCATTTCTTTTTCCATGTGTATGCCCTCTAGGGCTGTAAGAAGACAGACCACTCTACAATCAGGTAATGCTACGTTTGTTGCCACAGTGACTAAATGCCACTGTCATTTAATCTCCCCAGTGTCTTACTTGCCATCTGCAACTCATCCCATAGTATCACTGGTGATAATCTGAGAAACTATAATACTAACACATGTCATGGATTCCCTAACTGCTCATTTTCTTCCTTGGCAAATATGTTATCTCTGTGTTTCTTGAATATATTAGCAACATAACCTTAGAATTGCATTTTGAAAATCTGTTTCCTGGGGTTTCTTCTAGCACCAATTACTGTATGAAACAAGGGATCCAGCAAGGAACAGAAAACATGGAAATTAGGATAATTTGTGGAAGGTTTAATAAAGATACTAGTTAGGAGGGTGGGAACAGAGTATTACCATCCTGTAAACCCAAAATAAAATTCTAATCCCCCCTCCTTTCGGCAAAGGGCCTTCCAAAGTTAACCTGAAAAACGTTCAGGCCATGATGGGAAAGTGGGGATCAAATATGCCTTATTATACCCGCCTCCCTTTTGGAATTCAGAAAAATCTGACCAGCATTAACATCAACACAGACCTTCAGACTGATAGAACAGACTCTTTAAGTCTGATAAGAAACATTTACAATCTATTCTCTCTGAAGCCTGCTACCTGGAGGCTTCATCTGCATGACAGAACCTTGGTCTTCACAACCCCTTATCTTAACCCCGATGTTCCTCTCTATTGATTCTAAGTCTTTACACAATAACTTAACTCTTTCAACCAATTGCCAATCAGAAAATCTTTGAATCTACCTACGACCTGGAAGCCCCGCCTCGCTTCCAGTTGTCCTGCCTTTCCAAACTCAATGAATGTACATCTTCCATCTATTGATTTCGGTCTTATGTCTCCCTAAAATGCGTAAAACCAAGTTGTAGCCAGACCACCTTGAGCACATGTTCTCAGGATCTCCTGAGGGCTGTGTCACAGGCCATTGGTCTCTCATATTTGGCTCATAATAAATCTCTTCAAGTATTTTACAGGGTTTAACTTTTTGTTTGTTGACAATCCCTAAACCTGAAAGGATCAGAAGAGAGAAACATCCTGAAAGAGAGAATTGGATAGATTATTGTAGTGGCTTTAAAAAATGACCACCAATTATTTAACATTTCTCCCATTAAAAATTAGGGTCTATGTCTCTTCCCCTTGAATCTGGGTGGATATGCGATTTGCTTATAACCAATAGAATGTATTGAAAGTGAGGACTAAACTCTGATTTTTTTTTATCTTGCCCAAATTCCTATCTAAGGGGTCTGGGGAGTCATGCCCTACAAATCATAAATTCTCATCAGATGGGTTTTATTTAACCTTATATGTCATGATTTACTTTCCAACCTTACTCTGGCATAACATTATGAGACAAGGAAGAAAATCAAAATATTTTACCCCAAAACATGTTTTTTTGCCATATTTTGAAATGGCCCTGCAAAGCTGTTCTTTGTGGAGGGAAATTTGCAACTGTAAAGAATCTCTATTAACATAGCTAGATCTTTTTCTCCCAGCCCCTCCCAATCCTAAAGAGATTAACTAAGATCTGAATACAAAACATTTGTCATCTATTGTCTCTAAGGGGAGCCACTATAAGACTTCAAAAGAACTTTGGTCTCCACAATGTTTATCTTAACCTGAACATTCCCTTTCTATCAATCCCAGGTCTTCAGACAAACTCAACCAATTGTCAACCAGAAAATGTTTAAATTCACCTATAGCCCGGAAGCCCCCAGGTTGAGTTGTCCCGCCTTTCTGGACCAAATCAGTGTATTTCTTAAATGTATTTGATTGATGTCTCAAGCCTCTCTAAAATGTATAAAACCAAGCTGTGCCCTGACCATCTTGGGCACATGTTCTCAGGACCTCCTGAGGGCTGTGTCATGGGCCATACTCACTCATATTTGGCTCAGAATAAATCTCTTCAAATATTTTATAGAGTTCAACACTTTTTGTCAACAAAAGTGATGCTACATAACTTAGAAGACTCGGTCAGAAAAGGTTATGTAGTCTTCACCTTGTTAACTGTAACACTCACACTTGGAGGCCCTAAAATGACGTGTAAGAAGTCCAACTACAGGCCGGGTGCCTGTAATCCCAGCACTTTGGGAGGCTGAGGTGGGCGGATCACCTGAGGTCAGGAGTTCAAGACCAGCCTGGTCAACATGGCAAAACCCTGTCTCTACTAAAAATACAAAAATTAGCTGGGTGTGGTGGCATGAGCCCGTAGTCCCAGCTACTCAGCAGGCTGAGGCAGGAGAATCACTTGAGCCCGGGAGGCAGAGGTTGCAGTGAGCCGAGATCACACCAGTGCACTCCAGCCTGGGCAACAGAGTGAGACTCTGTCCTCCCCCCACCTTCCTACCCCCCCTCAAAAAGAAGTCCAACTACCTTGAAACATGCTGTAAGGAAGGCCAGGCCTCAGGGATAATCCATGTAAAGTTACATCAGTCAACAACCCCAGATTCTGTCCTAGCTGACAGTCAGTACCAACCACCAGAAAAGCAAGAGAAGGAACTTCCAGATGATTCCAGCACCCAGCTGTTAAATAATCCTAACTGAGGCTCCAGAAACCACCCATCCCCACTGTGTCCCAGTCTTGATCTACAGAATCTGTGAGCAAAACATAATGGTTATTGTTATGACAGCAAGTTTTGAAGTGGCTTGGTACACAGCAATAGTAGCTAGTACAGGTAGAAAAAGCCACTCTGAGGGAAACAGTGACCTTAAGTGGGGAGATACAGTGAACTCCTCTGCAAGGAGAAAGTCAGAAGAATAAATATGCCAATCTTTTGCCAGTGCTCCCTGTTGGTGAAATCCAACCAAAAGCTGGAGGACAAGGTAACCTGTTGATGTATTCTATACAAGCTCACCTCACAGAACAAGAAGCAGGGTAGAGAAGCAGGAAAATGGATCTAAAGGGGCAAACAAAAGTTATCTTGCTTGGGGTCATTTGAAGACTTTGAACTTTATTCTAAAGACAATGGGAAGACATTGAAAAGTTTTAGGCAGGCGACTGATGATTATCCTGAAAATGATGTGCAGCTTTTATCGGAGAACAGATTAGAAACGGGGGAAGACTAGTTAGGAATGTAATACAATAGATCAAGTGTGAGGTGATGGGACCCTGGGCTGTGGCAACAGCGGTATAAATGGAAACAGAAGAAAGAGATGTGAGAGGCATTGCAAATAAAGGATTGACCAGATTTGTGGGCATAAAAATGAGGGAAGAGTAGACAATAACGCTGAGGTTTTAAGCCTTTAAGGGTCTTGAGCTCACCTCTAGAGAATTCATCAATTCCCAAAGTTTCACCCATCCTTTTATGTGGAAGTCATGAATCTTCATCTCCATCCATGGTTTTGCCCCCTAAACTTGTCTTTCACCTACTGCCTGCTGGACATTTCAACCTGATTGTCCTACTATAACCTCAAACCTAGGATATCCATAAGCAAGCTCACAATCATCAATCCACACAGTCCTGAATCACATATTTCTATCAATACAGCATCTCTTCATTTCTATCATCTATGAGCCTTGACACTACTACATTTTTGCTGATATGTCCGTAATAACTCTATTGCTCATAAGTGAAAAATTATTTTTTGGAATTAAGTTTGTGGAAGCTAAGAGTGTTTGTCCAATATCTGAAATCTGCCAAAATTCTTTAAAGTATTCAGGCATTCCCTTTAAATGACTAATTACATACCATTAAGGTTCCAGTGGAATTTCCTCGATAAGTCTGCCACTTCTTCCCATCAAGACTATACATGATGATAAACTGAGAGATGTAGAGGCTGGAGAACTTCTGACGGGCACCCTGGGTCTTGATGCCGTGAATAATCATTGGTGCCAACAGATCCACCTACCAATTAAAATAACACTTTATTTTAACCTATTTTTAAATGTATGTGCTACCTCCTGAAACTAATTATTAGCTTAGGAAGAATCTACATTGCTACAGGTGTGTCCATCATTACCTTAGGTGTGCAAGTGAAGCAGTCACCAATGTTGAAATGTGCATGTGTGTGTGAAGCTGTGGGATACACAGTAGAAATGAATGGAAAGATGCTTATTGAGTTCCCAGCCTGCTTCTTGACAAACCAAACCACTACCAAATCATTGAGCCCCCATTTCGTACACACACACACACACACACACACACACACATACACACAAACACACACACACCTTTTGTGGACTCACATAAGCTAATGGACCCACATAAGCTAATGCTTTGCCCACACCTCAGCCTCAGACCAAAGCCAATTTCCTCCCCTCTCCTGAAACCAGACCCACCCCAACATCACTGTCAGTGATGAACTGCTACACCTCCTTCAAGTGTTAGTTCAGAAACTATTTTTCCTGGTTAGCCTTCTCTGACTCACCCAGACAAATTTAGTGCTGCTTCTTCTATGCTTCTACTTCACTTTGTATATAACTTCATTATAGCAAATTATTGCACCATATTATAAGGTTGCTTTGCTTTTCTGCTTTCCTTATTAGACTGAGATCCTTAAGGCAGTGAACCCATTTGAGTCACCTAACTTTCTGTGTCTCAACTTATCTGTAAAGTGAAGATAATATTAGTTTTTATCTCAAAGGGCTGCCATAGGGGTTAAAGAGTTAATACATGTAATGTGCTGAGTTCAGGGCCTGGCGCATACTAAACACTCAATCAATGTTAGCTTTTATATTCTCTCTAGCCCCAGCACCTAATATGGTATCTGGTATAATACTGCTGTATAGCAAATGCTTTGGAATGAATGAGTGAATAATGGGAAAGTAGTACAGAATGGACACTTCTTAAAGAAGAGGTCATGGGCTGCAAGAACATTAGAAGTATCAGTTACTGTCCTAATAAGCAAGTCAAATTTAGCACGTTTTCACACATGCCTGACACACACAATTGGACTGGTCATCACTCTTATGCTTAATAACTGTCTCCTTCAGCTGACTGTAAGTTCCATTCATACACTCATTCAAAGAATATTTTTTAGCACTTGCTATGTGCCAAGCACTGTTTTAGATACAGGGAATAGAGTAGTAAACAAGAAAGAAAGCCCTGCCCTCATGGAACTTACAGTTGAGTAGGAGAAATAGACCTTATATCATATATGTTTTTATTTGTTTATAGCATCAAGTAGTGATAAGCGCAGGAGAAAAATGAAGCAGGGTAACAGGACAGAGTGTCAAGGTCTTCAGAAGTTGCAGCCCTGTCTTTTCCCAGATAGATGGTATTCCCAATCAAAGACACTTCATTTTAACCTCTTGGTATTGTGGCATAAAAAAGTGAAAGCACCAGGCACAAAAATCATGATTTCTACTGAATTGACTTTTACTGTTTCTTCATATAGATAGAGTATAAGAGTTCTTTCTTGGACCAGTGATTATTGTATTTTCCAGCAGCCTTGCTAGAATAAAGCTGCAATAGAACCAGGCTACAATAAAGCCTTGGCAGCCTACCTACATTCTGCAACTGACAAATGCTTGACAACTGATGAATGCTTGACAAACTGCCAGGCTTATCCACTTCATCTTCTTGTGCCTCTTCTACATTATAATTGGCACCTGGGAGCAGTTTGACAATTACAGACTCAACAGCTTCACCTATGTGCCCAGCCAGGTGTTTCAGTGTAACTACAAGACACATCTCTCTACTAGGAAGTAAGCAAGGTGGTAATGAGTTTCACTGTATAAAAGTACAAACACTGCAGCTGCGTATCTCCATGGGGCCTGCTGACTTCCCCCTGTGCATTGCCTGGTCTTGGTCACCTGGTGCTCCTCAAGCCAGCCCAGTGCTCTTGTGTCTTGGGGCCAGGCTGTTGTGCACTCTTCAGGCCTTCTCACGAGAATAGATGCCTTCTCCAACTCCCTTCCTTGTCAGCACCCCCTTTCAACTCCATCTCCATGGTTTATTTTATAAAGTTACGAGATCTATAAAAAGTCTAGCTGGACCTTAGTAGGACAGATGGCAAAACCACCTTGAAGATAAGGCGATTCAATAGTGGTAGATGATAACATAACTAGGTGGATTTGTAACTGGTTTAATTACCACAAGTGAACAGTGACAGTTAATAGATGGTTATCAACTTAAAGGGAGCATTCCGGAAACAGTGTAGTACAACGATTACCAGTTAGGGTTCTGGAGCCCAACTATCAGAATTTGAATTTTGGCTCAGTCACTTATTAGCCATGTGACTTGGGCCACAATAACCTCTCTATGCTTCAATTTCATTATCTGAAATGAAGATGATAGTAACATCTACCTCACAAGGTTGTAGTAAGGACTTAACAGCTTGATTTGTATTGTGCACATACTAAGGAAGTCTTGTCTACTTCAATATTTTGATCATGACTTTGCTGCAGTATTAGAAAGTTTACTGATCAAATCAGTAACTGGAAAAACTAGGAAATACTTTGGGACACTGAAGATCGGCAAGCTGAAACAATGGGCCAAATCTAGTAAGTGGAAACAACAGAGTATATCATTCAGGGTTCATTGGCTAGGCACAGACAGGACACTCTATTTACTAGTCTTATCAGGTTGTATCTAGTGAGGAAGATATAATTCCGCCCTCCCAAATAAGAATGTTATTACAAAAAATTAAATAGCACAGACAGACACAGGGTGGCCAAATAGATAAACATGTTCTCTATATAGGGATACACTTAAGGTTGAAAATAACCATAGAAATACAAGGTGAAGAACATAACATGTTGTTTGGCAGAAGCACAAACCAACAAAAAATACTTAGGGATTAGTGAACAGCAGCTCAGATTGAGTCAAAATTGGCAGTGTCTACAAAACAATGCTGTGGCATTAATAGACATGCTATTTGCAAAGATGGAAACCAAAATGTTTTCTCCATTTCCTGTTTGGGCTTCTAGAAGGCATCTAGCCTTATGTTTAGGTGGAGAGGCTGAGCAGGCACTTCCAAGCTGCCCTCAGCTTTTGTGAGGCATGGAAGAGACCCAAGAGTTTCCATCTGTCTGTCTTTGAAGGGGCCTCATTGATCATATGTTGAAATGATAGTATTTTCAGATATGTTGAGTTAAATAAAATGTATTATTAAAGTGAATTTCACATTTTTGAAAACGTGGCTACAGAAAATGTAAAAGTACACATGTGGTTTGCATTTGTGAACCATTTGTTTTATGTTAAAATAAAGGGGATTGGAGTACTTAAGGACACGTGGGCAGTTGGAAGCATCTAATAATAACATATACTGTCTTGAGAGATGACGAGTTCAATATTATAGAAAATATTCAGATGTTCTAATCCCAGTAGAAGGACTAAAATACAGAAACAGGACATATCAATATACTCAATTCTATCCCCATATCTCTTTGTTCATGACTGCTTTTGTACAAATCATTAAGGCATTCTGTTCTTTAGTTTTCTCATATTCATAGAATCCTTTGAGCTTGCAAGAGGAATAAGTAATGCAATTGATTGAATGTGATACATTTCCCATCATTGATTACATTTTCTAACCTTGATCCAAGAAAAGGGCTCCTTGGTGCTCCAGGCATTGATTGATCCGGAATAATGAAGTCTGGCCAGCTTTGGGGCCCACTGTCCTTTGCCCAAGTAAAGAAACAGAGATTAAATTCAGCTGGGTTAGTCCTAGACACTTGAGAATAAAATTATTGTCTTGAGAAAGGTTAATCTAAGCTGTGGTGAAAATAGAGAAAAACATAAAGGCTTTATGGCATACCAGTATCAATTACTATCTAAGGATATTGCTTATCCTTGTTGTCCATTTTATTTTCTAAAATTTATAATTTTGTTAATTGTTAGCACCTCTAACTAGCTGATACTGCAATTTGTTACCAACACTACCAAATAATAATATTATTTCTTCTTTTCTTTCTTTTTTTGAGATGGAGTCTTGCTTTGTCACCCAGGCTGGAGTGCAATGGCATGATCTTGGCTCACTGCAACCTCCACCTCCTGAGTTCAAGCAATTCTCCTGCCTCAGTCTCCTAGGTAGCTGGGACTACAATCGCGTACCACCATGCCCGACTAATTTTTGTATTTTTAGTAGAGACGGAGTTTCACCATGTTGGCCAGGCTGGTCTTGAACTCCTGACCTCAGGTGATCTGCTTGCCTCAGCCTTGCAAAGTGCTGGGAGGCATGAGCCAACGTGCCCCGCCTATTATTTATTACGCAATGTATGTTCATTGTAGAAAAATCAGAAAATGAAAAGTAAAAATTAGTAAAAATACAAATAAAAGACATTTTAAAATGTAACCCTTCCACCTAGTGAAAAATGTTACTATTTTGGTGTAAAACTCTCACGCCTCCTTTTCAAGAGGATTTTTTTTTACCTCACAACAACATAGGTTGGCAAACTTTTTCTGTAAAGGGCCAGATAGTAAATCATTTAGGCTTTGCATATTATATGGTCTCTGTTGCAACTATGTTACTGCTGCTGTAGCCATAGATGATATGTAAATTAATGGACGTGGCTGTGTTCCAAAATAAGGCTTTATTACGGATGCTGAAATTTGAATTTTATAATTTCACATGTCATGAAATAGTCTTCATCTTTTTGACAATTATTTAAAAATGGAAAATCTGTTCATAGCTCACATGCCATACAAAAACAGGCAGTGTGCTGCATTTAGCCTGTGGGCAGTAGTGCTCTAAAACAATTTCTGAGAATTCTCTATAGACCCTAGTCAAACTTTACCATTACTGCTCATAGGAAAGTATAGCTTCCTGCTGCACTGAAAAGAATTGACTCAAGGAAGAAATACTGAAGGTAGGGAGGATATTTAAGGAGGCAGTGTCATTGCCCAGGTAAGAAATGATGGTGACCTGAGTTAAGATGGCCACAGTGGGAAGTGGAGAGGAGGAGATGTATTTGAGAGGCACTTATGGAATAGAACTAATAGAAGCATGGAGATGGATTCATTATCTGAGATTCTCCACCAGATTATTAAAAAAAGATATAATCAGCCCAGGTTCTTGGAGCAAAAATAATAGTATTTACCATATTGTCCTGAAGCTGTAATCTGAAAATCTCTAATGTGTCCAGAAGCCATTCCCAGGGGAGTCTGACACTCTGAAATGAAACGGGTGGAACACAGTAACTAGAAGTGCACAAAATTCAGCTTCTCAAATGTAAGTCAATGAAAATGGGAGAACGTCAACAAATGCTATTTTTTAGTGTTTAAATGTGCCAAGAACTGTACTCAACGTTTTACTGTATTAGTTCATTTAATTAATCCTAACAGGTGCTAGAATGATTCACATTTTACAGCTGAAGAAACTGGGGTCCGTACATAAATAGACCAGTGGCTCTCTTACTTGTTTAGGGTTAAATCTCCAAACTCTTCCAAGTAGTATTTCTAAGTTATCTGGTAACTAAATCAACATTAAATTCCAAAATCTGCTACTGGAGATCTTCGAGCTTTACCAAGTTGTGAAAATGAGGTGGTATTTTTTTTTTGTCAATTATTTAGAGCTTCAGGTACAAAGTGTTCAAAGCTTCAAGTATATCTGCCCTACTCTGAGAACTCTGATGATTTCTACCAGCAATATTCATTTTAAATTTGATAATGATGTAAACTTGTATTTATTTCCTGACACAAGCAACCATTCCAGAAAGGAAGAAAGCTGTAAAGAAGTAGGCTGAGTAGGTAGGGAACCTCTGCCCACATTGCTACTCACTATTGCTGTACACCAGAAAAAGTGTGCTCATCCCAGCATGTAGATGCTCGCCAATAAGGCATTCCACCCGCCAAATTCCAGCTTTGGATGGTAACATTTCCACTGTCTCAAAAACACCTTATAAAAACCAACAGGAACAGAAATTATTTCTTTTCACTAAAAAATGAGCATGAGATACATTGGTTTATGCGAAATATCAGAGTAGACCTACCAAATTTGGTAGTTCCACTACTTTTGGACCCCTCAAATGCAAAGTGCTTGCTACGTGACCCTTACAGTTGGGGGTTGTGGAGATTGAGTTCTGACCACTCCCCTCCCCCCAGGAGATGAGAAACAGGGTGACTGAATTCTTTGATGGTTGGGACAGGAGAATGCTACTGCATTATGATTGACCTACATTCCCAGGGTCTTTCTGAGCAAAAGGTGTGTTTCCCATTGGCCAGATGTGGACTCTGTGAAACAGATAAGTCAGGGTGAGTTCCCTCTGGATCCAGTCCACTAGAGCTGCCTACAAGGGTAAAGTTACCCCAGCAACAAGAAGCTGCAGGTGAACACTGAGGGCTGAGAAATGAGTCACAAGTGACCACCCAGAGTAAAGGTGGAAGAAATCATGTCAAGGGGATTTCATGACAGTCACGTAAGGGAGTCTCTAAAGAGTTCCCTGAAAGTGCCCTGCAGGAGAAAGAGTCAACAAGTATTGCCAGGCACAAACAGTGTTAAGCTAGTTTACAACAATGGTGCCAGCTGTAAATAGGTAAGAACTATCTTATCCCCTTACCTTTAACCTATCCATGTTGGAGTTCAAAACAGCAGCTATAAAGGGGTTGTGGGGAAGCACGATCATCACAAGGTACAGAAACAGAGGACTCAACCATGTCTCCCTTTTCCAATGCAGACTTCCAGCCTGATGCAGGCTCAAGTTGGAGGAGGGGAGATTGAAGTTAAATCAAGTTTACAATTTTGATTAATATCTTGGGATGGACATTGTAATTTCTGATTTGAACTGTATTTGTGACATAAAGTGACTTTAGTCCTGTTTATTACTTAAGGGTGAGCAGAAAAGTTACAGGGCTTATCAGAATTTTTACGAAGAAATAAGGAAAGTTTACCCCCGCTATTAAACTGGATGGTTTTTTTTTTTTAGAGACAGGGTCTTGCTCTGTTGTCCAAGTTTGAGTGCAGTGGCACTTTCATAGCTCACTGCAGCATCAACCTCCTGGGCTCAAGCAATCCTTCCACTTCAGCCACCCAAGTAGGTGAAGTAGCTGGGACTACAGGTATATACCACATGTCTGGCTAATTATTTTTTGTAGAGATGGGGGTCTTGCTTTGTCACCCAGGCTGGTCTTGAACTCCTGGCCTCAAGCAATCCTCCAACCTTGGCCTCCCAAAGTGCTGGGATTACAAGTGTGAGCCATCGCACCTGGCCAAATCTATTTTAAAGGGACAGTGAAGAACCAAAATAAAATTGTGTTGTGATCAACATTATGAGTAGTGCTTAATCAATATACTGGTTACATACATAAACAAATGACTCTTTGGATGACTACTGGTGCCCTATGGGATTTGAGATGGTAAATGATAAAGGAATAAATTCCTTTTCCCTAGGAAAGTACTGTGACATTAATTATCCATTTATTCTGTTCTATTTCCTTTTTAGCAATTTTTCTATATCTGAAATTATCTTGTTCATTTGCTTTGAACAAATGGTTTAAAAAGCATTTGAAAAAGTATTACTTAAGAGCATGGAGCTTGTCTGCTTTGATCACTGATTGTGTTCCCAGTGCCTAGACCATTTAAAGTAAGTACTCAACAAATAGAGTAGGTAGAAGAAAGAGCACAAACAAGCTCATACCTGGATAGAGATTGTACAGTGCCATTTTATACTCCTCTTTTTTTCGTACAGTGAACACATGTCCACTGAAATGAATAGAATGGATGTTTTCATTGCTGCCCATGCTGAGCAGATACCATCGAATCCTTTGATCCTGAGCCATTACTAAGCCAGGTAGTGTATCCATTATGTAGCCATTGATTGCTGGAGAAGGACACAGAGAAGCCTGTTAAAATCTATTATATAAGTTTCTTTCTCTCCACTCCACCAAAAAAACTGACATCTATGAGGATTCCACTCCCACAGATATACTCTAAATAAATACAATGTTCAAGTCCCTGGATCAAGTCTCATTTGTCAAAGTGCAATCTGCATTTCACAGTGATAATGTTTGGATGTGGAATATATTACCATGGAAGCGATAATTCTCTTTAAAAGTGGGATCTTCCATCTGGATATTGCAGGGAGCCCTGCAGTTTCTTTCCATATTTTCAGTGAAGTACCAGCTTTTGGTCTCATCAAAGATGGTGAAAAACAGAGCAAATTCCTGTACTGTCACTTGTCTCCCATGAGCAGGGTTCAGTGTGTTAGTGTGGCAGACCAGAAGGGGTCCAATCAGGCCTGAGTGCACATCTTTTTCCTAGGGAGGGAAGACATCAATCCTATGAGTATAAGCTCTCTCACCTATGAACCAGAGTGGATTTCTCATCAATTTTTATGCCAGTCCAACCTGCCTCCCACCTTCCAAAAATATAATCCATCCTCTTCAGTAGATTCCAGAATGACATTTCTAAAACACAAATATAATGATCAACTCTCCTATTTAAAGCTTCTTATTGCACGTAGGATAAATATCAAAATTCTTAGTACACAAAGACCATTTCTTTTAAACCAAAAAGTGGTCAGCACAATAGACACCTGCTTACCAGGTCAACATCAGAGAAATAAGCCCAGGCTTTGCAGTCAAACTCATCTTTAGTGGGTGCCATATGATGTTGCACTTTCCAAAAGTAAGTTTTGGTTTCATTAGGCTTGACAAAGTTTTTTCTAGGTTCTGCTCCTTGCCTCTGATCTTCCTCATAAGAAATAAGGCTAGAATAGAAGGAATAGGGACGAGAGGCCTGATTTCTGAAAGTTACCTGTAGAACAATAACGACAAAAAAAAAAAAGCAAGAATAATCTTCTAGGATCTTAAGGTCCTTAGGGTTTACATCCCTAAAAGAAATACCTGTCTTTTGGTCTTTATCAAAGTTTTTAATACCCTGGAAGAAGTGGTACAGAAGATGGATGCTGTTAGAACTCAAACCTAATCCTGAGGAGGTTTTGTATTCTAAATTTAAGGTATGAACTCAAAGTTGCAAAGGAGAAAATTCCTAAACACATAAAAGCCATTCCAGAGTAAAAGGGAAAATGTTACTGCAGGGGTTATAAGAGACCATAACGCCAGGAGTTGATATGTAAGTTAAGGTTCTTCATGACAAATTCTAGAATGAATGCATATTATCTTTTAAAAAAGGCTTACTTTCCAGATTAAAAATTATACATATTTATCATAGAATATAATGGAAAGTAAAATAAAATGTAAGGCAAAAATTGCCCACAATTCCATAATTTTAGATCCTTCTACATCCTTAATATACACCATCAATTAATTGAAACAACGAATAGATATTTTCAGAAAAAAATAAAACTACTTTGATCTTTGGTTCACACAATGCACCAAAATAACTTTTAGTCTACAGGAAGTATTAAAAAGTTAAATGTAAAAAATTAAACTGTAAGAGAAAAACTGAGGAAAGTATAGGTGTTTTTTAAAAAATCTCTGGATAGGCAGGAATTTTTATAAACATAAAAGCAATGAAAGTGTCAAAAAGTAAAGATTGATGGGTTACTACCTAAAAATTAAAACCTGTTTTATTTCAAAAACCATCATTTATAAAATTAAGAGAAAACAAAAACTTGAAAAAGTACCTCTCATTAAAATGTTCAGTGGTTTACTATCTAATATATAAGGTAACATAATCAATAAGAAAAGCACTTCCTCCATGAAAGACAAATGTGCAAGGGACATTACCAAATAATTAATAAGAAAAACTCTTAAGATGCTCAAATACATTGCACTTCTGGAATTTTATCTTAGAAAAACTGTTGTGATTACAGCGTTATTTATATAGTGAAAAAAGAAACTGTCTAAAAGCTTGTTCAAAATAAATGGTTACATAAACTATGGTTCCATAAATTCATATAATAGACTATTATGCAGTATTTTAAAAACATACATAGGAAGTGTTTTTAATGACGTAAGAAATGTTTATGATGTGATATTTAGTAAAAAAACAAGAATCAGAATTCTGCATGGTATAATTTGAATACATAAGGAGAAAAATACATAGGAAAAATAGAACGTACACAAAGATAATTATGGAATTATTTTTCTATACTTTAAAAATTTCCAAAAGTGGGAATACATTATAGTCAGCAAGAAAATAAATATATAAAATTAATTTTCTTGTAATTCCACTGTCCTTAACTCACCATGATATTATCTTCAACTTCTGCTCTTATATATGGCCCCAGGAGTCCCAAATGTTCATTTAGTTCTCCACGGTATAAGGGCTGAGTAAAGGAGCCATCAGTAAATTCCTGGAAAACAACTTTCTTGAACTGAGGGACACTGCCACTCTGAGCCCTGGAGAAAAAAAGCAGAGGAAAAGCAATAATTTTATGTACCAAGTGGGTAGAAATGCCTCACATCCTCATTTTCCTAGGTGCCTGAGAAGCATTTTGCATAGTTAACCACTTCATCTTCCTTGAAATACTCTTGCCAAGCTTTATTAGCATGTAAGTTCCATGAAAGCTGGGGTTTTGTCTGTTTTGTTCCCTGTTGTATTCCCAGCACCTGTAACGGTGCTTGGCACAAAGTAGGTGCTCAAAAAATATTTGTCGAATGTTGAATGAATGTAAAGTTTATAAACATACTCCAAATATAAGAGAGTCCCATGGTCAAGCCCTTGGATCTCTTTTCTTTTTACTTTTTAAAGCCCTATTAAAATTGTGAACTAAAAAAATTGTGAACTAAAACATATACAATAAAGTGCATAAAACACAAATGCCTTTGGTACATAAATGCAATCATCACCCAGATCAGTAACATTGCCAACAACCCACAAGACTCACTGGATGTCCCTTTTCAATCATACTTTCTCCCTTCCCACTGAAGGTAACCACCATTCTGATCTTTATGATAATCATTTCTTTGCTTTTCTTTATAATTTTACCAGTTACGTATACATCCTTTAAAAATATAGTTTAGTTTTGCCTGTTTTGAAGTGTGTAAATAAAACATACTACATATATTCTTTTGTTTCTTCTTTCACTTAGCATTCTGGTTGTGAGATTCATCTATATTATCATATGTAGCTATAGTTTGTTCATTCCCATTGTTGTATAGTATTATATGAATATACCCTAATCACGGACATTTGAGTTGTTATAATCTTTGGCACTTTCATATGGACCTGCTATAACCTTCTGGTGCATATCTTTTGGTGAACATATATGTGCATTTCTGTTGGGCGGAATTACTAGGTATGCATGTGTTTGGCTTTGGTAGGTATTGCCACACTGTTTTCCAAAGCAGCTGGACCATTTTCCATTTTCATTAGCAATGTATGAGAGTTCCATTTGCTCCAAATTATTACAAATATCTGGTATTGACTGTGTTTTTACATTTTTGGATGTTCTATGAGGTTGAGCATCTTTTCTTATGAGTAGCAGTCATTTGGATGTCCTCTTTTGTGGAGCACCTATCCAAGCTTTTTTCTGCCAAGTTTTCTCTTGGATAATCTGCTTTTTTCTTGTTGAATCAAAAGAGTACCCTATATATCCTTGATATGCTTTTTTATATATTCCTTGATTGCTGGAGAAGAAGGACACAGAGAAGCCTGTTAAAATCTATTATATAAGTTTCCTTTGTGTGTCCTTTGTGTTATGTATTGCAAACATTTACCATTCCGTGGCTAATCTTTTCATTGTTTTTATGTTATCTTTTGATGAGCATAAGTTTGTAATTTTAATGTGTGGAATTTATAAAAAAAAACCTTATTGGCTAGGGCTTTTTGTATCTTGATGTCAATTCTCTTTCTTTCCCTACCCTGTGGTTATTGATATATTCTTTTACATTTTCTTTCTAAAATGTTTATGATTTTATATTTCACTTTTAGACTTGTAATGCAATGTGAATGGATTTTTGTGTATGGTGTGAGTTAGGAATCCAATGTAATGTTTTATCTATATAGATACCAACATTTTCCAGCATTTTATTGAAACTCTACTTCTGTGACACCTTTGTCATAAATCAAGTTTCTATATGTGTTAGACTAGTTTTGGATTTTCTATTCTATTTCATTTACCTGTTTGATTATCCCTATACCAACTGCTACATTGTTTTAATTATTATAGCTTTAAAATAAGTCTCAATATATTAGACAGCAATTACTCTCATCTTATTCTTCCTCTTCAAGAAGGACTTGGCTATTCATAAACCTTTACATTTTCATATTAATTTTAGAATCAGCTTGTTGAGCTCTACAAAAGGAACGTCTTGGGATTTTCATTCAGGTTGCACTGAATCTATAAATCAGTTTGGGAATAACCGACATTTTCAAATATCATGTTTTCCAATTCATGTACGTGGTATATCTTGAAAGTTATTTAGGTACTCTTTAAAGTTTCTCAGTAAATTTCCATAGTTTTTTTTTCCATAGACATTTTGCAAATTTTTAGCTAGACTTATTTCTAGGTACTTGTTAGTATTCTATTCCACTATTTATTTTGTTTTTACTTCCTCATTGTGTCTCACCAAGCTGACACACTCAAACTTAACTTTCCCCCTGGTCAGGACTCTCCTAGAAAGTGGCTCTCTTGGCTTATGACCATTCTCAAGGGAGAGACCTCAAGACTAAATTAGAAAGAAACCATAGCAATAAAAATCACAATGGGGGTCATCTTCCAGCTTCTAACCAGAAGGAAATCAACCACCTTCAGCTCAGCAAACCTGCAAGCAATGTGAGCTGTGTGACAATCCAACAGAGGTGGAGAGCCAGCACTGATTTGGGCTGGATGGTTCAGGAAGCCAGCTGCTTCCGTTGGCGAGTCATTTTCGCTGTCACAAGCCATATTGCCATGATAAACATCTTTGACAGACACATTCTTGACACTGAAGCCCACATTGTCCCCAAGAAGAGCTTCATTTAAAGCTTCATGGTGCAATTCAAAAGACTTTATTTCAGTTGTAATGTTAACTGGAGCAAAGCTGACCAATCATGCTGGGTTTGAGGGCACCAGTCACCACTAGGCCCACAAAGACATTACCAATACTACCAATTTTGTAGACTTCCTGGAGAGGTAGGCACAAGCCTTGTCAGTTGGATGAGCTGGTGGTATGATATAATCCAGAGCTTCAAGCGGTGTGCTACACTGGTATTGCCATCTCTGCAGGTGACTCTCCACCCTTTAACCAAGGCATGTTAGCAAGTTGTCAGCATTCCAACCAGAAATTGGCATAAATACTACTGTGTTGCGGTTGTAGCCAGTATTCTTAATGTAGGGCTGACTTCCTTATTGATTTCCACATAGCTCTGTTGGCGATGGCATAGTTCAGTGAAATCCATTTTTTAACACCAACAATTAGTTGTTTCACTTCCAGTGTGTAAACCAGAAGGGCATGCTCATGGGTCTGCCCGTTCTTAAAGATACTAGCTTCAAATTTGTTAACACCACTAGCAATAATCAGGACAGTACAGTCAACCTGAGAGGTGCCTATCATGATGTATTTTTAAATTGATACACGATAATTGTACATGTTTTGGGGATACATGTGATATTTTGATACATGAATACAATGTGTAATAATCAAATGATGGTAATTGGAATATCAATCACTTCAACCATTTGTCATTTATTTGTGTTGGGAACATTCCCAGTCTTCTCTTCTAGCTATTTTGAAACATACAATAAATCATTGTTAACTATAGTCACCCTACTGTAATATCGAACACTACAACTTATCCCTTCTATTTAAGTGTAATTTTACTGTGGGGAAAAGAAAGAGAGATCAGACTGTTACTGTGTCTATGTAGAAAGAAGTAGACATAAGAGACTCCATTTTGGTCTGTACTAAGAAAAATTCTTCTGCCTTGAGATGCTGTTAATCTGTAACCCTAGCCCCAACCCTGTGCTCGCAGAGACATGTGCGGTGTTGAGTCAAGGTTTAATGGATTTAGGGCTATGCAGGATGTGCTTTGTTAAAAAAGTGCTTGAAGGCAGTATGCTTGTCCATGGAATACTATGCAGCCATAAAAAAGGATGAGTTCATGTCCTTTGCAGGGACATGGATGAATCTGGAAACCATCATTCTCAGCAAACTATCACAAGGACAAAAAACCAAACACCGCATGTTCTTAGTCATAGGTGGGAATTGAACAATGAGAACACTTGGACACAGGAGGGGGAACATCACACACCGGGGCCTGTCATGGGGTGGGGGGAGGGATAGCATTGGGAGATATACCTAATGTAAATGACGAGTTAGTGGGTGCAGCACACCAACATGGTGCATGTATACACGTGTAACAAACCTGCACGTTGTGCACATGTACCCTAGAACTTAAAGTATAATAATAATAATAAAAAAAGTCATCACCATTCTCTAATCTCAAGTACCCAGGGACACAATACACTGCGGAAGGCCGCAGGGACCTCTGCCCTGGAAAGCCAGGTATTGTCCAAGGTTTCTCCCCATGTGATAGCCTGAGATATGGCCTCGTGGGAAGGGAAAGACCTGACCGTCCCCCAGCCCGACACCCGTAAAGGGTCTGTGCTGAGGAGGATTAGTGAAAGAGGAAGTCCTCTTTGCAGTTGAGATAAGAGGAAGGCATCTGTCTCCTGCTCGTCCCTGGGCAATGGAGTGTCTCGGTGTAAAACCCGATTGTATGTTCTATTTACTGAGAAAAGAGAAAACCGCCTTAAGGCTGGAGGTGAGACAGGCTAGTGGCAATACTGCTCTTTAATGCACCAAGATGTTTGTATACGTGCACATCAGGGCACAGCACATTTCCTTAAACTTATTTATGACACAGAGACCTTTGTTCACATGTTTTCCTGCTGACCCTCTCTCCACTATTACCCTATTGTTCTGCCACATCCCCCTCTCCGAGATGGTAGAGATAATGATCAATAAATACTGAGGGAACTGAGAGACCAGTGCCGGCGCGGGTCCTCCGTATGCTGAGCGCCGGTCCCCTGGGCCCACTTTTCTTTCCTGTGCTTTGTCTCTGTGTCTTATTTCTTTTCTCAGTCTCTCGTCCCACCTGACGAGAAACACCCACAGTGTTTCTCGTCACTGTGGGTGACGAGGGGCAGGCCACCCCTTCATTTTACACCTATTAATCAACCTCTCTTCATTCCATCCCACCCCCCCATACCATTCCCAAACTCCTTTAAGCACCATTCTACTCTCTATCTCCGTGAGATCCACTTTTTAAGCTCTCACATGTAAGTGAAAACGTGATATTTGTCTTTCTATGCCTGGCTTATTTCACTTAACACAGTGACATCCAGGCTCATCGATGTTGCCACAAATGACAGGATTTCATTCTTTTTAATGGCTGAGTAATAGTCTATTGTGTATATATACCACACAGTCTTTATCCATTCATCTGTTGATGTATACTTAGGTTGATTTTATATCCTAGCTATTGTGAATGGTGCTGTAATAAATGTTGGTGTGCAACTATCTCTTTGATACACTGATTTCCTGTCTTTGGATATATATCCAGCAGTGGGATTGCTGGATCACATGGTCGTTCTATTTTTAGTTTCTTGAGGAACATACATACTCTTTTCCATAGTATCTGTACTAATTCACACTCCCACCAATAGTGTACAAGCATTCCCCTTTTGCCACATCCTCATCAGCATTCATTATTTTTTGTCTTTTTGATAAAAGTCATTTAACTGGAGTGAAATATCCATTGTGCTTTTGGTTTGCATTTATCTGGTAATTAGTGATGTTGAGCAGTTTTTCATATACCTGTTGGCCATTTGTATGTTTTCTTTTGAGAAATGTTTATTCAGATCTTTGTTCATTTTTAATAGGATCCTTTGCTTTTTTGCCATTGACTTGTTTGAGTTCCTTATATATTCTGGTTATTAATACCCTCTCAGTTGTATAGTTTGCAAATATTTCATCCCATCCTGTAGGTTGTCCCTTCACTTTGTTAATTGATTCCTTTGTTGTGCGGAAGCTTTATAGCTTGATATAATCCCGTTTGTCTACTTTTGCTTTAGTTGTCTGTGCTTTTGATATTTCCCAGGCCATAAAATATTTCCCAGACCAATGTCCTGGAGCATTTCCCCAATGTTTTCTTCCAGTAGCTTCATACTTTCAGGTTGTATATTTAAGTCTCTAATCCATTTTGATTTAATTTTTGTATACAGTGAGAGATAGGGGTTTAGTTTAATTCTTCTGCATGTGGATATCCAGTTTTCCCAACATCATTTATTGAAGAGACTATTCTTTCACCAATGCATATTCTTGGCACTTTGTCAAAAATGAGTTGGCTCTAAATGTGTGGATTCATTTCTGGGTTCTCTGTTGTGTTCCACTGGCATATGTTTCTGTCTTTATGCCAGTACCATGCTGTTTTGGTTACTACAGCTTTGTAGTATAGTTTGAAATAAAGTAGCATCATGCCTCCAGCTTTGTTCTCTTTGCTCAGGACTGCTTTGGATATTTAGGGTCTGTATTAGTCTGTTTTCCTGCTGGTATAAAGAACTGCCTGAGACTGCATAATTTATAAAGGAAAGAGGTTTAATTGACTTACAGTTCCACATGGCTGGAGAGGCCTCAGGAAACTTACAATCATGGTGGAAGGTGAAGGGGAAGCAAGGCACCTTTTTCACAAGGTGGCAGGAGGGAGAGGTGACAGAAGGGGAAATGCCAGATGCTTATAAAACCATCAGATCTCATGAAAACTTACTCACTGTCATGAGAACAGCATGGGGGAACCTGCCCCCATGATCCAATCACTTCCTACTGGGTCCCTCCCATGACACATGGGGATTATTTTGCCTTACATGAAATGTAAGGCAAAAATTGCCCTTGCCCACAATTCCATAATTTTAGATCCTCCTAGATCCTTAATATAAACAATCAATTAATTGAAAAAATGAATAGATGTTTTCAGAAAAAAATAAAACTACTTTGATCTTTGGTTCACACAATGCACCAAAATAACTTTTAGTCTACAGGAAGTATTAAAAAGTTAAATGTAAAAAATTAAATTGTAAGAGAAAATTGAAGAAAGTATTGTTTTTTTTTAAAAAATCTCTGGATAGGCAGGAATTTTTACAAACAATATACTACAATTCAAGATGAGATTTGGGTGGGGACACAGAGCCAAACCATATGTTTCCACCCATGGCCCCTCCCAAATCTCATGTCCTCACATTTAAAAACAGAATCATGCCTTTCCAACAGTCCCCCAAAGTGTTAGCTCATTCCAGCCTTAACCCAAAAGTCCAAGTCCAAAGTCTCATCTGAGACAAGGAAAATCCCTTCTGTTTATGAGCCTGTAAAATCAAAAGCAAGTTAGTTCCTTCCTAGATACAATAGGGGTACAGGCATTGGGTAAATACACTCATTCCAAATGGGAGAAATTGGCCAAAACAAAGGGGCTACAGGCCCCATGCAAGTCTGAAATCCAATAGGGCAGTCATTAAACCTGAAAGTTCCAAAATGTTCTCCTTTGACTCCGTGTCTCACATTTAGGTCACCCTGATACAAAAGGCAGGCTCCCACAGCCTTGGGAAGCTCCACCCCCATAGCTTTGCAGGGTACAGCCCTGCTCCTGGCTGCTTTCATGGGCTGGCATTGAGTGCCTGTGGCTTTTCCAGGCCCACGGTGCAAGCTCTCAGTGGATCTACCATTCTGGGGTCTGGAGGACAGTGGCCCTCTTCTCACAGCTCCACTAGGCAGTGCCCCAGTGGTGACTGTGTGGGGGCTCCCACCCCACATTTCTTTTCCTCACTGCCCTAGCAGAGGTTCTCCACGAGGGCTCTGCCTCTGCAGCACACCTCCGCCTGGACATCCAGGCATTTCCATACATCCTCTGAAATCTAGGTGGACATTCCCAAACCTCAATTTTTGTCTTCTGTGCACCCACAGAACAAAGGCTGGGGGCTTGCACCCTCTGAAGCTATAGCCCAAGCTGTACTTTGGCCTCTTATAGCTGGAGTGGCTGGGACACAGGGCACCAAGTCCCAGGCTGAACACTGCAGGGGAGCCCTGGACCCAGGCCACGAAAGCATTTTTCCCTCCTAGGCCTCCAGGCCTGTGATGGGAGGGGCTGCTGCGAAGGTCTCTAACATGCCCTGGACACATTTTCCCCATTATCTTGGTGATTAACATTTGGCTCCTTGTTAATTATATAAATTTCTGTAGCTGGGTTGAATTTCTCCCCAGAAAATGGGTTTGTCTTTTCTACTGCATCATCAGGCTGCAAACTTTTCAAACTTTTATGCTCTGTCACTCTGGAATGCTTTGTTGCTTAGAAATTTCTTCTGCCAGATACCCCAAATCATCTCTCTCAAGTTCAAAGTTCCACAGATCTCTAGGGCAGGGGCAAAATGCTGCCAATCTCTTTGCTAAAGCATAGCAAGAGCCACCTTTATTCCTATTCCTAACAAGTTCGTCATCTCCATCTGATACCACCTCAGTCTGAACTTCATTGTCCATATCACTATCAGCATTTTGGTGAAAGCTATTCAATGATTCTCTAGGAAGTTCCAAACTTTCCCAGATTTTCCTGTCTTCTTCTGAGCCCTCCAGGTCTCTAGGAAGTTCCAAACATTGCCACATTTTCCTGTCTTCTTCTGAGCCCTCCAAACTGTTCCATCCTCTGCCTGTTACACAGTTCCAAAGTTGCTTCCACATTTTCAGGTATCCTTATAGCAGTGCCCCCCCTACCTCGGTACCAATTTACTGTATTAGTCTGTTCTCATACTGCTATAAAGAACTGCTGGAGACTGGGTAATCTATAAAGGAAAGAGGTATAATTGACTCACAGTTCCGCATTGCTGGGGAGGTCTCAGGAAACTTGCAATCATGGTGGAAGGCGTAGGGGAAGCAAGGCATCTTCTTCACAAGGTGGCAGTGGGAATAAGTGCCAGCAGGGGAAATGCCAAACACTTAGAAAACCATCAGATTTCATGAGAACTCACTCACTATCACGAGAACAGCATGGGGGAAAACTGCCCCCATGACCCAATCACTTCCCACTGGGTCCCTCCCACGACATGTGGGGATTATGGGAACTACAATTCAAGATGAGATTTGGGTGGGGACACAGCCAAACCATATCTGGGTCTTTTGTGGTTCTGTACAAATTTTAAGACTGCTTTTTCTATTTCTGTGAAAAATGTTATTGGTATTTTGATAGGTAATACATGAAATCTAGTAGTATTGATATTTTAACAATATGAATTCTTCCATTCTATGAACATGGGATAGATACCTTTTCATTTTTTGTGTGTCTTCTTCAATTCCTTTCATCAGGGTTTTACAGTTGTCAGTATAGAGATCTTTCACCTCTTTGGTTAAATTTGTTCCTAGATATTTATTTTTATTATAGCTATTGAAAATGAAAATGCTTTTATGATTTCTCTCTCGGATTGTTAGCTCTTGGTATATAGAAATGCTACTGATTTTTGTATGTTGGTTTTGCTTCTTGCAACTCTACTGAATTTGTTGATCAGTTCTAACAGTTTTTTGGTGGAGTGTTTAGGTTTTTCTAAATATAACATTATATCGTCTACAAACAAGGGGAATTTGATTTCTTTTTTTCTAATTTGAAGGCCCTTTGCTTAATTGCTCCATCTTGGACTTCCAGGACTGCATTTAATAGAATTGATGAAAGTGGGCATGCTTGTCTTGTTCCAGATCTTAGAGGAAAGGCTTTCAATTTTTTCCCATTTGGTGTAATGTTAGCTGTGGGCTTGTCATATATAACATTTACTGTTTTGAGGTATGCTCCTTTAAACCAAATTTGTTGAGAGTTTTTATCATGAAGGGATGTTGAATTTTATTCAATGCTTTCTTGACATTTATTGAAATAAATATATGGTTTTTGTCTTTCCTTCTGTTAATGTGGTGTATCACATTTATTGATTTCCATATGTTGAACTATCTTTGTGTTCCTAGGATGAATCCCCCTTGGGCATGACAAATACTCATTTTAATGTGTTGTTGAATTTAGTTTGCTAGTACTTTGTTGAGGATTTTTGCATCTATATTCATCAGCGAAGTTGGCCTGTAGTTTTCTTTTTGCTGTTGTTGTGTCTTTGTCTGGTTTGGGTATTGGGATAATGCTGGTCTTGTAGAATGAGTTTGGAAACATTCTTTTCTCTTCAATTTTTTGCAATATTAAATAGTTTCAGTATAATTGGTGTAAGTTTTTCTTCAGCAGTGAAGTCATCAGGTCCTGGACTTTTATTTAATGCCAGACTTTTTACTACTGCTTCAATCTCATTACTAGTTATTGGTCTGCTCAAGTTTTCTATTTCCTCATAGTTCAATCTTGGTAAGTTGTATGTGTCCAGAAATTTATCCATTTCTTCTAGTTTTTCCAGTTTGTTGGCATATAGTTGATCATAATAGTTTCTAGTGAAACTTTGTATTTTTGTGTTATCAGTTTTAATGACTCTTTTCATCTTTGATTTCAATTATTTGGGTCTTCTCTCATTTTTTTTCCTTAGTCTAGCTAAAGATTTTAAATTTTATCTTTCAAAAAGCCATTTTAAAAATTTCATTGGTCTTTCATATTGTTTTCTTTTTCTCAATATTATTTATTTCTATGATTATTATTATTATTTTCCTTCTACTAATTTTGGGTTTGGTTTGCTCTTGTTTTTCTATGTCCTTGAGTTACATCATTACCAGGTTTATTTGAGTCTTTCTTTTTTGATGTAGGCATTTATAGCTATAAACTTCTCTCTTAGTACCGCTTTTGTTGTATCCCATTCATTTTGGTATGTTGTTTCCATTTTCATTTGTTTCAATAAATTTCCTTCTTAATTTCTTCATTGACTTATTGGTTGTTCAGGAGCATGTTGTTTAATTTCCATGTATTTGTATAGTTTCAAACGTTCCTCTTGTCATTGATTTCTAGTTTTATTCTACTGTAGTCAGAAAAGATACTTAATATAATTTTATTTTTTTAAATGTTGAGACTTGTTTTCTGGCCTAATATATAGTCTATCCTGGAGAATGTTCCATGTGCTGATAAGAAGAATGTATATTCTGTAGTAGTTGGATAAAATGTTCTGTAAAATGTCAGGTAGGTTCATCTGGTCCAGAGTATATTCCCGGATGAACTGGAGCTCCTTTATATGTTATTTGCTTCTTTTTTCTTGCTCTTTTTAGGATCCCCTCTTTGTCTTTGACCTTTGAGAGTTTAATTATTGTATGCCTTGGGGTAGTCTTATTTGGGTTGAATCTGTTTGGTGATCTTCAGCCTTCCTATAACTGGATACTTACATCTCTCTGTAGGTTTGGAAATATTTTCTGTTATTTCTTTGAGCTTTTTATTCATTGCTCTTTCTCTCTTGAAGGCCCATGACTCTTAGATTTGTTCTACTGAGGCAGTCCTCTAGATCTTGCAAGTGTTCTTCATTCCTTTTAATTATTTTTTGTCCTTTGACTGTGTATTTTCAAATAGCCTGTCTTTGAGCTCATTGATTGTTCGTTTTGCTTGATCAGTTCCGCTGTTTAGACTTTCCAGTGCATTTTTTTTTTCCGTTCAGTTGTATTTCTCAGCTCCAGCATTTCTGGTTTTTTAAATTATTATTTTGATTTCTCTGTTAAATTTATCTCATAAATTTCTCAGTTGCTTTTTTGTGTTCTTTGAGTTTCCTCAGAACTTTTATTTTGAATTATTGATTTGAGAGCTACAATTTGCCATCTCATTAGGGTTGGTCACTGGCTCCATGCTGTTTCCATTTGGAGAGGTCATAGCTCCCTATTTGCTCTTGTTTTTTATGCACATATATCTATGTCTTTGTATGAATGCTAAGTTATTTATTCCAGTCTTTGTGTCTGGCTTAGTTTGGTTTTTCAGGAGTATGCCTGTCTAAAGGTTATGTATGAATTAGAGCTTCCTTACTCTGAGATTACTGCCTCTTTTTTGGCACTAGATGGTGCTGTAAGCCCAGATTTGCTGCAGCTCTTGCAACGGCTTGGATTACTGCCTATTCCCGATTTGGGGGAGGTCCCAAACTGGATATCCTGGTTGGGTGAGACATCTGGTTAGGATTTTGTGTCCAGAGGAACCACGGGCTGAACATTCTCTCTCATTTGGTGTCTTCTTTGGCTTAGATGAAGAGCAGCCAATGTGTTTTGCATGCTGGGGTTGCTAGCCCCGCCTCCATCCTTTGTCTCTAGCTGCCCTCAGGATTTTTTTACCCTAGAGGCAATCAGGCTGCTTCCCACGGATTGAGGCAGGAATGATTTTTCTGCAAAGGAACCCAAGATGGTGGGAAAGCTGGCTCTTCATCTAGATGTCACTTTTTCTGATGTACATACTGTCAGTCTGGGGGAACTTTTCTGCATGGTGCCTGGCAGCTTGGGAAGGGGATGCTGCAGTTAAACAGGCCCATTTTTGTTATCTTCTGCTTGCAGTTTTTCTCTTCTATGTGGCCACTCAGATCCTCACAGCCTCTGTTTTGAGTTATGGGATATTCCTGGTGATAAGCTAGACACTGAATAGTTGTTTTTGGTTTTTCTGGAGGAGAGTGAAGCCAGATTGCTTCTATCCACCATTTTGGTGATATCACTCTAATCATGTTTTTTTTTTTTTTTTTTTTTTTAATAAAGCCCCTGTGTGCTGGGGCATCAATGATGGTCACAGGATATTTTTGGCCTCAGGTTTCTTTAGGAGATATCAATGGTGATATTCCATTCATGTTCAGTTTATAGTTATCCAAGACCCAAGCATACTCAAATGAGCCCTTTCCCATCTCAGCAGGTTCTTTCTCAAATTTTTCAATGGTTCCTTTGTTGATCACATCACATTTATAGATCAGATGACCAGTAGTGTTGAACTTTCCTGAGTCTACATGTCCAACGTTGATGATAGTGACATGAACCTTTTCCTTTCCCAATTTTGGCTTAGATTTAGCAGTGATTTTCATGATACTTGTGTTATGACAGCAAACCAACTGTGAATAAAGCAATTCTATATATCTTAACGCTCATAAAACATTTGACCATGTTTTATGATACTTATCTCTATTTATCCACATATTTAACTTTGTTTGCTCTTTATCCCATCTTGTCTCTCATGCCTTCCATTCTGTATCACTTTTTTATTGTCTCAAGTATAACATTAGAATATTTTAGTGGACTTTTGCTAATGGTGAAGTTTCTCTGTTTATGCTTGTCTGAAAATGTATTTCTTTCACCTTCATTCTTCAATAAAATATTTTTTAGATTTTCATTTTTATTATTATGTTAGAGCAAGTGAAGTAGCAGCAAAAGTGTCCATCATACAATCTGGCTTTCCCTGGTCCTCAGGGCAAGGAGGAAACTTGGGCAGCAGACAATCACTCAATCCTGGCAGACTCTCAGAATCTCACTTGGACCCTAAAGTGCATCTGCTTGGTGGCATTGTTCTTCATTTCTGTCTTCAGCATCCATTTTGACTTCATCCTTTGGATATAATGCATGTCTCACTTTCATGTAACAGCTGCTCCTGTGTTGCCAGTCTATCCCAGGGCTCTCTATTACTGAAGCACTCGGCCCATGGCCTCACAATATTTAGCAACTACCACAGCTCTTGACAAGCCAAATCACTGTTTGTAGTATCTCATCAAGGAGTGATGACCCACTCTGGCATCAGAAGGCAGAATCAGTTCCATGCTTTCATCATCATATTCTAAGTCCTTTCCTAAGGGCGACTCCTCAGCCTCATTAGGGTCCTCCCCTTCCTTGTGATCTGGGTAGCTACTCCTAAACTCATACAAGTCTGCAAATTCCAAAGCAGCATCACCATCTGTAAAAAGCTTACACCAGCTTTTGTCATATGTGCCTGTACAGCTTCTGTTGAGTAGAACTTCCCCTTCTCATTGCAACACAAGCAAATCTTCTCAACACAAACTTTCTCTCCCAAGTAATTAATCAGTCCCTTAAGATCTGAAAGATATTCTATATCAGTAATAAAGAAGCAGTGGACTTTGGTCATACTTGTGTCATTTTGTTAATTGCTTTCTTTCTTTTTTTTTTTTTAGATCCTTTGATCCTTTCTTCTTCTGTTGCATTCTTCCTTTATAGTTTGATGGCTTTCTGTAGTGGTATGCTTTGGACCTTTTTAAAATGTTTTGTGTATCTACTATAGGCTTTTGCTCTGTGGTTACTATGAGGCTTACACAAAATTAGCAGGCTATTTTAAACTGATAACAACTTAATTTTTATTGCATCCACAAACTCTACACTTTTATTCCCTTCCTCCTACATATTATTATTTTTTTTGAGACAGGGTCTTGCTCTGTTGCCCAGGCTGGAGTGTAGTGGTGTGATCATTGCTTACTGTAGCCTTGACCCCCCCAGGCTCAAGCAGTCCTCCCACCTCCACCTCCTGAGTAGCTGGGACTACAGGCATGCACCACCATGCTTTACTAATTTTTAAATTTTTTATAGAGATGAGATCTCACTATCCTGCCCAAGTTAGTCTCAAATGCCTGGGCTCAAGTGATCCTCCCACCTTGGCCCCCACAAAGTGTTGGGATTACAGCCATGAGCCACTGTGCCCAGCCTATTTTATGTTTTTGATGTGACAGTTTACATATTTTAATAATTTGCATTCCTTAACACATTATTATAGCTTTAGTTTTTAAAATAGCTTTCTTTGTCTTTTATCTTTTATACTAAAGATATAATTAATTTACCCACTGCCATTACACTACTAGAGTGTTTTGGATTTGACAATGTACTTATTTTTACTAGTGAGTTTTATCCTTTCATATGTTTTCATATTACTAATAAGCATCCTCTTTCTTCAGCTTGAAGAACTCCTACTAGCATTTCTTATAAAGCAGATCTAGCTTTTGTCTTTCTGAGAAAATCTTTATCACCCCTTCATTTCTGAAAGATAAAATTACTGGATATAGTATTTTTCATTGCTAGTTTTTATTTCCTTTCAGGATTTTAAATCTATATTTTCACTCCCTTCTGGTCTACAATATTTCTTCTGAGAAATCCACTAATAATCTTATACAAAGGATATGAACAGACACTTCTCAAAAGAAGACATTTATGCAGCCAAAAGACACATGAAAATATGCTCATCATCACTGGCCATCAGAGAAATGCAAATCAAAACCACAGTGAGATACCATCTCACACCAGTTAGAATGGCGATCATTAAAAAGTCAGGAAACAACACGTGCTGGAGAGGATGTGGAGAAATAGGAACACTTTTACACTGTTGGTGGGACTGTAAACTAGTTCAACCATTGTGGAAGTCAGTGTGGCAATTCCTCAGGGATCTAGAACTAGAAATGCCATTTGACCCAGCCATCCCATTACTGGGTATATACCCAAAGGACTATAAATCATGCTGCTATAAAGACACATGCACACGTATATTTATTGCGGCACTATTCACAATAGCAAAGACTTGGAACCAACCCAAATGTCCATCAATGATAGACTGGATTAAGAAAATGTGGCACATATACACCATGGAATACTATGCAGCCCTAAAAAAGGATGAGTTCATGTCCTTTGTAGGGACATGGATGAAGCTGGAAACCATCATTCTCAGCAAACTATCGCAAGGACAAAAAACCAAACACTGTATGTTCTCACTCATAGGTGGGAATTGAACAATGAGAACACTTGGACACAGGTAGGGGAACATCACACACCGGGGCCTGTTGGGGGGTGGGGGGAAGAGGGAGGGATAGCATTAGGAGATATACCTAATGTAAATGATGAGTTAATGGGCGCAGCACACCAACATGGCACATGTATACATATGTAACAAACCTGCAGGTTGTGCACACGTACCCTAGAACTTAAAGTATAATAAAAAGAAACAAAAACAAAACAAAACAAACAAACAAAAAGAAATGTTCTTTACATCCTCTCTCCTCATTCTTCCCATACTCAATTAACAGCCAGTCTTATATGCTTATCTTTAATTATACCCAACATCCTTCCATTTCTTTCCATTTCTGTCACCACCACACTGGTCTAAATAACTGTCTTCTTTTATCTGTATGACTGCAATAGCATCTTAACTGGTATCTCTGCCTCCACTCTTGCCCATGGATGCTGTGTGACACGATTCCATATAATCAGTCTTTCCTAGAGTCCTAGAGTTTGGATATAAATGGGAGACCTGCTTTTGTCTCCCTACATTTATCATTTTCTAATTCATTCAACATACATTTATTTGAACATCTGCCACGTGCCAGGCACTGTTCAAAGTTCTGGGGACACAACATTGAACAATACCTCCAAAGTTTGTGTTCTTAATGAGCTTAACTTATAGTCAGAGAAGATAGACAATAAAGAAATAAATATATAATATTTCAGGCACTGTTAAGTGCATTGAAAAAAAATGGTGGGAGCAATATTTACATACAGTGTTCAGGGAAAGCCTCACTGATAAAATGAAATTTGAGCAGCGTCCTGAAGGAAGTAAGAGAACTTGCATTAGAGTATCAGGGACATAATTTTAAGTAGAGAGAACAGAAACTGTAATGGTCTAGAGATAGGCACACATCTAGTCCATTTGAGAAGAACAAGGAGGTCAGTGTGGCTGAGGCAGGATTAACAGGAGACAATGGTAACAGATGAAGGCAGAGAGGTTGCAGAGGGTCAAATTTCGTAGGGTCTTGAAGGCCATGGTGAAGGCTTTGGAATTTACTGAGTGAGATGAAAATCCACTGGAGGATCTGAAGCAGAGAACAGTGATCAGAATTGCAATTTGAAAAATTACTTTAGATGCAATGTTGGGAAAAGACTATATGAGGGTAAGGTTGGAAACAGGAAGGCTTTGTATCAACTCTCATCTGAATTATTGCAATGGCTTCTTGCAATAATTCAGATGAGAAATGATGATAATTTAGATGTGGTTGGTAGTCACTGAGGTGTAGAGAAGAGGCTGGGGTGTGTGTGTGTGATTTATAGACTTGATTTTATTATTTTAATACCCTTTTATTATTACAGAAGCAGTGCATATGCAGTGCAGATAATTTGAAAATATAGCCAAATAACATTCAAAAAATAAAAACATCACTTTTATAGCATCTGAAGTGACACTGTATCCTCTCTTGGCTTGTAACCTGCTTTCCCTGGTCAATTATCTTCATCGTTCCATTTCAGTACATTTTCATCTTATTCAATACTAAGTCCATAATCAACCCTGACTATTTTTTGAAATGATAGCCAAGAGGATCCCCACCCAAATCTCATCGTGAATTCCCATGTGTTGTGGGAGGGACCTGGTGGGAGGTAATTGAATCATGGGGGCAGATCTTTCCTATGCTGTTCTTGTGATAGTGAATAAGTCTCATGAGAACTGATGGTTTTAAAAAGAAGAGTTTTTGGCTGGGCATGGTGGCTCACACCTGTAATCCCAGTGCTTTGGGAGGCCAAGGCGGGCGGATCATAAGGTCAGGAGTTAGAGACCAGTCTGGCCAATATGGTGAAACCCCATCTCTACTAAAAATACTGTGGACTTTTGAGTTAATGCTGAAATGAGTTATGACTTTGGGGGACTGTTGGGAAGGCATGATTGGTTTTGAAATGTGAGGACATGAGATTTGGGAGGGGACAGGGGGAATGATATGGTTTGGCTGTGTCCCTACCAAAATCTCATCTCATGTGGTGGCACATGCCTGTAGTACCAGCTACTTGGAAGGCTGAGGCAGGAGAATCACTTGAACCCGGGAGGTGGAGGTTGCAGTGAGCCAAGATCACGCCACTGACTCCAGCCTGCGTGACAGAGCAAGACTCTGTCTAAAAAGAAGAAAAGAAAAAAAAGAGTTTTCCTGCACAAGCTTTCTTTCTTTGCCTGCTGCCATCCATGTAAGACAAGACTTGCTCCTCCTTGCCTTCTGCCATGATTTTGAGGCCTCCCCAGCCATGTGGAACAGTAAGTCCATAAAACCTCTTTCCTTTGTAAATTTCCCAGTCTCAGGTATATCTTTATCAGCAGTGTGAGAACAGACTAATACAGTAAGTTGGTACCAGTAGAGTGGGGTGCTGCTGAAAAGATACCCAAAAATGTGGAAGCGACTTTGGAACTGGGTAACAGGCAGAGGTTGGAACAGTTTGGAGGGCTCAGAAGACGACAGGAAAATGTGGAAAGTTTGGAACTCTCTAGAGACTTGTTGAATGGCTTTGACCAAAAGGCTGATAATGATATGGACAATGAAATCCAGGCTGAGGTGGTCTCAGATAGAGATGAGGAACTTGTTGGGAACTGGAGCAAAGGTAACTCTTGTTATGTTTTAGCAAAGATACTGGTGGCATTTTGCTCCTGTCCTAGAGATTTGTGGAACTTCGAATTTGAAAGAGATGATTTAGGGTATCTACCATTCTGGGGCCTGGAGGACGGTGGTCCTCTTCTCACAGCTCCACTAGGTGGTACCCCAGCAGGGACTCTGTGTGTGTGCTCTGAGCCCACATTTCCCTTCTGCACTGCCCTAGCAGAGGTTCTCCATGAGGGCCCACCCCCGCAGCAAACTTCTGCCTAGGCATCCAGGTGTTTTCATACATCTTCTGAAATCTAGGCGGAAGTTCCCAAACCCCAGTTCTTGACTTCTGTGCACTCGCAGGCTCAACATCATGTGGAAGCTGCCAAGGCTTGGGACTTGTACCCTATGAAGCCACAGCCTGAGCTCTACATTGACCCCTTTCAGCCATGGCTGTAGCGGCTGGGACACAAGGCACCGACTCCCTAGGCTGCACACAGCATGGGGATCCTGGGCCCAGCCCATGAAACAACTTTTTCCTCTTAGGCCTCTGGGCCGGTGATGGGAGGGGCTGGTGTGAAGACCTCTGACATGCCCTGGAGACATTTTCCCCATTGTCTTGGGGATTAACATTCGGCTCCTCATTACTTATGCAAATTTCTGCAGCCTGCTTGAATTTCTCCTCAGAAAATGGGATTTGCTTTTCTCTAACATTATCAGGCTGCAAATTTTCCAAACTTTTATGCTCTGCTTCCCTTATGAAACTGAATGCCCTTAATAGCACCCAAGTCGCCTCTTGAATGCTTTGTTGTTTAGAAATTAATGGAAGTGCCTGGATGCCCAGGCAGAAGTTTGCTGCGGGGGTGGGCCTTCATGTAGAAACTCTGCTAGGGCAGTGCAGAAGGGAAATGTGGGCTCAGGGCACCCACACAGAGTCCCTACTGGGGTACCACCTAGTGGAGCTGTGAGAAGAGGGCCACCGTCCTCCAGACCCCGGAATGGTAGATCCATCAGAAACTTGCACCAGCATCTGGAAAAGCTACAGAAAATGCCAGCCCATGAAGGCAGACACAAGGGAGGCTGTACCCTGCAAAGCCACAGGGGTGGAGCTGCCCAAGACCATGGGCACCCACCTCTTGCATCAGCATGACTCAGATGCAAGACATGGAGTCAAAGGAGATCACTTTAGAGATTTAAGATTTGACTGCCCCGTAGAATTTCAGACTTGCATGGGGCCTGTAGGCCCTTTGTTTTGGCCAATTTCTCCCATTTGGAATGGCTGTATTTACCCAATGCCTATACCCCATTGTATCTAGGAAGTAACTAACTTGCTTTTGACTTTACATGCTCATAGGTGGAAGGGACTTGCCTTGTCTTAGATGAGACATTGGACTGTGGACTTTTGAGTTAATGCTGAAATGTGTTATGACTTTGGGGGACTGTTGGGAAGGCATGATTGGTTTTGAAATGTGAGGACACGAGATTTGGGAGGGGATGGGGTGGAATGATATGGTTTGGCTGTGTCCCTACCCAAATCTCATCTTGAATTCCCATGTTCTGTGGGAGGGACCTGATAGGAGGTAACTGAATCATGGCAGTAGGTCCTTCCCTTGCTGTTCTCATGATAGTGAATAAGTCTCACAAGATCTGATGGTTTTAAAAAGAGGAGTTTCCCTGCACAAGCTCTCTCTCTTTGCCTGTGCCATCCATGTGAGATATAACTTGCTCCTCCCTGCCTTCTGCCATGATTGTGAGGCCTCCCCAGCCATGTGGAACTGTGAGTCCATTAAACTTCTTTCTTTTGTAAATTGCCCAGTCTCAGGTATGTCTTTATTAGCAGTGTGAAAATGGACTAATACAGGATCCTTTACAGATTAGATGTTAATGTAAGAAAAAAAGAGTTGGAAAACTTCAAGATCTGTGACTGAATAACTGAAATAGGGAATGGTTTTACTTATTTATTTTTTTGAGATCAAGTCTGACTCTGTTGCCCAGGCTGGAGTGCAGTGAGGCCATCTCAGCTCACTGCAACCTCCGTCTCCCCAGTTCAAGCGATTCTCGTGCCTCAGCCTCCTGAGTAGCTGGGACTGCAGGTGTGCACCACCACGCCTGGCTAATTTTTGTATTTTTAATAGAGATGAGGTTTTGCCATGTTGCCCAGGCTGATCTTGAACTCTGGGGCTCAACCAATCCACCTGCCTCAGCTTCCCCAAGTGCTGGGGTTACAGGAGTGAGCCACCATGCCCGGCCAGGAATGGTTTTTGATTGCCATGGAGAAGGCTGAGCAATCAGCAGGTTTTGGGAAGGGGCAGGAATTAAGAGTCTAATTGTGTGCATGTTAAGGTAGGGAGTTGATATGTAAATTTTGACTTCAGGAGAGAGATCTGAGAATATCTCCAGATATTCAACTGGAATTATCTGCAGATAGATAGTACTTAAAATCATGAGGCTAAACAATGTCGTCACAGAGTGAGTATAAATAGAATAAAGAAGAAGTTGGAGAACTAATCCCTGGAGCACTCTAACCTTTAAAGATTAGGGGGATGAAGAAGGACTCGCAAAGTTGACAAAGATTGGCAGTAAGTTTAGTAGAAAAGTGAAGAAAAGTGGTGTTAGAGAAACCAAGTGAGAACCTGTATCAACGATGGAGTAATCACCTCTCAAATACTACTGAGAATTCAAATAAGATGAGGGCTAGTAATCAGTAATGTAAAGATCAATAATGACCTTGAAAATGTAGTTCTTATGAAATAATAGAGATAAAAGCTTCTTTGGAGTGGGTTAAAGAGGAGAGAATGGCAGGAAAAGATGCAAAGGCTGCAAGCAGGGACAATTATTTTAAGACGGTTTCTGTAAAGATAGGGGAGGAAATAATAGCATGATTGATGTTGATGAGATTAATCTAGTGGAGAGATAAATTGATGATGTAAGGGAGAAAAGGAGAAATTGCTGGAGCAACATTTTTTATGAAGGGAGAAGAGATGGGAATCAAGTACAAAACTGGAGAGGTTGGCCTTAGGAGCACAGACACTCTATTTATTGTAATAAGTGTGCAGGCAGAGTATATGGGTACAAATGCCAGTAAATGTGATGTTGGGAGTCTGTGGAGGTTCATTGCACAGCATCAGCTAAGAGTGAAAATGGGCATTGGAGAATGGAAAAAAGGTGCTCGAGATTTAAGGAAAACACAGAAAATCTAAGATAGAGGTCCAGGAGAATGAGAAAGTCAGTGGACTAGGGAAATAGTCTATGGTTGCAATGCAGCAATAAGGGCTTACTTGAGCTAGAAAGCAAGGTGGGAAAGTGACAAGTCATGCTTGTCCCTTCTTGTTCCTCAAACATGGTAAACTTTTTCCATTCTCAGGGCCTTTGCATTTTCTCTTCCCTCTGTCTGGAAACATCTTCTCTCAGAGCTCCATCAGCTGGCCTGTTATCATCATTTAGGTCTCAACTCCTCAAAGATGATTTCTATGACCACCACAGCTAATGTAACACTCTACCGTATTACTCTATCATATTATTCTCTCTACCATATTATTCTATTCTATCTTCTGAACAACACAATTGAGATTGCCTTATTTAGTTTTGTACTAACTTGTCTCTTGCTCTTTCCAATAGAATATAAGCTCCTGCTGTGCTGCACTCCAATGTGTACAAAAGTGTCTGGCATGTAGTAGGTGTTCCATAAATATTTGTGACTGACTGACTCTCCTTATGTTTATATTCCACATTTCTCTGTACTACTTGACTGCTCAACCTCCCTCTACTCACCTAAAAATAAAATCATCCTACTTTGCCCTCTGGATCCCCAGTATCATGAAAACCAATCCTCCCCAAGTCCTTAACCTCTTTAACACGAACTTGCTTCTTCCTTCTGCCTTGCTTAAAGTTCTCTGATGAGACTAAGATTTCCCCTGCAGCTCATAAGGTTGATAGGTGAGGTTGACTTTCTTCCTGCTCCCCATTGCTCCTTCTTGTCCCTGATTCCTCTACCCTCTTGTAAACCTCTCTTCTCTCTATCTCACCAGAGTAAGAGTTTCAAGACACCTTGATTTTTCATCCTCTAACTCTCATTGTTGGTGTCATCATCTGGTAAAGTCAAATGTCACAAGAGCAGAGCAAAGGAATAACCAATGCATTCATACCTGTTTCTTAGAACATGTGGGGAGCTACTCATCCCATAATCCCAGAGCCTCTCCACTGCAGCAATAAAATAGTGTCGTGTTTTCTTTTGAAAGCTGCGGGGGCTCTGATTTTCATCCTCATCATAAATGTCAAAATCTTCCTTCTTCATTTCAACTGATATGGTATCATCATAGTCAATTTCCTCTTGATCTGACTGAAGAGTAGTACGAGTTATTTCCCGTTGATGGCGTTTCAAGACTGGTGGGTTTTGAGAGCACAGCCTTTCAGTCCTACCTTGCTTTGCCCAGGTGACTTCTATTTCGGGCTTATTTTGTCCCTCATTTATTGCTGCTATTGCATGATTGCTTTCACAAGCGTTCAGGGACAAAATGGTATCCTTTTTCTTAAAAGCTGTTTTTTCTGGTGACTTCTCTTGGGATTTCCACTCTTCTTTTGGTATCTGAGTACCATAGTGGTTATCCCAAGCAAGAGGATCCAATAGCTTGGAGGGAGTCTTTGCAGAGCTTTCTGTTGCTACTCTCAGAAAGGGAACTTTTCCAGGTCTGTTTGCTTCATTCCACTTAATCGCTCCCTCTGTTCCCTGAAGAAGGCTCCCTTCCACGAGATCCAGATGGCCAGGAGACCCATTGCTAGTTTCCGTAGGGAATAGGTCCTTCTGATAAATGTGAACTTTTGGAAGCAATTCAACTTTGCCAGATGTTTTGGGCAAGTCTGGTTTCGGGAGAACAGTGTTCTCAACTTTCTTGTATGTGACTGAATTTGTGGCACTTGTCCCCAGGGAGCCAACCTCTCTTTGATCACCAGTCATCTCCAAGGTTAGAATGGCTAAAGAAAGGTTATTTTTTTTGGCTCCTTGTAAGAAATGACTGCTTTCTTGGACCCCAGAATCTTTCTTTCTATAAGATGCTGCTGGAAGATGAGAAGAGTTGTCTTGGAATAGGACCCTGGTCAGATATATAGGTCTAATAGATGGAAATGATGATACCTTTGCAATGGGTAATGGAGATCTATTTGCTTGAGGGATGCTATGACTCCTCGTAAGGCAATCTGATAAGGGAGACTGAGTAATGGCCCCTTTCTCCTTCTCATTGTAGTCTATCTGTGTGAGGGTGCTCGGGGTCAAATGTTTCATGTTTTTGGACCACTGGGTTGAGGTGTCATCCACAATTATCCTTTTTTCAAGTTCTGTTTCTTCTAGTGGGAGTCTGAATTGTTTCAAAGCTCTCTTACTACGTTGCGTGACAAAATTCTGCTGGCTTGTATTAGGAGATATCCTTGTGGTGCATGCATATTTCTCTACAATTTGCTTGGTTTGATTTCCCAAGCCTTCCAAGTTTTCTTCCTCCCCTTTTTTTGAGAAATGAGCTGTGTGTTTCTTTGTTCTATTTGTTGAATCATTTAATGACCTAAAATCTTGAAGTACTGGAGCATATGCCCCGTCATATGAACCTTCTACATTTTGCCTAGTGCTCAGTAAGAAAAGGTTCTTCATGAAATTCTTAGTGCCAGTCACTGTATGTATCTGAGGCAAAACTACATTCTCTTGGATTAATGTTTCCTTCTTTTCTATTTCTTCCTGAATTTTTTTTTCTTGATTGTGTGTATTATTTTCATGTAAATTATCCAAGTTAGTAAGAAATAGGTTTCTGCTGCTTGGAAAAACCATCTCTTTGAGTCCTACGTCCTTTGTAAATTCACCCTTTCCTACTACCACTTTGTTTTTCTCAGACAAGAAATTCTGACCTTCCACAGATTTTTCTGGTCCTAAGGATACTAATTGCTTTGGACTGGGGCCTTGCCCAGAGTTCAGAGAGTTCTTTCCATGAGTCCTTTGTATCCACCTTGCTGATTCTGGCAAGAATAGCATCTTAAAGAACGACATATCTGGATTTTGTGCATCTGGTGGAATGGGGCCCTCTTTTTTCTGTTGGACCATTTCCATGTTTTTTGATGAAGTAGTTTTATTTGACATATGATTTAGCCTCAAAGCTGTAGCATTTTTGTCCATAAGCATTCTGTCATGAATCAAAGGTGTCACTTTTTTAAACTCAGTGTCACTTTCTAATATATTTTGCCAGACTGATGGACTATTCTCAATTAATAATGATGGGCCATCAATGTGAGTCTTTCTATTAGTTGCTGAATTATTGGAAGTTTTGTTTGTCTTTAACAAAGAGATGCTAACTTTGAATAAGGCATTATCTTTAGTCAACAAAGCAGGTCCATGAGCTCTTTTCCCTTTAAATAACCTACCACTCTCTGTTGACGATACATTTTTTCCCCATGAACTTTCTTGGCTATTCATTAAACCTGATTCTAACAACTTTGAATCATTATTTTCTTCACTCAAGCTCAGAGGTCCACCAGACTCAGTAAGGGGAGATGACTTTTTGCCAAATAGAGTGGTATCTAATTGACTATCATAATGAACTGGCATACTTGGGGGTCCTAAGGAACTTGTATTATCAGTACCTGCTGCCAAATTGTCTGATGGAATTGTTGAAATCAGATTATTTGATGTACTAGAAACTTTGAAATCAAGTTTCTTCAACTCTGTTGCTGCAGTTGTCCCCAGTTTCTCATTTAATCTTAATTGGAGGCCTGACTCAGGGGTAAATACCATGTCCCCACTGTGATGGAGCTGTGGCCTGAAGTGTGTCATTTCAGACAGGCTGTTATTACTGTCTATTGCTCCAGGTGATGGATCATCAGAAAAAGTCTCATATTTGGCTTCTTGGAGATCAGATAAGGATAGCCCATGTGGAGTAGGACTCTGTCGCAAGAGCATCAACAAATCACTAGAGGAGACATTTTGTATTTTAGGCATAGGTGTTCTGTGTGCAAACCAAGGGTCAGTCTTCTCTATGTCATTTTCTGGAATTGTGGTGGCATTAAATTGCTTTTGCCTAGTGCTAGGGTGTCTTGAATTCTGGGAGAAGCTTCTTGGTTCAATGGCATTGTTTTTACTCAGCAAGTATGCTGAAATATCTTCATAACTGTCCTCGTAATAATCACCAGTGTTCTTGTCACAACTAGAAACCTTCAGTAAGGCGGTCATGCCTCTGTTCCGAAAGTCTGAGTTGTGGCACCCCAGAATCCATAGACCTGGAGATGAGGAAGAATAAGACTCTGGTTACTCATAACACAGATTCTAAAACGTTCTGTTAGAGGTTCTCTCCCATTCCCAGATAAATGAAAAAATACTAGTCAGTATCATTATATCACAGGTCATTGGGTTAAATCCCTGGAACATGTAATATAAAAGTGGTTTTTGCATTGCTGCTGTTGTACTATGCCTGTTTGTGACCATAAGAAAGGACTGTGATAAAAATGAATAGATATTGGGATTAAAATAGGGAAATGTAATTAATATACACAATAATGGAGGGTCTTAATAGTGACACAGAACTCTCTGAATATGACAGTGATTTAATTCAGGAAAGTATTTATATTGGCTAGATGTTATTGCTATATCACATAGTGGCACAGGTTCCTCTTAAATCCATCAGATTGCCTGGATTCAAATCCCAGTTCTACCATTTACCAGCTGTGTGACTTTGAGAAAGTCACTTAAACTTTCTGAACAATAGGTTTCTAATTTTCAAATGAGGCTAATAGTATCTACCCCATCATATAATACATTGAAATCACATAACACAATACCTAGCATCCACTGTCACCCACTTGCAGAATATGTAAGCACAAGGAAGGAGCATTTAGGTCTAGGATCCAGCTAATATAAAATTCTACCATGGTACTAGCAATATTAATTTCTACCATGAACAAGATTAGCTGAGTGAAGGAATGCAACAAGTTATAATAGGCTAATTACATGGTGGTAAAGTAGATGCATAAACATAAGAGACAAGATACACCTTTACCAAGCTACCCGTTGGGTACCTCAATAGCCTTGTCATTTCACACAGTCTTTTCAGGGAAGATCTTAACTGCATCCACCTTCTTCTCAAGGGAAGCTGCTCCCAAAAGCCCTGTGAATGCTTACATTCTATGTGCAGCCAAATTATCAATCAAGTGGCAAAGGAGAATAAAAACATATTCTAACATATAAAGACTCAGAAAATCTACCTCAAATGTCACCATTATCAGGAAGTGATTATGGAATGTTTGCCACCAAAATAAAGGAGTATCTCAAACAAGAGTAAGACCTGGTATCCAAGAACCAGGTACCTATCCTGAGGGAGGGTAAATAAAAGTCCCAAGTTGATAACTGAGCCTCAGGCCTAGAGAGAACCAGCTCAGACTGGAGCAGGGGGATGCATGCCTCTAGGAGGTCAATCTGTAAGCAAAAAGGAATACATTATATGATGGAACTCTTGAAAAAAAGAGGATAATTCAAAGGCAGACATTATAAGAAAAACAGGGAAACAATTAGAGATTCTCGTCAAACTAGTTACCAAAATGGACTTTTATTTACCCTCCCCTCTGAGAGGGGCCTGGTATTAGGAATGGTGACCAAGCTGGAGTTTAGTTTTAATGGCTTGGGTTAAAATTTTGTAATGAAAATATCTTTTTGTATTGTATGTGTGACTAATGGTAAATTTAAAACATTATAATTAATTCATAAATTTCAATCCAAGAACTTAGAGTTGGTTGTTTGATGAAAAAGTCAATAAAATAAATAACCAAATAAAAATTAAGAAATTTCACATATACAAAATTTGAAGTAAGAAAAGAGACATAATTACAGACACAAAGAAAATGAAAATAATTGTAATTCCCTTGGAGACACCTCAGCTGTCAATCTCCTCCTCCAACTTCTGACATAGGTATAAGCTATCTGGCCAAGTTGGGGTCTAGTCAGCACTACAAATATATAGATCAGTCTCCTGCCTCTGTGATCAAACCAGGGCTTTCACTGAACTAATTAATTCTGTAAGCTATTATCCGATCTTGGAACTAGTTACTAGCTGTTGAGTTGAGAAGGGAATTCGACATCCATTAAGTAGACAGAGAGTTAGGCTAAGAGCAAGCCACTTATCCTCTCGGCTAGCAAACCTTGATCAGAACATATTTGTACCTTGTTTAAGGACGAGAAAACATGCAATCTATAAATATACTACAGAACAGGGAGAAGGAAACAGAAGTCAGGAAACTTAGAGGCAATACCTACTTCTGAAAGTAATCCACTGCAGATTCTAGAGGAAAAGTAAGAACAAATATCTTGCCATACTAAAACACAAGAAGGCACAGCTTCCATAATTTAAAACCACAAAGACATAGCTTCTATAATTTAAGACTGGAAAGGGCATACACAAGGTGAAATGGTAATTCAGCTGGATGAAATAGAAAAGAATAATTATAAGAAAACTTAACACATAACAAGAGATGATCAGTTTGTGTGTGTATGGGTTCCAATAAAACCTTACAAAAACGGACAGAGACCAGACTACCCAAGGGCCATAGTTTGCCCACTCCTGATGTAGATGGTCACCCACTGTGCCTTTCATGGGGTTTCAAAAGATGACCAGTTTTTAAGGTAGTGAAGAAAGGGCTGGCCTTTCTTCTTGCTCCTTTCAGAAATTGCTGCAAATAATTAAAGACAGAGTACAATTAAGCTGGAAGATATCTGAAGCCATGAAACCACAAAATAGAAGTATAGTTAATATAAAACAGGTATCAAAAGATAAAAAGAGTGGATGCTCATGGCTGGCAGATTTCAGAAAAGTCCAAGAAGACATACTTCCTCATATCTTATACCGCCATATCTTCCCCATTTTTAATATCAAAGTCTAATTATTCCTCCTACTTCAGCCTCCCAAAGTGCTGGGATTACAGGCATGAACCACTGTGCCTGGCCTTGTTTCTTTCTTCTATCAAGGTGCAAGTATTATACTTTGATATGAAAAACAGTCAGTCATTCATTATAACAATGGGATCAGGGTATACAAGCTAGCATCGGTGGTTTTACTGGACTCCTTTCAACACAAGTCTCAAAAGGTAGGAAAGATGGGACCAGAAGAAAGAATCACATTGACAAGTCATTTTTGCACTGTAAGTCTGTTTTGCAAGGTGGGGAGGGGAGGAAAGAAATTCTGAAATGTAAACAACTCTGCAGCTTTGATCTTGATGGGCTGGAGAGAAGTAAAGGCTGAAAACTCACACATACAATCAATACCTTTCATAAGAGAATTCCTGCTAATCTAAAACTCACTCCTAATGCCTCATTGATATTAATATATCTACATAAACTTTCTGCGAAAAGTTTATTTAGAACAAACTCACCTCAATGATAAATAATAAGCAAAAAGGATCAAGATACTACAAGATAAAAGGAAGAAAGGAACAACAAGGCCAGGTGCAGTGGCTCATACTGGTAATCCCAGCACTTTGGGAAGCTGAGGTTGGAGGATTGCTTGAGCTTGGAGTTCAAGACCAGCCTGGGCAACAAAGCAAGACCCTGTCTCTACAAAAAATAAAAAAGTTAGCCTGGCATGATGGTGCATGCCTGTAGTCCCACTACTTGGGAGGCTGAGGTGGGAGGATTGCTTGAGCCCAGGAGGTTGAGGCTGCAGTGAGCCATGATCACACCACTTACTCCACCCTGGGCAACAGAGTGAGACCCTGTCTCACAAAAAGAGAAAGGAACAACAAAAACGAATAAAAGAAGAGCAGTAATAAAAAAAATGTTGCCAAGGAGAAGATAAAACTTGTAACCAAACATATCACCATAATCTAATGAGATGACCACATCTGAAAAACCAAAGTCTAATGTAGAATTAGCTATAAGAATTTATAGAAGACGTATGGGTCAATGGAACAGAATGGAGAGTTCAGAAATAAACTCTCACATTTATGGTCAATTGATTTTCAACAAGGGTGTCAAGATGACTTAATGGGAAAAGAATCATATTTTCAACAAATGGTGCCGGGACAACTGGATGTTTACATGCAAAAAATAAAAAAGAGGTTAGACCTCTTCTTCACACCATACACAAAAATTTATTCAAACTAGATCATAGACATATATGTAACAGCTACAACTATCAAACTCTTAGAAGAAAATATGGAAGTAAATGTGGCCTTGGGCTAGACAAAGCCTTCCTAGATGTGACATCAAAAGCACAAGTGACACAAGAATAAAAAGATAAATTGTATGTCATCTATGAGTTCATCAATTAACTCAACAACCCAGGAAACAATTACTGAAGTAAAAATAGGTCAATAAATGTCAACAAAACTGAACAACTAGAAGGAAAAATAGTTAGAAAACAAACTAGAACAGCATATTCAAGAGCTGTGTGACAAAATTGAACAGTATAATATATGTAAATGCAATACCAGAAGAAGAGAAAGAATTAGAAGCAATATTTGAAGACACAGATGATAAATATTTTTCAAAATTAATGATACCAAATTACAGATTGAATAAGCCTAGAGAATGCCAAAGTAACACACACACACACACACACACACACACACACACACACACACAAAAATCAAAGTAAAGAGCTTGAAGCCATCCAGATTTTTTTAAAAAGATACATTATGTACAGTTGAATGCAAATGGGAATTACAACAAACTTATTGTGAAAAACTATGCAAGTAGAAACAATGGAGCGGCATTTTTAAAGTGCTGAGGGAAAAACCAATAAAACAAAATGTAATAAAACAAAAACAACAACCACAAACCCAGAATTCTATACACAGTGAAGATATAATTCAAAAACAGAAATAAAGACTTTTCAGAGAAGCAAAAACTGACAAAATTAATTAACCAACAGACTTGCACTACAGAAAATGTTAAAAAAGACACACTGTAAATATAAGGATAGAGATAGGTTGAAAAGAAAAGAATGGGAAATATATACCACACAAACATTAAGCAAAATAAATATGATAGTGCAGGTGTATAAATTTTAGACAATGCAGACGTTTAAGGCAACAAGTACTACTTCAGACAAAAAGGACATTTCACAAAGATGAAAGAATTGATTTAATAAGAATACAACCTTAAAGTTGTAAGCACCTGATTTTATATTGCCTCATTTATTTTGAAACATTCTTACTAACAAATACAAAAATCAAAATAACAAACTCAACAATCACAGAGATGTCACAGTTTCCTCCATGTCTGTAAGAAACAGATAAAATATCAGGAAGTTTATAAGGATTTTAAAAACATGATAAAGCAACTTGACATAATAGGCAAATATATGACACTCTACCCAATAACAGCAAAGACATATTTGTTTCAAATGCAGTGGGCCATTAATCAAATTAAATTATTCACTGGGCATATAGCAAGTCTCAACAAATTTCAAATGATTGAAATAATATAGAGTATGTTATGTGATCACAGTAAAACAAATAAATCAGCAACAGAGAGAGAGCCAGAAAATCGCCATATATTGGGAAATTAAGTAAAACACTGTAAAATAACTATGAATAAAACAAGAAATAACGTAAAATTTATAAAATATTTTAAACTCAATGATAATAAAAATATGACTCATCAAAATTTGTGATATGGGGTTAAAGCAGTATATAAAGGGAAATTTATGCTTTGTATGAACTTTTAAAAAGTAAGAAATGTTGAAAATCAATGAACCAAGTTTTAATCTCAAGAAGTCAAGAAGAAAAAGAAAACTGAATCCAGAGAAAGTATTGGAATAATAACAAAAGACCAGAAATAAATGAAATGCAAAGCAAAATAAAAATAAAAATTCAACATAGAAAATAAACAAAACAAAAAAATTTTTTTAATTCCATGACCTGATGAACAAAGCAAAAATTTGATCCTATGGTAGGATTAGTAAATTTGATGAACCTATAACAAAGGCGACAAACTTTTTTTTTTTATTATACTTTAAGTTTTAGGGTACATGTGCACTAGGGGGAGGGGCGAGGGATATCATTGGGAGATATACCTAATGCTAGATGACGAGTTAGTGGGTGCAGGCGATAAACTTAAAATAGATAAAATATAAATAACAATATCAGGTATGAAAACGGAGACATCAGTACAGACATTATAAGGATGATAAAAGAACATTACAAATAACTTACTTCAAGTAAATTAAACAACTTAGATGAAAGGGACATATTTCTAGAAAAACACAATTGACAAAAACTGATACCATAAAAAATATTATAATAGCATTAAATACCAAAGAATACACTTTACAAAAATGTGCAAGACCTGTACACTAAAATTTTACAAAAACATTGCCAAGAGAAAATTTAAAAGATGTAAATAAATAACTAAACCATGCTCATGGACAGGAATACTCAATATTGTCAAGAGGTATGCTCCCCCAAATTGATCTGCAGAATCAATGTAATCCCTATCAAAACCTCAGAAGATATTTTTATTGATAAAATTGACAAGATGATTCTAAAATTTATATAAAAATCAAAGAGAGCAAAGTTGGAGGAATTATACTAACAAATATTAAAACTTACTATAAGATAGTATGTTACTGGTACAAAGATAGACCAATAAGTCAATGGAATATAAGAGATCAGGGGTTGGCAAACTTTTTCTGTAAAAAGCAACATAGTAAATATTTTAGGTTTGTAGACACATATGGTCCATGATACATATCCTTATTTGTTTTTTTGCTTTTTTTTTGTTTTGTGTGACAATTCTTTAAAAATGTAAAAAAATTCTTAGCTCAATGCCATATAAAAACAAGCTGCAAATTTGGCTTGTGGATCATAACCTACCCCTGAAATAGAGTACAGAAACAAAGCTACAGTGATACAGTCATCAGATTCATGGCAAAGACAACAGTGCAATTCAGTGAGGAAATTATTTTTTTCCAACAATTGGTGCTAGAGCAATTAAATATCCATATGGAAAAATGAACTTTTATCTGCATCACTCCATCAAAATTAATTAAAAATGAATCATAAACTTAATTGTGAACAACACAGCAATCAGACTTCTAGAAGAAAATATTTAAAATATGTAGAAAGAAAATATAGAAGGATGGCATCATGTTCTTAGGATAGGCAAAAATTTCTGAAACAGAATACAAAAGGCATTAACCATAAAAAACTGAAAAATAAGAATTAATTAAATGTAAGAACTTCTATTAACCATAATGCACCCTTAAAGGAGTGAAAAGACAAACCACAGACTGGGAGAAAACATTCACAATATGTAAATCCAACCAAGGACTTGTATCTAGGCAAAATAAAGACCCATTCTGACCAAAAACTGACAGAGAACTTTTTACTAGCCAACACACACTGAAGGAAGTTCCAAAGAAGTTTCTTCAGACAAAAAGAAAATGATCATAGATGGAAGCAAGAAATGCAGAAAAGAATGAAAGAAATGAAAGGTGTAAATATATATATATATATAAATGATATTGATTATATAAAACAATAATAATGTCTTATGGGGTTTAAAATATATGTAGAATTCAAATAAATGACAAGAGCACAAAAGGTAGGAGTGAGAAAATGAAGTCACGTTGTTTGAAGGTCTTTGCATTGGGAGCCAAGATGGCCGAATAGGAACAGCTCCAGTCTACAGCTCCCAGCATAAGTGATGCAGAAGACGGGTGATTTCTGCATTTCCAACTGAGGTACCGGGTTCATCTTACTGGGGAGTGCCGGACAGTGGGTGCAGGACAGTGGGTGCAGTGCACTGTGCGTGAGCCGAAGCAGGGCGAGGCATCGCCTCACCCAGGAAGCACAAGGGGTCAGGGAATTCCCTTTCCTAGTCAAAGAAAGGGGTGACAGATGGCACCTGGAAAATCGGGTCACTCCCACCCTAATACTGCGCTCTTCCAACGGGCTTAACAAACGGCACACCAGGAGATTATATCCTGCACCTGGCTCAGAGGGTCCTACGCCCATGGAGCCTTGCTCATTGCTAGCACAGCAGTCTGAGATCAAACTGCAAGGTGGCAGCAAGGCTGGGGGATGGGTGCCCGCCATTGCTCAGGCTTGAGTAGGTAAACAAAGCGGCCGGGAAGCTCGAACTGGGTGGAGCCCCCCACAGCTCAAGGAGGCCTGCCTGCCTCTGTAGGCTCCACCTCTGCGGGCAGGGCACAGACAAACAAAAGACAGCAATAACCTCTGCAGACTTAAATGTCCCTGTCTGACAGCTTTGAAGAGAGTAGTGGTTCTCCCAGCACGCAGCTTGAGATCTGAGAACGGGCAGACTGCCTCCTCAAGTGGGTCCCTGAATCCTGAGTAGCCTAACTGGGAGGCACCCCCCAGTAGGGGCAGACTGACACCTCACATGGCCAGCTACTCCTCTGAGACAAAACTTCCAGAGGAATGATCAGGCAGCAGCATTTGCAGTTCACCAATATCTGCTGTTCTGCAGCCTCTGCTGCTGATACCCAGGCAAACAGGGTCTGGAGTGGACCTCCAGCAAACTCCAACAGACCTGCAGCTGAGGGTCCTGACTGTTAGAAGGAAAACTAACAAACAGAAAGGACATCCACACCGAAAACCCATCTGTACGTCACCATCATCAAAGACCAAAGGTAGATAAAACCACAAAGATGGGGAAAAAACAGAGCAGAAAAACCAAAAACTCTAAGAATCAGAGCACCTCCCCTCCTCCAAAGGAATGCAGCTCCTCACCAGCAATGGAACAAAGCTGGATGGAGAATGACTTTGATGAGTTGAGAGAGGAAGGCTTCAGAAGATCAAACTACTCCGAGCTAAAGGAAGAAGTTCGAACCAATGGCAAAGAAGTTATAAACTTTGAAAAAAAATTAGACGAATGGACAACTAGAATAACCAATGCAGAGAAGTGGTTAAAGGACCTGATGGAGCTGAAAACCACGGCACGAGAACTATGTGATGAATGCACAAGCCTCAGTAACCAATGCGATCAACTGGAAGAAAGGGTATCAGCAATGGAAGATGAAATGAATAAAATGAAGTGTGAAGATAAGTTTAGAGAAAAAAGAATAAAAAGAAACAAACGAAGCCTCCAAGAAATACGGGACTATGTGAAAAGACCAAATCTACAACTGATTGGTGTACCTGAAAGTGATGGGGAGAATGGAACCAAGTTGGAAAACACTCTGCAGGGTATTATCCAAGAGAACTTGCCAAATCTAGCAAGGCAGGCCAACATTCAAATTCAGGAAATACAGAGAATGCCACAAAGATACTCCTTGAGAAGAGCAACTCCAAGACATATAATTGTCAGATTCACCAAAGTTGAAATGAAGGAAAAAATGTTAAGGACAGCCAGACAGAAAGGTCGGGTTACCCACAAAGGGAAGCCCATCAGACTAACAGCTGATCTTTCGGCAGAAACTCTACAAGCCAGAAGAGAGTGGGGGCCAACATTCAACATTCTTAAAGAAAAGAATTTTCAACCCAGAATTTCATATCCAGCCAAACTAAGCTTCATAAGTGAAGGAGAAATAAAATCCTTTACAGACAAGCAAATGCTGAGAGATTTTGTCACCACCAGGCCTGACCTAAGAGAGCTTCTGAAGGAAGCACTAAACATGGAAAGGAGCAACCAGTACCAGCCACTGCAAAATCATGCCAAATTGTAAAGACCATCAATGCTAGGAAGAAACTGAATCAACTAACGAGCAAAATAACCAGCTAACATCAAAATGACAAGATCAAATTCACACATAACAATATTAACTTTAAATGTAAATGGACTAAATGCTCCAATTAAAAGACACAGACTGGCAAATTGGATAAAGAGTCAAGACCCATCAGTGTGCTGTATTCAGGAAACCCATCTCACGTGCAGAAACACACATAGCCTCAAAATAAAAGGATGGAGGAAGATCTACCAAGCAAGTGGAAAACAAAAAAAGGCAGGGGTTGCAATCCTAGTCTCTGATAGAACAGACTTTAAACCAACAAAGATCAAAAGAGACAAAGAAGGCCATTACATAATGGTAAAGGGATCAATTCAACAAGAAGAGCTAACTATCCTAAATATATATGCACCCAATACAGGAGCACCCAGTTTCATAAAGCAAGTCCTGAGTGACCTACAAAGAGACTTAGACTCCCACACAATAATAATGGGAGACTTTAACACCCCACTGTCAACATTAGACAGATCAACGAGACAGAAAGTTAACAAGGATACTCAGGAATTGAACTCAGCTCTGCACCAAGCGGACCTAATAGACATCCACAGAACTCTCCACCCCAAATCAACAGAATATACATTTTTTTCAGCACCACACCACACCTATTCCAAAATTGACCACATAGTTGGAAGTAAAGCTCTCCTCAGCAAATGTAAAACAACAGAAATTATAACAAACTGTCTCTCAGACCACAGTGCAATCAAACTAGAACTCAGGATTAAGAAACTCACTCAAAACCGCTCAACTACATGGAAACTGAACAACCTGCTCCTGAATGACTACTGGGTACATAACGAAATGAAGGCAGAAATAAAGATGTTCTTTGAAACCAATGAGAACAAAGACACAACATACCAGAATCTCTGGGACACATTCAAAGCAGTGTGTAGATGGAAATTTATAGCACTAAATGCCCACAAGAGAAAGCAGGAAAGATCCAAAATTGACACCCTAACATCACAATTAAAAGAACTAGAAAAGCAAGAGCAAACACATTCAAAAGCTAGCAGAAGGCAAGAAATAACTAAAATCAGAGCAGAACTGAAGGAAATAGAGACACAAAAAACCCTTCAAAAAATTAATGAATCCAGGAGCTGGTTTTTTGAAAGGATCAACAGAATTGATAGACCGCTAGCAAGACTAATAAAGAAGAAAAGAGAGAAGAATCAAATAGATGCAATAAAAAATGATAAAGGGGATATCACCACCAATCCCACAGAAATACAAACTACCATCAGAGAATACTACAAACACCTCTACGCAAATAAACTAGAAAATCTAGAAGAAATGGATAAATTCCTCGACACATACACCCTCCCAAGACTAAACCAGGAAGAAGTTGAATCTCTGAATAGACCAATAACAGGCTCTGAAATTGTGGCAATAATCAATAGCTTACCAACCGAAAAGAGTCCAGGACCAGATGGATTCACAGCCAAATTCTACCAGAGGTAGAAGGAGGAATTGGTACCATTCCTTCTGAAACTATTCCAATCAATAGAAAAAGAGGGAATCCTCCTGAACTCATTTTATGAGGCCAGCATCATCCTGATACCAAAGCCGGGCAGAGACAAAACCAAAAAAGAGAATTTTAGACCAATATCCTTGATGAACATTGATGCAAAAATCCTCAATAAAATACTGGCAAACCGAATCCAGCAGCACATCAAAAAGCTTATCCACCATGATCAAGTGGGCTTCATCCCTGGGATGCAAGGCTGGTTCAATATATGCAAATCAATAAATGTAATCCAGCATATAAACAGAACCAAAGACAAAAACCACATGATTATCTCAATAGATGCAGAAAAGGCCTTTGACAAAATTCAACAACCCTTCATGCTAAAAACTCTCAATAAATTTGGTATTGATGGGACGTATCTCAAAATAATAAGAGCTATCTATGGCAAACCCACAGCCAATATCATACTGAATGGGCAAAAACTGGAAGCATTCCCTTTGAAAACTGGCACAAGACAGGGATGCCTTCTCTCACCTTTCCTATTCAACATAGTGTTGGAAGTTCTGGCCAGGGCAATTAGGCAGGAGAAGGAAATAAAGTGTATTCAATTAGGAAAAGAGGAAGTCAAATTGTCCCTGTTTGCAGATGTCAGGATTGTATATCTAGAAAACCCCATTGTCTCAGCCCAAAATCTCCTTAAGCTGATAAGCAACTTCAGCAAAGCCTCAGGATACAAAATCAATGTACAAAAATCACAAGCATTCTTATACACCAATAACAGGCAAACAGAGAGCCAAATCATAAGCGAACTCCCATTCACAATTGCTTCAAAGAGAATAAAATACCTAGGAATACAACTTACAACGGATGTGAAGGACCTCTTCAAGGAGAACTACAAACCACTGCTCAAGGAAATAAAAGAGGATACAAACAAATGGAAGACTATTCCATGCTCATGGGTAGGAAGAATCAATATCATGAAAATGGCCATACTGCCCAATGTAATTTATAGATTCAATGCCATCCCCATCAAGCTACCAATGACTTTCTTCACAGAATTGGAAAAAACTACTTTAAAGTTCATATGAAACCAAAAAAGAGCCCGCATCGCCAAGTCAATCCTAAGCCTAATGAACAAAGCTGGAGGCATCACGCTCCCTGACTTCAAACTATGCTACAAGGCTACAGTAACCAAAACAGCATGGTACTGGTACCAAAACAGAGATATAGACCAATGGAACAGAACAGAGCCCTCAGAAATAACGCCACGCATCTACAACTACCTGATCTTTGACAAGCCTGAGAAAAATAAGCAGTGGGGAAAGGATTCCCTATTTAATAAATGGTGCTGGGAAAACTGGCTAGCCATATGTAGAAAGCTGAAACTGGAACCCTTCCTTACACCTTATACTAAAATTAATTCAAGATGGATTAAAGACTTAAACGTTAGACCTAAAACCATAAAAACCCTAGAAGAAAACCTAGGCAATACCATTCAGGACATAGGCATGTGCAAGGACTTCATGTCTAAAACACCAAAAGCAATGGCAACAAAAGCCAAAATTGACAAATGGGAACTAATTAAACTAAAGAGCTTCTGCACAGCAAAAGAAACTACCATCAGAGTGAACAGGCAACCTACAAAATGGGAGAAAATTTTCGCAACCTACTCATCTGACAAAGGGCTAATATCCAGAATCTACAATGAACTCAAACAAATTTACAAGAAAAAAACAAACAACCCCATCAAAAAGTGGGCGAAGGACATGAACAGACACTTCACAAAAGAAGACATTTATGCAGCCAAAAAACACATGAAAAAATGCTCACCATCACTGGCCATCAGAGAAATGCAAATCAAAACCACAGTGAGATACCATCTCACACCAGTTAGAATGGCGATCATTAAAAAGTCAGGAAACAACAGGTGCTGGAGAGGATGTGGAGAAATAGGAACACTTTTACAATGTTGGTGGGACTGTAAACTAGTTCAACCATTGTGGAAGTCAGTGTGGCGATTCCTCAGGGATCTAGAACTAGAAATACCATTTGACCCAGCCATCCCATTACTGGGTATATACCCAAAGGACTATAAATCATGCTGCTATAGAGACACATGCACACGTATGTTTATAGCGGCAGTATTCACAATAGCAAAGACTTGGAACCAACCCAAATGTCCAACAATGATAGACTGGAGTAAGAAAATGTGGCACATATACACCATGGAATACTATGCCGCCATAAAAATGATGAGTTCATGTCCTTTGTAGGGACATGGATGAAATTGGAAATCATCATTCTCAGTAAACGATCGCAAGAACAAAAAACCAAACACTGCATATTCTCACTCATAGGTGGGAATTGAACAATGAGAACACATGGACACAGGAAGGGGAACATCACACTCTGGGGACTGTTGTGGGGTGGGGGAAGGGGAGAGGGATAGCATTAGGCGATATACCTAATGCTAAATGACGAGTTAATGGGTACAGCACACCAGCATGGCACATGTATACATATGTAACTAACCTGCACATTGTGCACATGTACCCTAAAACTTAATGTATAATAATAAAAAAAAAGAACTAATACCAGCTCTTCACAAACTATCCCAAAAATCAAGGGGGAAAAATACTTCCAAACTGATTCCACAAGGCCAGTATTACCCTGAAACCAAACCAGACAAAGACACACACATACACAAAAAGAAACTACAGGCCAATATCTCTGATGAACATTGATGCAAAAATCCTCAACGAACTACTAGCAAACCAAATTCAACAACACAGTAAAAGATCATTCATCATGATCAAGGGGGATTCATCCCAGGGATGCAAGGATGGTTCAACATATGGAAATGAATCAATGTGATACATCATATCAACAGAATGAAGGACAAAAACAAATGATCATTTCAATTGATGCCAAAAAGATTAAATTCAACATCCCTTCATGAGAAAACTCTAAACAAACTGGGTATAGAAAGCTTACCTCAAAACAATAAATGCCATATATGACAAACTACGGCTAATATCATACCAAATGTGGAAAACCAAAAGCCTTTCCTTTAAGATCTGAAACAAGATAAGGATGCCCACTTTCACCAATTCTATAAAATGTAGTCCTGGAAGTCCAAGCCAGAACAAGTAAGCAAGAGAAAGAAATAAAGGGTACCCAAATTGGAAAGGAAGAAGTCAAATTCTCCTTGTTTATAGATGACATAATCTTATATTTCACAAAAAACTAAAGACTCCATCAAAAAACTATTAGAACTGATAAACAAATTCAGTAAAGTTGCAGGATACAAAACCAACATGCAAAAATCAGTAGCATTTCTATATACCAAGAGCTAACAACCTAAAAAGAAATTTTTTAAAAATCATTTACAATAGCTATAATAAAAATAAATATATTGGAATAAATTAAACCAAAGAGCTGAGATATCTCTATAATGAAAACTAAAATACTGATAAAGGGAATTGAAGAACACACAAAAAACTGAAAAGGTATCTATCCCATTTTAATGGGCTGGAAAAACTAATATTGTTAAAATATCAATGCTACCAGATTTAATGTAATACCTATCCAAATGCCAGTGAAGTTTTTCACAGAAATAGAAAAAAGAATCTTAAAATTTGTGTGGAACCACAAAAGACTCCAAACAGCTAAATAATCTGGAGCAAAATGAACAAAGCTGGAGGCATGACACTACTTGACTTGAAACTATACTACAAAGCTGTAGTAACAAAAACAGCACGGTACTGGCATAAAACCAGAAATATATGCCAGTGGAACACGACAGAAAACCCAGAAATAAATCCACACATTTATAGCCAACTCACCTTTGACAAAGTGCCAAGAACACGCACTGGTGAAAGAATAGTCTCTTCAATAAATGGTGTGGGAAAACTGGATATCCACATGCAGAAGAATGAAACTATACCCCTATCTCTCACTATATACAAAAATCAAATCAAAATGGATTAGAGACTAAAATATACAACCTGAAAGTATGAAACTACTGGAAGAAAACATTGGGGGAATGCGCCAGGACATTGGTCTGGGAAAGATTTTGCAGGTAAGACCTCAAAAGCACAGGGGACTAAAGCAAAAGTAGACAAATGGGATTATATCAAGCCATAAAGCTTCTGGACAGCAAAGGAAACAATTAACAAAGTGAAGAGACAATTTATAGGATGGGATGAAATATTTGCAAACTATACAACTGAGAGGGCATTAATAACCAGAATATATAAGAAACTCTAGTCAATAGCAAAAAAAACAAAGAACCCTATTAAAAATGGACAAAGATCTGAATAGACATTTCTCAAAAGAAGACATTCAGGCTGGGCACGGTGGCTCACGCCTGTAATCCCAGCACTTTGGGAGGCCGAGGCGGGTGGATCACGAGGTCAGGAAATCGAGACCATCCTGGCTAACACGGTGAAACCCTGTCTCTACTAAAAATACAAAAAATTAGCTGGGTGTGGTGGCGGGCACCTGTAGTCCCAGCTACTCGGGAGGCTGAGGCAGGAGAATGGCGTGAACCCGGGTGGCGGAGCTTGCAGTGAGCCGAGATCGTGCCACCGCACTCCAGCCTGGGCTACAGAGCGAGACTCCGTCTGAAAAAAAAAAAAAAAAAAAAAAAAAGAAGACATACAAATGGCCAACAAGTATATGAAAAACTGCTCAACATCACTAATTACCAGAGAAATGCAAACCAAAAGCACAATGAGATATTTCACTCCAGTTAAATGGCTTTTATCAAAAAGACAAAATAATTAAAAAATGCTGGTGAGGATGTGGCAAAAGGGGAATGCTTGTACACTGTTGGTGGGAGTGTAAATAAGTACAAATACTGTGGAAAAGAGTAAGGAGGTTCCTCAAAAAACTAAAAATAGAACTACTACGTGATCCTTCAAACTGTTTATTAGTTGCAAGGGTGAAAATAATAACTACTCAGAGGAGAAACTAGATCCCTGTACCTCAAGGAAGAAAATGCTATAAATGACAGCATGTGAGCTAGTGGGCAAAAGAGCATACGAATGGCTAGTGAAGCATTCACAGCTGTTGGTACAAGAAAAATATAATAACTAACCTGGGTTTTCCATCGACATGAAGACAGTTTCTCCTGAGAATGGGAATAGGGTGAGTGTGTCTTCATAGACCATTTTGTGTTTGAAGGTATATCCAGAGAAGAAGACAGAAAGGAAGTCAGTCTGTGCTCCAATGCTTAGAATGTACCAGTATGCCACCTCATGCAAACAAACTGACAACTGCAAACTATCAAAAACATAGCCATTGATGCCTGCAAAAACAATGGGGAAAAGAGATTTAGACACATCACAGATTTAGTATTTTGGATTGTGATTGTCATGATACAATTAGGAATTATTATATGTTATGCCCATTATCTTATTCCCAGGAAGAGATATTATATCTTCCAAAAAAGTAGATTGTTAATAATCAGTTGGGCCCCAATCCCAATGTGAGGAGACAGTCATAAACCATCATGATAAAGATTAATTTGGATGTTATATGGGGGGCATTTTGATGAGTAGCAAGATGTTTGCATGGTCTTAAACTACACAGAGGAGAAACCAGAAAAAAACCTTTGGGTGCTTAAAGTTACCATCTGATGAAGGTCCAGATTCAAGGAAATGAAAGAAGCAGGACAAGTAGTTACTTGTACTAGATCCCTGTACTTCAAAGAAGAAAATGCTATAAATGACAGCATTGGTTGATACAACTGGAATACCAGTTGTAAATTATGGAAATGTGCTTTATCAATTTGAAGTGTCTGTTATGTAAAAGATATCTTTATTCACAGGAAATGTGTACTAAAGTATTGAGAGGTAAAGGGATGTGATGTCTGCAACTAATTTTCAAATAGAAAATAAGTAACAGAAGTGTGTATATAAAGAAAAGAAAATGAAAAACAAAATTGCAAAATGTTAAACATTTGTGAATCTGGGTAAAGGGTGTGTGCAAGTTCCATGTATTATTCTTGTAACTTTTCTGTACATTTTAAATTATTTCAAACTAAAGAGCTAAGCAAAAGTAACATTGGCCTTAGTCTATGAAGGGAATTGTTTCTGAAAGCCTCTTCCACACATCCATTCATCCATCCATTCAATAAACACTTGTCTACTCTGTTACTAGGTACTGTGTAAGATGGTTGCCCACAAACCACTAAGCAATACTTAGACATTGGCTTAGTATAACTAATTAATAATTGAAGTTTTTTTCCTATACAACATTGAGATATTATAAAGCTATTATAATTAAAAATGCAGTCTTAATGCAGAATAGATAAATATATCAAACAAAATATGGAGTCCAGAAACTGACAAGATGTAAGCGGAAACTTAATATATAATAAGTTGAAACTTAATATATAATAAAGGCAGCATCTCCAACCAGTACAGGAAAAAAATCAGCTAGTTGGTAAATGATAATAGAAAATATGACTATCCACTTGGAAAAAATAGATTCCACTTCATTTCACATAACTAACAAAAGTAAAGTCCTTTTAAATTAATCTGAATTTTGCCTAAGGGTACCTTTGCACTTGAGTCCTTGCACAACAAAGTTGCAGCCTGGCTTAGTTGATGAACTAACTGAAAGCCTAATTTAGGAATATGCTTTTATAACAAACAGCTCAGTCTCAGCCGATTATAGCAGCTGAACTTCCATCAATTGCAGGCGACTAACAGCTTCAAATAAGGCAAAAATGCCCAACTGTAATCAATTAAGCTGTCTCTAAACCTCACTTCCAATTTCTATCCATACTATGTTGCTGGCTGCTGTTCTGTATTTGGTTCTGAGGGCTATCTGATTCTAGAATCATGTATAAAAGCCAATTACAATCTTTAAAATACATTTGTTGTATTTTTGCCTTTTGACACTCCACATGGATTAAATAGTTACATGTCTTTTGTGAAATATGTACACACTACTTTTGGGTGCTGTACTAGTGGCTAGGGTTGCCATAACAATATACCACAGACTGGGAGGTGTAAATAACAGGAATGTGTTTTCTCACAGTTTTGAACACTAAAATTCCAAGATCAAGGTATTGGCAGGTTTGGTTTTTACTGACACCTCTCCTTGGCTTGGTCTTTCCTCTGTGAATATGCATCCCTGGTGTCTCTGTGTGTACACATTTCCTCTTCTTTTTTTTTTTCAAATGGAGTCTCGGTCTGTCTGCCAGTCTGGAGTGCAGTGGCGTGATCTCTGCTCACTGCAACCTCCACCTCCTGGGTTCAAGCAATCTTCTGCCTCAGTCTCCCGAGTAGCTGGGACTACAGGAGCTCGCCACCATGTCCAGCTAATTTTTGTATTTTCAGTAGAGATGGGGTTTCACCATGTTGGCCAGGATGGTCTCGATCTCTTGACCTCGTGATCCGCCCGCCTTGGCCTCCCAAAATGCTGGGATTACAGGCGTGAGCCACTGTGCCTGGCCCACATTTCCTCTTCTTATAAGGACACTAGTCATATTGGATTAGGGCCCATTGTAACAACCTCATTTTAACTTAATAAACCCCTTAAAGACCCTATCTCCAAATACAGTCACATTCTGAAATACTAGTGTTAGGGCTTCAGCATATTAATTCTAGGGGACATGATTCAGGACATAACAGGTGTATACTAGGAGTGGATTTCCTGAGTCAATAGGGTATGCCGATGTTTGGCTTTCGATGTTTGGATTTCCTGACCAGAAATTTATGAGAGTTCTCATTACTCTACATCTTTACCAATACTTGGTATGGACAGCCTTTTTAATTTTAGCCATTCTGGTGTATCTCATTGGTGGTTTTGTTTTTTTAATATCATCCTATCCAGTTTATTCCTTAACTTGCATAATGGTTATCTGAAATCACTGGAATGTAAGCTTCCTCAGGCTTAATTACTAGAATGGCTGATTCTTCTCTATCCAATCTTTTTAAATTTATTTTTTAATTGACAGGGAAAAATAGAATATATTATGATGTACATCACAATGTTTATATATGTATATATTGGAATGGGTAATTTATTAACTGTAGTCACCATAGTGTACAATAGATGTCTTTAATTTATTTCTCTTGTCTAACTGGAATTGTGTGGCAAAGTCTTTATCTCTCTGCATTTCTGAAGGAAACATTTTCTAGGTAAAGTTTTCCCAGTACTCGGAATATATCATCCCACCCTCTTCTGACCTGTAAAGTTTCTGCCTTATTGGAATTTCCTTGTATGTGGTTTGCTTCTTTTTTGTTGTTGCTTTCAGGATTCTCTCTTTGTCTTTGATATTTGACAGTTTGATTGTAACGTGTCTTCATATAGTCTTGTTTGAATCTAATCTGACTAGAGATCTTTGAGCTTCTTGTACGTGGATATTTACATCTTTCTCCAGATTTGGAAAGTTTTTGCTATCATTTCTTTAAATACACTTTCTTCCATTTTGTCTCACTCTTCTTCTAGTTACCCATATCAGAAATTTGGTAATCATCTTTGAATCCTCTTAGTCCTTTACCAAACATAGCTAATTATTTACAAAATCATGTGCCTTCTATCTTCTAAACAAATCCTGTACATGTTCCTTCCTCTTCATTCCTACTGCAATTTCCCTATCATTTGTAGGATCCATCTACGAAATAAATCATAAATCCTACAATTTTTTAAAACACAAAATTATAAAACAAACATCTAGGTCATGAAATACAATATTGCTGCTATCCCCACAAAACACATGTGTTTATTCTCAAATGAACTCTTTCTAAGAGGTAGCCACTATCTTGTCTTTTATTATAATCATGTCCTTACTAACCTTTATACTTTTCTTCCTCTGTATCCCTAAACTATATAAGTTAATTTTGCCCATTTTTGAACTTTATGTAAATAATATAATACTGTATATATTCTTTTGACACTTACCATTTTACTAAAAATTGTCTTTGTGATACTTATTCATATTGTTGTGTATAGCTTTATTTTTGTGAATCTTCATTGTCACATGGTATTTCATTGTATGAAAATAGATTATCAATTTTACTGCTAATGGAAATAGGAGTGATTTATGGTTTGGGTCTCTCTCCTCCTGGTCCTTTTTTTTCTTCTTTTCTTATCCCTCTGTCTTAGCATCTTTCTCCCTGGACTCTTCCTCTGAAGATCCTTCCCCTGTGTCTCTTGGTCTCTGCCTTTGTGTCTCTCCCTGTGCTTTCTCAGACTCTTTTTCTCAATTCCAATCTCTTCTTTCTCAATTCCAGACTCTTATCTCCACCAAAAGCTATATTAGAAATCCCAGAGGAAAAAAAATATATATCATCTTCAGTGAAATTGTTTTCTGGCTCTGCTTATGTCACTATATCTCTCTAGTTTTCATCACCGTCTCCAAGAAAATGAGACAGTTTAACTGTCCAGATACTGTGGCAAGTGCACATCCTACTTGGAAAAAGATGTGGTGGGAAAGGGAGAAATTATGAATAGAAAAAAATAGAAGAACAAATATCTAGTAAATAGCACAATAAGGAAATTATAAAATACAATATTCTATCAGGCTGAAGGAATTCTAAACCAAAGCCATGAGGCTGGAGAGAAGAGGGAGAAAAGAAAAAGCTCTGTGCCACTAGAATTAAATACTAAGCATTAGACTCTTGCACAAATGTGAAATCTGAATCCTTCAGAAGGAAAGCAATACCCTGAACTATGTAAAAAATAAAAATGCAACTCAAAGGACTAAACAACCTTAAAATTTTTAGAATAATGGATAGTAAAGGACTTTAACTCTGGAGAATAATATATCACTATTACTAGAAATTCAAGCTAAATATGAGGCTCAACCCAAAGTTAAAGGGCTAAAGCTTTGAGAGGAGGGGCATAGAATTGTAACATATGCCACATTCTGGTAGGTGAGTATAACTCACATTATAACTTTTCAAGGTTCCCATGCATTTCGTTCAGGATTTTTTTTTTTTTTTTTTGAAACGGAGTCTCACTCTGTCGCCGGCCTGGAGTGCAGTGGCACGATCTTGGCTCACTGCAGTCTCCGCCTTCCGGGTTCACGCCATTCTCCTGCCTCAGCCTCCTGAGTAGCTGGGACTACAGGCGGCCGCCACCATGCCCGGCTAATTTTTTGTATTTTTAGTAGAGACGGGGTTTCACTATGTTAGCCAGGATGGTCTCGATCTCCTGACCTCGTGATCCGCCTGCCTCGGCCTCCCAAAGTGCTGGGATTACAGGCGTGAGCCACTGTGCCCGGCCTGTTCAGGATTTTTAGTTGCATCCAGTGGGACACACAGGGAAATGTGGCTCACTCCATCTTAAACATCTTAATAATCAGAATTTCAAAAGGCATATATTGGTTTTGAAAAGACTATACTACTTATCCACTAATATAGCATGAGAACACTCTTTTATCCACAAGCCCACTAGTAATTATAATTTTGGCAGTTTGATGGGTATAAAGTGCTATCCTATTGTTATTCTATTTCGCATTTCCCTGTAGGATAGTGCAATTGGAATTTTTTACCATATTTTTGACCATTCAGATTTGTGGTATATATAAATATATACACATGTGTATGTATGCAATGGGCTGAATTGTGTTCCCCCATCCCAAATTTATACCTTGCAGTCCTAAACCCCAGTACCTCAGCATGTGACTATACCTGGAGATAGTGTTTTTAAATAGGTAGTTAGTTAAAATAAGGTCATTACGGTGGGCCCTAGCCCAACAATACTGGTATCTTTATTAGAAGAGGAGATTAGGACAAAGATATATAAAGGAGAAACCATGTGAAGACAAGGGAGAAAGCCATCTACAAGACAAGGAGAGAAGCCTCAGAAGAAACCAACGTTGCCCACATCCTGATCTCAAGCCTCCAGAGTTGTAAGACAATAGATATCTGCTGGTTAAGCCACCCAGTCTGCAGTACTTTGTTATGGCAGCACTAGAAGACTAATACAATGTATGTATGTGTTTATATATGATTATATAATTATAGAGAAAATATGTCTTAAAATATGTTACCTGGGCATGGAATGGTTGGTGAAAAGATGTAATATAGAAGGAGATAGGGAATTAAAAGGGAGAGGGAAATCAAGTAAATATTGAAAGGAAAAAATGGTGACTGGATTTTTAAAATATGGGTTATATGATCACGTGTGTTTGAGTAAAAATTATACATTTATAGGTAACATAATTGTTAAATTTATGTGCACATACAATTCATTCATTATCTGGACATCACTTTGATTACATCAATTTTTCTTTATTCACCACCCACTGGACTTAAGTGCTGCTTTACTCACTGTGCATGATGTTGGAGGCTTGGAACTCTGGATCCTCAAGCTGCACTCCAGCTGGATTGGGGAGAAAGCGTTGTATATTCTCTGTGAGGTACCAGCTTCGGTTCTCATCAAATACAGAAAACAGGATGACATTCCTCTTGTCTGACATTATCTGTTAATTACATATATTGAAAGGGGTAAAGAAATGCTACTGATGTTGTCAGGTAGGAGCTAGCAGTCTATGATGAAAGCGATGGCATGCATGTGATATATCTAATCCATTGGTTTAATTCCATTTCCTCTTAGGCATGTACCAGGGCTTGGGAGTTGAGGGTGGGTGCTATGAGCAGTGAGTATATGCTTACAACAAATGTGTCCCCAGGACAAGAGGGTGACTGATCCCACTGAACTTAGTTTTTTCTGCACCCAAGGCCATATGCTAGCTGATTTATTTGGTACAGTCTGTAGCCTTATTCTCTTCATGTTCAGATTAGAAGATTTAACTCCTTAAAGAACCAAGTGGTTATTCAGTGCCTTTCTTAAGTTAGTTAAGTCAAATGAGATACTGACTTTCCTAAACTTCCATCTAGCAACTGACCTTCCACAAGGCTATAAAAAATTAAAAATAGAAAAACAGAAATCAAATAAGAAAGATAAGGTGAACCACAAAAATGTCAAACAACACTAATACCTTAAATTTTCTGTTTAAAACATTCAAATTTTTTTCAGAAGAGCATTTTGTATATGAACCAGATTTATGAATTAGTCGCTTGCTAATTGGATCTGCTAAGATTTCATATGTAAACCTCACTAATATGTATAAACCTCATTTTTTATAACCTATAGCTATATAAACCAAAATACTGAAGAGAGGAGATTGGAGAATATAGAATAATATTTCAGTTCTCTTCCCAAAAGTGACGAAAAAACTATAGTTAGGAAAAATCGGTCAGGACAAGTACTTGGCAAAATTTATACTTCTCTGAGTTTATGTGCCATGTGTTTTATTGGCACCAAAGTTCATATACTTTACTCTCTAAACATATGAAATGTTTTCAGACTAGTAGGGATCTTATGTATCATAAATATAATCAAATGGACATGTAGTCAAGCCTCAGCAATATGGCACTGAGTTATTCTGGGGCCGAGCAATGAGTTTTTGTGAAGAACTAAGCTTTTCTTGTTCAGAGAATTTAGCTTTATTTTTTAAAGCAGTAGAAATGGTCCAAATTCTAGCCATATTTTGAAATATTTTATATCTTTCCCTATGTTTTGCCCAAAAGTATTTATTAAGCTTTTTTTTTTTTTTTTTTTTTTTTTTTTGAGACAGGGTGTCGCTTTGTCATCCAGGCTCACTGCAGCCTCGACCTCCTGGGCTCAAGCTATCTTCCCACCTCAGCCTCCTGAGTAGGTGGGACTACAGGCACACACCACCATGCCCAGCTAATTTTTTTTTTTTTTTTTTTTTTTTGTAGACAAGGTCTTACTATTTTGCCCAGGATGGTCTTGAAATCCTGAGCTCAAGCAATCCTCCTGTCTCGGCCTCCCAAAGTGCTGAGATTACAGGCGTGAGCCACCGCACGTAGCCTATTAAGCTCTTACTAAGTGAGATGCACTGTGCTATATTGTGGGAACTAGCCCCCAATATTTCAACATAGGTTCTTTTCTATTTTACCTAAGTGTCGGCCGGTCTGGGAAATAAAGAGAAAGAGTACAAAAGAGAGAAATTTTACAGCTGGGTCTCCAGGGGTGACATCACATGTCGGCAGGTTCTGTGATGCCCCCAAGCCGCAAAACCAGCAAGTTTTTATTAGTGATTTTCAAAGGGGAGGGAGTGTACGAATAGGGTGTGGGTCACAAAGATCACATGATTCAAAGGCAATAAAATATCACAAGGCAAATAGGGACAGAGCAAGATCACAAGGTAGGGCGAAATTAGAATTACTAATGAGGTTCCATGTCCTGCTGTGCATGCATTGTCATTGATAAACATCTTAACAGGAAACAGGGTTCAAGAGCAGAGAACTGGTCTGACTAGAATTCACCAGGCTGGAATTTCCTAATCCTAGCAAGCCTGGGGGCACTGCAGGAGACCAGGGCATATTTTATCCCTTATCTTCAACTGCATAAGATAAACACTCCCAGAGCGGCCATTTTAGAGGCCTCCCCCTGGGAATGCATTCTTTTCCCAGGGCTGTTCCTTGCTGAGAAAAAGAATTCAGTGATATTTCTCCTATTCGCTTTTGCAAGAAGAGAAATATGACTCTGTTCTGCCTGGCCCTGCAGGCAGTCAGACTTTATGGTTATCTCCCTTGTTCCCTGGAAATCGCTGTTATCCTGTTCTTTTCAAGGTGCCCAGATTTCATATTGTTCAAACACACAAGCTTTACAAACAATTTGTGCAGATAACGCAATCATCACAGGGTCTTGAGGCAACATACATCCTCAGCTTATGAAGATGACAGGATTAAGAGATTAAAGTAAAGACAGGCATAGGAAATTATAAGAGTATTGGTTGGGGAAGTGATAAATGTCCATGAAATCTTCACAATTTATGTTCAGAGATCGCAGTAAAGACAGGCGTAAGAAATTATAAAAGTATTAATTTGGGGAACTAATAAATGTCCACGAAATCTTCACAATTTATGTTCTTCTGCCGTGGCTTCAGCCAGTCCCTCTGTTCGGGGTCCCTGACTTCCTGCAACAGTGCTACATGCTGCAGACATGTTAATTTTGAGGTACTTTTGAGTCACCCATAATGAGATGTCCATGGAAGAAATCTAGGCTGTAGATATAAATCTGTGGGTCATCTGAAAATAGGTGGTAATTGGACATATAAAAATGGGGAGGATCAGCTAGAGAGAGCTAAATCCCAGACTGGGAATGAGTACTATAGGAAAAATCTAGGGCCTACATTCTATGGCCTATCCATCCAGCAGGCACGTTTACTACGTGAAACTCAAATTTAGTAAAAGCTAAGCTCATTTCTTTTACTGACCTATATTGCAAACCATTATATTTTCTTCAGGTTATAAGGGGACATACACTGAGAATGAAACCCAGCACTTGGAAAGGCAAGAACTCACCTGGTTTCCTCTTTGATCTACAGATTCTTTGTAGCAGATGAGGAGAGGGCCAATGAGTCCTGAAGCTAGATCTCTCTCCATATTAACGAAACTAGAGTAATAGCGGGTCAGGCACCGAGGATCTGATTTAGTTGGCCCATCTTCTACAGTCACTGTCCATTTATATTTGAATATTTCTCCTGGCAGAATTGGAAAATCCTTCAAATGTTTTACACCTACCCACAAGCAAAACCATAAATAGCTCAATTAGAGTACAACAAGCCACATATTGATAATCATGTTGTTGTTGCAAGGGTTCTACAAATCTGTATGTACATATGAAGTTTCTGAGCAAGTGGAAGCTAAAGTCGCACCTATTATAATTTTAAGATTCAAACAATTTTTTTAAAAAGTAAAAAGCTGTAATTGATTATCCGGTTGACTGTGAAAGTGTCAGGCCTGAATATATGCCAAAGAGCTTGGCATTGGAGTTTTAAGGTGTAGTCTCTGACTTCTGTGAGGAAAGGGAGCAAGAACTGAGATCTGCCCTCAGGGTAATGGGTCCTCAGGACAAGAACTGATTTTAGTAATTAAGTCTCATTCTGGGTATGTTTCATACCTGAAGATACAATCTAAATCAAAATTTTAATTTTATATTCATTCTAAGCTCTTCCTCACCTCAGTAAGTTATGCCTGACCTATGGTTAGAGGATCCATAGAAAGGGAATGGTGTTGAGGTGAGGAGTTCGAGACCAGCCTGGTCAACATGGTGAAACGCCATCTCTACTAAAAATACAAAAATTAGCCAGGTGTGGTGGCAGGCACTTGTAATCCCAGCTACTTGGGAGGCTGAGGCATGAGAATTGCTTGAACCTGGGAGGCAGAGGTTGAGCCGATATCATGCCAATGCACTCCAGCCTGGGGGATAGAGCGAGACTCTGTCTCCAAAAAAAAAAAAAAAAGAAAGAAAGAAAGAAAGGGAATGGTGTAGTATGTTCTTTCAATATTTCTGAGCCTTCTCTTCCCTTTTCCAGGAGCTGGGGGTGAGGGAGGGTAGGTAATAGAAGAAAGGGCAAACAGACTCTTGTTTAACAGGTCCTGCTGCTCTATCTTTGACAACACTATTTGGTCATCAATGTTCTCTGTGTGGGAGGTGCCCAAATGCTGGTCTTTTCATAGGACACATGTATGGTTTCTTTAGAGTTACCATGGGGACCTCAGCATTACATAGTTCCATGACATGAGAGATGTTTCTTTCAGCTATCCTTCTGCAACTCTCCTCTCCCCATCAGCTCTTCTTACTTCCAGTGATATATCCAAGACTCTATTGGTTCTGCTATCCCCTCAGCCTGCCTAACTGCCTTCTTGGGTAGAATATCTTCAAAAGGGATAAAGCCCAGCTACTTTCAACAGTATTCACTTGTTACAGAATAAACTCATGTCAAACAGCAGGAAGGTAAACTGCTCCACTCTTGCCCTCTCTTCTTGCCCACTATTATGGGCATTACAGCCTTCAAAATTCTCCATGGAAAAGCAGGTTACCAGTAACTATCCACGTATGCCTCCAAATTTCGGGACACACATTCAAAATCTCCCCAGAACTCTGTCACTATGCCATTCTTCCATAAAGAAATGCAAATAAAGAATTCTTATCGGCAATAATGAATATTAGAAAACAGGGGAAGGAATTTTTTTTGAGATGCAGTCTTGCTCTGTTGCCCAGGCTGGAGTGCAGTGGGGTGATCTTGGCTCACTGCAACCTTCACCTCCCAGTTTCAAGCAATTCTCCTGCCTCAGCCTCCTGAGTAGCTGGGATTACAGGCACACGCCACAATGCCCGGCTATTTTTTTTGTATTTTTAGTAGAGATGGGTTTTCACCATGTTGGCCAAGCTGGTCTTGAACTCCTGACCTCAAGTGATCTGCCCGCCTCGGCCTCCCAAAGTGCTGGGATTACAGGCGTGAGCCACCGCACCCAGCGGGAAAATTTTTATAACCAGTCTGTCTGCCCATCATGTGATACTGAAGGATTCAGAAAGTTCACCCTCTATGTACCACATATTTAGAAGTTACTTGAGAATATACTTCCAGAAAAACAAAAGAAGAAATCAAAAAATAGAAATGTACAAGGGAAAAGTAGTTAATGCTATTCACTACAAGAATGTCTTTAAGAAGAAAAAGATTTGGTTCCAGCACTTTGGGAGGCTGAGGCAGGCAGATCGCTTGAGCTCAGGAGTTCGACACCAGTCTGGGCAACAAGTTAACACCCCATTTCTACAAAAAATAAAAATAATAAAAAAAATTAGCTGGGCATGGTAGTGTGCGTCTGTGGTCCCAACTACTCAGGAGGCTGAAGTGGGAGGATAGCCTGAGCCTGGGAGGCAGAGGTTGCAGTGAGCCAAGATCGTGCCACTGTACTCCAGCCTGGGTGACAGAGCGAGACGCTGTCTCAAAAAAAAAATAAAAGATTTGGATAGCAAGCAATACATAGAATGATTAAGAAGCTGAAAGGCCTAAGAAATAGGGTTGAAGAAGCCTACATTTCTTTTCCGAATAAAAGAAAACAAAGTCTTACTTCAGGATACACCTTTGTGTTGGGAACATTCCAAATCCTCTCATCTAGCTATTTGAAAATAGATGTCATTGTTGACTACAGTCACCCTACAGTGCTATAGAACATTAGGACTTATGCCTCCTATCTAGCTGGAATTTTGCATCCATTAACCAACGTCTCCCTATTTCCCCCTCCCCTTCCCCTCTTTAGCCTCTAGTAACCACTATTTTATCTCTACTTCTATGAGATCAACTTTTTTCCTTCCACATATTATTTTATCTTAATAGTAAAATCACTTGAGCTGTAGAAAAGAGAGCAATCATAGCATATTACCCAGTTCTGCAGTTAACATTTATGAAAAGAAACTTGCTAAAATACTAAAATAATACAAATGCTGTTTTTTAATTTTTTAAGCTTTAGAGAAAATATATAGACAAAGCAAGGAAGAGTTATTTCAAATTACAGCACAAAATGTAAATGTTATCAAGTTTAGTTTTGTAAAAGTAAAGGAATGGCTAGCAGCAGTAGAGAAAAGAAAGGTTTGGGGAAAGGAAAAGTGAGGGGTACAGTTTTTAATATCCTTAATTTATGAAGTATGGAGTCAAAAGATATTTTCAATCCATGATTGGAAAATATCTTACTAAAAGTTGATGTTTAGTATATTTTTAAAGTTCTAATGATAGCCAATCCAACTGAAAACACTGATAAAACTGAAACAACTTGAATGGAAAAAAGCACAAAACAAAGTAAGTATATAATGTCTAAAGTTGAAAAACAAAGAGTTAGCAGTATAAGTAACTTTTTAGAGATGTAGAGATAACCACCAAAAATCAAAAACAGAAATTCTTAAAAATGGATGCCTCTAGGGAGGCAGCCCTTTTGTAGTTTTAAGCATACACATCTATTATTTTGATAAATATTCATCCAAAATTAAATAATAGAAAGAATATACATAACATCCAATCTACTAAAAGAAAAAATAAATCTTTAAACAGCAAACAATATAGTAAATAAAAACTGGAGTTGTGAACTATTTAGAAATGAATATGCGAAGAACCCTGAAAATATCAAACTAGATACCAAAAGTGAGAGTGAAACCCTGTTGAGAGAGAGAGAGAGAGAGAGCAAGGAAGAGCAATAACATGGAAGCTGCAGCAAAGAATCCTGAAAATATCAAACTAGTTACCCAAAGTGTGGAATACCACACTAGATACCAAAAGTGTGGAATGTAGCTGAAAACCGTACTCAGAAAAAAAAATTATCTTAAGTGCCAGAAGAACCAGCTTCAAGATTTTAGGGCATTTACAGTAGTTGCAGTGGAACCAATTGCAGTGGAATCTAATTGGCTGTGGAATATTTGAACATCACCGCTAGGTAATAGGAAAAACATGTCAGGCGACTCTTCACGAATTTACATGAAACATCACCTGAGGATTCCTATAATTGATTTTTATAACTTTAGACTGGAGCTTGAGGTCCGGCCAACAGCTGGAGAAAGGACCAACATAATTTTAGTTGTTATTGATGATATTTATCTCATCTGTATCTACAGGTAAAAAAGAGCTATAAATCGAGGGAATATTTACCTTTTGGTAATCTCCTTGAATACAAAGGACGGACATCAGTGATTCCGTGAGGGTAGATGTTATATGGTCTGCTTGCTTGATTCTTAAATATAATCTGAAAGTATAAGCGAGATCTAAGATCAAATCCTAAAACGACTAGGATCAACAAGAAAACTGTGGTCTAACTCCAGATAAATAAAAGTGGCCTCTATCTACATTATAGTAATTTGAGGCTAGATAAAACTCAAAATATTTGGTCTTTTCATGAAATTGTTCCTTGGCATGCATGGAGGATTGGTTCCAGGACCCCTGCAGATACCACAATCTGTGATGCTCAAGTCTCTTACTCAAAATGATGTAGTATTTGCATATAACATATGCACATCCTCTCATGTACTTTAACTCGTCTCTAGATTTCTTACAGTACATAATATAACATAAATGCTATGTAAATAGTTGTTTTACCGTATTGTTTCTTTGTATTATTGTTTATTGTTGTATTATTATCTTTTATTGTTTTGGGGTTGTTTTTTGAATACTTTCAATCAATGGTTGTTTGAATATGAGACTAGAAATCCAGTGATACTGAAAAATAAAAATAAAATCTTAAGCATCCCCAAACGACTGAAGAGACCCCTTTCTCGGCCAAGGAGACCCCAGAGATGGCTTAAAAACTGAGTTTCTGACCATGATGGGATGGGAGATCGGGCATGCCTTGTTACATTCCCTCCCTCCCTAATCTGCCGTTAGACTTTCTTTCTTAAGGGTTAAACATAAACCAGTCCTTTCTAAAGACGTGGTGGATTCCCCTCCCTTTGTGCAGTTTTATCATAACAACCGAGAAGCATTGCTTCCTGATGAGAGACCACTGACCATGGACTGGCTCTGGCCAGTTTACAGAGGCTGCCTCTGTGTCCTCTGTTTCATCTTTTGACATATACAGCCTAATTTTCATGCATCTAAATGTTAAGTCTCCACCCCAAAGTGAACATGGAATGTATGTAACATGTGTGGTTGCAGGTGCCCCATCATAAATATTCACAGCTCCTCCTGGAACCTGTTAAATATGTATACTTAGCCAACTCATTCAGCATAAATTCTTATCTCATCCTTCCTTCTTCAAAGTGCTTGCTTCCATTTGCTGCCAGAGGCTACACTTCCCAGCCTGCAACCCTTTCCACTCCAAATTTACAAACTTAGGATTCTTCAGTTGACAATGTAGAGGGCTGACAGTACTTAGGTTTCTCTCTAAAGGCCCCTTTCCACTTCTTTAAAAATTGTTTCAATTGCTTCAGGAAGTATTCTCTGCACCTTCTCACACTAATTGAAATTTAGATGCCTGGTGAGGACACTGCTTCCTCTCAGCCTTTATTACTATTTGGGCATTAAATTCACTGATAATAGAGAAAGAGACAGTGTTTCAGGAGATAAAATCTTCAGTGCATGAGCAGGCATGACCAAGAGGACAGTTGATTACAGTATTAAGCAAGGGTAGCAGGTGGTATTGCCTGATTGCACCAGCTTTAAAAGAAAACAAAGGCCTAGGTGCAGTGGCTCATGCCAGCACTTTGGGAGGCTGAGGCAGGAGGATCGTTTGAGCCCAGGACTTCAAGACCAGCCTGGGTAACACAGTGAGACCTCATCTCTACAAAAAATAAAAAAATTAGCTAGGCGTGGTGGTGCATGCCTATAGTACCAGCTACTTGGGAGGCTGAGGTGGGAGGATCACTTCAGCCCAGGAAGTTGAGGCTGCAGTAGTGAGCTGTGATCACACCACAGCACTCCAGCCTGGGTGACAGAATGAGACCCTATCTCAAGAGAGAGAGAGAGAGACAGAGACGAGAGAGAGAGAGAGAGAGAGAGAGAGAATGGAAGAGCAATAACATGGAAGCTGCAGCGAAGAACCCTGAAAATATCAATCCCACCTCCAGATCTGAGGTGTGTGATATGAGGATAAAAATGCAACTTCCACTTCTGCTCTTGTCTTAAAACCCAGTCATTCTTCCTATCCATGAGCATGGAATGTTCTTCCATTTGTTTGTGTCCTCTTTTATTTCGTTGAGCAGTGGTTTGTAGGTCTCCTTGAAGAGGTCCTTCATATCCCTTGTAAGTTGGATTCCTAGGTATTTTATTCTCTTTGAAGCAATTGTGAATGGGAGTTCACTCATGATTTGGCTCTCTGTCTGTTATTGGTGTATAAGAATGTTTGTGATTTTTGCACATTGATTTTGTATCCTGAGACTTTGCTGAAGTTGCTTATCAGCTTAAGGAGATTTTGGGCTGAGACAATGGTGTTTTCTAGATATACAATCATGTCATCTGCAAACGGGGACATTTTTTATGGCTGCATAGTATTCCATGGTGTATATGTGCCACATTTTCTTAATCAGTCTATCATTGTTGGATATTTGGGTTGGTTCCAAGTCTTTGCTATTGTGAGTAGTGCCGCAATAAACATACGTGTGCATGTGTCTTTATAGCAGCATGATTTATATTCCTTTGGGTATATACCTAGTAATGGGATGGCTGGGTCAAATGGTTTTTCTTTTGTTGCTTGTTGGTTTTGGTGTCCTATCCAATAAACTATTGTCTAATTCAAGATCACAAAGATTTATCCTGTTGTTTTCTTATAATTTTGTAGTTTTAGCTCTTACATTTTATCTTTGATCCATTTTGAGGTAATGTTTAAGTGTAGGATTCAGCATGGTATCCAGAGTATAACCTGAATAAATCAAAGAATGGGGTAGATCTATATATGTTGACATGAAATGATATCCAAAATATATTGTTACTTTTTTTTTTTTTGAGACAGAGTCTCACTCTGTTGCCCAGGGTGGAGTGCAGTGGTGCGATCTCAGCTCACTGCAACCTCCGCCTCCCAGATTCGAGCGATTCTCCTGCCTCAGCCTCCAGAGTAGCTGGGACTACAGGCATGTGCCACCATGCCTGGCTAATTCAAAATATATTGTTACCTTTTAAAAATCAAGGTACAGACCAATTTACACTGCTCTTGTTTTTGTGTGAAATGCACACACACACACACATACACACACACATTTGTACATGTATGCACTACTTCTGGAGGGGAGTATACAAACCCACAGCAATGACTGTCTGTCAGACTATGGGGTTGGAAGTCCAAGAGGGAGGAAAATTTACATTTTATTGCATGCTCTTGTTTATCTATTTTTAAATTAGCCAGTAAAAGTAACTCAAAATACACAAAAAGTACCCTATAAATATGTAAAATTATTGTGTCATTATGCATTTTAAAAATTAATGAATAAAAAATAAAATTATACAATCTTCAAAAAATGAAAAATAGAAAAAATACGTACACAAAATTTATGAAGAAAAATTGTACAATAATAGCTAATAAAAATTTTGAAGAAGTACAATGAAAGAAGATGTCATACAGATATCAAACATATCACAAAGTTGAAGTCATTAAAACAGGGTGGTAACAGATTAGTTAAGGAGAATTAAAAATCCCAGATTTTAGCAATTTAGTATATGATAAAGAAGACATTTTCAAATTAATGAAAAAAGGATTGGTTGTGTCAGCTGCCATTTGGGAAAATTTCTATTTGAATTATGCACTACATTCAAAAGTAACTTCCAGGGCAATTAGATTGCTCACTGTAAAAATAAAGCTATACAAGTAAGAGAATAAAATATAGACTATTTTTGTAGTGTCTTGGGGGTGGCAAAGACATTCTCAGGCAGAAAACATAAGTGAAAAAGATCCAGAGACATATAAATGAAAAGATTGATAAAAGATAGGAGGTTTTGACTATATAAAGATGAAAAATCTTTGAAGGACAAAAAATATCATAAAGGAGTTAAAGTACAAGTGACAATGTGAGGAAAACATTTGAAAGATAAATAACAATGTGTCAATATCCATAATCTATAAAGACCTTTTACAAATACATAAGCAAAAGATGACTGACCAAATAGAAAACTGGACAAAATTTACAAGCAGGCAATTCACAGAGGGAGTTATACAAATAGCCAACAAACATGAAACAATATACAATTTGACCACTAACCAGGGAAATGCAAATGAAGACAACATATAAACATTTTGCTCATCAAATTGGAAAATTTTCTGAAGGTTTATAATATATGTTGTTGGCAATGGTGTGGGGAAAAGGGCAGTCATATACTTATGGTAGGGGATATAAATTGGTACAAAATTGCTGAAAGTCAGTTTGGCAGTATCTAACAAAACTCCATATCTAAAAACCAGTGTTCTTCATGACATTCTTCAGCGGCTGAATTTATGGAACCAACGACCAATCTTCAAATTTCTTGTGAAGAAAATAAACCCTTATTTATTTAAACCACTGTCCATTGAGTATTCTGTTACTTACACCATACTCATTCTTAATATCCTAGATCAGGAGCAAGCAAGCATTTTTTGGAAAAGGCTGGATAGTAAGTACTCTAAAATTTGTGAGCCCTATCTAGCCTCTGTCACATATTCTCTTGCTCCTCCGCCTTCTCCTCCCCTTCCTCCCATCCTCCTTTCTTTTCTTTGCAATATTTTAAAAATGTAAAATCTCATCTAAGCTCATGGACTGTTCAAAAGCAGGCCACAAGCCAAATTTGGTTCACAGGCCATAGTCTGCTGACTCCTATATGACATAATTAATGGAGAAAGATCTGGAAGGATATGTATCAAAGTCTAAGCAGTATTTCAAAGGAGTGTCGAGTTTAGTGGGTGACATTAAATTTTTATTCTATATACTCAAACTTTAAATACATACAATCAGCTATTATTTGTGTAACATTTATAGCTTTTAAAAGATCATGTCCATTGGAGACAAGGCTGAATTATGAGGTATTTTAGAAACTCAAAACTCTCCAGACTTTTTCTTCTTACCTGACCTTAAATCTTTTCTTCAACTTACCAACAGTGTGTCTCCAACTTCCCCATAAAGTAAAGGTCCCAAGATTCCTGATTCATGCTGAATAGCTTCACGAGTCTTAAAGGTTTCATCTGTGTATGCCATAAATCGGACTTTTTTGTACTTCCTACCAATCCGCTGAGGGCCATTGTTCAAATATTGACTTTTATAACTTCTGTATAAGAGAAAAAAAGATGAGAGGTTGGGAAGAAAAATTCTAGGTAGGCTCAAATCCAACTCTAAAACAGCTTATATGATTCAATCAAGGCAAGGAGTGAGAAAAATACAAGCTTCTCTGATGCTCAGCTATGTTAGTTTCCAAATGTTAATACCCTTGCCATTTGATTCCATACCTGTACCTAACCTTAAACATGGCTTCAGGATTTGTTGGTTTGAATAACTGGTAAGAACTTTTTGAGTATGGGGAAGAGAGAGTACCAATAGTCAAAAAGTGCTTACCTGTCATCGGGGGCGAGGACTAAGGGAGCATAGTCCCAGTCCTCCTCTTCAGCAGCAATGTAATGTACCCAAGTTTTAGGATGCTTCTTGGCAACTGAGCGAATTTGGATAAAGGAAGGAGAGTTGTCATCATCAAACCTGACCACATCCATTTCAGAATCAGTAAGATCATCATCATAGTCTTCCGCTTCTTCATTATTTTTCATTCGTAGTTGGGGTTCCTCTGGACAGCTGTCTACTTTGACATAAGCTTCCATGCCATCTGGAGTCAGACAAACCAAACAATGTCAGAGTGTCTTGCTATATTAGGCTGTTCTATACCAGAGACTAGGTAATTTATAAAGAAAAGAGATTGAATTGGCTCATGTTTCTGCAGGCTATATGGGAAGCATGGTGCTGGCATCTGCTTGGCTTCAGGGAGGTCTCAGGAAGCTTACAATCATGGGGGTAGGTGAAGGGGGAGGAGACATGTCACATGGTGAAAGCAGGAGCAAGACAGAGAGTGCAAGTTGCCACACACTTCTGAATGACCAAATATCATGAAGACAGCATCAAGCCATGAGGGATTCACCCCCATGATCCAAACATCTGCCACCAGACCCCACCTCCAGCATTGGAAATTACAATTCAACATGAGATTTCAGTGAAGATAAATATCCAAACCATATCACTTGCCTTAACTTTTATGACTTCTTTCTCTCTTATTAGGCCTTCCAGGCTCTCCCCTAAGTACCCCCCCTTTCCACATCACTATCCCTTCTTGCCACAAATCATTGATTTAATAACAGCTTATTGGGAAAAATGTTAGTGTAGATATAAACTTTAAGACATGTTCCAAGTTCATAAAACCATGACAAGATACAACTTAAAATCAAGGAGATATATATTTTAAGAGCATGTCTGCCTGTGACTAGTTGTAAACCCTATGGCAAATGTATTCAACATTCTCAGTCTCATCTTCATGCTTTGTAAAATGGATAATAATAATTCCTGCCCTATTTATACCACAGGGCAATTTTGAAGATCAAATACTTCTAAGAAGGGAGACCTGTTTACTTGATTATGAGGAACAGGGAAGGTTTTAGGAGCAGCAAACAACTAGTCTGGGGTTCATGTAGCCTTAAACATAACTCAGTCTGCATCGAAAAACAAAGTGTTTGGTCTGAGGTTCAATAAGATAAAGCATTTTTTTCTGAAAAATAAAGATTAAAATTAGTGGATAGAATCTGTGAAAAGGAGAAAAACAAAACAAAAAATAAACTGAATCGGGGTCCAACTGGACAATGATTGATTGACAATGATCATATACAAGTAAATGACCTATTCCTCTGTGCCTGCAAGAATGTTGTTTGTGCATCAACTTCCTGTTACTCATTCAGTATGACACATTTTGTCCACTAAGGTCTTGTCAAAATTCCATAAATATTATGTGACACATGGGGAAGAGAGATTTCTATTCTTAATCACTACAGAAGACAATAAACAAGGTCACTAATAGAACATAAGGAGGAAAATGGTGGATGCATGGCAAGATCAATTCTCTTTTCTAAGTCAACCAAGGAACCTGAGGAGAAGGTTAATATGAGAGTAATAGGAAGAAAGAAATGCTATTAAATATAAAAGATTAGGCCTCTCCGACATTTTTCTCCAATAACTCTTGCTATGGTTTGAATGTCTGTCCCCTCCGAAACTCATATTGAAATTTAATTATCATCGTGATGGTATTGAGAGGTGAACATATAAAAGGTGTTTAGGTCATAAGCGTTCCACCCTCATGAATGGACTAATGCAGTTATCTGGGGAAAGTGTTCATGGGAGTGGATTTGTTATCACAGGAGTGAGCTCACCCTCCTCTTGCTCTCTCTCACCCTTTCTTTGCCCTTTTGTCATATAATGCCTTCCACCATGTTAAGACGCAGAAAAAGGCAACTTGATATTGGACCTCCCAGCCCCCAGAAATGTGAGCCAATAAATTTCTGTCCATTATAAATTACCCATTCTGTGGTATACTGTTATTGCAGCACAAACTGACTAAGAGCCTTCAATGGCCACGAGAGGGGTAGAGAAAGAGGGTTATTAGGTTGATCCAAGATTAAGAGTTAGCAGAATAAATACAAAAGTAAGGAAAATTGGGGTGAAATGATGATGCAATCTGAATTTGCACAACTAGCAGTTACAAATAAAGTTACATTAACAATAATTTAAAACTGTAGTTACCATCGTCCTAATTTGCTTACACAGAACCTTTGACCCTTTCCAAAGTTCCCACCAAATAGTCCTTTCAATCCCATGTTACTTCTAAAATTCACTAGCTCCTGACCTGCCCTCAGTTTCACAGGTGTCTCTCATCTACTGCCAGGTATCTACAGAGTGCCTCTGGCTGTCTGGTGTCTGAAGTCAAGCTCTACAATAGCCTGTCATATTTGCTATTTACTGCTCTGGGCATTACTAATGATATAGTGGAGCCCTTACAGTTGCAATCTGGACAATGCCTTTTTTTCCCATTTCCCTAGATTTCTCCAAAAAAAAAAAAAATCTCTTCAGCTACAACTTGCAGTTCCTCTCTCCATAATATTGGAGCGTAATTAATGGGATAAGGCTGAGAAACCAAGGGCATACTATTCTCCTCATTTTCCCACCTCAATCATCCATAAGCCATCTTTTCTCCATCACAGACATTTAACTAAAAATCCATGAGTCCTACTAATACTCAAGCCCTTTTATAGTCAAGGTAAAAACTTTACACTGGAAGCTGGAAACTAGGGGATCTTGGCTGAGGTCTAATACAGTAACTCTATAATGTCCCCTTCAGCAACACACTATATTCCTGTACATTGTCCAGTAAATTTTATTAAAAGTAGGACTGGATATTTATAATATTCATTTTAAAGATCCAAGATATTACCATGTTGGTGGGAAGAGATATGACAAAACAGTAGAAACTGTCCAAGGTCCATCAAGAGTGTTTGAGCAGTAAGGAAAGTTATTGGCGAGATTTCCAAGGACGCCTGGCGATGGTTCCTCACAAGAAATGTGTGACCTTCGAGGAATATTGAGTGCACTTCAGGAGTGGTGCCCATTCCAATCACATGCCAATAGACTGATTTCCTGTGGCATCCAATCAGACCTGTAAAGTAGGAATAAGACACCTATGGCTATGAAGTAGAGAATCTGAAATGGAAAACACTTGCTAGGACAGAATGGACAAATTGACTTTAGACACTTTATTGCTACCTTGACTTGTAAACAAATTTATCAAGAACATTGGGCTACTATCAAACCAACAGCTCTTGCCAAGGTCACCAATCACCATCATGCTGCTAAATCCAATGGACATTTTTCAGTCTTTATTTGCACCTGTTGACCATTCATTCGTTTTTAAAACTCTCTCTTCCCTTGGCCTCTGTGCCAACATCTCTGTGGGTTTTTTTCTCCTACTTCTCAGACTGCTCCTTCTTCTGTCTCCCCTGCTGACCTCTTCTGGAACTCCAGGCTCATACAGCCAATCACTTTCTCAACATCTCCACCTAGATATCTCAAAAAACCCACATGTTCAAAACCAAATTTACAATTTTCATCACTTCATTCTCTTCCAGAGTTTTTTATAACAGTGAATGGCAGCATCCTGCATTTGAATATGCAAGTGAGAGTTATCCTTGTTACCATTCTCATCTCCCATATGCAGTTTGACACTGACCAGGGCAATATAATCAATAATAGCTAATATGTATTGAGCACTTGTTTTATGTCAAGCACTGTCCAAAGTATTTTACAAGTTTTAATTCATTCATTCCTCATAACAACCCTATGAATGTAGAAACCATTATCATCCATGTCTTGCAGGAGAGGAAACGGATGCCCAGAGAGGTTAATTAATTTGCTCAGTATTTGAACCCAAGTAGTCATGTGTTCAGATCCCACACTGGTAACAACAAGGGCACAGCTGCCTCCTATTTTGGCTCTAAAAGCTTTCAAATGTATCTAGTTTTTCACTGTTACTACTACCACTATCTTAATCCAAGTTACCATTATCTCGTCTGAGCTACTGATAAACTTTTTTTACAGGTCTCCCTACAGTTGGTCATATTCTCCCCTCTAAGACTTTTACCCACAAAGAAACTGGTGTACTATTTCTGCATTCCAGATCTGATTGTAGTATCCGCCAGCCTAAAACCCACTGGAGGCTGTCATTCCACATAGAATAAAGTCCAGACTCTCTACTAAGGACTAGAAGGCCCCAATAGGTTTGATTCCTAATACCTCTAACAGCTTCATCTCACATTGCCTCATTTTCCCAGTTTCAAAGCTAAGTTCAAGGGGTACTTGCTTAGGGAAGCCTTCTCTGATTCCCCAGTCTAGGTCAGATTCCTGTATTATAGGCTTACATAGAATTATGTAATTTTCCTTCAGAGTAATGCTCAGTTTGTAATTTTGCATGTATTATTATGCTTATTTGACTACAATCTGTCCCTCCACTATAAGGTATGTGAGAACAGGAACTTGCATGTTGTCAAAATTAATTTCCTTTTTAATTATAAAATTATGCATGTTTATTATCAAATTATTGAAAAATACGGAAAAGAACTAAGGAGAAAACATCCCCCTCATACTTCATTATTCTCTTGGGTTGCTGAATCTCCCAAATTCCTCTTTTATGTAGTTTCTGGTTTTACTATAGTACACATTCAGTGACTATTAAGGCCCTCTATATATGAAAATGTCTTTTTTCTTCCCCCAAAATTGATTCATAGTTTGACTAAAAATTCTAGGTTCCAAATAATTTTTCCCTTAGATCTTTTACAATATTGCTTAATTATATCGCCAGTCTAATTCCCATTCTTTTGTATGCGTCCTGTTCCTCTCAGAAGAAGCTTTAAGTATCTTCTCTCTGTGCTCTGAAATGCCACAATGATAATTTTGTGTGTGGGTCTTTTTATTTATCCTAATGGGCAATTTTATTTTTTTAACTGTATTACTTTTTATTGACACATAAATAATTCTACAAATTTATGGGTACAATGTGATGTTTCAATACATGTATACATTGTGTAATTATTCAAATCAGGGTAATTATCATATCCATCACCTTAAATGTTTGTCATTTCTTTGTTGTGAGACCATTCAAAATCCTCTCTTCTATTTGAAATATACAATATATTATTGTTGGCTATTGTCACCCTACTGTGCAATAGAGTACCAGAACTTATTCCTTCTATCTACCTGTAACATTGTACCCATTGACCAATCTCTCCCCATCTCCCACTTCCCCCTTATCTTCCTAGAATCACTAATCTCAACTACTATGAGATCAAATTTTAAAGATTGTACATAGGACTGAGATCATGGAGTATTTGTCTTTCTCTGCCTGGCTTATTTCACTTAACATAATGTCCTCCAGGCTCATCCACGTTGTTGAAAATGACAGGATTTCATCTTTTTTAAATGGATGAATAGTATTCCATTGTGTATCTATATCACAGTTTCTTTATCCATTCATCCATTGATGGGCATTTAAGTTGATTTTATATCTTGACTATTGTGAATAATGCTGTCATAAACATGGGGATGCAGATGTTTCTTCAACATGCTGATTTCATTTCTTTTTGGTATATACCCAGTAGTGGGATTGCTAGAAAATATGATAGATCTATTTTTAATTTTTGAGGCATCTCTATACCATTATCTCTAATGGCTTAACTAATTTATATTCCCACCAACAGTGTATAAGGGTTTCTTTGTCTCCACATCCTTGCTAGCACTTGTTATTTTGTCTTTTTTATAATAGTCATTCTAACAGGGGTAAGTGATATCTCATTGTAGTTTTGATTTTAATTTTCCTGATGGTTAGTGATGTTGAGCATTTTTCATATACCTGTTGGCCATTTGTAGGTCTCTTTTGGAGAAATGTCTATTCAGGTCTTTTGTTCATTTTTAATAGGATTATTTGGACTTTTGCTATTGAGTTGTTTGAGTTCCTTATATATTCTAGATATCAATCCCTTGTCAGATGTATAATCTGCAAATATTTTCTCCCATTCTATAGGTTGTCTCTTCACTCTGTTGATTGTTTCCTTTGCTGTGCAGAAGCTTTCTAGTTTGATGTAATCCAATTTCTTTATTTTTGCTTTTGTTACTCATGATTTTGAGGTCTTGTCTAACAAATTCTTGCCCAAATTGATGTCATGAAATGCTTACACTATGTTTTCTTCTAATAATTTCAGAGTTTCAGGTCTTAAATTTAATTCCTTAATCTATTGTTCTTTTCTTTTCTTTCTGTCTTTCTTTTTTTTTTTTTTTTTTTTTTTTTTGAGACAGAGTCTCACTCTGTTGCCCAGGCTGGAGTGCAATAGCACGATCTAGGCTCACTGCAGCCTCCACCTCTGGGGTTCAAGTGATTCTCCTGCCTCAGCCTCCCAAGTTGCTGGGACTACAGGTGTGCCACCACACCTGGCTAATTTTGTATTTTTAGTAAAGACGGGGTTTCACCATGTTGGCCAGGCCGGTCTCAAACTCCTGACCCCAAGTGATCTGCCTGCCTTGGCCTCCCAAAGTGCTGGGATTACAGGCATGAGCCACTGTGCCTGGCCTATTTGACTTTCATACGTGGTGAGAGATAGGGGGTCTAGGTTCATTCTTTTGCATATGGATATCCAGTTTTCCCAGCACCATTTATTGAAAAGACTGTTCTTTACCCATCATGTATTCTTGCCAACTTCGTAGAAAATCAGTTGGCTTTAAATGTTTGGGTGTATTTCTGGGCTCTCTATTTTGTTCTATTGGTCTATATGTCTGTTTTTATGTCAACACAATGCTGTTTTGGTTACTATAACTTTGTAGTATAATTTGAAATCAGGTAGTGTGATGCCTCCAGGTTTATTCTTTTTGCTCAAGACTTCTTTGGCTCTTTGGGATTTTTTGTGGTTCCACACAAATCTTAGGATTGTTTTTCTATTTCTGTGAAGAATGACATTGGAATTTTGATAGGAATTGCATTGAATCTGTAGATTGCTTTGGCTTTAATAATATTAATTCTTCAATCCATGAACATGAAATATCTTTCCATTTATTTGTGTCTTATTCAATTTCTTTCATCAATATTTTATAGTTTTCATTATAGAGATCTTTCACTTCCTTGGTTAATTTATTTCTGGACATTTTTTGTAGCTATTGTAAACGTGATTGCTTTCTTGATTGCTTTTTCAGATTGTTCACTGTTGGCATATAGACATGCTATCAATTATTGTATGTTGATTTTGTAGACTACAAGTTTACTACATTCATTTACTAGCTCTAACAGTTTTTTGGTGTAGTTTTGGCAGTTTTCTATATATAAGATCATGTCTTCTGCAAACAGGGACAATTTGTTTTGTTTGTTTTTGTTTTTGTTTCGAGACAGTGTTTCACTCTGTTGCCCAGGCTGCAGTGCAGTGGTGCGATCTTGGCTCACCACAAGCTCCGCCTCTGGGGTTCTAGTGATTCTCCTGCTTCAGCCTCTCGAGTAGCTGGGACTACAGGAGCGCACCACCATGTCTGGCTAGCATGTGTGTGTGTGTGTGTGTGTGTGTGTATTTTTAGTAGAGATGGGGTTTCACCATATTGCCAGGCTGGTCTCGAACTCTGGACATCAAGTGATCTGCCCGCCTTGGCCTCCCAAAGTTCTGGGATTACAGGCATAAGCCATTGAGCCTGGCCAAACAGGGACAATTTGACTTCCTTCTTTCCAATTTGGATGTCTTGCCTAATTGCTCTGGCTAGGACTTCCAGTACTGTGTTGAATAGAAGTGGTGAGGGTGGATATGCTTGTCTTATTCCAGTTCTTAAAGGAAAAGCTTTCAACTTTTCCCCACTCAGTTTCATCTTGTTTGTAGGTTTATCATATAGGTATGCTCCTTCTATACTTTGTTGAGAGTTTTTATCATGAAGGGATATTGAATTTTGTCAAATGCCTTTACTGTGTCTATTAAAATGATAATATAATTTTTGTCCTTCATTCTTAATTTGCATATGTTAAACCATCCTTACATCACTGGGATAAATCCCACCTGATCATGGTAAATGATCTTTTAATGTGCTGTTGAATTCTATTTCTAGTATTTTGTTGAGGATATTGGCCTGTAGTTGTTTGTTGTTATTGTGCTTTTGTCTGGTTTTGGGATCAGGATAATGATCATTATCCTCCTAAAATAATTTTGGAAGAGTTTCTTCCTTTTCAATTTTTTGAATAGTTTGTGAAGAATTGGTATTAGTTCTTTAGATGTTTGGTAGAATTCAGCAGTGAAGCCATTGGGTACTGAACTTTTCTTTGATGGGAGACTTTGTATTTTTGCTTCAATCTTGTTGCTCATTGTTGATTTGTTCAAAATTTCCATTTTTTCTTGATTCAACCTTGGTAGGTTGTATGTGTCCAGGAATTTATCCATTTCTTCTAGGCTTTTCAATTTGTTGGCTTATAGTTGTTCATAGTAGTTTCTTATAATTCTTTGTATTTCTGTGTTATCAGTTGTAATGTCTCCTTTTTCATGTCTGATTTATTTCTGTTTTTCTTCTTTATTATCACTTAGTCTGGCTAAAAGTTTATTGACTTTTTTTTATCTTTTCAAAGAACTAACTAACTCATTATACTGATCTTTTGTATTTTTTAGTTTCTATTTTGATTATTTGTGCTCTCATCTGTATTCATTCATTTCTTCTAATAATTTGGGGTTTTGTTTGTTCTTGTTTTTCTAGTTCCATGAGATGCATCATTAGGTTGTTTATTTGAGATTTTTTTTTGATGTAGGCATTTATTGCTATAAACTTTTCTTTAAGGACTACTTTTGCTGTATCCCATAAGTTTTGGCATGTTATGTTTCCATTTTCATTTGTTTCAAGAAATTTTTTAACTTCTCCTTTAATTTCTTCATTGACCCATTGTTTGTTTAGGGGCATGTTCTTTAATTTCCATGTATTTGTACAGTTGTTCCTCCTGTTGTTGATTTATAGTTTTATTCCATTATTGGCAGGAAAAAAATACTTCATTTTAAAAAAGTTAGTTAAGACTTGCTTTGTGGCCTAATGTATAATCTCCTGGAGAATGTTCCATGTGCAGTTGAGAAGAATGTGAACTGTGTAGCTGTTGGATGGAATGTTCCGTAAATGTCTGTTTGCTCTATTTGGTCTACAGTGCAGTTCAAGTCCAGTGTTTCTTTGTTGATATTTTGTCTGGATGATCTGTCCATTGGTGAAAGTGGGGTGTTAAAGTTTTCTACTATTATTTCATTGCTGTCTTCATTTCCCCCTTGGTCTATTAATGTTTGCTTTATATTAGGTTGGTGCAAAAGTAATTGTAGTTTTTGCCCTTACTTTTAATGAGACTAGAAAATACAAAGATCAAACATTAATATATTTAGGTGCTCCAATGTTGGGTGTATATATATTTATGCTTGTTACATTCTCCTGTTGTATTAACTTCTTTACTATTATATAATGGCCTTGTTTGTCAATTTTTTTTTGACAGATTCTCGCTGTGTGCCCAGGCTGGAGTGCAGCGGTGCAATGTCGGCTCACTGCAAGCTCCGCCTCCCGGGTTCATGCCATTCTCCTGCCTCAGCCTCCCGAGTAGCTGGGACTACAGGCGCCTGCCACCATGCTTGGTTAATTTTTGTATTTTTAGTAGAGATGGAGTTTCGCCATTTGGCCAGGCTGGTCTCGAACTTCTGACTTCAGGTGATCCACCCGCCTCAGCCTCCCAAAGTGCTGAAATTACAGGCATGAGCCACCACGTCTGGCTGTTTGTCTCTTTTTATAGTTTTTGACTTGAAGTCTATTTTATCAGATATAAGTATAGCTATTCCTGCTTTCTTTTTGTTTACATGTGCATGGAATATCTGTTTCTATCCCTTCGCTTTCAGTCTATGTGTGTCCTTACAGGTAAAGTCTTTCTCTTAGGCAGTATGTAGTTAGATCTTTTTTTAAAAAAAAATTCATTCAGCCACCCTATGTCTTTTTTTAAATTTTTTTATTTTTATTTTTATTATACTTTAAGTTTTAGGGTACATGTGCACATTGTGCAGGTTAGTTACATATGTATACATGTGCCATGCTGGTGCACTGCACCCACTAACTCGTCATCTAGCATTAGGTATATCTCCTAATGCTATCCCTCCCCCTTCCCCCCACCCCACAACAGTTCCCAGAGTGTGATATTCCCCTTCCTGTGTCCATGTGATCTCATTGTTCAATTCCCACCTATGAGTGAGAATATGCGGTCCAAATGTCCAACAATGATAGACTGGATTAAGAAAATGTGGCACATATACACCATGGAATACTATGCAGCCATAAAAAATGATGAGTTCATGTCCTTTGTAGGGACATGGAGGAAATTGGAAATCATCATTCTCAGTAAACTATCGCAAGAACAAAAAACCAAACACTCTATGTCTTTTAGTTGGAGAATTTAACCCATTTGTATTCAAGGTAATTTTTGATAGGTAAGAACTTGGTAGTGCCATATTTTTACTTGTTTTCTAGTTGTTGTGTAGATCCTTTGTTCCTTTCTTCCTCTCTTAATCTCTTCCCTTGTGGTTAAGTGATTCTTCTATCAGTATGTTTTAATCCCTTGCTTTTTATTTTTAGTGTATCTATTATAAAAATTTTTGCTTTGTAATTACCATGAGGCTTACACAGAATACCTTATAGTTATAACAAGTTAGTTTGAACTGATAACAACTTAATTTTGATTGCAAGAAAATTTTTTAAAAAATCGACTCCCAAATTTTGTGTTTTTGATGTCATCATTTACATCTTTTTATATTGCTTATTCTTTAACAGGTTATGGTAATTATTTTTATCTGTTTTGTTTTTTAATCTTCCTACTAAGGATATAAGTGATTTATGTTCTACAATTACCATGTTAGAGAATTCTGAATTTGTCGGGATACTTACTTTTACCTGTGGGTTTTATACCTTCAGATGTTTTCATGTTACACATTAGGACCTTTTTCTTTCAGTTTGAAAAACTCCCTTTAGCATTTCCTGTAAAGCAGATCAGGTTGCAATGAATTTCCTCAGTTTTTTTTTGTCTGAAAATATTTTTCTCTCTCTTTCATTTATGAAGGATAATTTTGCTGTGTACAGTATCCTTGGCTGGCAGGTGTTTTTTTTTTTTTTTCTCTCTCTCTCATTCTCTCCTGGCTTGTAAAGTTTCTGCTGAGAAATTCACAGTTAGTCTGATAGCGGCTCCTTTACAGGTGACTATATGCTTTTCTCTTGCTATTTTTAAATTTTTTTCTTTGACTTTTGATAGTTTGACTATAATGTGCCCTGGAGAAGACCTTTTTGCATTGTATTTATTTGGGTATTTTTGAGCCTTCTTTATCTAGATGTCTAAATCTCTTGGTAGACTTGGAAATTTTTCATCTAATATTTCATTAAATAGGCTTTCTAACCTCTTCATTTTCTCTTTGCCTTCTGGGACACTGAAGATTCAAATATTTGGTCACTTTATAGTGCCTAATATGTCATGAAATCTTTGCTCATTTTTTAAAATTCTTTTTTCTTTATTTTTGTCTGATTGGGTTATTTCAAAAGATCTGTATTTCAGTTCTGATACTCTTCTGCTTGGTCCGGTCTATTGTTGAACCTTTCAAATCTATTTTGTATTTCATTCAATGAATTCTTTGGTTCCAGAATTTTTGTTTGGTTCTTTTTTGATATCTATCTCTTGGGTAAATTTCTCTTTCATAGCCTCAATTGTTTTTCTGTGTTCTTTGTATTTTTTTCAGAATTCTCTTGTATCTCACTGAGTTTATTTAGTATCAAAATTTGGAATTATTTTTCCAGGATTTCATAAATTTTTAAAGAGATGTTGGCCAGTTTACTTAAAAACCAATGGTCACATATACTGTTTTGCTTGTAAACTATGATTTTTTTATTTTGTGGATACATAGTAGGTGTATATATTTATGGAACACATGAGATGTTTTGATACAGGCATGTGATGTGAAACAAACACATCATGGAGAATGAGGTATGTATACCCTCAAGCACTTATCCTTTGAGTTATTAACAATCCAATTACACTCTTTATTTTAGAATGTACAATTAAGTTATTATTAACTATAGTCACCATGTTGTGCTATCAAATAGCAGGTCTTATTCATTCTTTCTATTTTTTTGTACCCATCTTAAATTTTTTTTATTTGGATCTCTTGCTACAGAATTATTGTGCTCCTTTGGAGTGTCATAGTTCCTTGATTTTTCATGTTTCCTGTGTCCTTACATTGATATCTGCACATCTGGTGTAATAATCACTTTTTCCAATTTTTAAAATTTGCTTTTGTAGGAAAGAACTTTTTCCTGAAGATGTATCTGTGGTGTTGCTTGGGTAGAGCACTTCGGTTTTGATTCTCGGTGAATGTAGTAGCCTCTGTATAAGATTCTAAACAGCATCAGTGATATTTGTGATTTTCTCAGTGGCTTAGGGTGTGGTTATTAGTGGAGGCTGTGGTGAAGTTTTTCTGAGAAGTGGGATGCCAGGTAGGCCTGTCTTCAGGCCCCAATGGTGGCAGCAGTGGGCTGAGTGTGCTTGTCTTTGGTGTACCATGGTGGCATATGATTGCACTGGTTTTAGGTCCAGGCAGGTTGATTTGTGGGCCTCCAAGTGGTTTACTTGGGTGCCAGAAGTGGTATTGATGGATCACATGGGTGGGTGGGTTCTCAAGTTCCTGGGCAGCAAAGTGGCATGGTTGATGGCAATCATAGCAATGAAACAACCTGAATCTCAAGTGGTCTGTGCTGGCGTTGGTTGTGGCTGCTATGGATCGCATGGCCAGTCTCCAGACCCTCAAGTGGTGCATGCAGTGAGTGCTAACTGTGGCAGTAGTGGCAGGTTGAGTGGGCCTGACCTCAGACCCCAGGAGGTGCTCAGGTGCCACCAGTGGTGGACAGGGCTAAGTGATCCCTAGGCCCCTGGATGATATGCTTGGGTACTGGGGGCAGGTAGAGCTGGGCTACGTGAACCTGCCCTCAGGCTCCTTGGTGGTGTGTGAGGTGCTGGTTGTGCTATGCAGGGGTGGGGTGATACCGAGGTCACTAGCAAAATGCTCAGGTTGGGGTGCAGCAGTAGCTGTGCTATAGCCCTGCTCTTGGTGAAGGTGGGGTTGCTTTCTCAGGGAGTAGCTGTAGGCAGGTAGCTTGGGAGCACAAGGTTCACTAGTGTTTTGGCCCCACAGCAGCCTGCAGCAGCAGTGGTTGTAGGTAGTGGAATTTGTTCTTGGAATATGTGAAAATGCATGGGCACTCCTCTGCTGGGTGGGGCAGGATCACTGCTCAGGGCTCCTGCCTAAGTCACGGCCATCATAGCAGGGCAGGATGTGTGGGCTGTGTTCTCAAAATGGTGCTGTGCTGCAGCTGCTTGGGAGAATTGCAGAATCCAGCGTGAGCTCTCTGTTGCAATGCCTTCACACGGTCTTTAGGCAACTCCCTATGCTAGTCTCTGTGCTGTCAAGGAATAAGGCGCTCTCCTGTGGCTAGGATTGCAAGAGTCCTTGGTGAAAATGAGGAACACTAAGGGTCTCTTACCTTTTCCCCACATTAGGAAGCTGTTCCAGACTCCCAGCCAATCCCAGGCAAACAGGCCTTATTTCTCTCTCCTCCCTTGCTTTCAATGCTTCCTGTCACTGCTCTGTTGAATTCCAGTGTTCTCTCTTAGATGACCTATTCAAAGTATAATTATCTACTTGCTACTTTGGTTCCTCTCCATGGAAGGGATGAACACTAGATGCATCTAGTCAACCATCCTGAAGCCCCTCCTGATTGTATTTTTGGATAACCTGTCTTTGAGCTTGCTGATCCTTTCTTCTGCCTGATCAATTCTGTTGCTGATGTCTTGTATTGCATGTGTCATTTTTTATTATACTTTTCAGTTCCAGGATTTCTGACTTTTTTTATTCCTTCAATTTCTCTGTTAAATTTCTTTGATAAACTTCTGAATTGTTTCTCTGTGTTTTATAAAAGTTTGTTGAGTTTTCTTAAAATAGCTATTTTGAATTCTTTGTCTACCAGATCATTCACCTGCATGTCTTTAGGATTAGTCACTGGCACGATTTTTTGTTCATTTGTTGAGGCTGTCTTTCTTAGGCTATTCTTATTCTTTGCAGATGTGCATCCCTGTCTACACATTGAAGAATTAGGTATTTATTCTCATGTTCACAGTCTGGGTTTGTTTGTGACTGCTCTATTTCAGTGAGCTCGTTTAGAAATTGAGTGGGGCTGAGTGTGGTGGCTCATACTTGTAACCTAGCACTTTAGGAGGCTGAGGCTGGAGGATTGCTTTAGGTCAGGAGTTCGAGACCCAGCCTGAGCAACATAGCAATACCCCAATCTTCCCCACCCCACACACAAAACCCGAAAATTTAGCCAGGCATAGTGGCACACACCTGTAGTCCCACTCTGGAGGCTGAGGTGGGAAGACCGTGTGAGCCCAGCCAGGAGTTCAAGACTGCAGTAATCTATGATCGCACCACTGCACTCCAACCTAGGCAACAGAGACCATATCAAAAAGAAAGTGAAAGGACTGGCTGTTGTATTTCCTTTTAGCACGAGAGGGCGCCCTGAGCCCAGGTTAGACGCAAGTCTCATGCTGGCTCTGCTACTAATTAGTGGAGATCCACAGAGGGCACTCAGGCCATACGGGAGAGTTTTCCGGTGTAAAAACCGTGGGTCCATGGTGACTTTCCGCCTGTGGTACTGCAGTGGCTTGCGGGTGGGGTCTCAGTCATAAAGAACCAATCCCCTTTATGTGCAACTATGGTTTTACTCGTCTTTGCAGTCCAAAAGGGCTTCACAGTCTTGCTCATGGGTTCAGGTTTTCTTAACTCTTCTGAAGGTAATTTCACGCATCGAGTTGTTACCTTGATGTTTCTGTGAGGAGATTATTGCTGAAGAGTCCTATTCCACCACTTTGCTCCACTCAGCATGCACTACTTAATCACAAGCAGGAGATGAAGGCCCGGAAAGAAGACAATAGAAGCCCAAACCCCTCTCCTCAACCTTTATCTAGTAGACCACAGTGTCCTTATAATTCAGCAGTCAGCACCTTTTCTTATAAACGCCAGATGGAAGAGATGCATATATAAGGAAGGGTATGTGGGAAGGGGCATGGGGCCAGCCACTCTCCAGGAACCTCCATGCGTTCAGCTACTCAGAAGCTCCTGATGGGCAATTCTAATATGAATATTTATCTCTTTTAATTCTTATCATTTTTCTATCATTTCTTGATGTTAAAATCTGCTTTAAAACACACAGTTGACTCTTGAACAATACAGGTTTGAACTGCATGAGTCCACTTATATGCAGTTTTTTTTCAATAAATATAGTGAGATTTTTTTGGAAATTTATGACAATTTGAAAAAACTGTCAGATGGACCACATAGGGTAAAAATATCAAAAAAATTAAGAAAAAGGTATGTTATGAATGCAAAAAATATATGGAGATGGCCGGATGCAGTGGCTCACACTTATAATCCCAGCACTTTGGGAGGCCAAGGCGGGCAGATCACGAGGTCAGGAGTTCAAGACCGGCCTGGCAAACATGGTGAAACCCCATCTCTACTAAAACTACAAAAATTAGGTGGGCGTGGTGGCACATGCCTGTAATCCCAGCTACTTGGGAGGCTGGGGCAGGAGAATCGCTTGAACCCAAGAGGGGGAAGTTGCAGTGAGCTCAGATTGTGCCACTGCACTCCAGCCTGGGTGACAGAACAAGACTCCGTCTCAAAAAATATATATATATACTTTGGGAGGCCAAGGCGGGTGGATCACGAGGTCAGGAGATCGAGACCATCCTGGCTAACACAATGAAACCCCGTCTCTACTAAAAATACAAAAAATTAGCCAGTCGAGGTGGCGGGCGCCTGTAGTCCCAGCTACTCGGGAGGCTGAGGCAGGAGAATGGCGTGAACCCCGGGGGGCAGAGCCTGCAGTGAGCTGAGATTGCGCCACTGCACTCCAGCCTGGGCGACAGCAAGACTCCGTCTCAAAAAAAAAAAAAAAAAAAATATATATATATATGTATACACACTTATATATACATATACATGTTGATACTAGACTATTTTATCATTTATTACCATAAAATATACAAAAATCTATTATAAAAAGTTGAAATTTATAAAAACTTACATACTTACAACCATACATGGCACCATTCCCAGTTGGGACAAATGTAAACAAACGTAAAGATCCAGTATTAAATCGCAACTGCATAAAATTAACGGTAGTAGCCATCTCCTATTGTTATTGTGCTGAGCTCGAGTGCTGCAGGCATCCACTGAAAACTCTGCATGATGCTAATCATCTCTGCATAAGCATTTCATCTCTCCATAAACTTTGAAGGATACTTGGGACCCGTATAAAGTGCCACTAGTGATGCTGGAAGTACTCCCAAGAAGCAGAGAAAAGTATAAATAACATTTTCCTTTCTCTAGCTTACTTTATTGAAAATATACAGCATATAATACATACACAAAATATTTGTTGTTTATGTTATTGATAAGGCTTCTGATCAACAATAGGTCATTAGTACTTGAATTTGGAGGGAGTCAAAAGTTATACATGGATTTTTGACTGTGCAGGGGGTTAGTACCCCAACCCCCACATTGTTCAAGGGTCAACTATATTCTCAACCACATTTTGTTTGACCTTATGAAAGATTTTATCTATTCTTAGTACTTTCTATTGAGTTTCTATTTTGACCATTGTGTTTATAATTTTTATGAGCACGTTTTGTTATGATTGTTTTTCATAGAATCCTATTGTTACCTTATTTTTAAGTTTCTTTTTATTGATGTAAAATATACATATGTAATTTGCCATCATTACCATTTTTAAGTGTACAGTTCAGTGGTATATATACATAATGGAATACTATTTGGCCATAAAAAAGAATATTTTCATTTGCATCAACATAGGTGACACTGCAGGGCAATACCACATGTTCTCACTCACATGTGGGAGCTAAAAGAGTGGATCTTGTGAAAATAGAGAGTAGAATCGTGGTTACCATAGTCTGGGGTGGGGAGGGTGGAGGTGATGAAGGTGCCAGTTGGGACAAATGTAAACAAACGTAAAGATCCAGTATTAAATCGTAACTGCATAAAATTAACGGTAGTAGCCATCTCCTATTGTTATTGTGCTGAGCTCAAGTGCTGGGATTACAGGTGTTCCAGTAAGTGGTCAGAGCCCTGCCTGTCCCAAGTGGGTGAGGTCCCAAAGGGATTATCATAGCAGTGTTGGAAGGCCAGCTAGTGATTCATGCCAAGGTGACCTGTAGGATAAACCTGCTACAGCATGGTGCTGCTGCACGGCCATTCTGAATTTGCATGTCTTTGGCCAAATTATAGAGCAGAATTTCCAGGGCTGGGGATGGTAGTCCTTCCTCCCTCATTTGTCTCTGCCTGTACTCTGGGATATTTCTGCCTTCAGACAGTCATGATGTTTTCTGTGGGTTAAGGCAAGGACAAATCTCCCCCCAGGGAACCCAAGAAGGTGGAGAAGCTGGTTGAACACCTCAATGTCACTTTTTCCAGTGTAGAAACCATGAGTTGAGGGGAGATTTTCCATACACTTGGTGCTGGGCAGAATAGGAGGAAGGAGAGTCATGGATGTGGAAGTCTGATTCTCAAAGTTTTTTCACTTCTCTGTGGCTCCGGGAACTGTCTCATCCTCACATGTGAGCTCTGGGTTGTTGTTGGTGTAGATATTGGTGCTGTATGTTTGGTTTTGGTTTTCTGTGAGAGGGAGTAAAGCCAGCCTGCCTCTATGCCCCTATTTTAAAACTGGAAGGCATCTTATTGTTACTTTATTGATGCAGTATCTTCTTGAATCTTTATGAAAATAGAAGTAAGAGCTTCCGATGAGTTCTGTTCTGAGCCATAGCTTTTTTTATTCTGGGATTATTATTTTCTTTGTTCATCTTTGCATATCCCTTCCATATTTTAGGTTCTTTTTAAATGTCTGTTCATCCTTGGTTGCCCACTCACATTTAAGAAAAGGAAAGAAAAATCTGACTGTGGGCTGTATGTACATGGGTAAGCCTTCATTTTCAGGTGACCAAAAGAGGAATTGCCTACTATACATTAAGATCCCCAGAGGCCAGAGATCTTCAAGTATTCAGTGGGCTATATCCTCTGAGATGCCGAGCTGTTTGTGAACTGAAGTACAGAACTCTGGTGCTGAATTTGGAAGACCCTGAGGATTGTTGAGCAGGTGTGTACATACCTGGCAGAGACCTGTTTACATAACCATTGACTGTGTGCATTTTAGGCCAGGCCCGAGCAGATGCAGCATCCCTATCCTGCATCAAGGAGTTCTTTGTTTCTGAGTGCCAACTTTTCCCTGATGAGAGAGAAGGCAAAGATAGAGTCAGCTAAGCATGTGTCTCATGAATGACCGCCTCCCCTTTCTCCTTCCCTGCTCCCAGTGTGCTCACACCTTAAGCATTTTTGTCAGCAAAGTAGGCACACAGCACTTATCCTCTCAAAGTCAGTGTGAGGGAGGGAGAAGATAATTATGTAAAGGCAGACATCTCTTGCTCAAACTGATTTTCTCTCCCTCCATTTGTCCATGACAATAAGTGGGAATGGATAATAATAGAAGACAGAATATTGGTTAGCTTGAGGCATCAGGATTCAATTCTTTTTATTAGCTGAATTATTTAAAAGAAAGCTTATGAAAATCATCCTAGGGGCCGGGCGCGGTGGCTCACACCTGTAATCGTAGCACTCTGGGAGGCTGAGGCAGGTGGATCACTTCAGGTCAGGCGTTTGAGAGTAGCCTGGCCAACATGGTGAAACCCTATCCCCACTAAAAATACACAAATTAGGCGGGCATGGTGGCATGTGCCTGTAATCTCAGCTACTCAGGAGGCTGAGGCAGGAGAATCACTTGAACCTGGGAGGTGGACGTTGCAGTGAGCCAAGATTGTGCCACTGCACTCCAACCTGGGCAACAGAGTGAGACTCGATCTCAAAAAAAAAAGAAAAGAAAAAAGAAAATTGTCCTAGGAAAAAGGCTGTCTGTCAGTCCCTGTCTCCGTTATAATTGCTTCATCCCAGCTTATATTTATGAAACCCCAGGAACCTGAAAGCTCCCTAACACTGTCTCTGAAATTGATAAGGGCTGAAGCACTGGAAATACTATTGAACAGTGACTCCCTGGAGTTACCCCTTTGTGTGAAGGACTGGTAGCTAGTGCTAAAACTTTATGAGGCAGCCATTCATTTGTTCATTCATTCAAACACATATTTATTGAGCACTACTAATTGTAGACACTGATGATAGAGAGGAAGATACAGCCTCTGCTTTCAAGATGCTTACACTCTAGCTGGAATCGTCAGAGAAGCTGATAATTATAATAAAGAGTAAAGAGTGATATAATAAAGATGAGAGTAGGGTGTTACAGGGAGCAGAGAGGAGAAGAAATTTCACTTTGCTTGAAGGGAAAAAGATATGAGATCAAAGAAGATAAATATTAAATAAAGTAGAAAATACTGATATAGTATGATAAGGAATAAGCTCAAGATGCTGTGGAAATATAAGCAGGCATCTAATCCAGACTAGAGGTCATCCTGGGAGAAGGAATTAAGGAAGGGGATAACTGAAGTAAGTCAGACTTAAAGAAAAAGGAGAAGCTTACTTAGTGTAAAGAGGGAGACAGATTTTTCCAGGCAGAGGAAACTGCATATGCAGAGGTCTCATGCAAGAAAAAGCATTACATATTTGGGTGACATGGAAGATAAGGCAGGAAATGGAACACAACAAGGCTGGAAATGTCACCAGAGAATAGATAATGCATTTTGCACTTTACCTTGAAATTGAATTATTTTATTTGTTTTGTTGTTTGAGATAGGGTCTGGCTTTATCACCCAGGCTGGAGTGCAGTGGCGCAATCACAGCTCACTGCAACCTTCACCTCCTGGGCTCAAGTGATCCTCCCACCTCAGCCTCCCAAGTAGCTGGAGTACAGGTACCCGCCACCATGACCGGCTGATTTTTTAATTCTTTTGTAGAGATGTGGTTTCGCCCTGTTGCCCAGGCTGGTCTCAAACTCCTGGGCTCAAGCAATCTGCCCACCTCAGCCTCCTAAAGTGCTGGGATTACAGGCATGAGCCACCGAAACTGGCAAACTGAAGTATTGTAGAGGCTAGAGTGACAAGATCAGATACTCACTTCAGTAAGCTTCCTTTGAGAGTTATGAGACAGATCATGAGGGCCTCAATTAAGAAGATGGCAATGTAAATTGATAAGGGGGCAAGAAGAATATTATGTTACTATGATTACATAGTGATTACATTAGGAGGAGGAGGAAGAGGCGGAGGTACTAACACTATTGAGGGCCTACTCTATGCCACACAGTGCTCTAGGTTACTTAAGTGAAATCACTCAGCACTCACAACAATCTTATGAAAAATGTACTATTATTTCCATTTAGGAAACCGAGACACAGAGAGGTTAAATAACTTGCCAAAGGTTGTGCACTTAATAATAGATGAAGATAAGAGAAAGTATTTAGAAAGTAGAGCCCAAAGTATTTGTTGACAGTCTTAATGAGGGGGATGAGGCCAGTCCGTTATCCAGCTCCTCTATCTTCTTACCTCATAGCTGCCAGTGGAACTGAGGTTACGTTTTGTTTTCTTGGAATTCATTTTTAACCCCATCTCCTTCATTCCTGAACAGTAATGTAATTTATGATCTTTCTATAATCACCTCCTCTTAATAGTAGCAGAGGATTTCTTTCAGGAATCCAAAATTCAGATTAAGACTCACTAACCTTCATCAAATACAGCAAAAAGTAGTATAAATTTGTGCAAGGTCTGTGTCTTTTCCTTGGCCAGACTCCCTGAAAAAGAAGTGAGAACATTTATCTTCTATTTAAAAAATCTCATTGTAGGAAATTGTCACTAGGAGGAGACAGTTCTTCATCAGTTACTTGACAGTAAGAACAAATGTAGTCTTCTGTCTCTTGATAACTTGGCTTTGATGTCAGGTCTCCTATAGCAGTGTTTCTAAAACTATCTGGAGCAAAGAATTTTTTTATTTCAACTTTGATGAAGACCACTACTTGTGTAAAATATGATAAAAATGAATTACTAAAGAAAAAAATTAAAAACACTTACAAAATACAAGCCCTCACACACTGTGTGATAATAGTGAAATTATAGATAATTTCTGTTACTCTTGTAACTTTTTATACTTCTGCAATTGTAAATTAAAAGTTTTGAGTAAAATAGCAATTGTCCATATTAAACATCTATACTCATGATTTTTTTTCAATAGCCCACAGTGCTTCTAATTATACTCACATTTTAAATAAATACCGTGTATATCGATAGCTGAAGTTTTTAATGGAACAAACTAGCTTGTTTCATGCTTTAACTGTTGAGCTTGTTGGCTATCTTTCTTAGAATTATATATTTTTTAAATTTGACTGGAAACTTTTGTTTACAGGCTTATTTTGAGTAGAAAGATTTTTGTTTATGACATTTTGCCGTTCTTTCTCTCTCTCGCACCCTTAATGCTTAGAAATAAAAATTAGCTTGGACTAAGAAAGCAACAGTACGTGTGCTGCTACTCATCAGGCTGGGATAAGAGACATAGATAAAGCTAACTGCAGAGTTAACAACACCATTTCTCCCAAGGACACATTGCCACTGTATAAACTCACTGAATGCCAACTATTTGCTTTGATTATCTCTTGCTTTCTTACTCAATTGAGTTGTTTGTTCTCTGAATTCACAGCCTGCCAGAAATGTTTGAACTAATAGCAACAAGAATGAAACATCTCATTCTTTCCTAGGTCATCTAAATTACTTTGACACAAAGAAGCAGCTCAATTTAAAGCTCAAGCTTCAGGTAAGGGGTGCCTTGACTTAACCTTTCATGTCTATGTTAACTTTTTAGAACACTTCACAGTCTAGACCTCATGGTTATTTCTTTACACACAACTCTACTTTGCTTCATTTAAATATCACCTAACCTCCACCCTTCCCCAAAATTCTTTACTAACTCTATACAGTATTTCCCTTTGTTTAGGGAGGTGTCCACAGTCTCTTGTTGCCATGAGCCAATAAATCTGACTTTGTTGAACTATAGTGATCTTTGCTGTCCCTTGTGATCATTGGTTGATTAAGCAAAGGATGTGTTCACTATTCTCTATCTAGCAAATCATACCCTAGAATGGAATTTTGGAGATACTGGCCAATGGAAACCTTGGGGATATTGCAGATTCCCCCACTGAACCAAGAAAACTTAGTTCAGTTCCTATTCTAGGACTGGGTTTGCTTTCCCCTCTTCTAGGACTCTGAGTTTCCACAAAGCCATGGCCCTAAACAAAGAGTGAGCAGCAGCTGTGCTCAGCTCTCTTTCAAGTGAAGAAGAGCCCAACTCTATGATATGGGCTCTCAGTCCCTCTGGTGGGGAGCACTATTTATCCTTGTCATCCTGACTCCTTGGCTACCGCAGCTGGCTTCCTGACCCAGATCTCAGTTGGCCTGTAATTTCCACCCCTTTTACTACTCACAGTTCCTGTTCTGCTTCTGGTCCACAAATATTTATCTTCTTTTTCAGCTGACCATGCCTATTCGATTTTCTCTATTTATGGTTTACCTATCTTTGTTGTTGGTTTTCAGCGAGGTTGGGGTTGAGGTGGAGGATGGAAAAATGGCTAAGTAGGAAGACCCTGTGCCATCTTTACCAGAAGTACTGGATTAAAAACTTTAGAGACACATTTAAAATACGTATAAAGCTGTCTTAAAACATTCTAATTACTTTTATATAAATTTTCAATTATAGTGAAATTGACTTTTTCTTTTGGTGTATAGGTCTATAACTTTTAACAAAGATATAAGCTCATGAAACCCCATCATCGTCAAGATACAGATCCATTTCAATATCCAAAAAGAACTCCCTCCTGCTATCCCTCTATAGTGTACATCTAATTTCACAAGAAACTGCCAGAGACTGTTTCTCTACCAAGCAGCAAAACTGCCATTCTGTTTTCCAGAATGGCTATACCATTGTGCATTGTGAAACTTTCTGTTGCTCTGAATTCTTGACAGGATTCTTGGCAATTTTATATTATTATTTTAGCTATTCTAATAGATACATCACTGTTGATTGAATTTGCATTTCCCTAATGGTTAATGATGTTGAACATCTTTTCATATGTTTGTCCATATAACTCTTGCTTTATAAAAGACACCATTAAAAGAATGAAAAAACAAACTATAGAGTGGGAGAAAATATTTGCCAATCACATAACTGGCAAGGGATTTATATCCAAAATGAATTTCATATTCAGACTTAAGTTCCATCCCCAAGCTATCTCATTATATATGTGCAAATATTCCAGTATCTGAAATCTGAAACGTTCTTGGTTCCAAGCATTTCAGGTAAGGGATACTCAATCAGTATTTTGCATGCAGATATTCACCTGTTTCAGCACTGTTTATTGAAGACACTATTCTTTCCCCTATTGAATGGTTTTGGCACTCCTGGCAAAAATCAATGTTGTGATTACAGATTTGTACTACTTCAACTTTCTTCATATTCATGTTTGCATCATATATCCTTTTCCATCTTTATGCTGGTAACCTACCTATATCATTTTTTTGAAATGAGTTTCTTGTAAACAACATATAATTGGTTCAAGCTTTTATATCCAGTATGCTAATCTCTGTTTTTAATTGGTGTGTTTTAGCCATTTGCACTTAATGTAAGTATTGATATGTTTAGATTTAAGCCTATCATTTTATTATGATTTTACTGCTTCTTCTCTCTGATTTTCATCTCTCCTTACTTGCCTTCTTTTGAGTTATTTGAATATTTTTGATATACCATTGTAATTAGTTTATTGTGACTTTTTACTGTGTCTCTTGGTATAATTTTTTATTGGTTGCTCTAGGGATTACAAAATACATACTTAACCTTTCACTATCATCTACTTAGAGTCAACATTTTACCATTTGAATTGGAATGAAGTTGAATGGACCATAAAGTTTTCCTTACCCTCCTCTTGTTATGCTATGATTCTTTTATGTATTGTATCTACCATACATTAAAAAACCTATCTCACAATGTTCTATCTTTGCTTTCAGCCATCAGACATGTTTTAAGGAATTCTGTGGGCGTTAGTTTCAGATGAAAGTATGATTTCTCATATACTGAGTTCAGTTTCATAGTCATAATTAATGAGAAAGTGCCAAAACCACAGTGTGTTATTTATGGGACGTAAAGGCTAATGGAACATGTTGAAGACTGTGAAACTGAGATTTCCCCTCAAGCACCAGACTGGCCACTGCGTTGGACTCAATGGCACTGCAAGGGGTTTAAAACAGATCTGACACTGAAACTACATACCTGGATGTGTAGGTTGGGGGTGAATCCAGGAGTTAATGCACAACTTTATGGGTTTACTTTCCTGGGATCTTTTCTCTCTGTCATCTATAAACTTTCCAGTTCTGTGAGCTCCCTTTTTTGGTTTTCTAACCAGAAGCTTCCAATTTCCACAACTACATCATAGCTAAGGTCAAGCAATGGAAGGGGAAAGACAGAGAGAAAGTAATGTGCTTTTCCCCCAATGTCTTAGATCTGTAGCTGTACTGAATGAAGAATAATGTTCCCCTCCCTAAGTTTTTACTCCGGCAGGTTTCTGTTGCCAGCCACTGTCATTGCCACAGGCAACCTGGGACTGAAGCTTGAGAGAATGGTGGAAAAGAGGACAAAAACCCTAGGGGATTTCCCCTCCCACGCTCTCTGAGCATTTAGAGTTACCTTTCTCACTCCTTGAAACCCCAGAGGGTTTGTCCTGGAGCTCTCTTTGCAACATAGTACTCACTTCGAAGTCTCCAGTTATGTTTTAATTCAGGTTAAGGAATACTAGAGTGGGGAAAAAGGTATACTCCCCCACAAGTTTGGTAATACTTTCAATTCTAGTGTCTTTTCTCTATATACTTGTTCTATTTGCTTTTTAGAAATTTTTAAATATCTGGGCTTTGCATTTTGTCAAGGTTTTATAGTTAAGTTCAATGGGAAATAAAGGGTGGAGTGTGTTTATCCATTTCACCTGGAACTAGAACCTCTGTAGACTCTTTAGTTCAACTCTGTGTCAAAGAATCATTTGGGTTTTTAACTTATTTCTTTATATGTCATATGTAAACACTAATGTTTTGATGATCTCATTGTTCCATTAGCCTTTACATCCCATAAATAATACACTGTGGTTTTGGCACTTTCTCATTAATTATGACTATGAAACTGAACTCAGTATATGAGAAATCATACTTTCATCTGAAACTATTATAAACTACAAACCTTTCTCATCTTCTCCACTCCCCGCTCCCATCCTTTTTTTGAATCACATTCATCATCACCATTCAGAAAGAGTATGGTGATTCCTGTTAATAAATTCTTTGCCTATTCCCCATCAAAAGGTGGAGTCTCCCTTTATAGACTGGTCTTAGTGATGCATTCTAACTAATAGAATGTAGGTTATGTGAGTGATTTCCAAGGTTACATTAGAAATCGTGAAACAGCTTCTAATGGGCTATCTCAGGACCATATAAGAAGTCTGGCTACCCTGTAAAACCCATGTGAGAGAGATCATGTGGAGAGTACCATCAAGCCAAGGTCAAAGACATGTGAATAAAGTCACCTTTGGGATGATTTCAGCTCTAGCCACTGTTTGACTACAGCCTCATGAGACACACTTAGATAGGCCACCAAGTCAAAACACTGACAAATTCCATGAGACTCACAGAAACCATGAGAGATAATAAGAGACTGTTGTTGTTTTAAGCCACTAAATTGTGGAGTTATGCAGTAAAAGATAAATGGAACAAGGAAAAGGTACAGTGAAGCTGATTTCACCATAAAAAATAGGATAAAAACAAATTATGCAAAATTTACTTCCCTAATTTATGCTAAGGTATAAATTAAAAACAGGTTTGATTAGAATTATTTTAGAATATATTAATTCAATCCAAATTAATTAATTTTCAGTAACATATAAATAAATGCTGACTTTTCTTAGATTTTTATATACTTTTGGTTTACAGATGACAAACTAACCACCTGAACCAGTCTATATGCCATTGATCACACACTTGGATGTGTTTACCTCCATGAAGTTTTCAAGGAACCTAGCTCAAAGTTTGCAAAAGGCAGAGGACAGTAGAAATCACTACTGATAAAGCCCACAGATTTGAAGAGGAAAATAGCAATGCTTTGAGGAGAGAGATTTAATTCTGGAACTCAGCTCCTCCTGATCCCAGCTTAGAGTTTATTGTGGTTATATAGAATGCATATCTGCTTCTCTCAGAAACTGGATTATTCTCCTTTCCATGAGCATGATGCTAGAGTAAAAAAGCCTCTTTCAGGTGAAGGAACACAAATGCTAACTGTTATAGATAGATTCAGTTGTTTGTACTTCTCTGCTTATTTCATCTCAATCCTACGCTTTCATACACTTACCTTCTCTACATACTAGTAGGGCTCCAATGAGGCCTGAATTCAAGTCTTTTACCAGGTCCACATGAGAAAGATATGAGTAGGTAAGGCACAGTGGGTCAGAGGCCATTGGACCATTCTCTTTCAGGACCTGCCAGACATATGTATGGCTTCCACCAGGGAAGACTTTATCATCTTCTTTCTCCCTTTGACTGGTCTGATCATCATATTCAGCTCCTATAGCAGGAAGAAATAAAATTGTCCTTTCTATATCCACTGTACACTCAAAGAAACATGTCAAGTTTATTGTCACCAATAGGTTCTACATAAGAAACGGACTTTCTGCATCTTTGTTGTTGTTGTTGTTGTTGTTTTGAGACGGAGTCTCACTCTGTTGCCCAGGCTGGATCTCGGCTCACAGCAACGTCCGCCTCCCAGGTTCAAGTGATTTTCCTGCCTCAGACTCCCCAGCAGCTGGGATTACAGGCACGTGCCACCATGCCCGGCTAATTTTGTATTTTTAGTAGAGATGGGGTTTCATCATGTTGGTCAGGATGGTCTTAAACTCCTGACCTTGTGATCCACCCGCCTCAGCCTCCCAAAGTGCTGGGATTACAGGCGCGAACCACCACACCCGGCCTACTTTCTGCATCTTAATTTGAAAAACTAACAAGCAGCAGCCACAAATGGGGAGAAGCTTCATATACTCCAGAGGATCTTGAGATCACTAACCCTAGCATGAGCAGTAAAAACTAGGTTCTGGTTGATATCTCCACATTCTGTTAAATAATAAATTGCTTCCATTATTGCATCTTTTTGCCTAATTCAATTCAACAACAAATACACTTTGTCACAGACTCTTTGGTAGGCACTAGTGAGGGTCACGGAACAGTAAGAAAGAGAGATTTAAGAAAATTTCTTAAACTTTGTTCTTTCCTAGTGGTACAACACTATGTTTGGTGGGGGACATAGACATATAAAGATATAATTATAATACCATGTGGAAATATTCACCTATTTATTCACAAATATTTATTGAGTTCTTATTCTTTACCAGACTCAGCTACAAGCTGAAAATATAAAGATCAAGATAGAAGTCTCTATGCCCTTGGAGCGAGCAACACAGTGGATAAAAAAAGTAAACAAGCTTCCTACTCTTCAGTAATGCTTGATGAAGGAGGTGGAATTTGAGATGAATCTTGAAAGACAGATATATTTGTGTTCTTTTTCATGTGTTTAATATAAAGAATTTAATATTTTTGTGAGTGGATGTTAGAAAATTATTCTTAGAATTGCACTGCTACTTTCACTTTTTTCTTTCAACACACTTTTTATGATGATGCATTTTAATGTACATTACAAATTTCATGATAGTCCACTCCTATATACTTTAGAAGTCATCTTTAAAAAAAAATTGCCCACATAAACAAAATGACACTAGCACACCTGATCCAGTTAATATCACCTAATATCAATGCAATATTCAAATTTTCTTAATTGCCTCAAAGGCATCCTTTGTAGCTAGTTGGTCCAAATCAGAATCCAACCTAAGACTGCAGATTGCATCTGGTTGTTTAGGCCCATAGTCTCTTTTAGTATGGAGTAGTCCCTTTTTTTCTGACACTCATTTGGTGAAAGAAATTTGGCTTGTAGTCCTGTAGAATATCCCATGCTATTGAATATGCCTAAGTTCTGATTAGATTCAAATTAAATAAGTTTTTTGGCTAAAATATATCAAAGATGATGCTGAGTCCCTCATATTGTGCCATATCAGGGGCAGATAATATCTGGCCATCCCATCCTTAGTGACACTAAAACTGACCTGTGGATTAGCCTGATACCTCCATTCTAAAGTTAACATTTCCACTTACAATCAGAAAAAAATCACTGGGATATTATTTTGGCGCCATACAAATGTCAAATTCCACATCAGGAATTCACCTAATGATTGTAACATCAGCTTGGATGTGTTTGAAGCCAATCCTAGACAGGATATCATTTCATTTATGAGTATTACAATATGTATCTCTATTATATAAGTGTTGTTTTTAATGTGATCATTATTTTTTCAATGATCAATTACTTTGAACTTTGACAATGAGAGCCTTTTCCTGCCAGCCCCATAGAGGAGTACAGACTGTATGTAAAATGCTTAATTTTGTAAAATAAATTAAGCAAAGATGACAAAATGTTAAGATTTGGCAAAGTGAGGTGATGGGCACATGTTTGTTTGTTATATTATTTTCTGTATTTATCTTTGTTTGAAATATTTCATTAGGAAAAAAATACCCTTTTTCCCAAGGCTCACGTTGTGGTGGGGGCAGGGGCGGGAGCACATGTTGGAGGTTCAATGAGAGGCTAACAATGTGTGAAACATTATAGCTGTCTTGGGGAGAGGGAGAGTAAATGGATTAGGGGAAATGTAGCAGTAGAATGGCTAGGCAATGCTGAAGGCCCACCTGAGGTGAGATACCATTCAGTGTGATTGCGTGATTTTTATTTCAGCTATGTCCATCCCTTTGGTTGTTGGTAGAATAGGTGGAGAACAGATTTAACCAAGGTAAGTGACCCAGCCCAGAAAGATTTGAGTCTGTTCCTCTCCAGGAATGGGTTGAACCTAGTTTTCCTTGGACAGAAGAACTTGGCCAAATCTGAGATGAGCCACTGCATCAGGAGCAGCAACTTCAACATATGCTAAACATTTCACTGTTCAATAGAAATATAATGCAAACCACATATGTAATTTTAAATTTTCTGGTAGTCACATTAAGAAAAGTAAAAAGAAACAGGTGAAATTATTTTAATAATGTATTTCGTTTAACCTAGTATATCCAAATATAAGCATTTCAACTTGTACTTATAAACAATGAATGAGATATTTTTAGTCTTTTTTGTACTTAACCTTTGAAATCTGGTGTATATTTTACAGTATGTCTCAAGTAGGACTCACCACATTTCAAGTGCCTGATAGCTCATGGCTACCATTTGAACTGTGCAGTATAGACTCTATGGTTGGTGTCCCCTCATTGGATAAGATGTGGCCATTTGGGGGTCCCAAAAGGTGTTACCTTTTCTGATGGGTTTAACTTGAGCTGGATTTTAAAATATTATCTCCCCATAATTGTGATTTTAAAGCTCTTATCTCTCCCTGATGTCAGCAGAAAAAAAAAGATAAAATTGCATTGGCCACTCGTTTCTCCACCAATTTTTGGAAAATTTCCCCAATGTTGAACTACGAATACATGTAACTCTTTAAGATATAGCCAAGCCGAGACCCTCCAGATTTGCCATGGCTTCCTGTCTCTGATTATACAGCTACATGTTTAGGGTAGGATCAGTGGTATAGAAGGAGCAGATAAAGGTAGATTGTCCTGCCTTTGCACCATGCCTGCAAAGAGCTAGGCAACTAAGAAAAGGACAAGACCAACACCCCCTTAAGACTCCTATAAGATCCATGGCCCACATGATATACATGAAGTAGTAGAATCTTGATTTTATTATATTTGGGCTCCATCCCCTAAGTATAGGATTACCTGGTAATAATAGGTCCTTTTTCTCATAAATTTCAAAATGCTAGTGCAAGTACTCTCATTGGCCTAGCTTGGGTAAGGTGCCCATCTCTGGACCAATCAACTGTGGCCAAGGAGGTGGGATACCCGTGTCAACTGCTCACTCCTAGATCAACTGCTATGGCTAGGGAGGCATGGGCTTTAAGAAAATGGCAGGTTCTGTTTGAAGTATATTCAGAAAAGCAATTCCTAGGGGGTATACAGGTGAGAAATGTTTAATTTTAGGAAGAAAAAATGACTGGTGTCCACTACACCCTCATTCTTGTATTGAGTATCTACTATAGGGTAGGCAATATGTTATATGCTAAGGACACAGCAATAAATAAGATGGATTTCCCTATCTTGAGATATTTATAATCTAGTAAATGTTAAGAAATACACATAATGTTCAGTTAGGACCTTAAAAGAGTTGTAACGCCACCATTACAAAGCACACACATCTCACTGTTCTATTCATAGAATGACAGGACAATAGGAGGGTATTTTACTCACCCTCAGAAGCTTTCCAGTAGGATACACCAACAGCATGAAGACTGACAGGATGGGAAGCCATGTTCTTAAGTGTAATGACCACTGTATCATAAACCTCAGCCTGGATGGTAGGACCTAGCAGACCTGTAAGAATGAGATGTCCGCCAAAGGTTACTTGGGGATAGTACTCCAGAAAACCTGTTATTCCAAAAGTTAGAGTCAAGGTCACAGTGGAGAAGCATGCCCCTGTAATTACTGACAAAAAGTAGTATTTGCTTGCTGCCAACATCAGCCTAACCTTATGGTTGCTCTGAGGCAAGATTTCTGGCAATCATTCAATTCATTCATTCATTCAACTAGAGTTCCTACTATATTCTAGGAACTGTCTTATGCACTGGAGGTGCAGTAGCAAACAAGACAGATAATGGAGATCATATTCTCAAGACATTAAGCACATAAAGAAATAAATAAGAAAATTTCAAGTTGTTATAAATATAAAAGATAGTGGTCTGCTAGAAAGTGATGAGGCAGGAGGTAGAGGATACTTTCAGTGTAGTAGTCAGGAAGGGCCTCTCTGAGGAGGTGACATTTGAGTAGAGATCTGACTAATGAAAAAGAAGCAAGATTTTCAAAGATCTAGTGGAAGAGCATTGAAAACAGATAAAACAAATGCAAACGTCCAGAGGCAGAAATAAGTTTGGTATAGTCAAGTAAAGTGTGGCTGAAGCACAGTGAATCAGCAGAGGAGTAACAGAAAATATGGTCAAAAAGGAAACATAACATGTAGGACCTTGCAGGCCACAGGAATTTGGATGAATTTGGATTTTACAAGAAGTAAAATAAGAAGACTTGGAACTTGTTTTGGAGGAACAGTCAACAGGACTTGCTCATAAATATGATGTGGAGATAGAAAAAAAGAGAGGAGTCAAAGAAAACTCCTATGATTTTGGCTTGTGCAACTGGGTTGTTAGTCAGGCCATGACAGAAAATCAGGAGGAAAATTAAGAGCTCTGTTTTATGAATACACTAAGTATAAAATGCCTATAAACAGTCTGTTGAATGAACTGGATTGAGTGGGATAAAAACATAAAATAGCCTTATTTTTCTTAGACCACTGCTTTTAATTACTTTATGTGAGATCTCCCTTTTCTTGCACTTTGGTTGATCCCAAATCTTTTCCAGTAACCTTCAGGTATTAACCAACAGTATCACTCTTAGGTTCTAACAAGTCCAGTCCAGTCTAATACCAAATTTTTGATGTCTTCTGCAATTGCAAGTTCCCTTCCTTCTCCAGCTACATTCTGACAGCCCCAGAAATCTGCAATATGTAAAGGTAATTTGTTTTGGCAGCTTCGCTGCTTTCCCACCTTCCTCTCCTAATCTTCCTCCCCAACTCACCTTTGTGTCTCTGGACCTGCCAAGGTAGGAGCAAGTGGAAAGGAGGGGGGAGGGTAAAAACAAATAGGCACAATGACAAAGTCTTTCTTGGAAGGAGCAGTGATAATGTGGCATTAGTACTCCCTAGTTGTGACACATACCAAAATTCTGCCTTTCTTTCTTAGGGAACTTATGAGTTATTTGGAGACCTCTCCCTGCCAACAAGGAGACACCCCACTGCTCCTGATCTTGGCATGGGATATACCTTCTCCAGCTGGTCACTTGTATCTCTCCTCTCAGATTCTGCTTCTGGCAGTACAACCCATACAGGCTTTTTCTATTGGGGTTATCTAATCCTGGCAGGAAGACCTCTCAGGCAGAGTCTTTGTAAGACAAGTCCCATTCAGTGACCTTCCTGGCCTTACACCTAACAATGGTAGTGCAGTTAGCTCCCACTATTGCCCACTCCCCCTGCTATTCCATCAGGAGAAGTCCTTTTGGCCTCTGACCTTGAAAATTTATCCAGATAAAAACCAGGCAGTGGTCAGTGTCTCCCAAGTTCCATAGGTACCTTGTCCAGTCTTCTAAGTGGTTCTCCTGAAGCCTCCTTCATTATACCTTGACATGAGGGACAGGCCTCCCACTCCCCATGGGGTAAGCAACACATAAAACACCGAAGAGGCTCTCCAAATAATAAATATTCAAATCTAAAGTCTTCCATAAGTTCCTAGCCTTTTTTTATACAAGGTTGGAGGTGAGTCAGGGCCTAAGGGTTGCAGAACCAATTTTGGACTACTACCTGAACAAGTTCTAAATCGATAGGCTGATATCTCTCTTTAGAATAAGGGGATACTTCCCACCTATAATTCTCAGCAACAATTCTAAGACAGAAAATGTCCTGTCATAACATGTTGTTACATACTTTATTTGACATCTAAGTGGAGGTAAGCAGTTGGCATAGACCAAGCAGAGGAAGACGGCCCAGCAAAAAGACAGAAAATGCAGTCAGTGTATTTCCCTATAGGTAGCAGTTAGGGAAACATTCTCTTTGGCAGCTGCACTTTTTAACTGCAACCTCAAGATTGGGGAATCTGTGATAGAAAATAAGATACCCAATTTCATAAATAGCATTCAACATTGTTTTCATTACCCATCCAGGGTGGCCTTGGCTTAGCGATGTTGAAAAGGTGATCCGTGAATTCTACAAACAGAGTCTTTTTGTACACGACTGAGGTGTTGAATGGAAAAGATTTTGGCACTCTAGGAGGAAATCTGCGTGAAGAAAGGAAAAAGTCGTTCATTTTGGTGGACACTTCAAAAAGCAGCTGGAAGTAATGCTTCCATACTACTCTTTTCTACTATTAGCAAGGAGGCAAATTTGAAGTTGTATATAAATCCCTAACATCCATTAAACCGAAACACTGTTTTCACAACTCAACTGATACATTAGGTGCCATATGATAAGAATCATAAAATCAATAACCATACACTGCATCAGCCAAAAATCCTTTGCCAAAGCAATAGCTACTGCATCCTTCAATTTCATCTCTAAAACAGACTATAACTTTCATCTAAGTACCTTGTGTTCAAATTTTGTCAGTATGTACCTAAAATTATACTTCCCTCCTTAGGGATACCAGGAATATCACAGAGAAAATTACCTTTCAGCAGACTATGTATATTGAAACCTACTAGTGCCAGAAGCTGTAATTCAGAATCAGTCCTACATTAATGTTCATTCTTGTCTCCACTCAGATACTCCCAATTACTCATTTATTCATGAACCAGCTACTGAATCAGAAATTATATAATTACTTATATAAATGTTCCCAAAATGTTATTATTTGCCTCCATTGTCAAAGCCCTTTTAAGCAAAGGCTGGTTCCCAACTTTTCCTCTCTCCCTGCATGACAGTTTAGCATGTCTGGGGGCCTCCTCACGCCAAATAATCAAAAGGACCAATGTGAATCTTGGTGAATAAGGGACACTGGCCCCAAGTGAATTGGTAGAAATTACAAAGTGGTTGAAGGTGACTATCTCCACTCACTAGTTTCATGTGCTGATGAGTTTTGCACACCATGGAGCAGTTCTGCAGCTTTCTCTATGCCATAAAGAGCCTCTCTTCCTGACTTTTATGCTTCTGGACATCTAACTTTTATCTCCCATCAGATTTTACCAGTTGGTATCATTTCAACAAGCCAAAGGCACAACACATGGGCATTTGGGTAATTAAGGCTTAGTTGGAGAAAGCAAGGCTCCTGCCCTGGAAAAAAGCTTTCATGTGTAGATCTAAAATTGAGCATTTGCCCTCCACAGATATACATCGATTCACTTATGAACCGTATACTACATGCCACTTTGCCATAACAAAACACATCAGACATAAACATGGAAAAGGAGAGATTTTTAAAGACATACACTTAGATGTGAAGCAGTTGTTCGAGTCGCATGTCTTATTGACTCTCAGGGACTTTTGAAAAGTGGTAGATGTGAAAGATGGAGAACAGCACAAATAAATGCTTGGTATGGCGGACCACTGAAGAAAGAACCCCAAATATCATCCAGTGAGACACTCCCTCCATTGTCATAAATGATGGCAATAATGATAAAGTGAGGGAAAGGAGAGGCAGCTTCTGATTGTAAGTATTCATATGCTTGGAGTAAAAGCCACACCATGCCTCAGATTACCAGGATGTGGAATGAATAAGAAGGGGTCTGGGCATTTATCACTTGTTTATTTCTTTCTCAGTCTTGTGGTGAAATAACAAAAGTCTCATTGTTCCTTTCAGGAGCAGCCACACTGGAGAATCATTCATTCTTGTAAGAAATTTTGCTTTTCCTTTAGTCAGAATGCTGAGATAGAGAAGGAAAATGCAATCTAAAAATGGTGAAAATGGCTAAATTGGTAAACCAGTGACCCATGGGGATTTTCTTCAATTTTAATAATTGTGGTAAAATACACATAAAATTTACTATCGTAAATCTTTTTTTTTTTTTTTTTTTTTTGACAGGGTCTCACTCTGTTGCTCAGGCTGGAGTGCAGTGGCGAGATCCACCTCCCGGGTTCGAGTGATCCTCCCGCCTCAGCCGCCAGAGTAGGTGGGACTACAGGCGTGTGCCACCATGCCCGGTTAATGTTTTTGTAGAGACAGGGTTTCACCATGTTGCCCAGGCTGGTGTCACACTCCTGGGCTCAAGCAATCCACCCTCCTTGGCTTCCCAAAGTGCTGGGATTATAGGCATGAGGCACCATGCCCAGCCCAAGCATGTTTAAATATACAGTTCAGTAGCATTAAATATTCTGGCCAGGTGTGGTGGCACACACCTGTAATCCCAGTACTTTGGGAGGCCAGGGCAGGATGATCACTTGAGCCCAGGGGTTCAACACCAGCCTGGGCAACACAGCAGTACCTGGCCTCTACAAATAATAATAATTAGCCAGGCGTGGTGGTGTGCACCTGTGGTCTTAGCTGCTTTGGTGCCTGGGGTGGGAGGATCACTTGAGCCCAGACAGTTAAGGCTGCAGTGAGCTATGATCACAAAACTGCACTCCAGCCTGGGCAACAGAGTGAGATCCCATCTCCAAAAAGAAAACGTGTAATATGCTCCCATCTACCTCCAGAATTAATTTTATGTTGTAAACTGAAACTGTATAAACATTAAACAATAACTCTCACCTCCTCCAGTCTCTGGCATCCACCATTCTACTTTCTGTATCATTTTGACTACTCTAAGTACCCAATATAAGTGGAATCATACAGCATTTGTCTTTTCATGACTGGCTTATTTCACTTAGCGTAATATACTCAAGGTTCATCTATGTCGTAGCATGTGTCAGAATTTCCTTCTTTCGTAATGCTTTGTGTGTATATACCACATTTAGATTATCCATTCATCTGTCAATAGACACTTGCAGTACTTCCACATTTTAGCTATTGTGAATAATGCTGCTTATAAACATGGATATGATGGTTAATTTTATATGTCAACTTGACTGGGCTAAGAGATGCCCAGATACATGGCAAAACAGTATTTCTAGGTATGTCTGTGATGATGTTTCCAGAAGAGAATAGCATGTGAATTGGTAAAGAAGATCACTCTCACCAATGTGGGTGGGCATTATCCATTCCACTGAGGGCCTGAATAGAACAAAAAGACAGAGGAAGGGCAAATTCACTCTCCCTGTTTGAACTGGGACATCTGTCTTCTCCTGCCCTTGGACATAAGCATTCTTGGTTCTGCCTTCTGACTCAGACCCTGTACTTTTACCATTGGCATATATTTACACACACACACACACACACACACACACACACACGGATCTGTTTCATTGGAGAACCCTAATACAATTGATGTATAAATATCTCTTTAAGACCCCATTTCAGTTCTTTTGCATATATAGCCAGAAGTCGAGTTGCTGGATCATATGGTAATTCTGTTTAATTTTTAGAGAAACTGCCCTATTGTACATTTGCAATAGTGCACAAGGGTTCCAATTTCTCCACATCCTCACCAACATTCATTATTTTCTGTTTTAGTTTTGATAGTAGCCATCCTAATGGGTGTGAGGCAGTATCTCTTTGTAGTTTTGATTTATATTTCTCTAATGATTAGTGATGTTGAGCATCTTTTCTTTCTTTCCATCTCACCACATCACTATGGGCCTATTTACTGTAGTTCCTCATAGCCAGTACATCATGTCCACCTTTTAACAAGAAATTACAAGGCACACTAAAGGGCAAAACCCACAAAATTTGAAGAGACTGAACAAGCAAGCATCAGAATCAGAGTCAAATATGGCAGGAATGTCATAATTATCAGACCAGGAATTTTTTAAACTATGATTAATATGCTAATGGCTTTAATGTAAAAAGTAGACAACATGCAATGACAGATGTATATCATAAGGAAAAATATGGAAATTCTAAGACAGAATAAAAAAGAAATGCTAGAGATCAAAACACTGTAACAGAGATGAAGAATGTCTTTGATGGGCTCATTGGTTGATGAGACATGGCTGAGGAAAGAATCTCTGAGCTTGAGGACATGACAATAGAAACTTCCAATCAAAACTGAAAAGCAAAGAGAAAAAAAGACTGAAAAAAAAAAAAACACCAACAACAACGGCAGAGGCTATGCATGGGCCCAGAATGTCCAAAAACTGTGGAACAACAACTACAAAAGTTGTAACATACACATAATGGAAATGCCAGAAGAAGAATGCAGAAATGAATAGGAGCAAATTTTTAAAGCAATAATGACTGAGAATTTCCCCCAAATTAATGTCAGACACCAGACACCATACCACAGATTCAGGAAGCTCAGAGAATACCAAAGAAGATGGATGCAGCTGGGCGCGGTGGCTCACGCCTGTAATCCCAGCACTTTGGGAGGCCGAGGCGGGCAGATCACGAGGTCAGGAGATCGAGACCATCCTGGCTAACATGGTGAAACCCCATCTTTACTAAAAAATACAAAAAAAATTAGCCAGCTGTGGTGGCGGGTGCCTGTAGTCCCAGCTATTCAGGAGGCTGAGGCAGGAGAATGGCGTGAACCCAAGAGGTGGAGCTTGCAGTGAGCCGAGTTCGCGCCACTGCACTCCAGCCTGGGTGACAGGGCGAGATTCTGTCTCAAAAAAAAAAAAAAAAAAAAAAAGATAGATGCAAACGAGCAAACAAATAAAAAAACCCTACACCTAGGCATATTATATTCAAACTCCAGAAAATCAAAGACAAAAAATGTTGTAAGAAACCAGATGGGGAAAAACACTTTATCCATAGAGGAGCAAAGATAAAAATTACATCCAACTTCGCCTCAGAAACCATGCAAACAAGAAGAGAGTGCACTGACATATTTAAAGTGTTGAGAGAAAGAAAAAACAGTCAACCTAAAATTCTGAACTCTGTGAAAGTATCCTTCAAAAATGAAGGAGAAATAAAAACTTTCTCAGACAATAAAAATTAAGGAATTTATTGACAGTAGACCTGCCTTTCAATAAATATCCAAAGAAGTTGTTCAGAGAGAAGGAAATTGAATCTACAAAGGATACGCATTACAGAATGAATAAATGAAAAGAACATCAGCCACAGAAACAGCACTAAACAACCAAGTAGACTGAATGACTTAGCCACTTTGATGCTTACCAGTCTCTGCTGTTGGTGCCCCAATTCTTACAAAATGGATGTATGAAAGGAGGAGCCATGGCAGAGGCTATGCATGGGCCCAACATCATGGACTCATCAATACAGATCTAGCTACTGATGTTGTTAATGTTCAACTTGCCAGTAACAGAGACCAAAGCTAAGGCTCTGATATGTCACCATTTCTCAAGAAAATCATTCAGTTGCTTGGTGAGCCTCAGTAAACACCACCATTCAAGGCCTCACAGAATATTTGATCTTACATAACACTGCATCAGACCAAGAGACCTACTTTAAAGCAAGAAGATACATGACCATGGAATCCACTACCCAGAAGCTACCCACTTGATAGAGTGGTAGGACAGCTTGTTGAAGGCACAGCTGAGGCACTAGCTTAGACATAATACCTAAGGACGAGGCACCATCCTGCAGGATGCAGTATATACTCTAGATCAATGGCCATCGTTTAGTGGGGTGTGTCCCGAAGTAAAATATATGGTTTTGGAAAACAAGGAGTGTAAGTAGGAGCAGCCTCACACTACCATTACTCCCAGTGACCCAATTAGGGAAACTATGCCTCTTATCCCAACTCTGGGCTCTGAGAGTTTAGAAGTACTGGTTCTTAAAAGGGGAATATGTCCGCCAGTGGACACACCAAGAGTCTCATTAAACTTGAAACTATGGTTGCCATCATATTACTTCAGATCACTATTAAGAGACCAAGAGGTAAGGAAAAGAGTCACTATCCTGGCAAGCGTAACCGATCCTGATCATCAGGAGGAAGGGCTGACATTACACAATGGAGACAGAGGAGAATATATTTGGCAGCCAGGTCATCTGCCTGGGTATCTCTTAGTATTCCCTTGTTCAATGTTGATGATAAATGGACAAGTACAGTCATGGCTTACAAAGGGCATGATGACCAGATACCTTATCTGGTAACCCACTTGGAGCAGCAGAAGTATGAATTGAGAGGGTGGTGGGGGGAGGGATCTAGAATGGGTAGTAGAAGGGGAAGATGATGAGTACCAGTTGCAGACTCAAGAAAAGCTAAAGCAGCAGGAGTTGTGCTGTGTTCCAAACCTTTCTCTTTTGTTTCCCCAGGAAAGGGAGCCCATCAGAATCCTGAAGGAACCATTCCAGAACTTATGAAGCAAATGAATCTGAGCAGCAGAAAGGGTGGACCACAGTGGAGGCTGGTGTCCAGATTCACCGCTTCAGGACTAAAGCACTTATTTCCTAAGCTGCTGGGTGTGCTGACAGCTGACAACTCTAATCTGAATTCCTCTCTGAGAACCAATTTTGGCTGAAGTCAGTCACCACATCCAAACTCATGCCTTATTCCTGGTAAAGGTGGGACTATATAGGTCCAGACAACTTGCCTCAATAGAGAACATCTCTGCAGAGCCATCCTAGCTTGAGCTCCCTGTGGGACTGACCTTTATTCAGACTGTATCACCTCAACTTCTTTTACCCAATCCTGCTTCCTTCACTCCCCCATGGGTGTTGATCCAGAGGATCCCCCTCCTATAAACTTTCTGCATGCAAGAAAAAAAAGAGAGAAAAAAGGAGAAAAAAGCAGACAATAATTTTTATTCATGTGCTTAAAAAGTTGTAAAATCACCCAAGGAAGCACATAAGTTGTCAGTATGTGAACAATGTTGGAAACATTTTATTTTGTCTGATTTCCTTTGGGAGAATTCATTGCCAGCTATAAATCTGTGGAAACGCTGCCACACAATCTTAGCACACAAGATTGGCAGAAAATCGCTTAGAAACACTGAAAACATGTGACAAAGTGCTTTCCGTGAAAAGGGTGGATGCGAAGCAGTAAGGACCCCCTTCATGAAGCACGCGGTCACCCTCCAGCCACCAGAACCAGAGGAACGCTGTGGTAACTGAGGGAAAACGCATCTAGGCACACGTCACGGTGGCACCTTCCAGCAGGTCCCCGGGGTTGTGCCCCTGGAGCTCTGACAAAGAGTGTGGCCCGGAAATGTGATGTTTGGACTGCAAGTTTTGGTGAGAAATAACAATGCATCAGGTTGCAGACAAAGCAGACCCTGCTCTGTGCGTTTATGGGAGCCGCGCCCAACAGGAACCACAGGGAATGATCGAAAGGAGAGGGACGGACACAAACAGACACACCAGAGAGAGGTTCTCAGGAGGAGGCTCTGTGGCCTCCAGACCACGTCAAAGCCAAGGCAGAAAGGATGAACTGAGGAAAGGAGGAAAATTTCCCCTTAAGGAAGGTAAAATCCAGAAGGGATCCCTAAAATGGTGAGCAGTTTAAACCTAGCAGTTTTGCATTAATTCACATAAAGTATAATGAAAACTGTTGGACACACAAGGAGAGACTGGCCAATCTATAGTCACAGAGGAAGACCTTCACACCCCTTCACAGGATCTCGCAGCAGATTGGCTGAAAAGTCTCCTTGAAACTGCAGACCTCTCTCAAGGAGACCCACTGAGTTGGGCAAAGGTGGGGCCGACTTAATTCTTGCCTCCCTGCTCTCCCACGTAGCCCTGCATTTCACTCCATTCCAGGGTTTCTGGGACACCCGAGAAAGCACGTAGTCCAGGGAGCACGTCTGCCAACTGAAGGCCTTGACAAATGACTTTCTGTACTGGCTGAGGGCCAGGGCCCAGCGTACTGATAAGGAAGCTCTTCCAGAAAAAAGTTGGGACAAAGGCATATTAGTGAGTGGACACAAACTAGAAAAATCTCCAAGTAATACGTTAATGCCAACAGAAAGCATCCATCTTGAAGGAAGCACAAACCAACAACACATATAAAAATGACTCTGGCAATTCACATCAGCTAGCCTCTGCATAGGCCATCGCAGTACTGGCAAGACATGAGCTAAGTGGCTACAGCAGCAGGGAGAGAATTAATGCATGGACCCAAAAGCGTGGCTTCCCACTGACTAAGGCTGATCTAGCTACTGTTGCCACCAAAGTCCAACCTGCCAGCAACAAAAATCAATGCTGAGCTCCCAATATGCCATATTGGGCCCAACCCCTGGGCCCCTGACCAGTACTGGTCTGTGGCCTGTTAGGAATGGGGTCACATAGCAGGAAGTGAGCAGCAGGCAGGGAGCAAAGCTTCATCTGTATTTACAGCGGCTCCCCATCACTTGCATTACCGCCTGGGCTCTGCCTCCTGTGAGATCAGCTGCTGCATTAGATTCTCATAGGAGTGCGAATGCTACTGTGAACTGCATATGCAAGGGATCTAGGTTTTGTGCTCCTTATGAGAACCTAACTAATGCCGCATGATCTGAGGCGGACAGTTTCATGCCGTAACCATTCCCAACAACCCCAAAGTCTCTGGAAAAATTATCTTCCACGAAACCAGTCCCTGGTGCCAAAAAGGTTGGGGATTGCTGCAATATGGTATTGTCCATCACAGAGACAAACCAGCTTCTCGGTGGCCAGACACACTGAACTCCTTCCATCCTAGAAAGGACAGGACTTCATTGTGATACCTAATCTTGGCGTAACTTAGCCTTTCCTCCCTTCAGGGCCTTAGCCAGCACCACTATCTGAAATCTTACAGAGGATTTGATTCACTGATGTGGAATTCCATATAGCACCGTGTAGACCTGGGGAATCATTGTACAGCAAAAGAGATGAGGGAGTGGGTCCACAACCAGGCACAGGTAGAACTCCAGCTTGGAGGCAGGTCTCTGTGAGGATGGAGGGCCAGCCTCCAAGGTGCTGTATATGTATGAATTCAAAGATGATTCTGTGTCCCCACTAAGAAGATTACATGGGGTTTGGGAATCAAAGAGTGGCAGCAAAAGAACTCTGATTAGCACCCCCGCCAATGAGCCACGTGGGGAGTCTCTGCCGCCCCTCCCTGCAGCTCTGGGACCCGCAGCAGAAAGGCCCCTGCAGCAGAAAGGCAAGAGTATACGGCGGGTGCCACCTGGCCCCGCCAGGCTAACCCAGGGCAATGCAGAGCAGTGGCAGGGAGAGGGGGTGAGGGGGAAGAATGGCAGGGGCTGGGGGTGCCATCACGCCCAGGGCGCGGGCAGGAGCGTGCAGCTGAGCCCTGAACCCACGACGACCTGGAGCTGAGCAGCAAGAGGGTGAGGGGCGCCCGGATGGCAGTCTAGGAAAGAACTCCCCAGTCCCAGCCATTGGGTGTGGGAAGTCAGCCTTCACCTCCGCTGAGGTGTGCGCCGGGATTGCCCCAGAGGAATGTTGCCTGTGGGGGCCACGCACCTTCCTTCCCAAGACAGACCACGCCCCTCTACCAGGGCATGCCCCGCCCATTTCCAGGACAGGCCCCACCCCCTCTCTGGGCAGACCACGCCTCTTCCCAGCGCCGACTCTGCCCTGTCCCAGGATGGACAGCACTTCATGAGTGCTCAGTGCAGGGACACAGAGGCCTGGACATGTTGGTCCAACCTGGAAGGTTCATTCCAGCTCCAGAGCTCCCTGTAAGATCCAGCAAGGCTGTCCTGGAGCCTACCCGGCAGCGCGCTTCTCCCTCTGCCTATCCCTGATTCCTCAGGTGTTGATCCCAAGAACACTCCAAATAAAATTCCTGCATGTTAATCTTCATCTCAGAGTCTACATCTAGGGAACACAACCAGTAACATTAATTTTTTTTTTTTTTTTTTTGAGACGGAGTCTCGCTCTGTCGCCCAGGCCGGACTGCGGACTGCAGTGGCGCAATCTCGGCTCACTGCAAGAACATTAATTTATATTTAAACATACTCTAATGTCATCTACCTCTAAAAATTTCCATGGCACTAGTCTTAACATAAGCCTATGTAGTTTTCAGTCATTTAACATTATTATGCCCTTCCACATTCACCAACTCATCCCTAGTTTGCTACCTTTCTCCTTTTTCCATATCATATCCTTGGTTCCACTACGTCTATCCTACCCCCTCTCTGTGCAGTTTCCATTGATTTCTAAGGTATTTCAACATAAGTTACCACAGTGCTTTCACTTTAAATGTTTCTGATTAAAGGCCAGACCCAATGGCTCACATCTGTAATCCCAGCACTTTGGGAGGCCGAGGCGGGAGGATCACCTGAGGTCAGGAGTTCGACACCAGCCGGGCCAACATGAAGAAACCCTGTCTACTAAAAATACAAAAATTAGCTGGGCGTGGTGGGGCATGCCTGTAATGCCAGCTACTCAGGAGGCTGAGGCAGGAGAATCGCTTGAACACGGGAGGCAGAGGTTGCAGTGAGCCGAGATCATGCCACTGCACTCCAGCCTGGGGGATAGAGTTAGACTCTGTCTCAAAAAATAAATAAATAAATAAATAAATAAATGTTTCTGACTAAAATGAAGATATAAGACACATATAAAATATGTTATAGAGCAATAGATTGGAAGATCAGAGAGGGAACAGGATCAAGAGCACACAGAAACACTTTTTCCCTCTCTGAGGGAAGAGTGAAAACACATAATTGATGGAGAAACAAGATTGTGAGACAGAAAAACAAAAAGGCCTAGGCCCTAGGTCAAGTATATGTGATTCAGGACAGGACTCTATTCAAAGGGAATAACTAGATGTTCCTAAGAGCATTAACACCCTCCAAGTGTGTGATTCAGTTCTGAGATGAACCTATTACAGGACAATATCCAGCTCCCCAGCCTGAGACCTTTGCCATTTGAGTGAATATTTTCCACGCTGGCAGAAACATGTGATTTATTTGCCTGTCTCACTTTCAGGCAAATCTGCATAGTAAATGACAAAATGTTCCAGGGTTCCTGGGTTTTACTCCTTCCTAACTTTTGTGGGGTTTTGTTTGTGTATTTCCTTTGGGATTCAATATAGAAATCCTGCCAAATATATTTGGCAACCATTGTCCTTGACATGAACTGTTCTTTCACATTTTATCTAAAACTAATCGGAAAACCTATTATATTCCCTGACCTGTGGTTAGAAGAAACTGAGCAGCTGCGGGAACAGATAATATAAAACTGAATTTTCCCAGCTGTTTATTTCAAACCTTGGCAGAGGCTGTCAGGATGTGTCCAGAGTCAGCTTATCCTGTTAATCAGCATCAAAATAATCTAAAGTATAAAAGGGTTTCATTAAAATAAAAATTCTATCAACTTTTTTCTGGTAAATACATGTGACTGCCTATACAATAACAGAAAGCTAGATAATAAATTAATGATGTATTCCATTCAATTCAATTTTATACTCAAACTATTATTCTCTGTGCCTCAGGCTGCATGCTAGATGGACACTAATATACACAGTGTATTAAGTAAAATTATCTCAATATTAATTGTTAACAGGGCTAACTTTAATGGATAAATGGTTGTTTAGTTAGATGCCAGGCTACTGACAACCTGGGCCTCTACTTTCAAGGTCACTAACATTGCTCATCTGCAGGCTATATAGGCTGTAGAACGAACTTGGATCCCCTCCTCACACCATATACCAAAATTAACTCCAAGTGGATCAATGACCTCAATGTAAGAACTAAAACTATAAAAGTCTCAAAAGAAAATATAGGTTTAAATCTTAGTGATCTTTGATTTGACATTGATTTCTTAGATATGACAACAAAAATACAAGCAACCAAAGGGGTAAAATAAATAAATATTGGATTTCATCAAAATGAAAAACTTTGTGCATCACAGGATACTATTAGGAAAGTGAAAATACTACCCACAGAATGGGAAAAAATATTTTCATGTCATAGCTCTGATAAGGGTATAATATTAAGAATAAATAAAGAACTTATACAACTCAGTACTAAAAAACAAATAATCCAATTAAAAACACGCAAAGCATTTAAATAGACATTTCTCCAAAGGAGATACACAAATGGTCAATAAACACATGAAAAGACTCTCAACAACGTAAGTCATCAGGGAAATGCAAATCCAAACTACAATGAGATATCACTTTATCCACACTAGGATGAGTATAATTAAAAAGACAGACAGTAACAAGTGTTGATAAGAATATGGAAAAATTGGAACACTCATACTTTGGTAGTGAAAATGTAAAATGGTGCAGCTGCTTTGAAAAAGTCTGGCAGTTCCTCTAAAAGTTAAACATAGAATTACCATGTGACCTAGCAATTATATTCCTAAGTATATTCCGAAGAGAAATAAAAGCATATGTACACAAAGACTTGTACATGAATGTTCTATAGCAGCATTATTCATAATAGCCAAAAGGGGAAACAATCCAAAAGTCCATCAACAGATGAATGGATAAACAAAATGTGGTCTATCCATACAATGGAGTATTATTCAGCCATAAAAAGGAGTTAAATTCTGATACATACTACAACATGGAAGATTTTTTTAAATTAAAAAATGAAAATAGTTTCATTCTTACTATATCTTTATTTTCTTATTTTAACTCCTCTATCATTCTGCAAAAATGGAAGAATCTTGAAAACATGCTAAGCAAAAGATGCTAGACACAAAAGGCCACATATTTTATCCCTTCATTTACATGAAATATCCAGAATAGGCAAAACCACAGTGACGGAAAGTAGGTTAATGGTTGCCAGGGGCTGGGGAAAGGAAGAAAATTAGAAGTGACTGTTTAATGATTACAGGGTTTCTTTTTGAGGTGATGAAAATATTCTGGAATTAAATAAAGATGATAGTTGTACACTTTACGGATTCACTAAAAACCACTGAATTGTACACTTTCAAATGGTGAATTTTATGATATGTAAAGTATATGTCAATAAAAATGTGGAGATTTAGGAAAGGAAAAGAATCTCCACACTGAAAATAAGTGATTTTTACAGTATGTAAATCATACCTCCAAGGAGTGAAAAAATGGTAAGGAAATATTCTGAACTTTATACTATTAAATTCAACAGCTCAGATGGAATTTCTTTTCTTTTTTTGAGACAGAGCCTTGCTTTGTTGCTCAGGCTGGAGTGCAGTAGCATGATCCATAGTTAATTGCAGCCTTGAACTCTTGGGCTCAAGTGATCCTCCTGCCTCAGCCTTCCAAGTAGCTGGGACTACAGGCATATGTTACCACACTTGGCTAATGAAAAAAAATTCTGTAGAAGTCAAGTCTTGTTATGTTGCCCAGGCTGATCTCAAACTCCTGGCCTAGAGCAATCCTGCTGCCTCCTCCCAAAGTGTTGGGGTTACAGGTGTGAGCCACCATGCCCAGTCTCAAATGGAATTTCTTAAAAGAAATTATTAAAATTTATCCTATAAGAAATAGAAAATTCAAATAGCCCTTTACCTATTAAAAATAGAATTCACAATTAAGACCCTTAAAAAAAAAACCAAACCAAAACAAAAAACACTGGGATAAGATGATTTCCCTGGTGAATAAACATTTAAAAAAGAAATGATACCAATTCTACACAAACTCTTTCATTAAATAGAAGAGTGAACACGTCTCAACTCATTTTATAAGAATAGTCAGCCGGGCGCGGTGGCTCACGCTTGTAATCCCAGCACTTTGGGAGGCCGAGGTGGGCGGATCATGAGGTCAGGAGATCGAGACTATCCTGGCTAACACGGTGAAACCCCGTCTCTACTATCAGTATAAAAAATTAGCCAGGCGTGGTGGCGGGCGCCTGTCGTCCCAGCTACTCGGGAGGCTGAGGCAGGAGAATGGCGTGAACCCGGGAGGCGGAGCTTGCAGTGAGCCGAGATCGCACCACTGCACTCCAGCCTGGGTGACAGAGCGAGACTCCGTCTCAAAAAAAAAAAAAAAAAAAAAAAGAATAGTCTTACTCTTTGATATGGTTTGGCTGTGTCCCCACCTAAATCTCATCTTGAATTGTAGCTCCCACAATCCCCATGTGCTGTGAGAGGGACCAGGTGGGAGGTAATTGAATCATGGCAGTGGGGTTTTCCCATGCTGTTCACATTATAGTGAATAAGTCTCATGAGGGCTGATGGTTTTATAAAGGGCAGTTCTCCTGTACAATGCTCTCTTGTCTGCCACCATGCCATATAAGATGTGTCTTTGCTCCTCCTTTGCCTTCCACCATGATTGTGAGGCCTCCCCAGCCATGTGGAACTGTGAGTCCATTAAATCTCTTTCCTTTATAAATTACCCAGTCTCGGGTATGTCCTCATAGCAGCATTAGAACGGACTAATACCACTCTTATATCAAAACCAGACAATGACATTATAAGAAAATCACAGCCAAATATCCATCATGAACACAGACGCAAAAACTAAAAAACCACCATCACCACCAAAACCCTTAACAAAACAGTTTTAGTTGGCCAGGGCTGCCATAACAAAATACTAGAGATTGGGTGACTTAAACAACAGAAACTTATTTTCTCACAGTTCCGGAGGCTGGAAATCCAATATCAGGGTGCCAGCACGGTCAGTTTCTAGTGGAGCCCTCTTCCCAGCTGGTAGATGGCTGCCTTCTCGCTGTATGTTCACATGGCTTTTCCTCAGTGCATGAGTGTAGAGAGAGAACCTTCTCTCTTCTTATGAGGCCACCAGTCCTATCAGATTAGGACTCCATCCTTATGGCCTCATTTAACCTTGTTTACCTCCTAAAAGCCCTATCTCCAAATATAATCATCTTGAGAGTTAGGACTTCAACATATGAATTTGGGGTGGGGGGAGGTGGAGACAATTCAGTCCATAGCGAAAATATTACCAATGTAATATGTCACAACCAGGTGGATTTTTTCCCTGGGAATACATAGCTAGTTCCTCATTAAAAAATCAATCAAGGTAATTCACCATAACAGAATAAACAAGATAAACCATATGACCATTTGAATAGATGCAGAAAAAGCATTTGACAAAATCTAATATCAAATCTTGATAAAAACTCTCACACCAAGAATAGAAGGAAACTTCCTCAATTTGACAAAGGGCATCTATGAAAAAATTTACAAGTAATTGTACTTAATGGTAAAATAATGAATATTTTCCCTCTGAAATCAGGAAGAAGACAAGGATTCTGCTATCATCAGTTCTATCTAACATTGTACTGGAGGCCCTTGCCAGTACAGTAAGGCATGAAAAAAAAAATAAAAAGCATCCAGTTTGGAAAGGAAGAAGCAAACTGTCTTTATTTGCAGACAACATTATTGTATATGTAGAAATTCTAAAAGAAGTGCAAAACGCTACTAGAGCTAAAATGCAAATTAACAAGATTAGAGTGAACAAGGTCAATATACAAAAATCAATTGAATTTCTATATTTTAGTAACAAATGATTGGAAAACGAAAACAAATAAAAATGATACAATTAACAATAGCATCGAATCCCTCAAAATACTTGGGGATACAATTAATATAATTCTTGCAAGAACTACTCTGTAGGCTACAAAATATCCTAGAGGGAAATTAAAGAAAATTTAAAGAAACAAAGCCATACCATGTTGTTGTATTGAAAGATTCAGTATTGTTTAAATGTCAATTCTCCCCAAATTGATCTACAGATTCAATTCAATTCCAGTCAAAATCCCAGTTGGCTATTTGGTGGAGTTGGCTAGTTGACTATAAAATTAATACAGAAATATAAAAGCCTAAATATATCAAAAGCAATTTCAATAAAAAAGTAAGTTGGAGGTTTTAGACTGCCTGATATTAAGACTTACTATAAAGTTACAACAATCAAAACAATCTGGTACTGGCATAAGCACAGATATACACATCTATGGAACTAGAGAATCCATAAACAGATTTGCCTATATACAGTCATTTAATTTTCTACAAAGGCACCAAGGGAATTCAATAGAGAAAGAAAAGTCACACCATACAGAAAATTTAACTCAAAATGTATTATAAACCTAAATACTAATGCTAAAATGATAAAAGTTCTAGAAGAAAACAGAAGAAAGGCTTTGTGAACTTGAGGTGGGCAAAGATTTCCTAGGACAGGGGAAAAAAAAGCATGAATCATAGAAGAAGAAAAGCTAAATTGGACTTAACTACAACTATAAATTTCCACTATTTGAAAGACACCATTTGGAAAATGAAAATGCAAGCCATAGATTGGAAAAAAACATTCAAAACAGGTACCTCTGAATAGTCTTGTACCCAGAATATATAAAAAATTATCAAAACTCAACAATAACAAGACAAACAACCCAATTAAAAACTGGCAAACCATTATCCTAAGTGAATTAACACAGGAACTGAAAACCAAATACCATATGTTCTCACTTAGAAGTGGGAGCTAAATGATGAGAACACATGGACATAGAATAATAGACACTGGAGACGACTAGAGGAAAGAGGGAGGAGGAAGGGTAGCAAGGAGTGAAAAACCACCTATTGGGTACTATGTTCACTACTTCAGTGACAGGATCATTCATTCGTAACCCAAACTTCAGCACCATGCAACATACTCATGTAACAAACCTGCACATGTACCTCCTCAGTCTAAAATAAAAGTTGAAACTACGTTTAAAAACAAAGGACCAATGATTTGAATAGACACTTCCAAGAAGATATAGGAATGGCTAATTAGCACATGCAAAGATGCTCAACATCTTTAGTCATCAGAGACACGCAAATTAAAAGTATAACCAGGTGCAGTGGCTCAAGCCGTAATCCCAACATTTTGGGAGGCCGAGGCGGGTGGATCACTTGAGGCCAGGAGTTTGAGACCAGCCTGGCCAACATGGCAAAACCCCGTCTCTACCAAAAATACAAAAATTAGCTGGGCACGGTGGCGTGTGACCATAGTCCTAGCTACTCAGGAGGCTGAGGCATGAGAATTGCTTGAGCCTAGGAGGCAGATGTTGAGCTGAGATTGCGCCACTGCACTCCAGCCTGTGTGATGGGATGAGATTCCATCTCAAAAAAAAAAAAAAGTATAGTGAGATACCACTGTGCAGTCATTAAGTACTGGCAACATCAAATGTTGTCCAGGATATATTGCAACTGGAACTCTCATGCATTGCTGGTGGGAGTATAGAATGGTACGTTCAAGAAATCTGTCTGGCAGTTTCTCTTAAACATGCACTTACCATATGATCCAGCAATTCCACTCCTAGATATTTAACTAAGATAAATGAAAATAGATGTTCACACAAAACATGTGGAGCACTGTTCATAGCAGGTTTATTTGTATTTGCTCCTAACTGGAAATAATCCAAAATTATGATATAATCCCATAATGGAGCAGTAATCAGCAATAAAAAGGATAGAAATACTTTATACAACAACCTGCATGAATTTCCAAATCATGATGCTGAAGAAAAAAAGCCATAGAAGAATACATACCGTATGATTCCACTGATGTAAAATTCTAGAACATGTGAAAACAAATCTGTAACTTCCAGATAGCAGTTTATTGGCTGAGGCCAGGTCAGTGGGAGAGACTCATTAAAAAGTTGCAGGAGGGTTGATGTAAATGCATGTTGATTAGGGTGGTGGTTATGCAAGTGTATGCATTTGTCAAAACTCATCAAACTGCATATTTAAAATTGATGAGCTTCATTGTATGTAAACTATACCTGTGGCAGGTAAAAATTTGGCCCACATCACCTTTGCTCCTTGGTGTCATGTCCAAAAATATATTATGTGGCAAATTAAACTTTGCAGATGGAATTAAGGGGCTGATTAGCTGACCTTGAGATGGGGAGAGTATTCTGAATTACCCAGGTCGGCCCAATGTAATCACATGAGTCCTTAAAAGTAAAAGAGAGAGGCAAAAAAGGCCAGAGATATGCACGGAAAATTGAAGTCAGAGCAATTCCAAGCATGAGAGAGTGTTGATGCACCATTGCTGGTAGAGGGCACTACATGGAAAGTGAGAGAAGGAACTGAATTTGCTAACATTCCAAATGAGCCTGTAAGCAGATTCTCCCCAAGAGCTTTCACTAAGGAGTGCAGCCCTATTAAAACCTTGGTGTTGGCCTTGTATGACCCTGCACAGAGTATCCAGCTGAGTCCACCTGGACTTCTAACTCACAGAAACTGTGAGACAGTAAATGGGTCTGTCATAAGCTGATACATTTGATGTAGTTTGTTACACAGCAATAGGAAATTAACAGGATATTCAATGTTGACCCAAATACTACAAACTAACTTGATAAACAAATTTAAAAAGCAATTAAAATCATACGTCTAGATTATCAAAGATGAAATCAAAGAAGATATTACAAACTATTCTGAAAAAAATGAAAAGAAAACCCTTCATGCTATACCATTTTACAATGTATACTTACATCAAAACATTATCTTGTACACCTTAAATATATACAACTTTTATTTGTCAATTATACCACAATAAAGCTGGGGTGGGGTGGGATAGAATTACCTGGGGACTAAATAGTTTGCTGAGGATGGGGCCTAGGAATGTAAATTTTAATAAGCTTCCCGAGTGATTCTTATGCACACTGAAGTTTGAGAACTAGTGCCTTCATGGACTTCAGCTTTGGGGTGAGCTTTAAGAAAGTCAGGGTCCAGTTAATGAATATGAGAGATACTGCTTTTTTTTATTTTTTTATTTTTTGAAATGGAGTCTCACTCTGTCACCTAGGCTGAGCACAATCTTAGCTCACTGCCACCTCCGCCTCCTAGGTTCAAGCAATTCTCCTGCCTCAGCCTCCTCAGTAGCTGGGATTACAGGTGAGCACCACCATGCCCAGCTAATTTTTTTTTTTTTTTTGGTAGACACGGAGTTTTGCCATGTTGGCTAGGCTGGTGTCAAACTCCTGACCTCAGGTGATCTGCCTGCCTCGGCCTCCCAAAGTGCTGGGATTACAGGCATGAACCACCATACCTGGCCGATTGCTTATTTATATCTCCAAGCTTCACTGATCAGAAAATACTTTTCCTGAAAAGTTATCCTACAGAAATCAGATCATGTTGAGAGGATAAGTCTCTGGAATGTTAATAAAGGTATATGGAGCTAGCATAGTTGAACTGTTCACTTTTTGCATAAGAAATCTCACTGTTCATGTTTTCCCATCAGACAAAATAAAACAGACTGACGAGTTTTATATATTAATGTGTGAACAGTGCATAGCTACATGCCAATAAAGCAGCACAGTTAATGAATCAATAGCTTCTTTTTCTGCTCAGTGAAAATAAAAATGCTTTATACCAACTAGAAAAAAAAAAAATCCAAAAGCCCATTCTTTGAAAAGAGCACCACCAGCAACAAAATAGACAAGTCATTGGCAAGCTTATTCAAGGAAAAAAAGATAAATAGCAAAGATAGAGGAATTTAGGAATAAGAAAGGGCACATAACTACAGATAATGTGGAGTAAAAGAATCATGAGTGAGTGCTACATGCAACACTGTGGCAACAAAATTGAAAAAATAAATAAAGTTACTTCCTAGAAAGGTATATAATTATTGGAAGTTGAAACTTGAATTGACTGATTATCATAGAAGAGCCTGGAGGGGTGATTAAAGATATTGCAAATGCCACTAGGACCAAATGGATTCATAAGTGAGTCTCACCTAACTTTTAGACAATGGATAATTCAAATGTTACTTAAGCTATTCTAAGCAATAGAAAAAGATGGAGTACTCATCAATTCATTTGATAAAGCCAACAAAACTTTGTTTATTATTATTAGTAGGTTGAGTAGTGAAAATCTACTAAGAATAGTCTAAAGAAATAGTACATAGAACCCACTAATGATCAAATTCCATGAATAGTAGATTTTACTCCAAGAATGTAAGGGTATTTAGTGTCAGGACATCTATGAACATAATTTGTTCATCAGCATATCAAAGAAGACAATTCAGATGATACCAGCTGCTGAAAACTTATTTATGATAAACATTTTGTGGCAAATGAGAATAGAATAAACACCATTTACAAAAACCAAAACAGCAAATGTTACTCTAAATAGCAAAATACAAAAATTATTTCAAGTAAAATCATAGAGTAGAAGGAATGTTCACTTTCATTGTTATTATTTAACATTTGCTCTTGTTTTCTAATAAATTCAATAAGATAAGAAAATGAAATAACTGGCTATAAATATTGGAAATGAGCTAAAATCTGTCTCATTTAACTTATGATATGATTCAATACTCACAGAGACTTTAGGGTAAAATTACTAGAATTAATAGGCAAATTTGGTAAGGTAGCTAGATTTAAGATGAATATACAATGGCTGGGTGCGGTGGCTCAAACCTGTAATCCTAGCTCTTTGGGAGGCTGAGGTGGGGGGAATGCTTGAGCTCAGGAGTTGAAAACCAGCCTGGGTAACATGGCAAAAACCCATCTCTAAAAAATATACAAAAATTTTCCGGGCATGGTGGCCTGCTCCTGTAGTCCCAGCTACTTGGGGGGCTGATATACAGGAGAATTGCTTGAATCCAGGAGGTTGAGGCTGCAGTAAGGTGAGATCACCCCACTGCACTCCAGCCTGGGTGACAAAATGAGACCCAGGCTCAAAAGAAAAAGCTGAAAATACACAAACCAATAGCTTATCTCTATTTGGTACTAAGCACTCATAAATGGAAATAGGAGAAAACTATCTTATTAACAATAGCATCACACTTATAAAATACACAGAGATAAATGTAATAAGAAAAATATTTAAATTTATTACATTAATAAAATTAAGGTCTGAGTTTAATGAAATTGCAGTTAGAATCACAACAGGGCTTGGATCTTTTTAATTTGAAAAATATCTTAACAGTTTTATGTGGAAGAATAAAGTGTCTAAGAATAGCTAAGAAAGGTACAAAAAGAATAGTGAGGATTGCTTTCACCCACCAGATATCAGAAGATATCATAGGCTCACTGTAATCAAATCACTATGGTACTGGCATAGCAAGATAATAGTAGATTAGTGAAACAGCCTAATGAATCCAGAAATATATGCTAATATATATGAGAACTTTATATGATGAATGTGTTGATTCAAATCAGTGGCAAAAGGTGCCATCACAATAGGCTATTGATCTGGATGGAAATAAAACTAGACAAATCCCTCTCTCATGCCATATGACAAAAGTAATTAGCAGATAATTGAAGCAATGCATATAAAAAGCGAAACAGTAAACATCTTGCAAGAAAATCTGGGAGATTACACGTACAATCTTGAGGTGTGGGAAACATTTTTAACCAACCTTGCCGACTCTGAAGATATGAAAGAAAAGATATCTCTGATTATAAAAATTAAAAACTGTTTTGGTAAAAGTTATAAGAAAGTCAACAGACAAACAATAGATCTTGGGGAAAACTGCAATATACATGACAAAGAGTTAATATTTGTAATAATAAAAGGGTTCTCATAATTTTTTTAAATGAAAGAGTCCAAAGAATAATGGGCAAATCATATGACTAATTAAATCCCCCAAATAAATCCAATAGCCAACAAGCATTTAAAAAGATGCTCAACTTATTAGAAATAAAAATAACACAATGAAAGTAATGATGCAATATCACTCTACACCTGTAAAATTGGCAAATTTTAAAAACAGGATAAAACTTATCGCTATGTGAATGCAGAGAGAAGGCCATTTTCATACTTCGATGGTAGAAATGTTTGAAAAGTTCTGACCTCTTTGGAAATTAAAACTTAGAAGGAAACATTCCCTTCGTTCCATTAATATTCCTCTTGCAAGTTTGTTCAACAGAAGTAAAAGCACCAGTATGTAATGATATAGGATATAGTAGCCAAAAACTGGAATAAAGTGAACATATTGACTAAATTGTGATACAGCCATACCATAGAATCTTATATAGCCAATAAAAATAATGAATTAAAGCTATACCAATTGACTTAGAGTTCTAGTACGTGTTAATGAGTGAGAAATGTGTGTATAATGTCCCAATTTTATAAAACAAATAATGTCCAAGAAAACCTTTGTGTGTGTGTATGTGTATGTGAATATATATTATCATACTGGGGTTACCTAGCTGAGGTGGGGGAGAAGGGGACTGATGTGGAAAGAGGGTGGGGAGCCAAACAGAAAGAACCAAAAAGAATATAAAGTATGTACAACATGACCACATTTAATGTTTACACAGCCACAATCTATGTATTATATTTAAATCTTTATAATACACATTTAAAGAAGACAAAAAAATAAAATAAATGATTTCAGCATTCAACTCAAGAAGCAAAAATCTAACAACAAAATGAACCAAAGGAAATTAGAAGGAAGGAATAAATCAATGAAAGTAGAAGCAGAAACTGATGCAACAGAAAGAAAAAAGAGATTGATAAATCAAACCAAAAGAAAATTCTTGACAAGACCAATAAAATCAAGAAAACTCCTGGAAATATTATTTTTAAAAGAGAGGAAGAGAACATATACAACATAAGGAATGAAAAAGAAAATATAACTACAGACACAGAACAGTTTAACAAAATCACAGGAGACTCTTACATAACTTGATACCAATACATTATCAAATCTAGGGACAGTAGATTGCTTTCTATGAAAGTATAGACCAAAATATACCAATATTTACTGAAGAAGAGGTAGAAAAATCTGAATCAACTGATGACCATAGACAATATTGATAAAGTTATTTAATACTCTGCCTAAATGCACCAGAACCCCCAAAACACGAAAAGCTTCTGAACTCAAGGCTCATATTATCCTTACACCCAAAGTAGGAAAAGATATTATAAAAACACACATTGCATGTACACACAAGAGAACCAGACATGAAACTTGTGTGTGATATTGATTGGATTTCATTGCCTTGATTCTCTCTATGGAAGCTTGGGCAGGCAGAGGGAAGTTTTGTCTTTGTCCCTTCACCCTCCCTCTACTCCAGTCTCTAGATTCTGGAGGAGCAGCATATGACGAAGAGAAGCAATGGACAAAACAGAACAAAATATCAACAAATAGGTCAGACCTATGAAAAGAATTGGCAGTTAGCATTTCTGCTAATAACACAGATGTGTGCACACCTTACCCAGAAATGTTTCTTTGGGGCCCAGGTAGCATCACAACCATCCTAACCCGATGTCTGCACCTTCCTCCAAGCAGACTTACATCCCCACAATCCTGGCCCCGATCAGACCCTACAGGACATGCCTTTACCTTGCGTCCACAGGCAGCTCACCGAGATCACTTTGCATATAGTCCCATGACAGTTCCACTGCACCCAGGTAGTATCTTCTGGTGGCACTAAAGCAGAATCGCAAAAGGCACAGAAAGAAGCAGGTGGAGAGCTCTATTTGCATGACTTATTGCTACAAATGTTCAACTGGAGAAGCAAAAGGTTAATTCTTCTCTAAAATATCTTTAGCTCCCAGGAGGGGAAAAAAGTAAAATTTCTGATTTAATGAAAAGTCCCAATTTCTTTGCAGAGCATTTTAAGGAACTTTACCCACTGGATGTGCTCAGCACTAAGCAGTAACCGATAGGATTGCTTCCTTTTTATCAGTGGGAAGCAGCCACAGGAAGAACTGAAGTAGCAAAAGGGAGGCTGCTAAACTTAACCCATTCACTTCTGAGAGCAGTAGGGGCATAAGTCTGCTTTAATCAGAACCTTTAAGGAAAGGAGGAGAGGGATGGAGAAGTCAAAGTGAACAGGAGCTTTAATTTGTGCTCCTATTCCTAGCCTACTCCAACCCTCTTCCTGAGTGGCAGCAGCAAGAGAAGTTCTGGATGTTGTCGAAGATTCTAGAATTCACTTGCACTAGCAAGAGTAACCAGCAACCTGTTAGTCTCTCTGCTTTTGCCCTTGCCCCTCACACTGCTGCCAGTATGAGGAATTTATAGTTTTTAAAACTGTAGTTTTACATATAACATGAGGTTAGGCAACTATTGTTTTAAAAACTATAATTTATAGTTATAATTTAAAACTATAAAGCGAGTCCTGTCACTCCTCTTCTCAGAATCCTCCAATGGCTTCTGACCTCCATCAGGGTAAAACCCTACATCTTTACCATGGCCTAGGTCCTAGAGCATCCCACATGGTCTGCATGCCCTTTCTCCTGACCTCTGTAGTCTCATCTCACTCTGGTTATACTGGTCTCCTTACTCTTCCCTAAAATATCAAGCACACTCATGCCCCTGGACCTCAACACTTGCTATTTCTTTTACCCAAAACACCTTTCCCCCAGATTTCCACGTAGTTCCACTCCCACAACTCCTTCACATTTCAGCTCCAATCTTCCCTGTTGAATGAGGTTTAAATATGGAACACCACATTTATGTTGTAAGCTCTTTACCCCCACCTGCATCACTGATATCCCTCTTGGCTTCATTTTTCTCAATAGCACTCATAACCACCTGGCATTTATTCATTTATTTATTTTGTTTTGTTTTTAACCTAACACTTTTCCAGGCTGTTTACATTTGGCCCAGGTATAGGATATATCTCTTTACATCAGAATGTAGCCATGGTGAGCTCAAACACCCTACTCAGGTTAATGTTTATTAGGGAGAGTGAGGGCCCCTGCAGGGGCCTCAAAGTGTAAGAGATTATGAGAAGAAACTTGATCAGGGTTGCTATAAAAATGTTATCATTGAGCTCAGTTCTGCACAAACAAGAATGTGTTAGGGAGCAATTGGTATATTGTCGACTGGTTTGGAAACAGGCAGCAAGAAGCCCCTTTGATAAACACTCCTCTCTGACAGGTACAAGGATGCAGAGATGACAGCTGACACTATATGCCAGGAACTGTTCTAGGTGCTTTTAAATACAGGTACTATTCTTACCTTCATTTTATGGGTGATGAAACTGAAGCACGGAGAGGTTAGGCAACTTCTCCATGGCCACACAGCTTGTGAGTGGTAGCATTCAAACCCATGTACTCTGGCTCCAGAAGTCATGCTCCTAACCACTATGCTATACTTCTATGCCTCAGAAATGAAGAAATCCCAGTTCCCAACCCCCTGGGAATGACAGTCCAATGGAGGAGACAGAAAAGTAGACAGTTACAGTACAGGGTGATAAATTCACTGCCAGGTGCTACACATAGGCTATCTGATTTAATCCTCATGACAACACCGCAAAGTGGATACAGATAAAGTAACTGAGGTACAGAGAGGTTAAATGGCTTGCCTACAGCCACATAACTACCCATTTGTCCTAGACAGATATTGTCCTAGGCACTGGGTACACATTGATGAAAAATATAAGCAACTGAAAGAGGGATGATAAGCAATAATTACAATACATGAGTACATTATACAGTATGTTAGAAGGTAAAATAAGTGCTGTGCAAAAAAGAGAAGTGGGGTAAGGGGGAGTAAGGGTGGACCAGGTTGCAATTTTAAAGGAGGTTAGTCATGGAAAGTTTCACTAAGGTTGCATTTCAGCAAAGGGACATTGACTTCTACACTGAGGGCAATGGGGAGACACGGCCGGGTTGTGAGTAGAGGAGGGTGGTGATCAGAATTATCTTTTAGGCTGATCTTTCTGATCACTGTAGATAAAACAAACTCTAGCAGGATAAGGGTAGAAGGAGGGTGGCCTGTTAACCGGGGGTGAGAAATGGTGGCGGCTTGGGCTATGATGGTACCACTGGAGAGGGTGAAAAATGGCTGGATTCATTGTGAGGGTAACGTTTGTGGGAACTGCTGATGAATTTTGGATCTGTGGGCTTTGAGAAGGAAAAATTTGGAACACCAAGTTTTTTGGAATAAAGTTGACTAACTGGGATGGGGATGACTGCATGAGTAGCTTAGGGGCGGGGCACACTGTTAAAGGGCTCCTCAGGCACTGCAGGCATAGAAGCTCCTTTCTTTCCCAGTGCTTCTCTTATAGCGATTACAATGTTTTAAAAATGTGTCTTCCAGACAAATACAGTACAATCCAACATGTTTGAGGTTCTACAGTTAACAGATTGTATAATTAATAATCTGGGTGGGAATGTTAATCAGGAATGAAATACAATTTAAAAATTAACAAAGTAATGAGTCAGAGGCTATATTGATAGAAGCACTTTTTAAGGAATAGCATTCCCTGGCCCAAGGGCTTAGTTGATTGAAAATTTTATCTATTATTGCTAAATTTTAAATCAAAATATGGCCGGGCACGGTGGCTCACACCTGTAATCCCAGCACTTTGGGAGGCTGAGGCGGGCAGATCACGAGGTCAGGAGATCTAGACCATCCTAGCTAACAAGATGAAACTCCTCCTCTACTAAAAATACAAAAAATTAGCCGGGCATGGTGGCACGTGCCTGTAGTCCCAGCTACTTGGGAGGCTGAGGCAGGAGAATCGCTTGAACCCGGGAGGTGGAGCTTGCAGTGAGCCGAGATCGCGCCACTGCACTCCAGCCTGGGCAACAAGAGCGAGACTCTGTCTCAAAAATAAAATAAATAAATAAATAAATAAATAATCAAAATAGACCCCATTACCAAATTTTCATGTTTTCAAGGATTCTCTAAAACCTACAATATTATCAATTACATATTCACAAATAATTACTGAATACAATATGGTATGTGGTAAAGTACAAAGGAGTACTGTGGCCATTTGTGATAAATAGAAATCAAATTGGAAATCTTCATAGATAACGTATTTTTTCTTTTTTTTTTGGAGACGCAGTCTCACTCTGTCGCCCAGGCTGGAGTGCAGTGTCGCGATCTCGGCTCACTGCAAGCTCCGCCTCCCGGGTTCACGCCATTCTCCTGCCTCAGCCTCCCGAGTAGCTGGGACTACAGGCGGCCGCCACCATGCCCGGCTAATTTTTTGTATTTTTAGTAGAGACGGGGTTTCACCATGTTAGCCAGGATGGCCTCGATCTCCTGACCGCGTGATCCGCCCGCCTCGGCCTCCGAAACTGCTGAAATTACAGGCGTGAGCCACCGCGCCCGGCCAGATAAGGTATATTTTTATTCCTTTTATTTTTACTCAACTCCTATGGTGCCACAAAATCCTATATTAAGCAGTATAATTGAAAAGAAAAAGAAAACAATAGCACAATGATTATAAAGAAAATAGCCTGAGTTAACTTCATTTGTGTCACTCCTAAAGCAGTGGATCAGATGTCAATGTTTATTATCATTCACTAATTACATTTATGAATAATTTTTAAAAGTAAAGGAAAAGACTGGCTGTTTTAACTAACATAATAGAAACTGTTGCTGGATTTTCTGTTGAAGGTATATTTTGAAGTGAGTTTTATTAAGTATAACTCGCATGTAAAATTCAAAAGAAAAATTAAATACATAAATAAAATGTGTCTTCCTCCACTAAAAGAGTAGGACACATCGCAGAAGCCGATAAATATTTGTTCAATGTTTACATGAACAAACACGGTCACTCAGCCGTCTTTATTTTCAGTGAGTCATAGGTAAAATATTCTTCACCAGGCGAGGATTGAGTCGCAGTCGCGTCAGGAACTCGCCTCCAGGTACTGAGCGAGCGAGCCCCGACGGCCGCGGTGGGTGGAGGGGGGAAAGTGGGGGAGAGTGGGGCGGGAGTAGAGGGAGAGCGAGGGAGGGAGCCTCACCCCCGGGACGCTTTCTGCGCACGCGCATCTCGGTGCATCTGTTGGGCGGGACCGCGGGGCCTGTGACACCGCACGCTGAGCTCTGTGATGTAGCCGCTTGCGGAGACTGCAAGCAGCCGCGGCGCGCCCGGCCCTCCCTCTTCCGCTGCCGCCGTGGGAATGGAAACATCTGCCCCACGTGCCGGAAGCCAAGTGGTGGCGACAACTGCGCGCCACTCCGCGGCCTACCGCGCAGATCCTCTACGTGTGTCCTCGCGAGACAAGCTCACCGAAATGGCCGCGTCCAGTCAAGGTAAGGGCGGGCGCGCGCGCGGCCGGCGCCGCGGGGAGCCGCCTTCCTGGGCTCCGGAAGGGGAAGGGCTCCGCGCCCGCCAGTCGCGACCGAGCTCCCCGGGGAGTCCAAGCGGCGCGGGGACGGGGAGGGCGCTCGGGGATCGCCCCTGGCTCAGCCGCTCCCAGGGTCCGGCCAAGGTCACGCGCGTGTCTGGGGCCTAACCACCCTGGGGTGTCGTCTCCAGTGGAGCTCACCCAGCCTTCCGGCGCCGCCCCCGGCGCAGAAGCCCGAAGACATTCTGTCCCCGTTCTCGGAAGCGGTCTGGCTTCTTTGTCCCTTTGGACGTTCATCTCAAATGCCTCGTGGCGTCATTCTGTGTACAAGGCACCTCCCCAACTGCTTTATTGTTGGTTTTGAAAAACTAGCACATATGGGATGGTACTTAGGAATAGCCTTCTGTTTAGTCGGCATAGTCAAAGATTCCGTGTAATTCGCAGTGGAGCACGTCTTTAAGTTATGCGTCTTACCCTATTTTGAATGTTTAGGTTGTATTTAATTTAGTACTGACTCACGGGATCCCATTGCTAAACAGAGCCATCATTGAAAACTCAATCATATAAACGTAAAATTACGTAAATTATGTTAAAAACAAAGGCAGTGAAAATACTAAAAACTCATCACTTTTATTATTTACCATGTTTTATTGTTACTTTACTTTTGAGGTTATTTATACATCTATTGTATCTTTGTGGAGGAGATACTATACTATGGTGCTCTACTGTGCGTCTCTTCCCATCTCTGGGTTCAGTAGTTTCACAATTCAGTAATGTCATGCTCACGATGAATGAATACGCAATGGAAATTGGCTACACTACAAATCAGCCCTTGCCTAAAGCCGACTGTTAAGCATTTCACCAGCACGCCGCTAAATTTTAGATGACTCTGGGAAGGTGGAATGTGCAATGTGATAATTATGTATTTTCCTGCAGAGCAGACTGCTCTTATAGACTTTTATAAGAGCAGACTGCTCTTATAGACTTTTATAAGAGCAGACTGCTCTTATAGGTTGATCAGGTATTTGCACCTAGGAAATTGTTGTGAGAAATTTTGAGGTTAAGATGAGTTTCAATTGTTATCACAGTGATGATCACATAATAACTGTGATCATTGATTTTGTGGGCTCATAAACGAAGCTATTGGCTGACTTTTGTCTGTCATAGTGCTTAGCAGTGTTTGACCAATGACTGACCAAATATCTCGCATTTAATCTACCTTCCCCCCTACTCCCTTTTTTAGGGACTAGATCTGTCATTCAGGCTACAGCACAGTGGCACAATCATAGCTCACTGCAGCCCCAGTGGAGCCACCTGTTGATCTAAGGGGCTTGGTCAAATTACGTTAAAACTGTAATGTTTTGTTGTTACATTAGAAAAATAAATTATTTAACTACTTGAGAGGCCATGGAGTACCCAGGTACTCAGACATCCATATTTTGTTCTGCTAAATGGGCGTCTGTGATGTATCCTGAATGAATTCTTGAATTATATTTTGTGTATGGTTTAAGGTAGAGGTTGAGAGTAGTTTTTTTTGAAACACAAATATATAGTAGTTCTAACATCATTTGTTGTTTCCTTCATTGAGTTACCTTGGTGCTAAGTTATTAAAAATCAAATGACTATATGTGTGGATCTATTTCTGGATTCTGGATTCTCTTCCATTGCTATATTTGGGTATCCTTGGGTCAGTTTGACAGTGTTGAATGTCATTGCTTTATAAGCCTTGAAATTAAGATAGTTGTATATTATACTGTAGCTTTATAATGAGCCTTGAAATTCCTTGAACCCTCCTCTTTCCCTTGCCCGCCTCCGCCCCCAGGATTATTGTGGCAGTTTGTATTTTCCTGATTGCAGCAATATTTTCCATTCCTTATGGTCTTTTTCCTAGTGACTTTGACACTCCTCCCACCCAGGGGTGGGATCTATATTCCCTCTTCATGAATCTGGATGGGAGTTTGTGACTGACTGCCTGTTCCTACAGAATGCAGTGGAAGTTAACACTGCATTTGCTCTCTCCCTTTCTTGGGACTTTCACCTCCTGAACTCAGCTCCTATGCTGTAAGGAAGCCTAGACTGACTCACATAGAGTAGCAGCCTATCTATCTGTGTGAGTGTAGAGTCTTCAGACCCAGCCTGTAAGTCTTCTGGCTAAAGCCTCAGACATGAAACAAAGACAAACCACAGTGCTGTGGCTGAATTCCTGATCCACAAAATCTGAGAGCATAATATATGATTGTTTTGCTTCATGAAGTTTTGGAGTAATTTGTAGTACAGCCGAAGTAACTGGAACACTGCTGGGTTTTTTTGTATCTTCATATGAATTTTAGAACCAGTTTGTCAATTACATAAAAACCTACTTTTTTGCCGGGCGTGGTGGCTCACTCCTGTAATCCCAGCACTTTGGGAGGCTGAGGCAGGCGGATCACCTGAGGTCGGGAGTTTGAGATCAGCCTGACCAACATGGAGAAACCCTGTCTCTACTAAAAATACAAAAAATTAGCCAGGCGTGGTGGTGCATGCCTGTAATCCCAGCTACTTGGGAGGCTGAGGCAGGAGAATCACTTGAACCTGGGAGGAGGAGGTTGTGGTGAGCCGAGATTGTCATTGCACTCCAGCCTGGGCAAAAAGAGCAAAACTCTATCTCAAAAAAAAAAAAAAAAAGAAAAAAGAAAAAACCTACTTTTTAATTGAGATTGTATTGAATATATAGATCAATATATGGAGAGAATGAACATCTTAAAAATATTGAGTCTTGCAAAACATAAACAGTATATCACTGTTATTTTAGGTCATCTTCAATTTCTTGGCAGTGTTTTGTAGTTTGCAGTGTTTTCTAGTTTACAGTGAACAGGTCTTGTGCATCTTTCATTGAATTTACTACAACATAATTTTTGCAATTAAAATTATTTTGTTTTCCAATTCATCATTTCTAATACACAAAAATTCAAATGACTTTTTAATATTGGTCTTATAATGTGTGACCTTGCTTCTGGTACCTTTTTGTAGATTTTTCTGGGTTTTCTATATACACCGTTATATTATCTGCCAATGAAGACAGAATTATTGTTGTACCTCCTTTCTAATCTCTTTGACTTTTATTTCTTTTCTTTTGTTGCACTGGCTAGGAACTCCAGTACAGTGCTGGGCGAGGTGGCTCACACTTGTAATCCCAGCACTTTGGGAGGCTAAGGAGGGAGGATCACTTGGGGCCAGGAGTTCCAGACCAGCCTAGGCAACAAAGTGAGACCTCCTGTCTACAAAAAAAAAAAAAAAAAAAAAAAAATCAGTTGGTCATAGTGGTGCACAGCTGTAGTCCAGCTACTGGGGAGGCTGAGGTGGGAGGATTGCTTGAGCCCAGAAGTTTGAAGTTGCAGTAATCTGTGATAGTGCCACTGCACTCCAATGTGGGTGATAGAGTGAGACCCTGTCTCAAAACAAAACAAAAAACAGTTGAATAGATTTTAGGGAAAGAAAAGTGTTCCATATTTCACCATTAAGTATGATGTTAGTTGTATATTTTTCATAGATGTCCTATATCAGATTGAAGAAATCCCTTTCTATTCCTATTTTCTACTTTTTTTTTTTTTTTTTTTGAGATGGAGTTTCGCTCTTGTTGCCCAGGAAAATGGGCAGTGGTCTGATCTCGGCTCACTGCAACCTCCGCCTCCCAGGTTCAAGCAATTCTCCCATCTCAGCCTCCTGAGTAGCTGGGATTACAGGCGCCTGCCACTATGCCCGGCTAATTTTTGGTATTTTTAGTAGAGACGGGGTTTTACCATGTTGGCCAGGCTGGTCTCGAACTCCTGACCTCAGGTGATCCACCCGCCTCGGCCTCCCAAAGTGCTTGGATTATAGGCATGAGCCACCACGCCCAGCCCCTATTTTCTACTTTTTATTCTGATTTTTTTCTTTGATTTTAAAGTATAAAATTTCTGTAATTATTATTTTTTTACAGTAAGTATTCATTTAGATTTATCCACCTATTTGCCCATTCCAGTGTCTCATTCCTTTCTGCATTTCCATATTTCCATGTGGCATCATTTCTTGTCGGCCTGAATAACTTTTGTGTACCTCTTTGAATATTACTTCTATCCCATTCTTTCTAATCTTCTGGAACTCCAATTACATATATGTTTAATCTTTTGAGCAGTTTTTGATCATTGTTATTTGCTTACTTCAGCATCTTGATCATCACTGGTTCTGTTTCTGTTTCTGTTTCTTTTTCTTTTTTCTTTTTGGGACTGAGTCTCGCTGTGTCACCCATGCTGGAGTGCAGTGGTGCGATCCTTGGCTCACTGCAACCTTCGCTACCCGCGTTCAAGTGATTTTCCTGTCCCAGCCTCCCGAGTAGCTGGGACTACAGGCACATGCCACCACGCCCAGCTAATTTTTGTATTTTTAGTAGAAACAGGGTTTCACCATGTTGGCCAGGCTGGTCTTGAACTCCAGACTTCAAGTGATCCGTCCCCCAGGCTTTCCAAAGTGCTGGGATACAGGCGTGAGCCACCGTGCCTGGCCTGCTTCTATTTCTTTTATTTAAACAAATTTTGTTTCCTTTATATGGCTTTGCCTTTGCATGGGTAGTAGTCATTTTCTATTGTTTGTTACATTATGTGTGAAAAGATTGTACACACTCCATGCCAGATGAAGTTGATCATTTGAGGTCAATTTTACAGTAAACAGCTTTGAATAGTACATTGCTGACATTTCATATCAGACATTTCTTAGTGCGGTGTGTTTCCAGGGAAACAGGGCTGGGTATAGTAGGGGAGCCTGACATTATCTTCCCACAGAGAAAGGGATTGACATTTTGTTAAGTCTTTCTCCATGCTTGGGCAAATCATTTAACTTTGGAACCTTCATTTCATTTTTTTTTTTTTTCTGAGACGGAGTTTCACTCTTGTTGCCCAGGCTGGAGTGAAGTGGCGCGATCTCGGCTCACTGCCACCTCCACCTCCCCGGTTCCAGTGATTCTCCTGCCTCAGCCTCCCAAGTAGCTGTGATTACAGGCGCATGCCACCATGCCCAGCTAATTTTTGTAGTTTTAGTAGAGACGAGGTTTCACCATGTTGGCCAGGCTGGCCTCAAACTCCTGACCTCAGGTGATCTGCCCACCTTGGCCTCCCAAGGTGTTGGGATTACAGGCGTGAGCCACCACGCCTGGTGCCTTCTTTTTTTTTTTTTTTTTTTTTTTGAGATGGAGTCTCATTCTTGTTGCGCAGGCTAGAGTGCAGTGGTGCGATCTTGGCTCACCGCAACCTCTGCCCCTCAGGTTCAAGTGATTCTCCTCCCGAGTAGCTAGGATTACAGGCATGTGCCACCACCCCCGGCTAATTTTGTATTTTTAGTAGAGATGGGGTTTTTCCATGCTGGTCAGGTTGGTCTTGAACTCCCGACCTCAGGTGATCCACCTGCCTCCGGCCTCCCAAAGTGCTGGGATTACAGGTGTGAGCCACCATGCCTGGCCTTCATTTCTTAATTATAAAATTGAGTTAATAAGTAGTACCTACCTTATTCTGTGGATTAATTAGATGTACATGATTAATGTTTAGCACATTGCCTGGTAAATAGTAAGAGCTCAATTAAACATTACCCTCTCATCTTCATTATCACTGGAGATCCACGTAGTACTTAGAAAATTTGTGGATTACTGAATAGCATTGAGCTACTTCTGAAGAGAAGGGGCAAATTTGTTTCATTTGGGATGCATTACTGGCAGTTTTTTATAGGTCTTTTTGGATTTATTTATTTATTTGAGATGGAGTCTTGCTCTGTTGCCCAGGCTGGAGTGCAGCGGCACTATCTCGGCTCACTGCAACCTTTGCTTCCTGGGTTCAAGCAATTCTTTTGCCTTAGCCTCCTGAGTAGCTGGGATTACAGGTGCCTGCCACCACGCCTGGCTAATTTTTGTATTTGTAGTAGAGATGGGGTTTTGCCATTTTGGCCAGACTGGTTTCGATCTCCTGACCTCAGGTGATTCGCCCACCTCGGCCTCCCAAAGTGCTGGGATTACAGGCGTGAGCCACCGCGCCCAGCCTTTTTTGTTATTTTTAAATTTGAGAGGACAAACTAGAGGACTAATTTGAGATTTTCTAGGTTTTTCCCTGTAATATAGACATTAGTATTTGCTGATTTTAGTCTGATTTTCCAAAATTGCAACTTAGAATAAATTTACTATTTAAAATAGAATATTTGGAGGTTTCTTATTACATTTATGTCTGTTTCTTTAAATATCTCAATCTAGTTAGGTATAAAAGTAAATATTTTCTTATTTAACGTATTACTTCTTGTAGGAAACTTTGAGGGAAATTTTGAGTCACTGGACCTTGCGGAATTTGCTAAGAAGCAGCCATGGTGGCGTAAGCTGTTCGGGCAGGAATCTGGACCTTCAGCAGAAAAGTATAGCGTGGCAACCCAGCTGTTCATTGGAGGTGTCACTGGATGGTAAGTGATGTGAAAGATGTCCACTGTCTTTTGTGCATGATTTAGTATTGCAGTTATAGGTACCATCATCTCCTTTAACCAGTGAAAACACATTGGCTTCTGTGAAATTGGTCACTTAATGTGGAGCATGTATCTAAACATCATCTTAAAGTACCATTTAATGGTTACACATAATGATTGTTTCCTATATGCCAGGTTCTGTTTGAAGTATTTACATAGATATCTCATTTCCTTCTCACAACTCTGGAATTAGTACTGTTATTTTCTATCCTCATTTTATAGAAACTGAGGCTCAGAAAGGTTAGTTTGCCCAAGGCCACATAGCTGGTAACTGGTAGAATAAGGAGCTAACTACTTATTAGCTATGTCAGATGATAACTTAATGTGACACAGCTTATGGTTTCATTTGTAATAAATTCAAAAAGTAATAGCAAATTTCATAGGTGAATATTGAATCCATTAATCTCATAGACTCTTTACATTTGAAAAATTTTATAGCACCATATAGCAAATATAGAACAGCACATTTAACAGGTGTACATTTTAGCAAATACTTGGAGTGAACACCTATGTAACAACTGCTAAGGTTAAAAAAAACGTGGCTAGCGCCCTAGAAACTCGAGAGGTTATTAAGCAGTTATTTCATTGCTTTTCTTTGTAGTTTTAACACCAGTTATGTCACTAAATAACATACTGTGGTTTACCTGCTTTCCACCTTAAAGTAAATGCAATCAGTATGTATTCTTTTGAGTCTTGCTTTTTTCGCTCAACCTGATGTTTCATATATTCAACTACATTGTGTATAGTTGTAGTTTCTTCACTTTCACTTGTATTTTGAGTTCCATTATGTGAATATACCACAGTATATCCAGTTGATGACTGATATTGGAGTTGTTTCCATTTTTGGCTAATACTATGCTTATATGAGTATTAGATTTCCCAGTGTATATGTGCATACATTTCTGTAGGGTCTGTACCTAGAAATTGCTAGGTAATGGGTATAGGTATCTTCAGCTTCACTAAATAATGTCAAACCACCTTCCAAAACTGTTTTTAACAGTTTACAGTCCCAGCAAGGACCAAATGAACCTGTTGTTCTACATGGTGGCACTTGATTTTGCCAGGCTATTAAATTTTTAAAAAATTAGTTAATTTTTCCTTAGCGAGGTAATCAAGTTAAATCCAGACTATAAAAATTTTACCAGTCTGGTAGTTAGGTAGTAGTATTTCATGGTGGCTTCATTTACATTTCCCTGAGTAGGAGTGACATTGATCGACTTTTACGTATGTTTGTTGACCATTTGGATCTCCTCTTTCAGTTCCACTCTAGTTTTTTTCCTCTGAAGTTGTCATTCTTTCCCTTGTTAAGCTGTAAGAGTTCTTTATATATTCTGAATATTCTCAGTCCTTTGTTAGTTGTGTGTATTATAGATATTTTCACTCATTCTGTGGTTATCTTTTCGTTTTATGGTATCTTTTGATGAACTGAAGATCTTATTTTTAATATAGTCAATTTTATCAATCTTAACCTTAATGGTTAGTGATTTTTGTGGCTTATTTAAGTAATCTTTGCCTACCCCATGTTTCAGAACTTTTATTATTTGACCTTTCACATTTAGATTTATTATCCACCTGGAATTGTTATTGTGCTCAGTATGTGGTAGATTCCTTCTTTTCTTCCCCATGTGGAATACCCATTTGTCCCAACTTAATTTATTGTGAAAGCTATCCCTTTCCCCGCTGCTTTATGTGAGTGTGTGTGCGCATGCATATGTGTGTGTCTGCTATCTTGTTCTTTAGGAACATCTTGGCTATTTTCTTTATCTCTTAGTTTTTAAATTTAATAAATAGGTATATTATAAGTTGCACATATTTAAAGTATAAAATTTGATACATTTTTACATATGTACATGCCCATAAAACCATCACCACAGTCAAGATAATGAACATACCTATCACTTCAAAAGCTGCTTTGTACCTCTTTGTAATTCCACGCTCTTTCCTTCATGCCATCCTCCCGCCACTGATCTGCTTTCTATTACTATAGATTATGTTTTCTAGATTCTTTTTAGAAGTGGAATTACATAGTATATATTCTTTTTTGTCTGGCTTCTCTTATTCACCATAATAATATATTTTTTTGTTTTGAGACGGAGTCTTGCTCTGTTGCCCAGACTGGAGTGCAGTGGCACGATCTTGGCTCACCGCCTCCTGGGTTCAAGCAGTTCTCCTGCATCAGCCTTCACCATAATAATTTTGAGATAATCTGTGCTTTTCTGTTTATCAACAGTTCATTCCTTTTTATTGCTAAGTAGTACTCCATTGTATGGATGTACCACAATCTGTTTCTCCATCCACCTTTGATGGACATTTGAGTTTTTTTTTCACTTTTTAGCTGTTACAGATAAAACTTCAAGTTTGTATACAAGTGTACAAGTCTTTGTATGAACATATGCTTTCATTTCTTTTGGGTAAATATCTAGGAATAGTATGGCTGAGTCACGTAGTAAGTGAATGTTCTAAATTTACAAGTACCTGCCAGTTTTTAAAGTGCCTGTACCATCTTACATCTCCACCAGCAATGTGTGAGGGTTCCAGTTCCTCTGCATCCTTACTAACACTTGGTATTATCTTTTTGATTACGAACATCTTAGTGGGTATGAAGTTGTATCTCATTGTGGTTTGAATTTGCGTTTCTCTAATGACTAATGATGTTGAGCATTTTCACGGGCTTATTTTTTGCCATTCATATATCTTTGATGACTTATTTGTTCAAATCTTTTTCCACATATTTTTATTGGGTTGTTGGTTTTCTTTCACTGCTGAATCGTGAGAGTTCTTTAAATATTCTGGATAGAAGTCTTAGATATGTGATTTGCAAATATATTACTTCTCTGTAGCTTTTCATTATCTGAACTGTACCTTTCAAAGAGCAGAAGTTCTTAATCTTGAAGTGCAGCTCTTTTGTAGCTCCAGCTTTTGGTGTCATGTCTGAGAATATTTGCCTAATCCAGGGTCACCAAGATTTTCTCTCGCTTTTTCTAGATTGTATATAGGTTCGGATTTTATATTTAGTTCTGTGATCCATTTTGATTTACTTTTTGTATATAGTATAAGGTAGGAATCCAAGTTTTTTTTGCGTATGGGTATCTAGTTGTCCCCACATTTGTAAAAAAAAGACTGTCTTTTTCTCCACTGAATTGTCTTTACACCTATGTTGAAAATCAGTTGACTATATGTTTTTGAGCTCTTTGTACTGCCAAATTGATCTAGGTGCCATTATCATGCTGTTTTGATTACTGTAACTTAGGTAATGCAAGTCTTGAAATTTTGTTTTTCATCAAAGCTATTTTGAGTATTCTAGGTATTTAGCATTTCCATCTGAATTTTATCTTGTTTTTATACACTCCTCCATATGAATTTTAGAATTAGGTTGCTGCCAGTTTCTGCCAGACACCCGATGAGATTTTGACTGGGATTGCATTGATCCATAAACATTGGTGTATCTCTCCAATTTGTTTAGGTTTTCTTTAATTTCTCTCAGCAATGCTTTGTAGATCTTACACATCTTATATCAGATTTATTCCTAAGTATTTCATATTTTTGATACCATTATAAATGGTATTACTTTCAAAATTTCAAGTTGCCATTGTTCATTGCTTGTATAGTATATAGAAATGCAATAGTTTTCTTTGTATATTGATCTTGTATATTGTAGTCTTGCTAAAAGCCACTTACTAGTTGCAGAGTTCAGGGGTCCCCAAGACCACTGTCATGTTTGATAGTTCTCTAGGAGAATTCACAGAACTCAGAGCTGTTCCACTCAGGGTTATTTTTTTATTTTTTATTTTTTTAACAGAAAATGATACAGATTAACTCAGCCAAGGGAAGAGGCACATGGAATAGGGTATTGTGGAGTCTTTATATTTATATTTATTTATTTTTTTTGAGACATAGTCTCGCTCTCTCACCCAGGCTAGAGTGCAGTGGTGTGATCTTGGCTTATTGCAACCTCTGCCTCCCAGGTTCAAGCAATTCTCTCGCCTCAGCCTCCCAAGTAGCTAGGACTACAGGCGTGAACCATCACACCGGGCTAATTTTTGTATTTTTAGTAGAGTCAGGGTTTCACCATATTGTCCAGGCTGGTCTCAAACTCCTGACCTCAAATGATCTGCCTGCCTCAGCCTTCCAAAGTGCTGGGATTATAGGCGTGAGCCACCACACCCAGCTGAGTCTTTACATGTAAAGTAGGTTTCTTGTAGGTTCCATATAGGTGGTTGTTAATTTTTTAGAATCCAATTTGACAGTCTCTTCCTTTAAATTAGGGTGGTTAGACTATTTACATTTAAGTTTATTTTTAAAATTCTTTTAATTGACTAGTAAAAATTGTAGGCTGGGTGCAGTGGCTCACACCTTTAATACCAGCACTTTGGGAGGCCGAGGCAGGTGGATCATTTGAGCTCAGGAGTTTGAGACCAGCCTGGGCAGCATGGCGAAACCCCATCTCTACAAAAAATAGAAAAATTAGCCGGGCGTGGTGGTATGCGCCTGTAGTCCCAGCTACTTGGGAGGCTGAGGTGGGAGGATGGCTTGAACCTGGGAGGGGGAGGTTGTAGTGAGCCAAGATCATGCCACTGTACTCCATCCAGCATGGGTGACAGAATGAGACCCAGTCTCAAAAAGGAAACAAAACAGCAACACCAAAATTGTATTTATTTGTGGCGTACATGATGTTTTGATATATGTATACATTCTGGAATGGCTAAATCAAGCTATTTAACATGTATTACCTCACATACTTACCATGTTTTTGTGGTGAGAACACTTAAAACCTACTCTTATAGCAATTTTCAAATATATAATATGTTGTTATTAACTGTAGTCACCATGATATACAGTAGATATCCTAAACTTCTTCCTCCTAACTGGAATTTTTGTGTCCTTGACCAACATTTCCCCAACCGCCCCACCCCACAACCTTTGGTCACCACCATTCTCTGTTTCTATGAATTTGACTTTTTTTAGATTCCACATATAAGTGAGACCATTTGGTATTTGTCTTTCTGTGCCTGACTTATTTTACATAGCATAATGTCCTACAGGTTAATCCATGTTGTCACAAATATCAAGATTTCCTTTTTAAGGGTTGAACAGTATTCCATTATGTAATATACCACATTTTCATTATCCATCTGTTGATGGACACTTAAGTTGTCTCTATCTTGGATATTGTGAATAGTTGCAGTGAACACGGGAATGCAGATACCTCTTTAATGTACTGACTTCATATCCTTTGGCTGTATACCCAGTAGTGTGATTGCTGAATCATATGTTATTAGTTCTACTATTTTTAATTTATTGAGGAGTCTCCATACAGTTTTCCATAATGGCTCTACTAATTTACATTCCTACCAACAGTGTACAAAGATTTCCTTTTCTCTACATCCTCACCAACACTTGTTATCTCTTGTCTTTTTGATGATAGCCATCCTAACAGGTGTGAGGTGATAGCTCATTGTGGTTTGCATTTTCCTCATGATTAGTGATGTTGAGCATTTTTTTCATATACCTTATTTATTGGCCATTTGTATGTTTGTATGTCTTCTTTTGAGAAATGTCTATTCAGGTCCTTTGCCCATTTTTAAATCAGGTTGTATTTTTACAATTGAGTTGTTTAATCCCTTGTATATCTTTTATATTAATCTCTTATCAGATATATGCTTTGCAAATATTTTCTCCCATTCTTTAGGTTGTCTCTTCACTCTGTTGATTCCTTTGCTGTACAGAAGCTTTTTAGTTTGATGTAATCCCATTTGTCTATTTTTGCCTTTTGTTGCCTCTGCTTTTCGGGTCATATCCAAAAAATATTTGTGCAGACCAGTGTCATGGAGCTTTCTCCCTGTTTTCTTCTAACAGTTTTACAGTTTCAGGTCTTATATTTAAGTATTTAATCTGTTTCCAGTTGATTTTTGCAATGGTTTGAGATGAGGGTCTCTTTTGCATGTGGATAAACAGTTTGCTTAGGACCATTTTTTGAAGAGACTATCCTTTCCCTGTTGTGTGTTCTTGGCATCTTTGTCAAAAATCAGTTGACTGTAAATACGTGGATTTATTTCTGGGCTCTCTATTCTGATCCGTTGGTCTATGTGTTTGTTTTTAATGCCAGGACCATGTTGTTTTGGTTACTATAGCTTTGTAGTATATTTTGAGATCAGGTAGTATGATGATGCCTCCAACTTTGTTCTTTTTGCTGAAGATTGCTTTGGCTATTAGGGGTCTTTTGTACTTCCATGTGAATTTTAGGATTTTTTTTCCTCTTTCTGTGAAAAATGTCATTGGAATTTTGATGTGGATTGCATTGAATCTGTAGATTGCTTTGGGAGGTATGGAGATTTTAGCAATTTTAATTCTTCCCATTCATGAACATGGAATATCTTTCTGTTTATTTGTGTTGTCTTCAATTTCTTTCATCAGCCTTCTGTAGTTTTCAGTGTATGGACCTTTTGCCTTCTTGGCTAGATTTATTCATAAGTGTATATTTTTTGTAAGTGGGACGTTTGTTTTTGTTATTACTGGGTTCAAAATTACCATCTTGGTATTTAATCGTACATATATAACATATATACTGAGGTGAAATTCACATAACATAAAACTAACCATTTTAAAGTGAATAGTACAACTTAGTACATTCACAATATTGTACAACCACTATCTCTATATGGTTTTAAAATCCTTTTATCACCTCCAAATAAAACTGAGTACCCACTGAGCAGTTACTCCTAATTCTTCCTTCCTACAACTCCTGGCAACCACAGTCTGCTTTCTGTCCTTATGGATTGACCTATTCTGAATATTTCATATATATTGAATCATGCAATGGCTGAACTTTCGTGTTTGGCTTCTTTCACTTAGCATAATGCTTTTGAGGTTCATGCATGTTATAGTGTATATATATTGCTACTTCATTCCTTTTTATAGCTCAATAGGATTCCACTGTATGTATATGCCACAGTTTGTTCATCCAGACATCTGTTGGTGGACATCTGGGGTATTTCCACCTTTTAACTGTTGTGAATAATGCTGCTATGAACATTGGGTATAAGTATTTTTTCAATACCTATTTTTAGGTCTTCTATTTTTTTGTATATACCCAGGAGTGGAATTGTTGGATCATATGATAATTCTATGTTTACTTTTTTGAGGACCCACCTAACTTTTGAGCATCTTTTCATGTACTTCCTGGCCATTTGTATATCTTCTCCAGATAAATGTCAACTCAAGTCCTTTGCCCATTTTTTAATTGGGTTTATCTTTTTGTTATTGAGTTGTAAGAGTTCTTTATATGTTCTGGATTCTAGACCCTTACCAGACACGATTTGCAAATATTTTGTCCTGTTCTCTAACTTGTCTTTTTCACTGTTTTGATAATGTTCTTTGATACAAGAAAGTTTTTAATTTTGATGAAGTCCAATTTATTTTTAATTTTGATGAGGTCCAATTTATTTTTTTTGTTGCTTAGATCAAATATTTTCAATTCCATTTTCATAATTCTATTTTTATGGATATTTTCATAATTATGTCCTTTGTTGGCTTATTAGCTATAACTGTTTGTTGTGTAATTTTAGTGGTTGCTTTAGGGTTTATAGGAGACATCTTCTACTCGTAGTCTGCCTTCAAGAAATCTAACGCTTCATATATGATATAACAGTATGCTTCCATTTTCCCCTTCCCCCTTTGTTTTCATTGCTATAAATTTTACTTTTAAAATTATGTAAATTCATAATACATTCTTATTATTTTTGCATTAAATGTTGAATTTTTATAGTTTTTAATAACAAGAAGGAAGCCTTTCACATTTTACTCCATAGTTTCTATTTCTTGTGCTCTTCATGCCTTTGTGTGGATCCTGATTTCTATATGATATCATTTTCCCCTGCCTGAAAGACTTCCTTTAACATTTCTTATATTGCTGGTCTGCTGGGGATATTTTTTTTTTCAGGTTTTGTATCTGTGAAAAAGGTCTTTATTTCATTTCTGTTTTTGCAAGATCACTTAGTGTAGAATTCTAGATTGACAGGGTTGTTGCTTTTTTTTCAGTACATTAAAAATGTTATTTCATTGTCTTTTGGCTTTGTATTATTTTCTGTGAGAAATGTGTTCACTTCAGACTTTATTCCTCTGTACCTAATGCCTCTTTTTTCCCCCCTTCAGGCTCCTTTTAAGATTTCCTCTAGGTCGGGCATGGTGGCTCACGCCTGTAATCCCAGCACTTTGGGAGGCTGAGGCGGGTGGAACATGAGGTCAGGAGATCGAGACCATCCTGACTAACATGGTGAAACCCCGTCTCTACTAAAAAATACAAAAAATTAGCCAGTCGTGGTGGCGGGCGCCTGTAGTCCCAGCTACTCGGGAGGCTGAGGCAGGAGGATGGCGTGAACCCGGGAGGCAGAGCTTGCAGTGAGCCAAGATTGTGCCACTGCACTCTACCCTGGGCGACAGAGCGAGACTCCGTCTCAAAAAAAAAAAAAAAAAAGAAAAAAAAGAAAAAAAAGATTTCCTCTTTACCATTTGTTTTAAGCAGTTTGTTTATGTTGTACCTTGCTATAGTTTTCTTTTTCTATCTTTTTTTTTTTTTTTTTTTTTTTTTTTTTGAGATGGACTCTTTCTCTGTCACCCAGACTGGAATGCAGTGGCATGATCTCAGCTCACTGCAACCTCCACCTTCCAGGTTCAGGTGATTCTCGTGCCTCAGCCTGTGGAGTAGCTGGGATTACAGGTGTGCACCACCGCACCTGGCTAATTTTTGTATTTTTAGTAGAGATGGGGTTTCACCATGTTGGCCAGGCTGGTCTCGAACTCCTGACCTCAGGTGATCCTCCTGCCTCAGCCTCCCAAAGTGCTGCGATTACAGGTGTGAGCCACCATGCCTGGCCTTCTTTGTTTCTTTTGCTTAGATTTCATTGAGCTTTTTGGATCTGTGGGTTTATAGTTTTCACGAAGCTTGGAATATTTTCTGTTGTCCTTCAAATATTTTTTTCTGTCCTCCTTCAGTGATTCCAATTACACATTTATTAGGGTGTGTGAAGTTTTTCCACAGTTCATTAATACTGTTTACTTTTTAGAAACTTTATTTTGAGATAATTGTACATTCACATGCAGTTAGAAATAATCCATAGAGGTCTTATACCCATTCCCCAGTTCCCCCTATGGTAGCATCTTGTCTAACTATAGTTCAGTATCATAACCATTTTCATTTTTTTGTCTCTTTTCTGTTTCATTTTTGATAGTTTTTATTGCTATTTCATGAAGTTTATTAATCTTCTACAGTGTCTAAACTGCTATATTTTTCGTCTCGGACATTGTAGTTTTTATTTCTATAAGTTTGATTTGCATCTTTTTTTTTGAGACTTTCTTGTTCTGTTGCTTAGGCTGGAGTGCAGTGGCACAATCACAGCTCACTGCAACCTCTACCTCCTGGGCTCAAGAGATCCTCCCACCTCAGCCTCTTGAATAGTGGAACTGCAGGTGCATGCTACCGTGCCTGGCTAATTTAAAAAAGTTATTTTTAGAGAGATGGGGACTCACTATGTTGCCCAGGCTGGCCTTAAACACCTGGGCTCAAGCAATCCTCTTGCCTTGGCCTCCTAAAGTACTGGGATTACAGGCATGAGCCACTGTACCCAGCCAAGATTTGCATGTTTTTAAAAGAGCTTCCTTGCCTCTACTTATTATGTGCAATCTTTTCTCTAGCTTCTTGAACATATGGAATATAATTGTAATAACTTTTAATGCTTTTGTCTACTAATTTTTTCATCAGTATCATTTCTGGGTTTCTTTTAGTTTATTTTTTTTTGATCGTGGTATTTTTCTGCCTTGCAAGCCTGGTAGTTTTTAATTAGATGGCAGATATTATGAATTTTACTTCATTGGGTGCTAGATATTTTTTATTCTTATAAATGTGCTTGATTCTTGTTCTTGGATGCAGTTACTTAGAAATCACTTGATCTTTTTGGGTCTTGCTTTGTTATTAGGCTTTATTTAAAATGTGTGTTTTGTTTTAAAAAGAGAAAAAGCCAGGTGTTGTAAACAGTGCAACAATTTTTGTAACAGCAAAAATCTGTAACCATTCTAAATATGTCAGTTACTCTGATTATACTTTAGTAAGTCTGAACAGTGGAATGCTCTTAAAATGGACCCTTATCATTTATTTACTGGTCCTACCACCCTTCCAATTTCAGAGTCGCTTCAGAAATATACTGCCTGACATCTAACTTTTGTTTAAAAAAGATTAAAAGTCTTATGAGGTTCTCCATGCATTGTTGTATTTGTAATTCTTTCTCTTACTGAGCTGAAATGTAATAAGGGGAGAACAGTAGACAATGAGGGTAGTGAGGTAATGGGAGACAAGATGTTAAGTGTAAGGCTTTAACTTTCTCTCTTAGTGAGGAGGGAAGCTACTGGAAGGTTATGAGCAGAAGTGTACCTTGATCTTACATTTTAGAGCAGGGGTCAGCAAAGTTTTTCTGTAAAGAGCCCATATGGTAAATATTGTAGGCTTTATGGATCACACAATCTCTGTTGCAACTTGATTTACAAAGAGACATCTGGCAGGATTTGGCTCCCAGGCTGCGGTTTGTCGACCCCTGTTTTAGGACTGTATGAGCTGCTATATTGAGAATAGATTCTAGGGGGTGAAAGTGGAGGTAAGAAGTCCAGATGAGGAGCTGTAACAGTAACCTACATCAGAGATCATGGTATAGACCCAGCAGATAGAAAGTGAATACACAGAGCAAAGAGGTTCTAGGACTGAGCCTCAGAACAACCTAACATTCAGAAGTCAGAAAGAGGAGGACTCAGCAAAATTGTCTGATAAGGAATGGCCAGTGATATATGAGGAAAACCAAGAGAGAATGGTATTCCAGAGCAAAAAGATGTCAAGAAGGAGAGAGTACAATAGCAGAACAACAAATAACCTGATTTAAAAAATGGGGAAAAGACGTGAACAGACATTTCCCCAAAGAAGGCATAGAAATGGCCACCAGAGGTATATGAAAAGATGCTTAGCATCATCAATTATCAGGGAAATGCAAATTAAAAGCACAATGAGATATCAACTGGCACTTGTTAGAATGGCTGTTATCAAAAAGACAAGAGATAATTGTTGATGAGGGTGTGGAGAAAAAGGAACCCTAGTACACTGTTGGCGGGAATGTAGATTGTTACAACCATTATGGAAAACAGTATGGAGGTTCCTAAAGAAATTAAAATTAGAACTACCATGCGACCCAGCAATTCCTCTTCTGAGTATATACCCCAAGGAAATGAAATCACCACCTCATAAAGATATCTGCCCTCTCATGTTCAGTGCAGCATTAATTTATAGTAGCCAAGATATGGAAACATCCTAAGTGTCCATCAATGGATGAATGGATAGAGAAAATGTGTCTACAATGGGATACTATTTAGCCTTAAAAAAGGAGATTGTGCTGTTTGCCATAGCATAGATTTTGGAGGACATTATGCTAAGTGAAGTAAGCCAGACATAGAAAGACAAAATACTGCATGATCTCATATGTGTGGGGAAAAAGTCATATATACAGTTGTATAATATAATAAATATAAAGAAATAAAACTGGTTACCAGGGATAGGATGGGAGGAAATGGGAAGATGTGGGTCAAAGGATACAAAGTAGCAAATATGTAAGAGGAGCAAGTCGAGAGATCCAATGTACAGCATGAGGACTGCAGCTAATGCAATTGTATTGCCTTAGGGATTTCTGTGAATTAAGTGGATTTTAGCTGCTCTTATCACAAAAAAGTAACTATGTGAGATGATAGATATATTAATCTGATTCATTATAGTAACCACTTTACTTGTCTATATGTATCCCATAACATCATGTTGTAAACCTCAAATATACACAATAAAATACCTTTTTTAAAAAAAGGAGAGAGTAATCAACTGTGTCAAAAGCTGCTGTAGGTCAGATGAGATTAAAGCTGAGAAGTGAACACTAGCATTTGGTAAGGTCAAGATCAGTGGTAACCTTGATAGGAATGGTTTCATTGAAGTCATGGGACAAAAGCCTGAATGGTGTAGGTGTGAGAGAATATGGACACAGGACAAAAGAGACGGCCTCAAAGTAGTTTTGCTGTAAAGGAGAGCACAGAAAAGGGAAGGGGGCTGGAGAATTGGAGTCTAGGGAGGATTTTTTCAACAATGGTTAATGATTACAGCTGATAGGTGTTCAGCAATGAAACAACAAAATCTCTGCCTTCATGAAGCTTACATTTTAGTATCGGGTGGGGGCAGGAAGATAGACAGTAATAAAGAAACACATAATTATATTAAACTGGCTACAAGATGTTGCCACTCAGATATCATATGGACATTTTGCATTCAACATATTCAAAATGACATTATCTCCTCCCCTCCCTTCCCCCACCTTTTCCTCTATTCCTCTTCCTTGTTTTTATATTGTAAAAAATGCCACATTCAGGACAGAATCTTGTGCCTTATCCCTTGCAACCATCCTGTCCTCAAACTCAGGAGTGTTTTTTTTTTTCTTCACAAACAGTTCCTCAGGTCTGCTCCCTCCTTGCCATCTCTACCTCGGCCCATTGGCATTCACTTCTCTTCTGGATCGCTACCTCACCGTCTTAACTAGAGTCTCTGCCTTCGTCCTCCCCCTTTAATCTCTTCTCCACAATGTAGCCAGAGTCATCTTTTAAAAATATAACCTGAGAGTTTTAAGGGACTTACTCAAGACCACAAGATTCATAGAGCCAAGATTTGATTTCCTTATGTCATGCTCCTCTTGGGGCTGGCTTTATGTAGGGGGTAGGAAGGAGCTAGGTCATCTTAAGCTAAGTAAGATATGAACATTGCCAGAAATGCATGTTTGTATGTAACTGACAGCTCATCAATTTGTCTGATGTTGGTTTGTTTTTGTAGGTGCACAGGTTTCATATTCCAGAAGGTTGGAAAGTTGGCTGCAACAGCTGTGGGAGGTGGATTTTTTCTCCTTCAGGTCTGTATGTGAAATGTTCTCAGATGTTTGGAAATTCCACCTGCCCATTAAGGAATGTGGTGTGGGGAGTTGTAATACAGTCCTGGCTATGTCACACTAGACTAGCCTTAGCACTTGTTTTCATGTACTATTTTAAATGCTAGTGACCGTTTGAGTCAAATTTTATTCATTATACTAGTAAATGTTATTTGCCAGTCCCATTTTATTTCCTCATGTGGCGACAGAAGTGCAAATTCCTTATCATAGCTCCCTTAAAAGAGTTTTTAAGACCAGCTGAATTATTAAGCGGATGTGATTTCAAAAATACAAGTGTGCTGTGATGATTTAGTGTCATATGCTAATATTATAGCTAGCTTTCACAGAGGGGATGTTGAGCATGTGATGAGAAATGGGAGCTAAGTGACAGTACAGTCAGATGTCGTCTGCTGTCTCCTTGACCCATAGTTTCAGAACCAGTGGTTGCCAGTTCTCTGAGACTGCTTAGGAGAGACTAACAAGCAAGACTTGAAAAAGGGAGCAGTTTCTCCAAAAACAAAAGAAAACTGACATTTGATTGTATTAGGCATACATTTCTTAGCTCTGTGGCATTGGTATTCAAATTTGGCTCCACATTGGAATCACCTAGGAGTTTTTAAAAGAGCCAACGTGTGCCACTCCTGACCCACAGTCTGATTTCATTGGAAAACTTAAAACTCCTGAGGTGATTCTGCTGTGCTGTGGGAGCCATAACTTGCTGAATCATGCCAGAGTCTCTGAATTCACAGCCGTTTGTCTCTTCCCACAGTTGGCAACCCTCACTTTTGCAAGGTAAGTTCTGCATTAGCACCATGATTGGAGTGAGTTTTGCAGATAGGTCAGGTGAAAATCAAATGTATCGAAGAGGGAAGCTGGTAACTGGCTGTAGCTGGGTTGAGTGTGGTATTGCTGCATGACAAATTCCCCCAAACCTAATGGCTTCAAATAATGATCACTTTATTCTCTCTCATGGTTACAGGAGTTTGGGGAGGGTTAAGGTAGGTGCTTGTGGATCAGAGTCTCATGTGGTTACAGGCCAGATGATCAGAGGGTTAGGGTAGGTCTGGACTTGTGGGGCCTCTTTGTGTCTCTGTCTCTGTTTGTCTTCCCTCCTCCTCTCCTTATTTCCCCCCTGTCCATAGTCTCAGTGCTCTTCCATGTGGTCCCTGTGCCAGTATAGGCTTCCTCACACTACCATGACCTCAGGACTCCCAAGCACAGTTCTGCAGAAACATGGTGCAAGTTGCATCTCCTTTGTTGCCCAAGCCTCACTTTTGTTGGCTGCTTCCCTGTGGGCTTGTTACGTGCTGGCTCTGTTGCTAGACAGGTCAGACTCCCTGCAAGGTGGGGCCCCTCCTCACACCTCTCTCTCCTTCCCCTTGACCCTTCAGGTGGAAGTGCAGTAACATCTCTATCCCTGTGGTTTCCCTTATATGCTGCCCCAAACTTCATAAACATTTTAATATTGCTTTGAAATGTCTTAATTTGAGTGTGTCCTCTGTTTCGTTTTGGGGCCCTGACAGAAATAATTGGTATTGAAAATGTCTCCAGAAAGGCACCTCAAAATGAGATTTTGGGGTTGGATAATTCCAATATTCAAGGGGTACAGGGACACTGCTTTGCTGCAGAGGTGAGACATGGAGAATCTGTGGCAGGCACTCATGTTATCTGTCACCAGGGGAGTGAGAGCAGGAGGCAAGCATAATGTTGGGAGATCAGTTATATCACAAGTTATAGTTTGACATAGGGATCCAGTTTCCTTTTTTCCATACTGATAATTGAGCAGAATTTAGTGAATAATTCTTCCCTTTCCCAACATTTGCAGCATTGTCTCTTTCATATATCAGAACCCATGTATGTGTGGCTGTGACTCTGGTTTCTGTGTTCTGTTCCACTGGTCAACTTTCGATCTTTATGACAGTACTAAAGCTTAATATTTGGTAATGCAAATTCCTCCACCTTATTCTTCAGGAGTGTTGCAGCTACTTTTGTGTTTCTGCTCATTCATCTAAATTTTAGATCAGACTTGTCAGTTATTTTCAAAAATCCTGTTGAAATTTTTATCGGAATTGCATTGGAACCATGTAGATATCTCTTATGATATTGAGTATTCTATCTGTGAACACGGGCTTTCTCTCCAATTATTTAGGTCTTCTTTAATGCCTTTGAATAGACTTTTTATTATTTTTCCGTATAGATCTTGTACATCTGTGATTCAGTTTTATTCCTGGATACCTTATAACTTTAGTTGCTCTTGTGGATGATACGATTTTTAAAACTACACATTCTGATTCATGCTAGTGTGTTGAAATACAGTTGATATTTTATGTTGCTCTTTCAGCCAGCCACCTTGTTAAAAAAGTCTTGTCTGGGATTCTTTTGGGTTTTGTCTATAAAATCTTTTTATGCCATCTGTGAACAGTGAAATTTTTCCTTCACGTCTTTATGAATGTAGTTGCTTTTTCTTACCAAGCTGTAGATCATTTCCAGCACTTTTTGCAGCTTTCAGAGCCCAGCAGCAACGCTTGCCAGTTTTCAGTTTATTCGGCTCCCTCTACTTGTTGTGCTGCAATGGAAGTAGGATGTTGAGCTTTGTCAGTAGAGGGCGCTGGAGGGACCTTGCAGCGGGAGAGGCTGCTTTTCCCAGTTCTGGTGTTGCTTTGCCCCTGCAGTGCAGTCCCCCAGTAATGCCAAGGAGAGCAGGAAGTCACCTCGCAATCCTGGCCTGGGCCACCCAGGGGACTTCACCACCACCATTACTACTTTTGCCCCCTTGTGAAAAATCAGTTTGTTGTAGTTGTCCACGTCCGTTTCTGTACTTTTTATTCTGTTCTGTTGGTCTGTGTGTCTATCTCTTCTTCAGTATGACACACTGTCTTGACTACTGTAGCATTATAGTAAATCTTAAATCAGGTAGTGTGATTTCCCCAACTCTGTTCTTTTTCAGATTCATTTTGGTGATTCCAGTTCCTTTGCCTTTCCATATAAATCTTAGAACCGGCTTATTTATGTATCTATAAGAAATCCTACTGGGATTTGTGATTTGGGATTGCAGTAAATCTATGGATAATTTGGAGAGAACTGGGCATCATTTCTGTGTTGAGTATTCCATTCCATGTACATGATGTGTCTCTCCATTTATTTAGGTTGTCTTTGAGTTCTTTCTTCAGCATTTTGTAGTTCTCAGTATACAGATCCTGTATGTTTTATTTGATTTGTACCTAATATTTAATTATTTTTTGCACCCATTGTTGTAAATCATTTAAACATTTTTCATTTCCAGTTCAAATTGCTAGCATATAGAAATTCAGTTGGTTTTGTGTGAATTTGTGTCCTGTGACCCTGCTAAACTCACTTTTTTAGTCTAGGAGTTTTTGTTTTTTGTTGAAGTCTATGAAATTTTCTATGTAGACAAAGATGTCTATGATTGGAGACAGTTTGACCTCTTCCTTGTGAATCAGGATGCCTCCTAATTCTTTTTCTTGCCTTGTTGTGCTGACTCTGAATTCACTTCTGGTACGATATTTAATAGGAGTGGAGACGGCGGACAGCTTTGCCTTGTTCCCTGCATTCGTTCTTTCACCATTCTGTACAGTGTTAGCTGCAGGGTTTTTTATGTAGATGTTCTTTATCAAGTTGAGGAAGTTCCCCTCTATTGCTCTTTCTCTGAGAGTTTTATCATGAATTTGCGTTGAATTTTGTCAGATGTTTCTTGAGTCCTGCCTTGAGGTTAGGCCAGGCGATACTGCAGGAAAAGCAGGAAACACGCCACCAGTTTGGTGGTGCTTTGAATTCTGGTCTTCTCCAATCTGCACGTCGCTGTTTTTATGTAAGAGCCTTCAAATAGCTAGTCCATGTATTCTCTCAGTTTAATAGCAGGATTTTGTGGGATAAACAGGGTGGAGTAAATGAACCAGAGCCTTCTTTTAGATACAAATGTTGATACTCAACTATGTGGTTGCTGTAAGTAATTTGTTCTTTTTAGTACTAAGTAATATTCTATTGTGTAAATATGATACAATTTGTTTATCCATTCATGTGTTGATAGACTTTTGTGTATTTCCAGTTATAGACTCATAAATAAAGGTACTATGGCTTGATTACTTGTGAAGTTGAACTTTTTCCTTTTTGTGGACACTTTCCTCTGAATTGCCCTTACCCATTTTTAAAGTGAACTTTCTTACTGATCTCTATAAGAAGTTCACTTTTTTGAGTATCAATGTTTTGTTTATGATACACATCACAAGTATTTTCTCTAGTCTGTTTGGGTGACTGGTGGTGCCATTAGCTAAAATAGGGCCTAGAGGAAGAGCAACAATGCAGGAGGAGACTCTAGCAAGGTGAAGACTTTTAGTTTCAGATATTTTGAGATTGCCAAAAATTTGGTAGAGAGAAGTGATATTGATAGGGCATTGATTGATTGGCTACAGTCATTCTCTTCATTCCTAGGATGATATTAATCCATCATCAAAATCTACATGCTTGAATCAGATTTACACTGAGTTTTAGTGTTTGTGCCTGCTGTTTTTATCAAGGGAAATAGGTATATGCTGTAGGTGTCTTTGGATGTGGTTCTCTTAATATCCGTTTATATGAACTTGCTCATGAGAAATCTCTGTGGGGCCAGATGCTAGATTTCTTCCTGTTAAGCAACAGTAATAACTGCCTGAATGCTTTGCTCTGTTCACATTGTCAGGAAACTGACACTCATGGGCACATTGTCAGAGTCATTCTCTGGAAACATTTGTATTGGCTGTAAGGTCCATCTCTTCACCCTACATCTTGACCCCCCACCTTGATTTTCATCTTATGTAACTCTTTGTAAAAGGGTTGTAAGAGTATAAATAATTTAAAAGAATTGCCAGTAGTTATTTCTAGTGCCAGGCATATGGCTTCGCATATAGGGGGGATGCTGAGTAGATGTCATCATGATACAAAGAATCAAATGGCAGATGTCTCCAAAAATGGAAAGTCAGAGGGTTTCGAGAGTCTACTTCAGGATTTATCCTGACTAAAAGAAATAACAAATCTGTTTCTCATTTCTTGTTGTCATTATTGTTGATACTGTAGCTTGCAAACCATACTGGGTACATCAAAGTTGACTGGCAACGAGTGGAGAAGGACATGAAGAAAGCCAAAGAGCAGCTGAAGATCCGTAAGAGCAATCAGATACCTACTGAGGTCAGGAGCAAAGCTGAGGAGGTGAGACTTGCATTGTTCACGTGTAGTGTGTGAACAGTGCAGACAAAAACAGGGCTTAACCCTATTGTACCATATCTCAGTGATGGACAGGGCTTAAGCATTACAAAGAACTTAGAGTAATGAGACAAAACTAACTTGGATTATCATCACTTCAGAACATTTTTAAAAGCTGGATAATTGTTTGGTGACCTTTGTCTGTGCACATTTGTGGAGTGATTATCCCTTTAACCAGTTCTTGTAGGAATGTGGGGCAGCATAGTAGGTGGGAAGGATATATGGCCAGTATAATTATTTTGAGTCCCATTTTGTCGCTATACACGCATATCTCTGAAACATTCATACTCTGCTTGTTCTGCATATAACTAGTGGAAATGTCACAAGTATTCAACTCCACTGTATATCATCAAAATAGCCATAGATGATATGTTAAATAAGTGGATGTGGCTGTGTTGCAATAAAACTTTATTTAAAAACAGGTTCAGATTGGATTTGGCCCATGGGCTGTAGTTTGCTAACCCCTGATCTTGTTCATTAAAGCCAAGTTAGATTATGACCTGGCACTGCAGGGACAGGAGAAGTCCTTCCTTTTTAAAAGGATATTTTTTGCTGCTGCTTTATTACCTTTAGAAATATGTCAGATGTTGCAAATAAATAAGTACACTGAACTGGGGAGAAATAAACAAGGATCAGGGTGTCAAGAAGATAGCTGGTACTTTCTGTAGCCTGGAGTGATGAGAGATTCTCCCATTAGCTCACTCTAGCCTCACAGGGAAAACAGACAGATTGAGTGCAGGGGAGGAGAAATACCCTGTGTGCGCCTCAGGCTTCTCATGTTGTGAGTGGCTCTTCGTGCTGGTGATTGGCAAGTGGCTGGTCAAAGCTGGTGCCTTTACCCAGAGTGGGAAGGTGGCAGAGATGGGTATCTACAGGAGCCCAGAGCCCAGATAGTTTCTCTTTCCTTTCTTCCTTCTGTCTCTCCTCAAAGTTAGGAAAGTTACATTTTTTATTTCATGAAAACTTTATTATTCAAATGTTTATAAAAATAATGCATGGCTGGGCACAGTGACTCACCACAGTGAGTAAAAAAAAATTTTGTAAGAGAGGTCTCACTCTGTTGCCCAGGCTGGAGTGCAGTGGCACAGTCATGGCTCACTGTTGCCTCAACCAAGCGATCCTCTGACCTCAGCCTTCTGAGTAGCTGGGTCTATAGGTGTGTACCACCACACCCGGTGAAGTTTTAAATTTTTTGGAGAGACAGGGTCTCCCTGTGTTGTCCTGGCTGGTCTCAAACTTCTGGGCTCAAGCAGTATTCCCACCTCGGCCTCCCAAAGTGCTGGCATTACAGGTGTGAGCCATGGCACCTTGCTGAAAACTTTAAAAATAATACTGGAAGTGTATATAATAAAAAGCATAAAGTTAATATTTGATTAGAACCAACTGTTGACTCACAGAGGGAGTTTGTTATAAAGTAACCAGATAATTTGGAATTGAGTTCACTGTCACAGGCCCTGGGGATGTAGTGGCTGGTTTTCCTACTCATAGAGCCGGTGGTCTGATTTGAGAAACAGGATGAAGATTTAGTTCAGTATTTACCAACAAGATGACTTCAGTGAGAACAGTTTGGTGGGGTGGTGGAGTTGAAAGCCAAATTAGCAAGTTGAAGAAAGAGTAGTAAAAATAATAAACGAAACCAATTTTCTCAGGAAGTTGTATGATTTTTTTTCTTCACCCCAATGGCAGATGACAAAAGTGCTTCATTTAAGGAAATGTAGAGGTCCAGGAGAGATGGAGGAGGAGTGGAAATGAGGCAGGAAGACATAGGCATCGTTGGAGTAAGGGCTTACTGGAGGGTTAGAAGACAGTGGTCCTAGGAGGATGGGGTTGGTAGTGTGAAAAATGTTAGGGGAATGTCAGGGTGTGAGTAGCTTAGGTGGTTTGGGGATGGAAGTCACCGTACTTGAGTTCAAGAAATGATCAGGCCAGGATGTTGGATGTCTTGTTCATATGAACACTTTCTAAGGTGGTGATCACACTTAGGAGAAAGAGGAAGTCTGAGCCACTTATCAAAATTGTCTCTGAAATTGGAAGGGTGGGGAGTGGTCAGGAGATTGGTAGAGCACAGACTAAGGAGCCATAAAGAGTGTCTGAATGTATGCACTGAGTCTCAGATGACCGGGAGCTATTCCAGGAGGGTAGAGGGGAGGTGGGAAGCTTTGGGAACTTAAGGAAATAAGAACGTCACCTGTTAATCATCTTAGATGTGGTGAAGTGTGAGAATGAGAATTTATAGCATCTACCTGGGAGCAGGTTTCAGGGGGGAATGCATGGATGGAGAGATTTAGGGGAGAGACTTCAGGAAATGAGAAGCCTCTATTGGAGGGTAGATGCCAAAGAGGATGGAAGGAGCAAAATTGGAAACAGAATTGCCTCTGTAACCAGTTTATTTAGTGCAGCTTTACTCTTTCGCCATAACTGTCCCCATGAACTCTCCTTCTTTGTCCTTGATTCAAAGAGCCATTGTCTCTACCTCCTGATGTGCATCCTCCTTCCCATCAGGCTCCCTCTAGTCTTATTCTCCCCACACCAGCCAGTAGTCATTTTCATATGTAAGTCTATTTAATTATTATTAAATAGACTATTAGTGTAAGTCCATTGCCCTTTGGGTAAAGTGCAAATTACGTAACCGATGAGGGGATTGACATTGTTAAGACTGGCATAGGTATAATAGAGATGATTCTTAATATTATTAACATCCTTAGCAAAACAACCCATTGTACTATCTTCTGTTTTCAGGTGGTGTCATTTGTGAAGAAGAATGTTCTAGTAACTGGGGGATTTTTCGGAGGCTTTCTGCTTGGCATGGCATCCTAAGGAAGATGACCTCATGTTCATTGTTCCTGGTTTTTTCCAGCCAGCAGCCTCTACACTCCATCATAGGACATCGAGTCCCTCCTCCTCTTCTCCCATGCCTTCTTCCCTGCCATGGCAAATCTGAGTGGCTTCTCTAAGCATCTGCTGGTACAAGTCAATGTGGCACCATGAGCTTCATGGTGGCAGAAGAGACAATAGTCCTTAGCTCTCCTCCCAGTACACCCCCTACTTGGCCAGTCTGTAGGCCAACAAGAAGGTTCCTTTACCCCCATGCAAGACACTTATGAGAACACATTACAAGATGGCTGACCGTGGAGGATGAGTGGATCCTGAAAGGTTGTCCCAAACTGTTGATTTGGAAAAGAAATAAGCACATAGATAACCTTATTGTGTGCTGCATGGAAAGGAACTGAATACATTTGCCTTTAAGCATGAAAGATTTTGGTATCTTGGTGTCTACTTTCTTTTTTAGTTGGTTTTACATTACAGAAAGCTATTTAAATGTGTTATAATTATGCCGACAAAATTGGCAGCATAATTACTGTAATTGAAAAATCTGATATTGTCCAGGAATGCTTTCTACCGTACAGGATAATGTATCTCATGGCTGTTTCCAAAGGGTTTATTTATTGTAAAACAAGTGATTTAGGTGGGAAAGGGAAGATTTTGGATTTTTATTTTGTAGAAAAGGTTTTAAGCTTTGAAATGTGAATGAAATATCCTTATCAAAACATTAGGGGTGGCCATAACTCCTCTGTGCCACTTCTACTATTTTTTTTTTTAATCTAGTTAGTATGAAATACAACATTTAAACCGGAATTTTAAAGAAGTAGCTTTCCAGGGATTCAGAATTAAGAAAGATAGTGATAGGACATGAGAAATAAATTTCCATCAAGTGTAATCTACCGTCTCATGATGACCACAACCCTGAGAATTATTCTTTAAAAGCTTACACACACACACACACACGGGCACACACGCACACACAGAATCTTACCACATTTTGCTGTAGTGGCATGTTACCATGTCTACAGTCCCTACTAGAATATCAGTCAGCTTTCAGAGGGCAAGACTTCTGTCTTCACCATTATACTCACAGGGCCTAGCACTTAATAGGTGCTGAGTATTTGAATAATGACTTTATAGAAAGAAAACTCACTATTAAAGGTTAGTTTTACTCAGAATTGTTAATCTTGGAGATGATCTCTTGTGAAATATGAGTGTGTTTCTAAGGCCATACATTTAAAAATGTTTGCATTTTAACCCGTCTTGAGAATGATGTATTGAATTTGAAAATCAAAACTACCAGTGGATGTGTGGAACTTTACAGAAACCACCTATTTGCGTTTTTCTCCTTACATTTAAGGAAACATAAGCCATTTTGCTTGCAATATGTATGAATCATCTCAAAACCATAATGGTATGAGCCTCTTTGCTGCATATTTTGCTATAAGAACTTATTTTTTTTCACTTTTTATTATGGACGCTTTCAGGAATATATAAAAGTAGAGAATATAGTACAATAATCCCCCTGTGTATCTATCACTCACTCACAACAATCATCAAATTATAGCTCTGCTGGTTTTTACCAGTTATTGTGAAACAAATATCAAAATGTCATTTTATCATATTTCAGTATGTATCTCTAAAAGGTAAGAATTATTTCTAAAAATCATAAATACCTCATCATATCAGACATTAACAGTAATTACATAATATCCAAAATCTGATCAGTGTTCAAAATTTCCTCAAGTGTTTTATATTTAGTTTGTTTGAATCAAAATTCATGCAAGGTTCACATCGTATTTGCATGATTTGGATAAGTCTCTTAACCTTATAGATCCTCCTCTATTTTTTTTTTTTTGCTTGCTATATATTTATATCTCTATATATATTGATATAGACATATGTAGTGACACTGAGTCATCTGTTTCCTGCTTCCCCACACTCTGCCTCTCCTGACATCTGGGTCTCTGGGTTATGCCATATATGGTGATAGTGGCTGCAGCCACTTTACCTGTGTGACTTACCCACAGCAATGGGATGGTAACAGCAAAGCTAACCAAAGTGCTCTGTGCCCCTTTGGGTTGCATGTGGGGAGACTGGCCACCCAATGCCTCTCCAGTGGGGTAGGGGTTGTCTTTTGGTGCATCTGTTTTTCCTGTGATTATTGGTGAGGGCAGCAAAGATTAGCAGGTGGTTGTAAACTACCTTGAGTAGGTTGTAATAAATAGTCTGGCCTCAGACTGTATTCTGATTGTCTGAATTAAGATCTGTAGGTAGGTCCCTCCTGAAGTTTTTTCCCAGCTGGCTGCCTCTACGACTGTGAGGGTCATGGTTGAGGTCAGTATTGCAGGTTGGCCTCATCCTGCTAGTATGAGAACGGCTGTGAGTTCTGCCCACGGTGTGAGGCCACTGTGACCACTTGGGATTGTGCAGAGCTGGCATGGAGGTTGAACACGCACAGCTGCACACCTTGTTTTCAGTTTAGCTGAACCATCGGTGAAGGAGGCTCAGGCATTTGGGGTTACCTGTGAATCAAGGCCCTATTGTGCCAGCAGTTTTGTTTCAGGTGGTGAAGTGGGAGTTAAGGTTTCCCCCAAAAGAACAGCTGCCACTCCTCCATGCAAAACCGAGATGATTCAAGGACCAGGCAGCTCCACCTTTCAGTGCACTACTTTCATTTGACTGGAGAGGCCTGCTTAGCTAGGCACGTATTTTCTCCAGTAGCAGAGTCCAATGACGCTCTGGACTTCCTAATTAGTGGTGGTGGGGCGGAAGTTTTTCCTTGGGAAGAGCGTTGTCGCTGTATATGGTCCGCAGAAACTTGACTTGGAATGTGTTCGGGGTTTCATCGCCCCCTTGTGGCGGCGACGTGGTAACACCGCACTCAAGGCTTCCAACTTGTCAACCAATAGGATGGCATCTACGTAGTGAAGGCTTCCCTTCCCTTGTCCTGCAGCGTGCTGGACAGTGTCCCGGCTCAGGGACCCCTTCTGTCCCCTTCCTGGCTACTATGGGTCGGCCCTGCGTCCTCACCACTTTGAGCCACCCTTTGACCCAGCGTCTCTCCCGCAATGGGACCTGGTGGGATGGGGACTTGGAGCATGCTACAGGAGAGGTAGAACTTTTGAGTCTCTTCTTCCCAAGGTTCTCCCCAGAGTCGGAGAGCAGAGACGGATCCAGGGGCACTTTCTGGCCGCTGCCTGCTCGGGCTCAACAGATGGAGTCCAATGTTTCAGTCTCCCCCAAGAATGTGTATCCTCATTGCTGACACGGGAGCTGGGTGCGGGGAGAGATGTGGTGGTGGGGACCCTTGCCTGAGCAGCCCATTGTCATGAGTGTTATTGCCATTGTGATAATATGTTAGCATGACTCTCCTCCCAAATGGCCGCTTGTTTGTTGCAATCTCCCGCCACTCAGCCTCCAGACATTCATTAACAGGACAGTGGGGTTCTTGACTCCCCTACCACTGGGGTGACAGTCCTTGCTACTGGATCTGGGCAGTTACTGTCTCATGGATGCTGGCAGAAGACGATTCAAGTTGGCGGACTAGATTCTACAAGGAATGATCTCTTGCATAATTCTAGCCAACATGCTCTTGGGGTGGGTGCTTCTGGTTTTGGAAAGCAAAGTTACTGTGTAGTTAACAACTATTGTGGTAAGAATAGTCTCTCCATCATTCTTTTGTTTCACGGTTGTCAGAAAGATGGGCATAACTAATGGTTGGGCTCTTATTTGGAACCTCTACTTTTGTACAGTTTGGGAATCTCTGCTTGAAAAGATGGTATACTGATGGATTTGAAATTTCTGAGTATCATCAATGTTTCATGATGATCTCAATTTCTTCTCAGAGGGAAGCTCACAGCCAGTTTTGGACCCCAGAGAAAAATGTGGCTGCTGCCCTCTACTCCCTCTACCAAATTATCAGCTTCATTTCTTTGTCATGAAATCTAGTATGATTTCTCAGAAATCAGGCCCAGAACTAAAATACATTTTCTGCCCAATTTTCTAAGAGGTCACACTAACATCTGAGTAATTGGGCAGAAAACCTATTTTAGTTCTGAGCCTGATTTTTCTAGAAGTCATATGGTATAGCTTATATTTCCGATGCTTGCATTCTTTTTAAGGGGTCATGAATCTTAATACTTTTTTTTTTAAAAGAAAAGTGTCGCACTTTTTCACATTTTTATAAAGCTTTAAAGTCAGTTTACTGACTTTTCAAAAGTGTCTACCTTTTTAAATTTTAAAATGGTAAGAAATGACATTCCTGAGAGCAGTGGCTTTCATCCTTGCTTGCACTTGGGAATCACCTGTGAAATTTTAAAAACTACTAATGCCTGGCTCTCATCCTAGAGATTCTGATTTCACTGGTCTGGAGTGCTGTTCAGGCATCCTGAGGTTTTAAAGTGTCTTAGCTTTTTCTAATGAGCAGCAGAGACTGAGAACCACTGAAGTACACAGTTGGAAGCTGGTGCTGAAAAAATTAAGAGTTTTGCTGTTAACTCCTTAAGAGGGCTTTAAAGCCTTTTATATTAAGTGCCATACAACTTCAGATGCCTTCTGAATACTGAACACAAGTGTAATATTATAGTTCATTAAATGTCTTAGGAATCGTGTGGAGTGAATGCAAGGAAAGGAGTGACAAGATATCACCCCACAAATGACTTACCCATTACGAAGGGAAAACTACCTTTCTAGCTAAAAGGTCTGTCAGTCACTAACCAAGTGATTAAACTTAGCATCACTAATAGCCAACTTAACAAAGTTTTTTTTTTTTTTTGGTTTCTAAAATGGGAGATCATAGTTTTCACCTTCCTAGAGTTCTTTGCTTAAGACTGAGATTCAGTGTTACTCTTGGTCCCTAACAATAAGAAGCACTCAGTAAATGTTAAGCCTTCTATGATGGCTATTTTATTTTTTTGTATGTCATAATAATACCTAAGAATAAGAAGAGTTAAATTAATGTCTTCAAATGGATTTGTTGACTTAAACTGACACAATCCTTTAAAAGAAGGAACTGATTTGAACCTTTCAAAACTGAAAGAAAGTCGTATACTGATACAGTTTGGAGCCACCGAATGTCATGTTGAACCGTATTCCCTAATGGAGGTGGATCCTGGTGAGAGGTGATTGGATCGTGGGGGCCATCCCCTCTTGGTACTTCACTCATGATAGTGAGTTCTCATGAGATCTGGCACTTCACCCCTCACTCTCTCTTGCTCCTGCTTTGGCCATGTGGAGTGCTCACTCCCCTTTTGCTTTCTGCCATGGCTGTAAGTTTCCTGAGGCGTCCCCAGAAGCCCATCAGATACCAGTGCCATGCTTCCTGTACAGCCCATGGAACTGTGAGCCAACTAAACCTCTTTTATTTATAAATTACCGAGTCTCAGGCACTTTTTATAGCAATGCAACAATGGACTAATACATATACTTTAGCATAAAAACATTTAAAAGAGTCTGAAACTGGAGTAGTTAACTCAGTAAAAATAACTTGGCAATAAAACACAGAAAAACAATCTATTTGATCATGTAGTGATTCCTAATGTAAATCCTAGTACAACTGTCAACTGATAATTTTAAATGTAATTTAGATTTGTAGATGGTGTAACATTAAAGTTGTATGATGTTTTATTGTGTTATTATTAACACAAGACGTCATTTAAATTTCATGGGGATTTAGCTCTGTCACTCTGGTTTGTGGACCAAACGTCTCTAAGGCAGCATTTCTTTAAGTCGCTCTGGAGAGCATTCACACACAGAGATGCTGTCTGCAAAACAGGTTCACTTAGGTTTTTTGAAAGCTCTGAAGTCTGACAGGAAATTAACCTGTGTACTTGTATGCAACCTAGCATTCCCCAAACTTACCTGACCAGAGAAGCCTTTTTTTTTTCTTCCGGTTACAGCAATTCCTAGAAACACTTTGAGTAATGCTGCTTTAAAGAAAACAGTTGGTCTCAAATAATCATGGTATTTTAACATCAGGGACCTAGCAGAAATTGTTCCTGCTTTTAGTCATCTTTTTCTTTTTTAGAGGACAGCCTTTGGTGGTTCAAGCATCCATTTGAGGAAAGCAAATGGCCTGTTGCATGCTGCCTCCTCCTACTTCATAAAGTGACTGACAGCTGTCAACAGGCTTCATTCAGCAGCTTTGTATTAATGTTGTCTGGATCCTCTGTAACAGGTTTTTATTATCAGGATATAAAGAATAGATAAACCAACTAAGTTTGAATTATCTTGCTGCCTACCTGACTTCCAATGAAAATTTTTTCTTCAGTTCCTTCATGATAAATTAAGGATCATTAAGCATTACAAGAATCATTTCTATGCCTTTCCTACCTGGTTAGTCGCTGCAGTGGGGATGCAAAAGCAGAAAGAAATGCTCTTACTGGCATCTGGAAAGACACTTTTTGCTCTGCATTTTTGGAAGTACAAAAGGTAATGAGTTAGTTTAAAGGAAACTTTGAATTAGTTTAGCATGTAATCTATAAAAGGTATCAAAATTGGCTCACGCCTGTAATCCCAGCACTTTGGGAGGCCGAGGCGGGCAGATCACGAGGTCAGGAGTTCAAGACCAGCCTGACCAACATGGTGAAACCCCGTCTACTAAGAACACAAAAATTAGCCAGGCGTGGTGGTGCATGCCTATAATCCCAGCTACTTGGGAGGCTGAGGCAGAATTGCTTGAACCCGGCAGGCAGAGGTTGCGGTGGGCCGAGATCGCACCATTGCACTGTAGCCTGGATGACAGAGTGAGACTCCATCTCAAAAAAAAAAAAAAAAAAAAAAAAAAGGGCGTCAAAATTGTGATGCTGGAAGTGAGTCCTTTCACCTAACATACCTCATATGACTTAAATTTGATGAATGGCACTAGTGGCTTGAACTTCAAGAGAATTCATTAATACCCTATATCTAATAGTCTTAAAATACATTTAGTACAAAACCCAAATTTTTCTCTTAAACAGGTTTATTTTAGCAGCTCAGTATATTACATTCTACATATTTGTCTTTTAATGTGTTTATATTTCTGCCTGTTCTGCATAGATGGCATATTCATTAACTTTTGTAGCTGACTTTTTCATTTGCTATTTGCTGCTACCTGGCCTGAAGAGTCAGGAGGATAAAAAAAATTCATTTGGTGGAAACATGGAGCAGCACTTCAGAAGAACTTTACTTTGATGCAGACTTCCGTGTTAGGTTTTCTTCCTCTTCTTTTTCAAATCCTGAACAGACGACAGATCTTCCCTTGGGATACTGAGCACAACACTTACGCAGTTCTTGGATGACAGCCTGACACTTTGATTCCATGTAGCTGTTGGCTGAAAAACATACAGGCAGACTCTAGTCATGATCTCATAGGACTAAGGTACAGGGAGGTTTAGATCAGTGCTTCCCACCCCTTTTCACTTTCAGTACCTATGGAACTGGAAGAAAGAAGATATACCAAAGTCCACTGAATTCTTTCTAATTTAGAGACCTGTCGACAGGTTCGTTAGGGAAAGTATGATTTACAAAGTGGTTGAAAGCTATTTTAATATATAATTTCCTTTAAGGTTAATAGCATGTATGCACCTTTTTCTAGGACATTGGTTTTTAACATCATTTTTATTACTGGTCACTAATTTGATGAATTAGGAAAATGCACATACACCACACATTATTTTGCATACAGTTTAAGCTGATTGTTGGACCTCCCCTACTAAGGCTGTGCATCAGGAATTGGCAAACTGCAGCCTTAGGGTCAAATTCAGCCGGTTTTTACAGCTGGGAGCTAAAAATGGATTTTAATTTTTAAAGGGTTGTAAACACACAACACATACACAATATATACAACAAAGGCCTTTGGCCTCCAAAGCCTAAAATATTACTTGTTTGGCCTTTTTCATAAAACATTTGCAGATCCCTACTATACATAAACACTAAGTTAAGGAGGACCTGACCTAAAGACTCTAGGTCAGCTGCAGTTAATGAGTCCCCCAGTACTAAAATGGAGTACATGGTAGTTAGCTCAGGATAGGAAAGACAATTCTGATTAGAAAGGCAGTATAGCAAGGTGGGTAACAGTCCAGATTTGGAGCTAGACCAAGGGCGGGGTTGGCGGGGGGTGTTCAAATTCCCACCATACCTCTTACTAGCTATGTGACCCTAGTCAAATTACATAACTTGTGTGTCTGTTTTCCCCTTTATGAAATGGGGGTCATAGTAGCATCTACCTCATGGATGAAAGGCTTAATACGTATAAAGTCCTTATAACGGTGCTTGTCATCTTTTAGTCTTTCCAGTTCTTAATCCTCCCACACTGCCAAGGGGGTGTCACCAGCTCTTTTTAACTTATTTTTTTCCCTTAGCTATGGGTTATTTCAAACAAGGTAAGGTTTTATTTGGGAGAAGGAATTAAATGCAAAAAACTTTTTCCTTTTCCTTAAAGTTGGAGGGAAGAAGTTTGACTAAAATGGCATTATTATACATCCAGATTTTAATCTAAAAGATTTTATAAAATATTGCTAACATCAAAAAATGAAAAGTCCAAGAATGAAAGCTAAAAGTCCAAGGAGATACACAAACAAAGGATTTCTTTGGTGGTGAATCTTTGGGGGAACTCTGAACATTTTTCCTTCATACCTTTCTATATTTTCATGACCTTCCATCTCCATCTATTACTTTACTAGTGAGGAAAACTTATTAAAATTTTTTCAAATTCAGATAGCCTTATAGCTTTTTCTATTTGCTCTTCTGGCAACAGTCATTCACTGATTAGAAAACTAAAATCCTCTAACATTTGGTCAAACTTAGCAGCTGGACAAATGGACAAATCACCTCAAATATGCTTTAGTCGAGATTCACTTCTGCCTTTAAGAGTTAGTTGATGACTTTGGCAGCCTGAATTCCAATTGTTATTTCAACCGCACCTCTTCCAGATTGCTTTTAAAAAGTGAATTGTCAGCTGCAGTGAAGTATAACCAACCAATTTAAAACTAGCCTTTTAGTAAAAACAAACAACAACAACAAAAAACCCTTTTTTTCCTAGCCCTAGCCCTAGGAAGTCTGAATTGTTCTAGGTAAGTGTTTAAAGATCTCCAGGTGATGCTAATCACCTGGAGTGAAAACCCCTAGCTTTGATCACATTACTTTTTATTTTCTGCATCTTTGATGATACAATGAAGAGAATCTTCAGGATAATTACATATACGTTACATTCTTAAAAAAGAGTTAATACAGATAAAAGAATAATTGGTCTCTTATAGTTAGTTCACAGTGGAAAAATATTTTTAAAGCATTTTACAATATACTACCTTGTAAACATTTCTGTATCTCACAGGCTTGCTTCTGGCACGGATCCTTCTGCGGCATATCCAGAAAACTAAAACAAGAAAAATGATTTTTATTTTTCTTTTTTCCATAAAGACTTTAAAGCCCCTCTACGTGGAATTTTCTTCTGAGACAAGCAGTATATGCCCTTACAATTGCTGGAAAATAATTACACTAAAAATACTCTTCCCAAACATAGGATGAATCAACTGTATTTTTATAATATCCATTTCATTAGGCTTGGAAGATATAAATAGCTTTACATGGAAAAAAAACCTTGAATTCAATCAACTCTTTTTGAATACTGTAAACCAACGTTAGGCTAGAGGAGCCGACGGCGCAGCCTGGCTCTATCATTCGCAGAAGAAACCCTTGATAAATGATTAAACTCCTTGAGCTTTTTTTATTACTCATATATAAAATGGGAATCATACCTACCTCAAAGCATTGACAGGAGGATTAAATGTGATAAAGTATATAAAGTACATACAATAGTGCCTGGAAAGGACTCCAATACATGGTAGCTATTATTCCCAAGACTTTTTTTTTTAAAGTAAAACCTTACTTTTAATGTATATAAACTGTTATAACTACTTTAACTCAGGAAATTCTTTACAAGTAGTAAATGTTTTCCTAGGAATCAGCAATATTTGGTGTTATTACTTCCTGAGAAAGGTGCCAGTTAAGCAGCTAAAATGGTTTTTCTTGAAGTTCTTATAGAAACCAGCTTATTTAAAATATCTGTAATCAGAGAATGAATTCAAGAGCCCACAATTTTGATCAGCAACTTCCAGTAATTTGAAGACACGATTTCAGATAGAAAAAAAGGCCCACAAGCCTTTGTAGCTAATTTCATCAATGCATATCTCTTTTCAGAGCCCTCTAAATACTCAGCAGATCCAAATTAGGTCAGTACTGGGATGGGAAACACTGGAGCAAAACCTAGGATATTTACAGGATGGGAGAAGGAAAGGCAGGTGAATTGCTGCAGGGCAAATAAGCGACAAATAGATGTTGATGCTGCTAGGAGCTGCTCTCTTCTCTCTAAATCAGTACCAAGTCCTTGGTGATCAGGGCATCTGTTCTGTAGAAGGTGCTGACTTTTGTGGGATTCATCAGATCCCAGGTCCAGCCGATGATGTCCATTAAGGGTTCTATGGCAATTTCCAAAGGAGTCAATTTCAAGTTACGGATCCTGACTAAGTGCTTTTGTTGACTTGCTTTCTGCCTACGTAACCTCTCTCTGCAGTTTCACTTGCAGTATTCTTCATGACCCTTGCTAAACTTCTGTTTCTTGAGCAGTTTTTCAACCCACTCCCTCCCCCCAGGCCCAAGGGTGGGTGCACTGCAGTAGTGGATGAAGTGATTGCCAAATACTGAACAGAACAAAGGAGCATATCTTCGTAGAATCCCAGCACCTGGAAAAAAAAATCATTAAAATCACCACAACTGAATAGAGCCAAAACAAAGAGGGGGAGGACAGAGGAGAAATAGAAATACATACCAGGTTAGTCATCAGGCAAAAGCTTAAGCAACAGCTCCTGTACTCCCCTGACCTGTCAGAAAAAGAAAAGTTTATGGAGTACTCTGTTACGAGAGTCCCAGTACAATGGAAAATAATTAAGCAACATGTGTACCATTAAATGATGCTGTATCTGCCACAAGCGAGAGTTGTTATCCATGTAGCGCTCCTCCGGGTAGAGTTGCCACATGAGAGGTAGCTGGGAGGTAAGAAGGTGACTTGGCCTAGCTGCGTCACCTAAGGGAACCTGAATTTGCTGGACTCGTGCCCTTAGGAAACTCGTCTCCTAATGGAAAGGAATGATCAAAAATAAAACCAAAGACTTCAGAATATTGAGACTGGAATAGAAACCAAGTTACTTGAAAGCAAAATCAAAGAAATAAGCAAAATGTAAACAGTTACCTCTTCCACGACGGCCACCCACGTGCGCTGGTATTCGTCGCGGTAGATACCCTCTTGGTGAACCCAGAGGTGATCGGGTGGAGCCCCCACATCCTCTCCTGCCATTCTGGGCTTTGGGTTCCAATTCTAGCCCTGCTTTTCTCCACCTAAGCCTGCAGCACCCGCGCACAGGACACAGGTGTGACTTTTTGGGTTTGAATGAACTCACCAGTAAGCAAGGTGATCTGGTACTAGCAACCACTAACCAGAACCAAACCTCATATGTCTATTTGCACAACCTAAATAGAACCAAGGACATCTGAAGCTTTCTGCAAGACAACTAAAGTGACACTCAGGCAGAGCCTCAGGTAGTGCTGCTGACTGCAAAGCGCTCAAGAATTTGGCTAGGTGAGGAGTTCTGTGGAAATGTAGGACTAGCACTACAGGAAGCTGGGCAGTGGTCTCACACATACTGCATTCACAAGCAGTGTCTGGCAAAATGTAGTTAGCAATAGAATATGCAAAGAGCGTGCCTAAAGACACACTTATTTTGGCAGGAAGGCAGTATAACAGACACATGCATGTCATATTCCCCAGGTAAAAGCCACTTCCAAGCAGTTTCCATTTTAAAAGGTAAGATTCTGAAGGACATATATGCATGTCTTTCAGAGTTGAAATTAAAAGTTTGTTTTAAGGGCAAATGATCTATTTATCAGTTTACTAAGAAAGTTTACAAATAGCGGATGGGCATTTCTAGAAGGGGATTTTCTTGTTAGGAAAAGTAAGCTAGCTTCATGGAATTTCTGAGCTGCAAGAGACTTTGGGGATCATGCTGATTTGGAGCTGAGTGAGTGCAAATGAAAGTTATCCATCTAGGTCCTTGTTTTATTTTAATAATTCTGCAGGATGTTACAGGAGCCCATTTTTCCATAGAGGACTAGGTTTAAATTTTGACTTCCTAAGCCAGAAGACCAGAAGCACATTTGAGAGGTGTAAAGGAAGCATACCTCCCAAAGCATTTGAGTGGTAGGGCAAACTCTATAACGATCCTCTGCCCAAGCCCCAGATATCATTTCAGGACCTCACAATAACTTGATGTGCATTTTGCATGAGTCAATCTTCTAGACCTTACTCAGAGCATTATAGCGCAGTTGTACTGTATTTCTACCTTTGGCCAGAGTATAGATACGGCACTGGGGAGCTGCCCCTCAAAACAAAGACCTGCTATTCTCATTAGGTGGGAAAAGAAATGCAGCGTGGGAGGGTGGTTGTTAGAGTCCTCAAAGTGAGACTGTCGAGAGCAACCAGATGCTTCACCCATTATACCCTGAGTGCATCTGACTCTGAGCCTGGTGTAAGCTCCTGTCTTAGTTTTCATACATATGTGCTCTCTCATTTCAAACTCGTCTAAACTTTCTCTTTAACCAAATCCTGATTTCTCTCAATGGCAACACCACCATTCCTGATCCTGCAGACTCAAAACTTATGAATTATCTTGGATTTCTTCCTCTTATTCAGTTGCTACATCCTATATGTCACCAATTCCAGCAGGCACTACAACTACCACTGCAGTTGAGACCAACTTTCCCCAAATACCAGGCTCATTTCTAGCTCCATACCCTTGCTCTTGTTTTCCACTTGCCTAAAATGCCTCCCTGGGCCTCTCTGCCTATCTTAGTGCTATTATAGCAGAGTCCAGGTGCCTGCCTCCTCTATGAAAACTTTAGAAAATTCTTGCCTCTTTTGACTACTGTAGCATTTATATTTAAACAAAGTCACCTTACACATTTGCTTTGCTTATTTCACAAGTCCTGTCTTCCCTAAAGCACAGTATTGTATTCTGCTCAATAGCAGGAATGATACAGTTCTGGGCACCCCAAGTCTCAGGTACTGGTCAAGCAATGTTTCAGTGAACAGGTGTATATGTATGGTGGGTAGGGAAGGGAAACAAAGGAACGCCACAGTGGTTGTCATGATTGGCTATGTATACGTGGGTAGAGATTGATTCTCTAGGCATAAGCCTCTGGCTATATATAATTTTTTTCCAAAGCCCCCCTTTTTTCCCATTTGCAGATACAGTTGTTTTGCCTCTCTTCCTTCCCAGAGCTTTGGAAAAGAGAAATACAAATAAAAACCTGGTAAATACTAATGTCAAAATAAAATATATTAAATTCGGATTTCAAGCACAGAAGACTTAAGTGTGGCCAATAACTGTTTTAAAAAAGTGGAAACCATGTGTTAAGGGTTTCAGGACCATCTCAATTTCATAGATAGGTCCTAGCAACAACCAACATGTTGACATTTAAATTTGTTTTGAATGGAAAACAAAATTGCATTGGTTATATTGACATTAAAAGGAAATAATGCCAGTGGAATAGAGGGCAAAGAGTTTGGAGATGATGGTCTGAGTTACTGAGTCACTACAAAGAGGCCTATGAGTCACTACAAAATATTCTCAGAAGAAAGGCAGTGTGATGTGCTGCTGTGACCCAAAGGTCAACATGCTGGGCATCAGCGGGATGAGCTTGGGAACCACCTCTCAGCACAGTATCCTGGAATTGTGTGTGCTAGCATTCAGAGGGCATGCAGGCCCAGAGAAAGACAACTGCAGTGATCAAGGGACAGAGAAGTCACCATATGAGCATGAACAAAGTCCTCAGCAGAGAAATGCAAAGGCTGAGGGAGAGGGATTCAGATCAAAGCCTATACAATCACAGGTTTTATGAGTGGAAAAATGTGATTCTTAGAAAACTTGCTCCCAACATTTTCCTTGGTCAAATAAGTTTGGGAATCTTGGAGAGTCATAAAGCACATTAGTGTAGTAACTGTTCTGGCAAGTTATGCAGTAAAGAAACTTTATGTTAACATTTCCCAAATTTATTTGACTAGAGAACATTTTATTTGCACATGATACTTGTTTACAAAATTCAGGACTTCTCGAACTAAGACGAATCTTTTAAAACCTCAACATAGACTTAGGTACAAGGTGCAATACAATACATGGAATATAAACTTGTGCAACTCAACTCAAGGAATACTGCCAGCTACAAATACAAATGAATTCCAAAAATGTTTAGATAACTGCATAACTTTATCATCCACTAGAAGAGATTGTCCCCATGAGGGTCACCTTGATTTCGGGGCCAGAGAGCACACTGGCCAAGACAGACAATTTCTTAGTAAGGCATTTTGTAAATTAGGTTTTAAATGGATGACATATAAGATAGAAGGGCTTCCTTAGGTAGTAATCTAAGTAAAACTATCATTTTTCCTTTACAGAATAAATTCTTTTGTGTCTTTTTTAAAAAAGTATAGTTTGCTTTAATTGCCAGGTTGATGAACAGTTTTTAAACATTGATCAGTTGAATACACTTATTTTATTAGAAGTCAATTAATAAACTCGTCCAATTACAATGAGTGAAATTACCAAGAACACAGGCCCAGGCCTGTGTATGAGTCCTGAGTCTGTCACTTACTAGCTTTGTGACCTTGGACAAGTTAACGTCTCTCCACCTCAGTTTCCTGAGGTGTAAAATGAGAATTAAAGAACATATTAATCATGATAGTCTTTATTTAGCATTTCCTATATGTTTACATATATTGACTCATTTAATTTTCACAATCTTCATAGGGCGCTATGAGGTGGGCAGAATTATTATCATCCCCACTTAAAGGTGAGGAAAAGAAAGGCACAGAGAAGTTAGGTAACTTGCTCAAGGTCACACAGTGGGGAAGTTGTTGAGCTTGACTCCAAATGGGGCAGTTTACATGTACCAGGCATATAAATGCTTAGTATCTAGCATATAATAAGCTTGCCATAAATGTTAATAATTTTGTTCTACTCCAGTTAAATGCCTGGAGCTGTAAAAGGCAGCCATGAGCATTAGAAAAGTTAGTGAACCTCATTCTGGAATATGAGATTGACTACCGCCGATAACAAACAAAAGGTATTTTTCTTCTTGAAAGTGCCTAAAGGCACTATATCCCATCACCAAATGTTAATGTCATAATAATAAGAACAGCCGTTCCTGCTCCATGAGGACGGGGCATACTAGCCACAAACAGTAACTGAAAATAACATATGATATAAAATTGAAACAAGAGAAAATTTAGACAGGTCCAATGTAACTGCACACGAAAATTTTCCAACCTTCATCATGATCAAATTAATTATAGAAAGATGTGCCATGTGATCCTTACAGATCGTTAGGTAAAAACGGAGGCTGCTGGCGTGCACATTACAGATCGTTGCACTGGATGGGGACCCTATGTGTGGGGAGACTTGGGTTGGAACTGACTTGGGAGAAAAGAGCAAAGCATCAACACTTCAAGTAGCACCTTGGGAATGTTCCCTTTCCAGTACTGCCATACCTGCCTGGCTTCAAAACTACACAAAGTAGAAAACCAAATCAAAGACACGAACACGGACGGGCTGTGGAGGCGGCACGGCATATATTGTGCTTTGATTTAGAATCGCTTTCAAAATCCACGTGTGATTCCTAGACTTGTGAGTTGGAAGATCTGTACTTTTATCCTTGGCACGTTTGACATACCTCGAAATAAAAATTACTTTTACATATATTTTTACTGTCTGATATCATCGAGACAAGGAGACCCGAGGAAACTTGCATTCTGGATACCTAATGTGATACATCCGAACTTGAATAAAAACTGAAGTTCTCCATTTCCCCTTCCCTGTATCCAACAAATAGCTACCTAAAAGCCTTTGTAGAAAGTAGCAGCAGCCAAGCTTAAGAGTGATACTTTTTCAGATACAGTATAACACTGTTTCTGCAAAAGGTTACTCACATGAATATAATGTTTCTTGGGCTAATTAATCCGCCTTGAGAACAGCTAGGCTAAAACTTCCAGGTCTCCCACCCTGGGCCACTCAAGCCAGGATCGCGACGTGAGCCCGGGGTGAGCCGAGGGGCATCCCGGGCCGAGGTCACTCGAACCGAAGTTATGAGGCGCGGGCCGGCAACCGGAAGTGGTCCAGGGAGAGTTGTACGAGATTCGGGGGCTGTGACTTGGAAATAAAACAAAATAAAATAAAACCTTAACTGTTTTGGGACTGACTTTCAAAAGAGCGTCCCCCTGGCTCAAGAGGCCGGCGTTCGCGGAGATGTCGTCTTAAAGGGCTGTCCCCCAAGCGTGTAGGCCGCGCACGGGTCTCCTTAGCGGGCGGGCAAAATGGGCGCCGGTACTCGGGAGGCGCCTGCCCAGGCGCCCGGGCGCCGCTCACAGAGTACGTCCGCCTGCGGCCCCAGAGCGCCGCCTCCCTGCCGCCCCCGCCGCCCGGCCTGACGCCCGGACCGCGGCCGGCCACCGCCCTCCGCCCCGACGGCCACGCCTGCCCCAAACCGCGCGGGCGTTTCCCAGGTGCTGCTGGGCGGGCCCCGCCCCCGTGCCCCAAGGCCCGCCCCCGCGCGCCAGCCGCGCGCCCGCTGCCCCCTCCTCGCCCCCACAGCCCCGCCCCCACAGCCCCGCCCGCTCCCTAAGCCCCGCCCCCTAGGAACCCGCGCGCCGAAGGCCAGGCCTGGGCGGAGCGCACAGCGCTGGGCGCTGGGGAGGCTGCGCCGCAGCACCCGGTTGGTCAGGACCAAGTGGGCCCGAGGCGGACGTGAGAAGGGTCGGGCCAAGATGGCGGTGCAGGTGGTGCAGGCGGTGCAGGCGGTTCATCTCGAGTCTGACGCTTTCCTCGTTTGTCTCAACCACGCTCTGAGCACAGAGAAGGAGGAAGTAATGGGGCTGTGCATAGGGGAGGTGAGTAGGTCTGTTAGCCTGGATGGAACCCTGCTGAGCAGTCCCAGTGTGTCCCCGGGGTGGGTGCCGGCAGCTCCCAGGGCTGCGGAGGCCACAGGCATCCTCGATTTAGGTCCTTGGACACCCTTTACATAGCTCTGTCGCGGGGAGCCCCGTTTCTTCTGGCCGCCTGACACTTGTTTAGTCTCCTGCGAGCCCCCGGCGGTCTGTACAGGCCCCGGGAGCCTTGCCCTTTCTCCTGTAGCCTGGGGCTTCTCTTTAGATCTGCGCTTTTCGCCCGGTTGACCAAAACTGCAAGGCAGGTCAGAAAGACACTGGAGTATAATGAGGATGTCCGGGTATTACGACGCAGCAGCTGACCACAGTTAGAGCCCCTTGCCTCGCCTCGAGTCTTCTGTCTAGGGAGCAGAGATATCAACCAAAGCATTTGAAGGGTATCGAAGAGCCTAACAGAAGGTGCGGGGCTTGAAGGAAGCAAAAGTTTCCGCTGCATTGTGTTGAGGAGGGGCCGAAGAGGATGAGGAAATACAGTTTAGCTGTTTACAGTCTAAAGTAATTCTCCAGTCTTTCATACCATGTGCGTGAACACATGACCTAATTGTCATATAATCTGCATCCATATATGTCAAACAAACGTAATGTGATCAATAATGTTTTTTGCTTTTTCCCACTCTAGTTGAACGATGATACAAGGTAAGACTGTATTTGTTTACTCATATCTTATAATCTCTAAGTCATTGTTAACCTAAAATTATGGCGACTTTGGCAGTATTGTGTCCGGATCGTGTCTTAAATTAATTACCATTATCACTCCGGGGCTCCCTTAATGATACAACCTTGAACTTTGGTTTCTGCCTTACCTCCTATTCAGTTGAGATATGGGATAAACATCTTAATAAGCATTATCATAATTGTTGCGTTTTAGGGGTGAGACAGAGCCTCACTCTGTCGCCCAGGCTGGAGTGCAGTGGCGCGATCTCTGCTCACTGCAACCTCCGCCTCCCAGGTTCAAGCGATTCTCATACTTCAGACTCCCGAATAGCTGAGATTACAGGTGCCCGCCACCACACCCGGCTGTCTTTTTTTTTTGTACAGACGGGGTTTCACCATGTTGGCCAGGCTGGTCTCGAACTCCTGGCTCAAGCAGTCTGCCCACCTCGACCTCCCCAAGTGCTGGAATTTCAGGCGTGAGCCACCACACCTGGCCTTGCTCAGTGTATTTCATGTTCTGTCTCCCCTTAAATGCCAGTGAGATATCAGTAATTTTCTTAGTGACAGAGAGCATATACGTTTAGAGGCATTTCCCCATTGATCCATTCCTTCACGTAAATTGACAGTGACATTGCCTTTCCTCCTGATGGACCTCAGTGATCTCAGAGATCCCCAGTAGCTTCAATACTTGACGTGGTGAAACCTTTCGGTAACATTTTAATTTAAACTTCAAATCATACCATAGTATACTTCTCAAGCCCACCTCCTTAGTTCCCAGGATTCCAGGAATTTAGCTTTGTCCATTATAACTTTATACACTCAGCCACTTGTGCATGTGTCCCAGATTGCTTCTAACAGATAGAGTGCAGCTCTAGCCTCAATTCAGTTTCCCTCCTCTTCTTTGGTCTCTGCTAAGATTTCATTGCAAAAACAGTTAATCCTGTTATTTTGCTTTAATTCCTTTTTATATTCCAAACCCCACTTCCTTTTTTTTTTTCTAATTTATTCCCAGTAGGAGTGACTCCAAATTTGCATATACTGGAACTGAAATGCGCACAGTTGCTGAAAAGGTATGTGTGCTAAAATTTTGCATGATGGAAACTTGCAGTTGGGGAAAGATTTCTGTAATCCAGTGATCTCAGCCAGAGTATGCGGTTTCTGGCTGGATGAGATATTCTTTCTAGTAAAATCAGATGAAGAATCTACTCACTAGGAATGGGACCTAATTTTCTGTTCTTTGTAGCAAATTGTCTCTACTTGATCAAGATTAATAATCACTGTCAGTACCACCCTCTTGCTGCTCTCCTTGCTGTCACTGCCTGTTTTCTGGCCCTTCTCCCACTTTCCTTGATACTTTGGCATCCTTGATACTTTCACATCACTATTACCTCTTTATCTCGAATTCCAACATCTACTCATGCAGCCCTCTCTTCTTAAACAGGCAAACTGACCATAGCATCATAGTTCTTAGTCTGCCTTGACTTTTTTCCTATCTGCACTCCTACACCATCTTTTGTGGCATGCTCTAGCCTTGATGGTCTAGTGTAATGCTTCTCACCTAATCGTGGTATCGGACCAGTTAACGTTTCCCCCAGTCTGTCACAGACCGATGCTTTTGTAAAATACAAAAAAAATGAATTACTTCCCCTCCTCCCACCAAGTTATCAGGCCACACCTTCATCTACTTATTACTACTAGTTACAAACTTCTCCACCTTAATCACTTTGCATCTCTTCCCATATCAAAGAAATAAGTCCTCTTCCTATCCAAAGCTGCAGCTTCTTCAGAGACCTTGTTTATCAAATGTTCTGTCTCTTTTCTGGGTCTTCTCCCTGTCACCTGGTTCTTTTAGGATAAACATATGCTTAAATTACTCTCATTTTCAGAAAGGAAAGCTACTTCTTAATCCCGTATCTTCCTGTAGTCAGTACTCTTATATCCTTCCTTTAATAGCCAGACTTCTTAAAAGAATGGGCTACAATTACTACTCCTTCACCTTCCCCAGTCAAACCCACTGAGGTCTGGTTTCTAATTCTACCTTCGGTGGATTATTTCCTGGTGCTTATCTTCATCTTTCTCCTTGAATCTCTAAACTCTCATGAGTTTTTGTTGGTTTTGTTGTATTGCCTTTATTCCTGTTTCCCCCTTCCCACAATCCTTTGTGGACTCCTCTTCCTCCTCTGTCTATGCATTAAATATTACTCATTCCTCTTAGGCACTGAAATCTCTGACTAAAGCAAGAAAGAGAGAAAGAAACAATTCACCCTGGGCATCAGTTACTAAGATACATTCCAATCTTAATAATGTAATTTTATTATTCAAGATTTCATGCCCTCGTCTTGAGTTTTATGTCAGTTTGTACTGTCTAAATTAGATATTAAACTTTATTAGTTAAGCTGCCTTTTTAGTGTTGCATAGTGTATTTTTTATCCTTTTATTTTTAGCCTTTCTGTATACTAATATTTAAAATGTGTCTCTTGTGTCTCTTATTAGTGGTAAATACTTTTTAAAAAATCCAGTGTGATAATCTTTTTAAGTGGAGTATTCAGTTGAAAAACAAAACAAAAATAAACCACAAAAAAAGAAATATCATGTGAGCCACGAATGTGATCCATATACATAATTTTAAATTTTTTAGTAATCACAGTAAAAAGGAATAAATGAAATTAATTTGAAGGGTGTATTTTAGTTAACCTAAGTATCTGAAGGATTATTATTTTAATATGTAGTGAATATTAAGAAATGTTGAGATATTTTACATTCCTTTTTTCTCTTTTGTGTTGTCTTTGAATTCCATGTGTATTTCATACTTGCTGCATATCTGAAATCAGACCTGTTGCACAGTGAAAATCTATAGCTTGTTTCAAAAGCCTTCTCTCAGATTTCACCCTTGTCCCTTCAACATCTGATAATGCTAAGCCCACTCTTTCCCCTGGCCCTTCTTGTTCTTCCCCACACTAAATGTGGCCACTCCCCTTGATTCAGGCCAAGACCTCTGCTCCCTTTCTCCACACCTTTTTTGTCCACTCATAAATGCTTTATTGATTCCTGCATTGATGCTGTTTGAGTCTAAGCTATAATCCCACTTGCCTGCTAAAAATTGCCATATTGTATATCTCTCATCCCAGATTATCTCATCTGAAAACAAGCTCATCTTCTTTCCTTCCTGACCCTTTCTAAACTTAGATCTGCCTCACACGTTCTACCTAGTTTCAACCTTGAAACTTTAGAGTCCTCTTTGACCGTTTCCTGTCCACCATCACCCATGGTCCATAAGCTACCAAATCTTGTAGATTCATTCTTTTTAATGGGTCTCAAATCTGTTTCTTCCATCTCTGCCATCTGCTTAGCCCAGTACTTCATTGTTACTTCATGTACAGTTTATCTGAAATAATTTTTTTTCCTTCGAGTTCATCCTGCAAATTATGGCTTGGCATTTGAGGTCTTGTACATTCTCACTCCAACTTTCTTAGCTTTGCCATCTGCCATTTCACCTCAAGCTCTGTATCTAAATCAGTTGGGTAAGTTGTCTCCCAGACACCTCATTCACACTTTACTACTTCCATTCGGCACCTGTAGAAAATCTGTTCCCCCCACTTCCCACAATAATCAAGGAATGGATACACTTGTCTGCCTTTTCTATGAAGATTTTTTTCTTTTTTAGATTCATATTCTGCTTATGTAAAAGATTACTTTTCTAATATAAGTGAGTTCTTTCCTCTGAGCTCCTGTATTAGTCTGTTATCACACTGTAAAGAACTCTCTGAGGCCGGGTGCGGTGGGTTATGCCTGTAATCCCAGCACTTCGAGAGGTCGAGGCAGGCCTGAAGTCAGGAGTTTGAGACCAGCCTAGCCAATATGGCTACCAAAAAATACAAAAAGCCGGGCATGGTGGCGTGTGCCTGTAATCCCAGCTGCTGAGGAGGCTGAGGTGGGAGAATCGCTTGAACCCAGGAGGTAGACGTTGCAGTGAGCTGAGATTGCACTACTGCACTCCAGCCTGGGCGACAGACTGAGACTGTGTCAAAAACAAAAAAACAAAAAAACAAAAAAAAAACTCCCTGAGACTGGGTAATTTATAAAGAAAAGAAGTTTAATTGACTCACAGTTCCACATGGCTGGGAGGCTTCAGGAAACTTATGATCATGGTGGAAGGTGAAGGGGAAGCAAGGCATATCTTACATGGTGGTAGGAGAGAGAGAGAGTGAGGGGGGAAGTGCCACACTTTTAAACCATCAGATCTCCTGAGAACTCACTCTCACACTATTATGAGAACAGCGTAGGGGAAATCCACCCCTACAATCCAATCACCTTTCACCAGGTGTCTCTCCTGATACGTGGGGTTTACAATTTGAGATGAAATTTGGGTGGGGACACAGAGCCCAGCCATATCAGCTCCTATGGCATTGACTTACTACATTATCTTAGTGGAGTTTCATGAATGACAACTTGCCACTCAACCATGTCGTTAGCACATTGAACCCTTTGTCAGTGCTCTGATTTATATTCCTTTGTGCAATACAGTGTTTTGTACATAGTTGTAAGTCAAATAATTACTAGTTGATCATCCTAAAAGTCCTTCCTTGATTTAAATATTAGCATATATATTTTATATTTTTGTGTCTGAAATGTATATATTGAGGTTGGGTGTCTTTTATTTGAAACATTTCATTATTCGTGAGAAAAGTGTCAGTTTTCTAAAATGGAATATTTTATCTGATATTATAATAAAATGCAATTCTATAGTTGAAGGGGGATGTGTTATTGGAGAGAGCTGTAAGTAACCATTTCTGTGGATTTTCCTTTAGGTTGATGCCGTCAGAATTGTTCACATTCATTCTGTCATCATCTTACGACGTTCTGATAAGAGGAAGGACCGAGTAGAAATTTCTCCAGAGCAGCTGTCTGCAGCTTCAACAGAGGCAGAGATATCCTTACTGGTCAATAGAAGCTTTTATGTGCTCTGGGGTTCCTGGGCCGCATTGCTGCTTGCTGCAGTCATCCTGCTTTAGGTGGTTTCACAAGTTTTCTTCCCTTAGATCCAATTGTTTGGTTTTTAGAATTTCTCTCTATTTCTCCTTTTGAGTGGCTTTTATTGGAAGAATTAGAAATTTTCTGACATTCCTGCTCCTAAATGCCAAAAGATCTCAGGGTCAAACACTGCGACAATGAACTCTGTGTGGAGTCCCCTCCATCTTCCTCCCTAGTCTTCTCTCCATTCCTCCCTGCCCCTCCTTCCAGTTTTCCTAGTATCATTTAATTTCTAGGCCATTTACTATCTTGGTCTCTATCCTCTTGAGAGATTCTCTTTTGTGACTTCCTCTCAAAAAATGCAATGCTGGGAACTGAATGCAGTGTTTCATGTTACATATAACCCCAAAATGATCAAATGGGGCATTTGTTTCCTGTGATTTGTTTCAGTATGATTCCGAGTGTCCTGGCCGGCGCCTCGTAAGTGAATATGAAGCTGATCCCCATCCCACTTTTGTTTTCTTCAGGGATCCTTTCCCTGGCCTCTCGTAGTTTCCTCACATGCTTCCGCTCATCAGTGATCTGCTGAATGCTCAAGTGGGACCCTCAAGTGCAGATATGCAGGCTATCTCTCTGCAGCTCTCCTCTCTGGTCCTCTGCCCTGCAAACTTCAGCTGCAATTACTATTTGTTAAGCACTTACTAGGTGTTTGCCAGGCACTATGCTAAACACCGTGTGTGGATTATTGCACTTACTCTTCACTGCTCTGAAACATTATTCCCCTGCCTCAGTCTGCAGCTGAAGAAATGGGCTAAGAGAAGTTAAGTAGTTTCTCTTGGCATTTGAAAACTTGAAAATATATCTTAGAAATATTGTTTCTCAGACTTAGTTGTATAAAAAGGATTATTATATTTTAATATAAATAATTTGCAGGAAAACTAATGAGCATTTTACAGGATAACAGCAGCAGTCTTGAAAGTGACAACTTCTGAAGATTTAGAAAAGCTTTTCAGATAGCACAGTGGTAAGGATTCGAGTGATGAAACATCAGCTAAATTAAACTTGAGGATGTAAGTATATATGGCATTGGAAACCATGTGGATTCTAGTTTAGAAATTTTGGCTTTAAATGGGCATTATGGGAAACTCAGCATTAATCTTATTTCATTCTTTTGTTGCCATTAAATTGTAATAAGCTTATTTTAAACTTCAGGGTGCTTTCTGAGCCCTTATTAGCATCATAAATTTTGTTCCCACATTTTTAAAGTACCTTGACAGACACACAGGTTGGCTGAACTGACAGGCCGCCCCATGAGAGTTGTGGGCTGGTATCATTCCCATCCTCATATAACTGTTTGGCCTTCACATGTTGGTAAGTATCATGGGGTTGCAATGTTTATTGTTTTCAGAAATTAATATCATGTTTCCTTTTCCATTACATAGGGTATGGTTATTTTAAACCAAAATTTGACTGTCCTTTAGCAGATGTCATTATTTTGATTTATTTTATTATGTATTAAAAGTAATGATTTATGTCATATTGATTGTTTTTAATAAGTCTGTCAGTTGATATAAAAAAATTAAACTGTTAACTGAAAATTGCTGATTGCTGAATATCATTACTGTCCAGGACACTCCCATTCTGCAGACTTAAAGATATTAAAGGGTAAAATTTGCAAAATTGATTTTTACAGTTGCTGTTTACGTATAGTCCATTGGGGCTCTCAATATACATCTTTACCCTTCTAATCAGTGTAATGTAACTAAATTGCTTTCTTTCTACCTTTACCCCTTTTTGAGAATCATGGTGGGTTTTTTTGTCCGTATCTGCGTCTCCAGAAAGAAGGAGAATAACTTGGGGAGAGTGAACTAATATTCATGAGCACTTAACTATGTGCTAATGGTTTACAGATGTTTTCTTCTCTAATCCTTGTGGCAACCTGTGAGTTAGAGATCTTACCCCCATTGTACAGAAGGGTAAACAAAGACTCACATGAATTAAGTAAGTTGCAGAGCTGAGGTTAGAACCCAGGTCTGACTCCCAAGTCTGCTCTTCCCACTGTGCTACTACTAGTCATATGGGTTTGAGTTGATAGCAAGTTATATATTCATCTACACTGTGATACGAATGGCAAAAAGTCATCAGTGGTACAGTCCCAGACTTTAATGAAACACGAGTGGTCCTAAGAAATACAGTATTAGTTCTCAGTCTTGGGTGGGTGAGGATGTTTCTCAGAATCACCTGAGAAAGCTTTCATAAAATGTGCCTGCCCCAAATTAATCTTTCCTAGACCCTAACTCAAACCTACTGTAACAACCTCTGGGAGTAGGTGTTAGGTGGGGATATTGTTGAACGCCCCTAGTTAAATACTGATTTAGAATAAGGGAGATGACAGATCTACCTTCTCCCAGATTTGCCAAACTTTAACATTTGGCAACACTTGCTGTATCATTCTCTTATACATATATGTATATACGTGTGTGTGTCTGAAGATAATTTTTTCCTGAAGTATTAGATTAAGTTGCAGACATGGTACCTTTTACCCCTACTCTTCACTATGAATTTCCTAAACACAAAGAAATTCTCTTACATAACCATGATACATTTATAAAAATTGGGAAATTACCATTCATATAATAGTATTATTTAAATTACAGACCTTATTCAGATTCTTTAATTGGTTCACTGATGTCCCAATAAAGTTGTTTTTATAACTATTAATATATTCCTGTAAAGCCTTAATGTCACTGAAAAAATTCAGTGGCTGATTTGTTTTCCTGTCATTGTCAACACTGAAATCAGATTGGCCTAAAATTTTTCCCATGGTAGTGCCATCAGCCACTAATGAAGAAAAGTTTGACACATATATTACTGAACAATTATTTTCACTATAGTAATAAGTTACAATGGGAAATAAATACATAAAATTTGGTGGTAAAAAGAAATTCCCTACGAATTTAAGGAAAAATACCTTATAAGTATCTGAAGCAGAGCACCCAGAAAATTTCAGAGTTCAGAGAATAATTGAATTCTCTCAGGGGAGAAGATCTGAGCCATTAAACAAGAACCCAGGTAGGAGTTTGTAATGCAGCAGTAACAGTAGTGGGAACATTTCAATCTTTATAGCAGTCAGAAAAAAAAAAAAGGGATACTGCAGAAAGTAACTGAAAAAAATCAACTCTAAATTATGAAATGATTAAGAAGCCATGTGCAAATAATTCAAGACAAAATAGATTTGGAGTCCAGAGTATAGATATCCTACCTGAACAAGAATTAGAATATGCAATAAGGGCTATGTGTAAAGAAAGTTTAGAGAGTTACCATAGCATGAGGGTTGGGAATACCAGCTTTGATTTAGTTGGAGACTAGGTCTGTGTTAGCATCTTGTTTCAGTCACTTACTAGTTGAGAAAATATTTTAACTTGTCTATGCCTCTGTAGTTTCCTCTCTGTCAGAAAAGAACATAGTCTCAGAGTTAAGAGTAGTATATGAAAATCATGTATACAACACCTTGTCCCACACTTACCATGGTAGCTGTTCACCTATAAAATGAGCAACAAAAGAAAGACACCAAAGCATTTATTTGTAAAACTCTCAAGGACATGGAGAGAGTATATGAAATATCTATATTGAAGGGCAGACAATATTCAAAGGATTAACAATGAGGACACATCAGGTCTCTCATTTGAGATCCTGAGATCTCAAAAATATTTACAGGCCGGGCATAGTGGCTCACGCCTGTAATCCCAGCACTTTGGCAGGATGAGGTAGGCAGATCACTTGAGGTCAGGAGTTGGAGACCCACCTGGCCAACAAGGTGAAACCCTGTTTCTATTAAAAATGTAAAAATTAGACAGGCATGGTGGCGGGTGCCTGTAATCCAAGTTACTGGGGAGGCTAAGGCAGGAGAATTCACTTGAACCTGGGAGATGGAGGTTGCAGTGAGCTGAGATTGTACCACTGCACTCCAGCCAGGGTGACAGAGCGAGATTCTGTCTCAAAAAAAAAAAAAAAAAAGTACAGTAATGAAACTATGGGTACAACTAAAGAAAAATAATTGCCCAACTGAGCTGGCATTCACACTCATCTCCAAACAGCCTTTTAAGAAGTAGTACCTTATAAATGTATGCAATTATGATTTGTCAATTAAAACTAGTATTTAAGAAAGTAAATAAATGGGAAAAAAAGAATTGAGTCTAACAGAGGCACTGTATTGCATTACAAACCTCAGAAAAAGTGAGCAATGAATAAAAACTAACTACCTTTAACAGGAAAAGAATTCCAAGCTGTGGTAAAGAGTGACAAGTGAGAAAGTGAAATCTTTTTTTCTGTTAAAGGAAAGGTATAATTTTAGTTGGTGAGGGAGAGTGACGTGACCATTTCAGTGCTTTTTATGATAAGGTAATTAGTGCAATTAGGTTAAGTTCCAGTGGGCTAGGTAACACTGTTTTGAACATAATTTAAAGGGATCATTCCATAAAACGATTCTTCAGGAAATTTACTGGATACCTGTATGGAATAATAAGGTCATGGCTCCTGCTGTCCTGGACCTTAATGATTTTGTTGGGGGGAAAACAGAGTACTAAAGGGAAAACAATGAGTAACATGATAAAGAAGAAATGAGATGTAGTCCATATAGAACATTTGTACTTGTAAATATAAACAGGGGAAGCATCTATAAAAATAAAAGCCTTGGGATTAGGAAAAAGGAAGAATAAGATGTTACTAAGACAAGCTGCAAACCTAAAGACTTGAACAAAAACTAACAAACTAGGTTAAGCTGTATGGGGAAAATAAAGAGCAGCCATCATCAGCTAAAGGGTAAGTGAGAGAAGATAGGTCATTTATTCTATAACAAAAGGCATAGTAACTAAGGAAACTCTAATGAGGCTGAATTATGTGCCCTACCGTAGCAACATACATGTACACAGGATAAAGTTTTACATGTAAGGAATGGAAACTAGTTGAGATAGAAGAACTTGATAACCCACTTTCAAAATTTATTCATTCCTTCAAAAGAACATAAAGTGAGTTGGCCTTCGGTTGAGGTTGGCAGTGGAGCGTGGAGGGGACAGTGAACAAAAGCAAGGGTGAGGTAGGACAAGCACACACACAAAGACTTTAAAATTTCATCTTAAAAGAATTTTATTCTTACAGAAAAATTTCAAGAATAGTATGAAGAACCAGATGCAACAATTGTTAACCTTTGGTCGCATTTGCTTTATCATATTCTCCCTCCCTCTCCAACATACACACATGCACATGTGCACACATGCTATTTGAGAGTGAGTTGCAGACATGATGCTCCTTTACCTTTAAATACTTCATTGTGTATTTCTCAAGATCAAGGGTATTTATTTACATAACCACAGTGCAATTGTCAAAATAAGCACATTTAATAAATACGATCATATTGTGCAAACTACACAGAACTTATTCACATTTTGCCAGTTAACTCAATATTGTCCTTTATGGCAGTTTTTTCTTTCCAATACAGGATCCAATCTCAGATCATGCATGGCATTTAGCCTTCATGTCACTTTAGTCTCCTTTCCTCTGGACCAGCTCCTTAGACTTTTTTTCCTCTTTCGTGACATAGACATTTTAGGAGATGGAATGTTGCTCCATTTGACTTTGTCTGCTATTTGCTTATGACTAGATTCAGGTTATGCACTTTTGGCATGTGGTGCTAGGCCTTTGTCAGCGTCTCCCATCTGGACGTGCGTGATTTCTCTGCCTCAAACTAACATTTTCATGCCACTGATGAGGCAGAATTAACAAATGTGAGTCAAATGGGAAGAGGTGATAACAAGCCTCTTCTCAGCCTGTCCATTTGTTGAACAGATACCGAGGACTTGGCCATGCCAATTTGTAATAATATCTGCAAAGCCAATTCCAAAATTGGGAAGCTGTGCATGTTCCATGATATCTCTGATCAGTATGCTCCTACTTTTTGCAAAGGCAAACCCTTTCATTTTCAAACCTCTGAATTCCCCGTTTCTGCCTTCATGTTCAGCAATGTTATCTAACATTGCTTCCCACTTTAATAGAGAAAACAGGAACCATTAGAAAGGAATTTCATCTGTTTCTCTTGATTCACCTACTTGTCACTGTGCCTCTCTTCCCCTTTTCCCTCCTATTTTATCTTTGCCTCCTACATTCTCAAGAACCTTACTCTGTTTTTTATGCCCCTCTTTTTTACACATCTACATACTTTGCCACTATACTGGATTCTTCCCATTATTATTTCTTTCAACAAATTTGAGTGTCTACCATGTGTCAAAGTGCTGAAGATAATGAATGAGAGAAACACGGTCCCTGCCTTCATGGAGCTTTCAAATATGTTCATACTTCACATTGAGGAAAACAACAAAAACACTCTAGTTTGGCTTCTATTAAAGTGGATCTTGCTAGAGTCATCAATGGTATCCATGTTGAAAATCTAGTGACCATTTTAAAATCCCATCTTATAAAACATTGACACTGTCAGGTACTCTCTACTTATTGAAATACTTCCCAGCTAATCACGAGGAGTGTGTGGCTTTTGGGGGAAGAAACTAAGCTGAGGGTCAGAGCTGAAATACCCAGTCCAAAACCAGATGGCTAGTAAGCAGCAGACCCAGTATCTGAATTGAGTTTATATGAGTCTAGAGCCTAGGATTTCTACAGCATCTCACTTTGATTGAACAAGTGGGAATCCTATTCATGGAAGTAGGAAGTGGAGGAGGAAACATAGGTTTGGTGATGGGGAAAGAGATATAGTTCAGTTACATCATACACACACTTAACGTACCTGAATTTTACCTATACAGTACACGTTTGCAAAAGAAAAATAAGTGATTTAAATGCTGCAGACTATTTCATAAATCTCCCAAGACTTGGTACTGTTTGTAGAAGTTATTCTTTTATATTCATTTTATTTTACTTGTAAATGCTTATCCAAGGAGACATGTACCTGTAGTTATGTTCCTCATTTTAAGATCTGCTCAATTTTTTTTTCTAGCACTACGGTGAGTTCTAATATCTTTGTTTAAAAAGTTTTTTTTTTGAGACAGAGTCTGGCTCTGTCGCCCAGGCTGGAGTGCAGTGGCACGATCTCAGCTCACTGCAAGCTCCGCCTCCCAGGTTCGCGCCATTCTCCTGCCTCAGCCTCCTGAGTAGCTGGGACTACAGGCATCCGCCACCACACCCGGCTAATTTTTTTGCATTTTTAGTAGAGATGGGGTTTCACTGTGTTAGCCAGTATGGTCTTGATCTCCTGACCTCGTGATCCACCCACCTTAGCCCTCCAAAGTGCTGGGATTACAGGCCTGAGCCACCGTGCCCAGCCCCAAAAAGTTTTTTTAAAGTAGGATAGGCCAGGTGTAGTGGCTCCTGCCTGTAATTGCAGCACTTTGGGAGGCTGAGGTGGGATGATTGCTTCAGCCTGGGAGTTCAAGTCCATCCTGGGCAAGATGGCGAGCCTCTGTCTCTTAATTTTTTTTTTAATTAGCCAGGTGTGGTGATGCATGCATGTATTTCCAGCTACTCAGGAGGCTAAGGTGGGAGGAACCCTTGAGCTCAGGAGTTGGAGGTGGCAGTGGGCCGTGACTGCACCACTGTGTGCCAGCCTGAGCGACAAAGCAAGACCTCGTCTCTTAAAATTTTTTTTTAAAAAGTAGGATATGAGAAATAGTCAATTATTTTCAGATATATAAGAACATTTCCAATGGCCTCCACATGTAATTTTGGAAAGATAGGCTGGATTCAGAGCAGGTCTGCCACTTCACAGGAACATTTTCACCACGTAGCTCCTAAAAGGAAATGAGAAGGCCTATTTCTGAAATGTTTCCATGTCCCCTTGGGGGGAAAACAGTTTCAGTTCATTCCTCCACTGACATTAAAAGAGAATGTCTATTTCAGGCAAGAATAATAAAATGGGCTTTTAATACTACATATGGTTATTTCATCATATTTCTTAGGAATGGTGCTGTGTAATATCACTGTGCACAAAATCACAGATTCTTCAAGAAAACTGTTTCTTAAATACCTGTGTAATTGCCCACAAAGGGGCCCAGTGCATGTGACATTCAGTCTAACAGCTTAACCAGCTCTCTGCCGTACTTGCCATACAGAAAAGCTGAAACTGCTGGTTTCCAGGTCAGTTTATGTGGTCCAATCCGTAACCTGCTTTCTTCCTGAAAGACCCAACCAGAGGAAACTGACCAAAAGAGCATCTCTCGTGTACCAGGCCTGAGTTCAACAGAAAACAGATAAGCGACCTCCAACTTTTTATCCCTGGGTCTGAAGTCACATCCTGAAGAGTTTGGTTACACCAGTAATGAAACATACATGGTTTCCTGTTGCTTTCCTTTCTTAATTTCCGGTGAGGATAATGTCACCAGAAAGTTCCATCTCCCTCTCTCAGTAACAGGGAGAAGTGGAACAGGCAATTGGATCTCAAGCAGGGTCTTGGCTTGAGCCTTGGGGCGGTTTACAGAGTTTCTGTCTTGACCACGGAGATCTTTACCAATTTGCTGGGTAGGTCCATGGCTGCCTGGTTCCCCCAGGACTGCTTTGCCATGACAGCTACCTGAATGACTCCGAGGAACTGCTCTTTGGTGATTTCAGGAGGTTCTTTCCCTTTAAGGGTTCTTCAGACAAAATGTCTGAAGCGCTCTCGATATGAGTTTTGGTAGCGGCCAGCCTGGGTCTGGGAGCAGAGTGATAGGACGTACCCTGCCTGGTCATGCCCAAGGGATTCTGATTATTCATCTGCAACACACCTTGGAAATCATGAACGTCCCGTCTGTGGTCACAGCTGTCTGTCCAGTGCTGGCTGACGTCCAAGCTAACAGCCGCCCCATTGGGAAACTTCATGCTGATCACAGTGGCATCTGCATCCTTTAAGGAGGCCATATCTGGTCAGAAGGCATGTCCGAGAGAAAGCACAGTGTCCAGAGTGGCTTTTAACAGCAACATGCATGCGATGTCCACATTGTGCACCCAGTCTTGTAGAGAACCCCACCTGCCCGCCTGCCCTCGCTTCCTCCCTCCGTCCCTCCCTCCCTTCCTTGCCCAGGCTGGAGTGCGATGGCGCGCCCTCTCAGGTAACTGCAACCGCCGTCTCCTGGGCTCAAGCGATTCTCCTGTCTTAGCTTCCCGAGTAGCTGGGATCACAGGCACGCGCCACCACGCCTGGCTAATTTTTTTTTTTTTGCATTTTGAGTAGAGAGGGAGTTTCACCACATTGGCCAGGCTGGTCTCAAACTCATGACCTCAGGTGGTCTGCCCGCCTTGGCCTCCCAAAGCGCTGCTCACAGCGCCATCTGGTGGATCCTTTTGTAAGCTTCCTCAAAGCAGGACTGGGCAGTGGCCTATTCAAAGCACGCAGCCTCGTGCAAAGCACCCCCATCCCTGTTCTCGAATTACCCTAGTGTTGGCCAAATAATCGGCTCTGAAGGTTCACTCCACTTTATATAGCTGATCGTCAAAAACATACAGCAAGCAGCAGCCGTTCTTATCCATTATATCCCAAAGATGGCCAGGCTAATGCTCCGATGTCATTAAAGCATCTCATACCTCTGTTGGAGGCTTCTGAAATGTCTTTGGCTGTTCTGAGGGCACCAATGGGCTTTTCACTCAGAGAGAAGGAAAGGCTGAGAGGTGGCCAGCAGAGGTAGATAGCGTTGTGTTTGGACGGAAGCAGAATGCCTGAGAGAATTTCTGAGTGGATGCTGAGGGGCAAGGGCGAGAGGTGCAGGGTCCGAGCCTGCTGAGATGAGAATAAGTGTCCATAGGATGACAGCTCCTCGCGGGCAGCGGTGGCTGGAGTGGGTCCCTCAGCGCTCAGGTGGTCTCCCAAGGGGTAGACAATGCTCAGAGGGGGTACATCCATTAGGACGGGATGCCAGAACGATCCCACCCGGAGAAGCTTCGCCGGCGAGAAGAATACGCCTTCCCACAGGGGAAGATGGGGGTACGAGGGACTCCCCCGGAGGGGTGACCGAGGCCAGTCTGAGCCTCTGGGGGCCCAAGGTTGGGAACTCTTGGTAGCCAGTGGACGGGCAGGGTCGGCTCGCTTTGGCAGGCGCCAGGGTGGAGGTACTGAGCTTACGTGAGACATACTCTCAGGAGCATTGTTTTAAGACAACCAAGTTGAACTGTCAGACGGCAACTTAGATCTATGGTTCTGGAGTTCTGGGACTAGAGTTTGTTGGGCAAGAGTTGGGAGTGGCTGGTGTAGATTTGAAGCCACAAAACTAGATAAAATCCCCCAAAGGGTAAGGGTAGAGAGATAAAAGGACTGAACACTGAGCCTGGGCCACACCAATATTTGGAGAGTGGGAAGATGAGAAGGATCCAGCAACAGAGACAGGAAGTTAGAGACGAGTAGGAAGAGTGGGAACGTGAGGCAAAGTGAAGATAGTGTTTCAAGAAGGGAGTGATCAGCTGAGATCAGGTAAATTGAAGACCAAGAATAAATCATTGGTGACCTTGACAAAAAGCAGTTTGGGTAACATGATGGGCACAGTAGTTGTTACCAGTGGTTGTAGATAAAATTGAATGGAAGTAATGCTTATGAAGTACCTTTGATGTGTGTTAAAAATTTTGCAATTTAAAAATTACAAAAACCCTATGAGAGAAGCGATGATGTTTATTCTCATTTAACTGATAAGGAAATAGGCTTAACAGTACCAAGAATTTTACTTTTAGCAATTTACTTTAATTCTCTGTACTGCTATAGACCGTTTTACAATGCTATGTTCTTTTAGCAATATTTTCAGCCAATTTCCTTTGTACTCATTGCTGGGTACTGTTTGGTCTCAGTCTTTACTTAGGAGGACATTGGGGAGAAGTCAAAATCTAGATCAAAAAGGTATACACACAAAGAATGTTGAAGAACAGATTGCCAAAATAAGTGAATGTAAGCCATTGGGCAAAACTGTAATCTGCAGTGTTTCATTGTGACACCTGATCTTTTGTATCCTTTATAAACAATGGTCTGAAGACTAAATTTAGCCTCTGTTTAGTTTTTGGCTTTTTTTTTTTTTTTTTTGAGACGGAGTTTTGCTCTCGTTGCCCAGGCTGGAGTGCAATGGCACCATCTCGGCTCACTGCAACCTCTGCCTCCCAGGTTCAAGCGATTCTCCAGCCTCAGCCTCCCAAGTAGCTGGGATTACAGGCATCCGCCACCACACCCAGCTAATTTTGAATTTTTAGTAGAGAAGGGGTTTCTCCTTGTTGGTCAGGCTGGTCTCAAACTCCCGACCTGAGGTGATCCGCCTGCCTCAGCCTCCCAAAGTGCTAGGATTACAGGCAAGAGCCACCACGCCTGGCCGTTTTTGGCATTTAATATTTTAATCCTTTCTAATGTTGTTATTTGGTGCCTGTTTATTATCTCTTTTCAAAAGTTCAGTAACCATATCAAGCAGAATTAAGAAAAAAATCAAGTAACCATATAGGAGGGGTTTCTACTCTCTGGAATGTTGAATTTATATCACAACCACTTCCATACAATGGCTTCCTGTAAGATTTTCCTCTGTAATTGTTCCACACTTCTATTCTTTAGTAGCAAGCCTAATAAATATGTTCACTTTCCTAGAAGCTGTCCATCAAAAGGCTTTTTCTAGGAAATACTTTCTCTCCTTTTTAATTTCTCTTTCTATTACCACATTCCATAGCAGAGCTACTCTTGGGCTAGGCAGGCTAGAGTTATTAATAAGTTTTATTATTTAATGGCAGACTTTCGATAGTATTACCCTAACCTAGCAAAACATTTTTACTTTGATATTGTCCTTAGGATATATTCCTGTTTTGCCTGTACAATCTGAATCCTAGGAAGATTATATGTTGCTGTTATCTTTAAATCTTTAAGTCAATCTTTAAATCAATAAGCTGTGAGACACAGCTTATTGACAGAAGATTTTTAAATTTTCATTTATTTTCAGATGTTCGCACACAAGCCATGTACCAGATGATGGATCAAGGCTTTGTAGGACTTATTTTTTCCTGTTTCATAGAAGATAAGAACACAAAGGTATTGTGTGTGCATGTGTGTGTGTGTGTGTGTGTGTGTAGGGTCTGTGTGTGTGTCTACACACAGAGTAGAGAAAAATCTCTTTGCGATTTTAATAGGATGGTCAGGAAAGGTTTCAAGGAAAAGGGTCATTGAGTCAGGACCTGAAGAAGGTGAGGGAACAAGTCTTGTGGATTTCTTGGGGAAAGAACGTTCCAGGCAGAGGAAATAGCCAGTCCAAAGACCCTAAGGTGAGTGTGGCATGTTCAGGAAACATCAAGGAAGTTGGTGTGGCTGCAGCAGAGTGAGGAAGACCATGACCATACATGCCAGTTTGCCTCTGTCAGTCCCAGTTTTACCCTATTATCCTAGTGACCTTCCCTCTTGGAAGTGTCCCAGTTTGAATGATAACTCATTTAGTTGTCCTAAACAAGGTCCAGATCTTGTAAGGCCTTGGATTTGACTCTGAGTTGGGAAGTCACTGGAGGATGACTTTATGTTTTAATGGGATCTCTCTGGCTTCTGTGTAGACTGAACAGTGGGCAGAGGGTGTGGGTGGAATCCGTGGCATCAGTGAAACCTGTTAGGAAGATATTGCTGTAATCTAGACAAGAGATGATGGAGGTTTGGTCATGGAGGTAAGAGTGAAGATAATGAGAAGTGGTTGGATGCTGAATATAGTTTGATGGCTACTAATAGTAACAACTACCATTTATCACCTATTGTATGGCATGTACTTATTAGGTGCTTTACGTAAATATGCTGTAACCCTGACAAAAACCCAGAAGGAGTATTATTCCCATTTTATGAATGAACAAACTGAAGCTCACAGAGGTTAAACAGTTTGATCAGTGGCCAGTCTTGCCATTCTTTATTTGGATTCTGTTTGAATTTTATGTTCATGTCAAGAGGTTATAATATGTGTCAGTTCAAACAAAAAGAAAATTACTACTTAACATTGTAGGTATGAATTCTGCTAAGAATACCAATAGTGTCTTATTTAGTGCATTAGTTATATTCTCAGAATCTGTGTTAATAATGAATATTTTCCATAAAATCAGTTTTCCAGAAACACTAAAGTTCAGTACCTTGAACTTTATACATCATTTGAAATGCTTTCAACCTTGTCATCATGCGTTTATTTATTTATTGTCATCATAAGTAGTTGTTGAATAAGTTTGTCAGCTTTCAGGATGGCAGTTTGAATGTTCAGGTTCTTAGGTTCCTGGTTCTTGTGTTTGTTAACAATTCCCTGCTGTTACATGAGCAGATGTTTGGTTGTGACCATCTTATGTTGACTGAGCATATGATCCTTTTTATAGAAATTAATTTATGGCATATTCCATCTTTGGTATCTCTTTTAACATTCTGCTTCTAGAGGGACCTTTGGGGTCTTTTTCAATATTAATCTTTCTTTGTGTGATATTTCTTTCTTTCTTTTTTCCTTTGATAGACTGGCCGGGTACTCTACACTTGCTTCCAATCCATACAGGCCCAAAAGAGTTCAGAGTAAGTATGAGAGAGACTTATGTGTGTATTGGAGGGCTAATCTCCAATTCAGAGAATTTATTGTTTTGTTTCATTTTATTCCTTTCACTGGTAAGACACTAAGACACTGCATTTTTATTTATACTCATTTACAGCTCTACGATGAGTTAGAATCTCTTTAGCAGCTTGGATACTGGGGACCTAGGAAGCTAGGGTCATATGAGCAGTCTCTTCACTGTAATTACATCACCACAGTCCTGCCTGACATTTCCTTTTGTACACTTATCCTAACTGAGCTGCTATTTTTCCTTTCTCTGGTAAATCATAAATCAAAGACTGAACATGCAGAGTACTAGATTTGTATAGATTCTTGTCTTTGCTGTGTCATAAACTTGATTTAAATGTTTGCATAGATCCATTTCCTTATTGAAATCCAATTCAATCTAAATTAGCAAATCTTTTTTTTTTTTTGAGACAGAGTCTCACTGTGTCACCCAGGCTGGAGTGCAGTGGTGTAATCTTGGCTCAGTGTAACCTCCACCTCCCGGGTTCATGCATTTCTCCTGCCTCAGCCTCCTGAATAGCTGGGACTACAGGCATGTACCACCACGCGCAGCTAATTTTTGTATTTTTAATAGAGATGGGGTTTCACCATGTTGGCCAGGATGGTCTCAAACTCCTGACCTCAGGTGATCCGCCTGCCTCGGCCTCCTAAAATACTGGGATTACAGGTGTCAGCCACTGCACCCGGCCACTAGCAAATCTTAATTGAGTACCTACTATATGCCATGTTCATTCATTGTCTAATTGGGAGATAGAAGCAAATACTGTATTGCCTTTTTTCTTGTCATATTTATCAATTTATTATTATAGCATTGTTTGAAATGTCAAAGAATTGGGAAACAGATGCTCATCAGTACAGAACTGATTAAATAAATTATAATACATTCATATAATGGAATAAAATGCAGCCGTTAAAAAAAAAAAAAGCAAGGAAGCTTGGTAGTAATACACAAATATCTCCAAGATATTTTGTTAAATGGAAATGCAGGGTAGAAGAACAGTAAGCTATGATTTGTGTAAAGATGTAGAAGAGAAATAGATAAATACCTAGTCAAGAAAAATTAATTTTTAAAATTTTCACCACACTAATGCATGCATATGCATGAAAATATTGAGTGGTACAGAAGGGCTTATAATAAATAGTTTCACTCCTCAAATGGAACCACTTCTTTCTCCTTATTTTCCTTTTAGTTCTTCTGTTACTTTGATATCTCTAAATAATATACTTATGATGTTCTTTCTTGATTTACCAGTTTTGGATATTTTCTATTCTTATTTATTATTGTGTTATATTGCTCTCACAAATGAGGATTTAGCTCACTTATACTACCCCATCTCCATTCTCCTCAATGTAGTTATGTTACTATTTTTTGTTCTGTTGGTTACTTTTCTAATCTTAAAGTTTGCTTATTTATTCTATTAACAATTGACAGTAGACAATATTTTTTGGCTCCCTGCTGTTACTTGTAGTTTTACCCTAAGCATTTATATTTTCACAGTTGTAAGCATCTATGTTCTGTGTTGTAACCATAATTGCATTTTCTGTGCTTTGTCTATGGTTGATTCTGAGAGTAGAAAATAAAGTGTTTATATTGTTATTATTATGTAAAGATTATTCTCTGTACAACCAAGCAGTGTAGTGTACTATGATTCCACTTCCTTTCTTACATAGCTTTTTGTTTTTTACATGGGGTTTTGAGTGGCTTTTTCCCCTTATTTTTCTGCCTTTATCATCTCCCAGAGCTCTACATCCTCAGAAGTAATATTAAAATATTTGGAATCCTTGCTTTTCCTAGGATTGCTCCCTTGAAACCCACTATCCTCTTACCCTGATCTGGTATCTTCTCTAGGCCTACTGCACAGCTGACATTCTGGGACTTTCCTTCATTATTCTCCTGGGTTGGATCCATTGTCACCTGGATTTTATGTTATCTTTCTTGGTTCACTGTGTCATTTTGCTGGAAAAGACTCTCTAGTAACTTCCTAAGAATGGTGTGTATTTCAGCTAAACTTTCTGAGTTCTGCTTGTCTGAAATGTTTTTATTCTTAATTAATAACCTTACTAGATAAAGAATTCAAAGTGGAAATTTTCCCCCTCATAACTTTGAAGGCATTGTTTCATTGTTTTTAAACATCCAATGTTACTGATGATAAGCCTTTGTAGGGCATTTTTTTCCCTTCTCTGACAGCTTTTAGGTATCTCTCTTTATTCTTGATGTGAAATTTTCTATGATTTTCTAACTATGATATAGTTAGAATGTGGATATTTTATTCAAACTGCTGTACACTTCAATCAGAAAGTGCTTGTCTTTCAGCTCTGGGCAATTCTCTGTTGTTTTTTGTTTGTTTGTTTTGTATTCCCAGATAAAACAATCCACAACCTACCTAGTTCCTGGAGAGAGGAAATCTTATTTGTAACTCAGTCCAATTCCATAATTTAAACAGTTTCTTCTAGTTTATATTGGTCTTTGGGGAATGACTTCTCATTCCTTCAATTACTTCCGTTACTCCCCATGTTCACTCTAAGATGGCATCAGAAGTATTGGGAAGATGACTTAAATAAAACTACACTGTAAGGAAAGGAGGCTTTCTAGTCTCATGCTGGTTATGGTAGTCAGTGTAGGAGTCCTTGTTCTCATGGTCAGTGTTCTCCTTAATTTATCCAATAGAATCCTGTCTCATGGACTTGAAGTCCTAGCAGAAGGAGATGCATCTCTCACTTCAAGTCCATGAGACAGGATTCTATTGGATAAATTAAGGAGAACACTGGTGATGCTTCCTCTCTCACAGCTCTCTCCTTCCTTTTCCCCCTAAGTTAATAGGACAGAGATATCATATCCTTTTCTCTATTCTTTGATAATTCCTCCCTGTTTTTTTCCCTTTCTTTTTCTAGAACTCCTATCAGTCACAAGTTAAAGGTCCTAAATTGACCTAATGACTCTTTCTTTTTACTCATATTTTCTGTCTCTTTTATTTTGTTCTAGTTTCGGCTTTTTAAAATTTTATCTTCCAACTCTTTTATTTTGGCAATTTTATATTTTTAATTTTCAAGAGTTTTTTCTACATTTGCTGGTTACTCCCATTTCACAGCATCCTTTTTTATTTTATTGATATGATATTGAAAATGTTAGATTGCCTTCTGTTTTTTACAGTTACCTGTTTCCTCTGATAATTTTTTTTTGTTTAATTTTTAAAATCTTCCTTGTCTATCCCTTTTTAAGAATAAAGCAACAAAAAGTGAAGTGGTAGCTCATTATTTGTGGCCTTGGCTTGTCAACATGAGGCTTCACTTTACGGTGAATAGGTTGGGAGCCAGCTCTTTTGTTCAGGTATCACTCTGTTCTAGACCTGAGATATCTTGCTGTGGGACACCAGTCTTAGCCATTGCTGTCATACTTCCTCCCAGACAGTTTATCATTATTATTGTTATCATTATTAACTATTAATTAGAAGAATTCTTGATGCTGCTGTTACTGCAAATGATAATGATTATTATTATTATTATTTTGATAAAAGAATGAAAGCTTGGTTATTAAACATTTGGTGTATACGCAGGCCAAATCATGAAGGAACACAAGAGAGTAGCTAGAGTCTCATTGCTGGTAGGAGGAACAAAAGGGGTCCAAGAAATCACATAAAGGGAGGAACATGATAAAGCAACTTCATAAAGTTGCTTATAAATTTCTGGGCTAATACTTGAGCAATGTATGCATGGATCTGATCCTAATTAGCATAATTTAGAACAGAATTAACCAATAGACCACCGCATAGATCCTATACTGACCACTAGGTGGTGCACATGCAGGTATGATCCAAAGAACACTACAAAGGCTCTGAAAAATTAGAACCGCTGCCTACAGAAGGCTGCGGAAAATTGAACCTGAACCTAACTAGGTGGATTGTTACAAAAGTAACAACATTCTCCATAGAATATAAACAAGACCCAGCGTGTCAACATAATATTCCAAATACTGGGAATCCAATTCAGAATTACTTGGTATGTGAAGAACTGAGAAAATTTCAACTTGCATAGAAAAGGACATTAACAGATGCCAACACTGAGCTGACACCCATGTAGGAATTGTGTGATAAAGACTTTAAAGCAAATACAGATTGAGTATCCTTTATATGAAATACTTTCAGATTTTAGATTTTTTAAGATTTTAGAATATTTGCATTATACTTACTGGTTGAGCATCCCTAATCTGAAAATATGAATTCCACAGTGCTCCAATGGTCATTTTCTTTGAGTGTAATGTTGATTCTTATAGAATAAGAATATAAAGAATGAGAATATTTTTGTATAGCTGTACAGTGTGTTTTAAGCTAAGTGTTACCAGATTCAAAATATTAACAAGTTTATAAAGTAAAAGAGTTACGGTTAATTATTGAAGAAAGAAAAAATTTAGTTTTTATTGTTATTTATTTATTTTTTTGTGATGGAGTTTTGTTCTTGTCACCCAGACTGGAGTACAACGGCAGGATCTAGGCTCACTGCAACCTCCACCTCCCGGGTTCAAGTGATTCTCCTGCCTCAGCCTCCTGAGTAGCTGGGATTACAGGCGTGCACCACCATGCCTGGCTAATTTTTGTATTTTTAGCAGAGATTGAATTTCACCATGTTGGCCAGGCTGGTCTTGAACTCCTGACCTAAGGTGATTCATCCACCTCGGCCTCCCAAAGCGCTGGGATTATAGGCATGAGCCACCGTGCCCAGCCAAGAAAGAAACAATTTTTAATATAGTGTAGCCTAAGTGTTCAGTGTTATAAAGTTTCCAGTAGTGTACAGTAATATCTTAGGCCTTAACATTCCCTCACCACTCACTTAATTGCTCACCCAGAGCAACTTCCAGTCCTGCAAACTCCATTCATGGTAAGTGCCCTATACAGGTGTACTTTTTTTTGGTCTTTTATTCTGTATTTCTACTGTACCTTTTCTGTGTTTAGATACACAAATAGTTGTCATTGTGTTACAGCTGCCTATGGTATTCCATATGATAACATGCTGTACAGGTTTATAGCATGGGAGCAATAGGCTATACCATATAGCCTGGGCATGTAGTAGGCTGTACCATCTTGTTTGGTATAAGTACACTGTATGATGTTTTAATGACAATGAAGTTGCCTAACGATGCATTTCTCAGGACGCATCTCCATCAATAAGTAATGCATGACTGTATATCCATTCGATCAAATATTATTCATAAAAAAGAAACAAAGTATAGAAGCATGCTACAATCTGAAAGAATTTGAAAACATAAGTGAAAGAAGCCACACAAAAAGTCACATATTGTGTGATTTCACTTATAGGAAGTATCCAGAATAGCTAAATCCATAGAGACAGAAAGCAGATTGGTGTTATCCTGGGCTGGTGGGAAGGAAGAATGTCGAGTAACTGTTTAATAGGTACGGGATTTTATTTTGGCGTGATGAAAATGTTTTTGAACCAGATAGAGGTGGTGGTTGTACGATATTGTGAAGGTACTAAATGCCGCTGAATTGTTCACTTTAAAATGGTTAATTTTATGTTATGTGAATTTCACCTAAATTTTAAAAAATGTGTAAAAGGATTTTAATGGACGTTTTTCCAAGGAAGATATACAAGTGGTCAATAAACACGTGAAAAATTGCCCCAAATCATTAGTCTTTAGGGAAATGCAAATAAAAACCACAATGAGACATTACTTCCCACACACTACTACCCAATGTCATCTACAGATCCAGTGTAATCCCTATCAAAATTCCAATAACATTTTTCACAGAGATAGAAATAAAATCATAAAATTCATATGAAACTACAAAAGTTCCTGAATAGCCAAAGCAATCTTGAGAAAGAAGAACAAAGCTGGAGAAATCACACTATGTGATTTCACAGTATATTATAAAGCTATAATAATCAATGCAATATGGTACTGGCATAAAAATAGACACATAGACTAATAGGACAATAGAGAGCCCAGAAATAAACCCATGCTTATGCAGTCAACTAACCGTCAACAAAGATGTCAGGAATATTCAATGGGAAAAGGATAGTCTCTTCAATAAATGATGTTGGGGAAACAAGATACCCACATGCGAAAGAATGGAAGTGGATCCTTATCACACGTATATACAAAAATCAAGTTAAAATGAATTAAAGACTTAAACATAAGACCTGAAAGTGTAAAACTACTAGTGGAAAGCAGAGGAAACACTGCTTGACATTGGTCTTGGCAAAGATTTTATGAATACGACTCCAAAAGCACAGGCAACAAAGGAAAAAAGAAACGGGTGGGACTATATCAAACTAAAACGCCTGCACAGCAAAAGAAACTGAACAAAATGAGAAGGCAACCTACAGAAGGGGAGAAAAATATTTGCAACCCATATATCTGATAAAGGGGCTGATATCCAAAATATATAAAGAACTCATATAGCTCAATAGCGAAAAACCCAAATAATATAATTTATAAATGGGCAAAGATCCTGAATAGACATTTTTCCAAAGAAGACATATAAATGGCCAATAAGTACACGTAAAGGTACTCAGCATCACTAATCCGAGAAATGCAAATCAAAACCATAATGAGTTAGGATGGCTATTATCAAAAAGTCAAAGATAGAAAACAGTATAGAGACTCCTCAAAAAACAAAAAATAGAACTGTCATATGATTCAGCAATCCTATTTCCAGGAGTATATCCAATAAAATTGAAATCAATATCTCAAAAAGGTGTTTTAAAAAACCAGAAAATAACAAGTGTTGGCAAAGACATGGAGAAATTGGAACCCTTGTACACTGTTGGTAGAAATGTAAAATGGTACACCCACTGTGGAAAATGGTATGGTAGTTTCTCAAATCAAGAATATTATTACCATATGATTCAGCAGTTCCACTTTTTGGTATATACCCAAATGAATTGAAAGCAGGGTCTCTCCATCCGGGTTAACACGGTGAAACCCCATCTCTACCAAAACTACAAAAAATTAGCTGGGCGTGGTGGCAGACGCCTGTGGTCCCAGCTACTGGGGAGGCTGAGGCAGGAGAAAGGCGTGAACCCGGGAGGCGGAGCTTGCAGTGAGCCGAGATGGCGCCAGAGTGAGACTCCGTCTCAAAAACAAAAAAAAAGGAAGCAGGGTCTCTAAGAGATAGTTGTGCACCCATGTTCATAGCAGCATTATTTACAACTCAGTTTCTTAGCCTTTTTTAAAAATTCTGCATTTCTCTTTATTAATTTATTCTATTTTCTTTGCATTTTATTGTTGTATTCTAAATTCTTGAGGTGAAAACCAGGTTTATTTTCTGTCTTCCTAGTTTTCTAATAAATACATTTGAGGTCATAAATTTTCCTCTTCACTCTGGGCCCACAGGTTTTGATGTATATATAGTAAGGCAGTTCTGATGTTTTTTGTTTGTTTACTTGTAAATAATTTGTACTTTCCATTTTTATTTTCTCTTCAACCCAAGGGTTATTTAGAAGTGCATTTAAAAATTTAAAATTTTGAAATTTCCAGTTGTTTAGACTTGAGGGAGGGACTAGTATGTTAATTTTTAACACTACATTATGGTAACTGATTGTGGCCTGTGTGGTATCAGCCTTACGGATTTTTAAAATATTTCCTCTGTTACCTAGAACAGGGGTCCACAAACTATAGCTTGTAGGCCAGGTTGGCCTGGGGCCTACATTTGTAAATCACGTTTTATTGGAATATAGCCACATCCATTTATTTACATATTGTCTATGACCCCTTTCCAGCTATGATTGTAGAGCTGACTGTTGTAATAGAGACCCTGTGGCCCACACAGCTTAAAATATGTCTTTACTTCAAGAGTTTGCTGATCCCTGACTTAAAACATAGTCAATTTTCACAGCTTTTTCATTTGGGTTGAAAGTATGTATATTTTCTCTTGGGTACAAGTTCCTTATATCCCCGTCAGAATAAGCTTAAGTTGTGTTATACCAATCCTTATATCCTTCATTGTGGTTTTGATTATTGATATCTGAGAGAGATGTGTATGTATAAACTTCCCATCCCAACTAAATTATTTGTCCACTTTCATATTTTAGTCAGAGTTAGCTTTATATCCTTTGAAGCTGTTTTTTGTTTGTTTGTTTGTTTTAGTGCAGAATATTTACAGGTCATAACTATTAAACTTCTCTGTGTTTTTCCTTCACACAATATGAAATAGTCCTCTTTGTCCTATTTATTTTTTATTTATGCCTTGAATTCTTTCTCTCTAAATAATATTATTGTTCCCGTCAGGATTAGGTTCAGCAGCATATATTAGAAAAAAAAATTTAAATAAGAAATAAAATTAGAAATGTTTTTTTTTTTTTTTTGTGGTAAAAGAAGTCTGGAGATGGATATCAGGTCTCAGGGCTCTGCAGTGTCATCAGGGACCCAGACTCCTCTATTTTGCTTCACCATCTTGGTGTGTGGTTTCCATCCTAAGGTCCCTTCATGGTCCACGAGACTTCTGGAGCTCCAGCCAGCACATCTCCATTGAGGGCCAGAAGGAAGAGGAAAGGTAGGAGGGCAAAAAGGGGCCTGTCCCCCAGCTCAACTGATTTCCAATAAGTGACCTTCCCAGAAGTCCCAGAAAACAATTCCACTTCCATCTCACTGGCAGAACTCAGTCAAGTGGCCATACCTAAGCTGCCAAGGAGACTAGGAAATCTAGTCTTTTACTTCAAGTAGCTCTGTCTTTGCTAAAAATGGACATTCTGTTATCAAGGAGGAAAGTGAGAATGCGCATTTGGAATAGGCAGCCAGCAATCTCTGCCACTGCCCGTTATGTATTATAGTTCTTGTTAGCATTTGTTTGCCTATTATAACTTTTTCCACTCTTTTATTTTTGACCTTCCTCAGTTATTTTGTTTTAGGTATGCCTCTTATAAAATATAGCAAGATCTTGAGTTTTTTGGTTTTAAGCAATCAGGACATTCGTCTCTTAATAGGTGAATGTCATACATTCATTTTATTACCATTGCTGACATATGTGGCAGTATTTCTGCCATTATGTTTTGCCTTCTGTTTGCTATGCTTTTAATTTTTTCCCCTTCCTGTCACTTGCACTCATTGAGTTTTCTGGTGTCTGATTTTTCTGTTTTAGGAATTGTCCTTACTAAATCAATTTTTAAGGTTATTACTCGATGTTTTTTAATATTCCGTTTTGAAATAATATTAGATTTACAGTAAAGTTGTAAGAATAGTATTAAGGATTCCTGTATACCCCTCACCCAGATTCCCCAAATGTTGGTATTTTGTCACATTTCTATTGTCATTTTTTTTCTTTATTGTATGGATATTTTTCCTGTACCATTTGACAGTAAGTTGCACACATGATACCTCTTCAGTAGGCATTTCTGAAAGAACGACGACATTCTCTTACATAACCAGAATATCATTATCCGTATCAGGAAATTAAAATCCTTACAGCATTATTATCTAATCCATAGATAGTATTCAAATGTCATCACCAATTTTTCTAATTACATCCATATAACAGAAGAAAAAACCTTTAGTCTGGTCCTGGATGCAGTCCAAGTTCACACATTGCACGTAATTGTCTTGGCTGTTTAGTTTCCTTTGGCTTGAAACAGTTCTTATGTCTTTTGTGACCTAAACATTTTTGAAGACTACTAAAGGGCAGTTATTTTGGAAAATGTCCTTCATTTTGGATTTGTTCATGTTTTATCATGATTAGATGTAGATTATGCACTTTTCGCAATAATGCCACTGAAGTTATGTTGGTTCTTTTGGTGATTTGTATCAGGAGGCACATGTCAATTTGTTCCATTACTGGTGATTTTAACTTTGACCATGTGCTTCAGGTAGTGCCTGATATGTTTTTCCACTGTAAAGTTAATTATTCCCTTTGATATTAATAAACAGTTGGCCCTCCACATTCATGGATTCTGTTTCCATTGATTCAACCAACCCTGGATCAAAAATATTTGGAAAAAAACTGCATACAGGGTGAACATGTACAGACTTTTTTCTAGTCATTATTCCTTACACAATACAGTATAATAATTTTTTTTTTTTTTGAGACAGGGTCTTGCCTTGTCACCCAGGCTGCAATGCAGTGGTGTGATCACGGCTCACAGCAGCCTTGACCTCCAAGGCTCAAGGGATCCTCCCTCGTCACCCTCCCAAGTAGCTGGGACTACAGGCATGTGCCACCAGGCTTGGCTATTTTCTTTTTTGTATTTTTTATAGAGGTGGGGTTTCGCCATGTTGCCCAGGCTGGTCTCAAACTCCCGGGCTCAAGCGATCTGCCCATCTCAGCCTCCCAAAGTACTGGGACTACAGGCATGCACCAGTGCACCCAGCCTGTATGAGGTATTATAAATAATCTAGAGATGATAAGTCATCTAGAGGGAATTTAAAGTATACAGGAGGATGAGGTTATATGCAAATACTGCACCCTTTTATATCAGGGACTTGAACATCTATGGATTTCAGTGTCTGTGGGAGGTCCTGGAACCAATCCCCAACAGCTACGAAGGGATGACTGTATCTTGTGGGGAGTTTTAGCATTCATCAATTAGTATTTCCTAAATTACTTATTACTAAGATGTTTGTCACATGGCAATGTTCTAATTCCATCATTCCTTCAACATTTACTAGTTGGTATTCTTCTCTAAGAAAGAGTTTTCTCTTCTGCCAATTTGATTATTTGTTCATTTATTTATTTATATTAATGTGAACACCTGGATCCTTATTTTATTCAATGAGTTTTAATCCATTACTATCATTAGTTATTTTGAGGCACCCAGTGTTTCAGAATTGGCTAGTGGAAGCTTTTCCTGTGTTATTTTGACCTACTCCCATCTTTCTTTGATTTTCTAGCACAAGTAGATGTTCCAGGTTTGTCTCATTCTTTCCTCTACCCAGCCTGGATTCATTATTTCTCCAAGGAGCCTTGGTTCTTTGTAATTCTTTTCTTCCATCATGCCCTATCACTTCTCTAACCACAGAAAACCCTGATCTACTATTAGTACAGATTGGTCTTCATTTTCTAGATTTTTTTGTATATGGAATCATAGAGTATGTACTTTTTTGTCTGTCTCTTTTCATACATCGTAATTATTCTGAGATTCAGCCATGTCACAGCATGTATCAATAGTCTGTCCTTTTTATTACAGAATAATATTAAATTGTATAAATATTACCACAATATGTTTATCCATTCACCTGTTGATGGATATTTGAGTTATTTATAGTTTTTGTCTATTACAAATAAAGCTGCTTAGAACATTTGTATATAGGTCTTGGTGTGGATATATGCCTTTCCTTTCCTTGGGGAAATACCTAGGATCACACTGGCTGAACATACAGTAGTCTTCCAAAGTATGGACATGGTATATCTCTCCATTTATTTAGGTCTTTAATTATCTCAGTAATGGTTTGTGGTTTTCAATATACAGGTCTTCCATATCTTTTGTCATATTTATCCCTATACATTTCATGTATTTATATTATTGTAAATGTGATTGTATTAATTTCAATTTCCTATTCATTGCTACTATATAAAAGTACAATTCATTTTTGTATATTGAGTTAATATCCTACAACCTTGCTAAATTCAATTACTTTTAATAGCTTTTTTGAAGGGTCCATTGGATTATCTACAGGCGATTATGTCATCTGTGATTAAAGGCAGTTTCACTTGTTTCTTTCCAATGTGGATGCCTTCTGTTTATTTATTTATTTTTTTGCCTTATTGCGTTGTTAGAACCTCTAATAAGCTGTTGAATACAGCTGGTAAGAGCGGTCATGGTAACTTTGTTCCTAATCTTTGGAGAAATCATTTACTCTTTCACCATTAAGTATGATGTTACCTGAAGATTTTTCATAGATTCCTTTAATCAGTTTGAGGAAGTTTCTTCAATTCCTGGATTGATAAGAAAATGTTTTCAACAAAAACAGATGTTGTATTTTGTCAAATGGTTATCTCCTTTATAGACTAATTAGCTGTAGTCTTTTGTTATTTCAGTGGTTGCTTTAGGGTTTTTCACAGGGTCTGTCAACATTGGCACTATTGACATTTTGGGTCACATAGTTTTTGTGTGTGTGTGTGTGCGTGTGTGTGTGTTGTCATAATCAGAAACATCTCCAGACACAGCCAAATGTTTTCTGCAGGGAAAAATTACCCCTGGTTGAAAACCACTAGTTTATAGTATACATCTTTTACGTATCACAGTCTGTCTTCGAGTGATATTTTACTAGTTCATACGTAGTATAAGAATCTTGCAACATCATACTTTCATTTCTCGCCTCCTGGCCTTTGTGCCATTGTGGTCATACATTTTACTTGTATGTATAAGTTTTATTTAAACAGTTTATTATCTTTTCAAGAAATTTAAATAAGAAAAGTCTTTGTATTTAACCATATGGTTAGTCATTTCTAGTGCTCTTAGTTTCTTTGTTTACATCTGGTATCATTTTCTCTCTTCTTGAAGAACATCCTTTAATGTGTCTTGTAGTGTAGCTCTGCCGGTGCTATATTCTTTTGACTTTGATATATCTGAAAAAAGTCTTTGCCTTCATTTTTTGAAAGATATTTTCGATGGGTAAAGAACTCTAGGTTGCCTTTTTTACATTCAGAACTATAAAGATATTTCTCCGCTGTTCAACAAGAAAGTGGCTGACATTTTTACCTTTGTCTACTCTACTTAATGTGTCCTTTTTTAAGGCTTCTTTTAAGATTTTGTTTTTATCACTGGCTTTAAACCATTTGAGTATAAGTGTATCATGGTGTAATTGTTTCCTGTGCTTGGGTTTCATTGAGCTGCTTGGATCTGTGGATTTATGTATTTTTTTTCATCAAATTTACAAAAACTTCAGACATTATTTCCACTAGTTTTTTATGTCCCACTTTCTCCTCTCCTTTAGGTGTTTCAACTAACCATATATTTGGCCACTTAATGTTACCTCACAGTTCACTGATGCTCTGTTCATTGTTTTTCAGTCTTTTTTTTTTCTATCTGTGATTTGTTCTGTATAGTTTCTATTGCTGTCTTCTAGTTTACTCATCTTTCTTTCTGCAATGTTAAATTTACCATTAATCCTGTCCACTGTATGTTTTAATTTTTATTTATTTATTTTTTTAGAGACAGGGTCACGCTCTGTCACCTAGGCTGGAGTGCAGTCTAAAAGTCTCATTTGGATCTTTTAAATTTTTTCTTTTCTATACTTAACATGTTTAATCTTCTAGCTTCTTGAACATACAAAATAGTTATAATATTCATTTTAATGTTTTTGTCCTCCAATTTTGTCACTAAATCAGCATCATTCTGGGCCAATTCCAATTCATTTCCTCTCCTTATAGGTTGGACTCTTCTGCTGCTTTTCATGCCTGATAATTTTTGATTGGATGCAGACACTGTGAATTTTACCTTATTGGGTACTAGATATATTTGTATTCCTAAAAATATTCTTGAGTTTTGTTTCAAGATACTGTTAAAATTATTAGGAAACATTCCTATCCCTTTGGATCTTGCTTTTAAGCTTTGTTAGGCAGAAACAAAGCAGTGTTTAATATAAGGTTCATTTTTTCCCCACTACTGAGGCAAGACCCTTTTTAATACTCTGATGCTTCCAATATTATGAGATTTTCCATTCGGACTGTTGAAAATAGATGCTATTCCTGCCCCTGTGCATACTTTGGAGTTCACTGGAGGGTCTGGACATGTTGTTTCTCTTCCTATGCAGCTCTTTCCTCTACGGTACTTTACTTTGCAAACACAAGCTATCTTGGCCTTCCCAGAGTCTCAGCTCCATTTTCTCAACTCGGCATCTGCCAAGCCCTACCTGGGGGTTCTCCTTGTGCTTCAGCTGGGAAACTTTCTCCAGTTTACCTCTGAGTTCAACCTGATAACTCCAATTCTATTTCCATACTTTAAGGTTCATCCTAGCATTCTCCTTTTTCATATTCACAGTTCTTTTTATTAAGCTTTATTGAGGTATAATTAACATGCAGAATTGCACATATTTAATGTACACATTTTGATGAGTTTGGACATATGCCTAAGAGTGTATACTCAAAATACTTAGCTGGGTTCAGTCTATTTTCCCCCTGACCACTTCAGTGTGGTTATATGATTTATTTGAAAGACAGCTTTTTCTTGTTTGCTTGTTTTCCATTTTAGGATTTTTTTTAACTCATACTTTTTTCCCTTTTAGAGTATATGAAACATCAACATGGTTCAAAAAGTCAAAAGTCAGAACTATATAGAGTTAATTTTGTATAGACTAAGATATGAATCTAATTTTATCTCTTTCTAAATGGCAATCTACCTGTTACAAAACCATTGTTTAAAAAGTTTGTGTTAGGTGGGCACAGTGGCTCATGTCTGTAATCCCAGCACTTTGGGAGGCCGAGGCGCGTGGATCACTTGAGGTCAGGAGTTCGAGAACAGCCTGCCCAACATGGTGAAACCCCATCTCTACTAAAAATACAAAAATTAGCCAAGTGTGGTGGCGCATGCCTGTAATCCCAGCTACTCGGGAGGCTGAGGCAGGAGAATTGCTTGAACCCGGGAGGCGGAGGTTGCAGTGAGCCGAGATTGTGCCACTGCCCTCCAGCCTGGGCGACAGAGTGAGGGAAAATAATAATTAAAAAAAAGCTTATCTTCATGTCAGCAATTTTACATGCCACCTTTTACCATATATGAAAGCTCCCTATTCACTTGGATCTCTTTCTTTTTATTCTGTCTGTCCATTTAGTTACCATCACATAAATTATGGTGGCTTTATTGTATGTTTTATTATCCATAGGGCTAGTCTCCATTGTAGCTTTTCTTTTCTCAGTGTTTCCCTGACTATTCTTTTTGTTTTGTTTTGTTTTGAGACGGAGTCTCGCCCAGTTGTCCAGGCTGGAGTGCAGTGGTGCGATCTTGGCTCACAGCAGCCTCTGCCTCCCGGGATCAAGCTGTTCTCCTGTCTCAGACTCCTGAGTAGCAGGGATTACAGGCACGTGCCATCACACCTGGCTAATTTTTGTATTTTTAGTGGAGACAGGGTTTCACCATGTTGCCCAAGCTGGTCTCGAACTCCCAACCTCCCAAAGTGCTGGGATTACAGGTGTGAGCCCAGGCTTGAGCCACCACGCCCATCCAAGACCCTGACTATTCTTACATGTTTGGTTTTTCATGTGAACCTTACTATCAACTTGTCTAGCTCCAGATAAAAACTTTTTGATATTTCTATTGAGATTGTGTTAAATTTATAAATTAATCTGTGATGTTGCATCATCCTATCCAAGAGCACTGGCTGTCTTTCCACTTGCTGTAGTCTACTTTTGTGTCTTTCGGGAGTGTTGTTTTTCTCATATAGGTTTTGTATATGTCATACTGAAATTTATTCTTAAGCATTTAACTTCTTTTTTGCTTTGTTAATGTTTTTTTTCTATTACATCCTCTGTTTTTTGCTTGTATATTTGAAGGCTACTATTTCTGTATGTAAATTTTTATCTTCCTGAATTCTTTTGTTCTTTGAGTTAATTATACCTTTATTTCTCTAGAGCTTTCCAGATAAGTATCACACTCCATCTGCAAATACTTTTACTTATTTCCCAATTCCTAAACCTCTAATTGATTCCTTAAATATAACTGCATTGCCTAATATCTTCTTTAGAACATTAAATAGTAGTGGAAATAGTAGATGATCTTGTTTTGTTTCTGATCCTTATGGAAATTCCTGTAGCATTTCTTCATTAAGAAAGATTCTGTATTCAGGAAAAATCATAAGTGCTATCAGAAATATTCTTTTTTTGTACTGTCTTTATCAGGTTTAGGTATATATATTACACTTGCTTCAGAAGAATTGTTTGGAGTTTTCTTTCACTGTCTAGGCTGTGACAGAAATGTAAGTAGCAGTGAGACAATCAGTTCTTTGACAATTCCTCTATGAAATCAACTAGGCCTTTTTGTGTTTCTCCTCTGGGAATTTATCTGTTTATGCTTTCTTTCTGTAATGGGGTCAATTTTGGTACAGTTTCCTAAGAAATTATTCATTTTTTATGGTTTGCAAATTTATTTACACAGAGATCTCTCTGCCAGATAGTCTGTCATATTTTAAATCTCTTGTATTTCAATAGTTATCTCCCCCTTGTCATTTCATATTTTGTATATTTGTGCTATTTCTTTTTTCCCTTGGTTATGTTAGCCAGTGGTGTGTCAATTTTGTTATTTTTCCTTGAAACACTGATTTTTATTTAGTTATTTTTTTTCTATTCCCAACCTTACTACTTTTTCTTTTATGTTTATTATTTCCTTCCTTATGTTTCATTTTGGTCATTTTGTTGTGCTTATCTTAGCATTTGGAGTTTGGAATTTAATGAGTATATTTTTTGTCTTTCATTATTATTGATATAAATGCTTAAGGCTGTGAATTTTCCACTGATCTTTGCTTTAAATATATCCCATAGATGCTAAGTAGTATTTTTATTTATTTTTTTTTTTAAAAGTTCTTTAATTTTAGCACTCACCCATTTTACTTCCTTTCAATTTGGTATCATGGTGTAGCTATTCTAAAATGATCCTGCTCCCTAATGCCCTCAGAATAAAGCCCCAAACCTGCAGCCCTTCATGGTTTGCTTATTTCTCCAGCCATGTTCTCTCTCTGTCATATGCTCACTCTGCCTACAGTTTCCTTTTTCCTTATACCACCTGGCCAATGTCTAGTCATTTTTGAAGATGAAGATCAAATTTAGGAATCCTTCTCTGATAATTCTCAACCCCCAATACCATCCCAGTTAAGCATTCCTCCTGGAAACTTAATAAAATCATATACTTCCTTTTTGTAATACTTATAACATTATATTTTAATATTTTGTTTTTCCACTAACATTGTAAGATCCTTGAAAGAAGGTATGCTTTTTTATTACTGTTCCCATGGTGTTCAGTAAATATTTGTTTAGTGTCCCTTCAGCTGTAGATTTCAAAACTACTATTTTAATGCATACATTCTGACCTGTGAGCTCTAGCATACTCTAGAGCTTCTTTGTCATAAACTTAGTTTGGTTGGTTGGTCTTAGCTTTTCAATTGAAGTGTAACATACAGAAAAGTACACAAATTACAAGTGTCCAGCTCAATCAATTTTCACAAAATGAAAACACCTATGCAACCACAACCCAGATCAGCTCCATGAATTTTTACAAGGTGAACGCCTGTGAAACTGTACTACATATCAAGAAATAGAACCTTACCAGCCCTCCAGAAGCCTCCTTTGTGACTCCTCTCAATTGTTATGCCCTTGTTTTTTTCCCAAAGGTAACCATTATCCTAATCTCTAACAACACAGATTAATTTTGTCTGTTTTTGAATTTTATATAAATGGGAAAATACGGTAAGTACAACTTTGTGTATGGCTTCTTTCACTCTGTTATGGTAGTTCTTTTTTATTGCTGTGTAATATTTCATTGTTGGAAATTACCACAATTTACTTATATGTTCTATTGTTAGGCATTTGGGTTGTTTCCAATTTGGGGCTCTTATGAATAAAGCTGCTATGAAAATAATCCTTACATAAGCCTCTTTTTGCCCATGTGAATGCATATCTTTTCAGTATGTACACAGAAGTGGAATTGCTGGGTTATCACTTTAGTAGAATAGTTTCCAAATTCACATCCTTGCCAACAGTGTATGAAGGTTTTCACAGCTTAACAGCTTCACTGACAATTAGTATTTTCTGACTTTTTCATTTTTTGCAGTTCTGGTGAGTGTGCAGTAGTATCTTATTGTGGTTTTAATTTGGATTTCCCCAGTGACTAATTAGGTTGAACACCTTTTCAAATGTTTATAGGCTTTTTGGATATCCCCTCATGTATAAGTCATATTCATTTTTCTTTAACTTTCTTAGTACTTCAAAAGAATTCCAGTATGTTCTGGATACAAGCTGTCAGCTATACCTATTCCAAGTATCTACTCTCTCACCCTGACCTGGTTTTCACTATCTTAATGGTATCATTTGATGAGCCTAAGTTGTTTATTTAATATAATAGTCCAAATTATCTTTTTATCTTTTCGATCTAGTGCTTTTTAGTGTCCTACACTATTTAAGACATCTTTCCCTATCTGGAAGAGATGCTTTATTATTTCACCATTCGTGCTTAAATCTACAATCTACTTAGTGTTAACTTTAGGATATGATGTGGGATGTGAGTTGACATTCCCTTTTTCCCACGTGTGTATCCAATTGACCTGGCACCATTTATTGCTGCCTTGCCACTTTGCCTTAAATCAGTCGTCCCTATATATATGATTATGTTTCTGGACTCTAGGCGAATTCTGTTTTGTCTATGTGTCTATCCTTGTGTCAGTAACACACTTAGTTGCTGTAGCTTTATAATAAGTCTTGATGATATGCGGTAACATTAGTTCTCCCCTTTGTTGTTATTCTTCAAGACTGTCTTGGCTATTCTTCGCCCTTTGTAGCCCCATATAAATTTTAAAATCGGTTTGTTGATTTCCACAAGAAAACTTGCTGAAACATGTCAGCTGAAATTTGACTGGGATAGAATTGAATCCATTCATCAATTTGATGTATCCCTCCATTTATTTAGATTTTAATTTCTCTATCTTTTGTATTTTTCTGTGAAACATCTGAAAAGATTGCACACATCTTTCATTTAAATTATTCTTGGGAATTTGGTGTTTTATGTTATTGTAATTGGTATCTTTTCATAATTTTCCAGTTGGTACCGGTTATTTAGATAGCAAATTGATATATGTATATTGGCTTTATATCCAGCAGCCTTATGGATATAAATGTACTTATTAATCCTAATGATTTATCTGCAGATTTTATTTCCTTGGGATTTTCTATGTAAACAGTCATGTCTTCCATAAACAAGGGCAATTTAATTTCACCCTTTCCAATCTTTACACCTTTTTATTTCTCTTTCATGCCTTATTATACTGTCTCAGTCTTCCAGTAAAATTTATGAATAAAATGTAAAAGAGAATGCTTTAAAATTTCCCAATTATCTCTGGTGTTTAATTTAGCTTTTCTGTAGTTAGCCTCTATCATATTAAGGAAGTTCCCTTGTATTTCTAGTATTCTAAGCCTCTTTTTTATGATTGAATGTTGAATTTTATCAAATGCTCCTTCTGCATTTATTAAGATAATCATATGATTATTTGCCTTAATGTGGTAAGTCGCATGAACTGATTTCTGAATCTTAACCCAGCTTTGCATTCCTTAGTCACTGTATATTATCTCTTTAGTGTATTCACTAGGCTAATCTTTTTAGGAATTATATATCTTTTTCATAAATAAGATTGATCCATAATTTTCTTTTCTTTAAACACCTTTGCTAGATTTTGATATCATGGTTTTGCTGGCTGCATAGTACAAAGTAGAAAATGTTCCCATATCTCGATTTTCTGAAATGGTTTGTGTAAGTTTGGGTTTTTTCTTTAAATGTTTGATAGAATGTAACAGATTAGCAATGTCAGTGTGGAGTTTTCTTTGTGTAAAGTTTTAAATTATAGGTTCAGTTTCTTTAAAATATGTAGGATTATTCTGATTTTCTGTATCGTTTTAGTTTTGGCAAGTTGTGCTTTTCTAGGAATTTATCCTAGAACTTTAGTTTACATTGTTCACAATATCTTCTTATTATTCTTTTAAAGTTTGTAGGATCCGAAGTGATTTCTCTTTTTTCATTCCTTACATTAGTAATTTTTGTGTTCTCTGTTTTTACCTTGATCAGTCTTGGTGGGGGTTTATTAATGATATCAGTCTTTTCAAAAGAGCCATAAATGTCCCTTTAAGCACTGCTTTGGGTACATCCATAATTTTTATTTACTATCCTTCAGTTCAAAGTATTTCCCTTGTGATATTATTACCCTTGTGATTTACTTTGATGTAGGTGTTATTTAGAAATATTTCATAAGATGAAATCAACACATGCTGCCCCTATATCTCACTGAACTCAACTATATACTCTGGAAAGAATGCCAAGCCTAGCTATTTGTGAACTCTGGAATGTAAATAACAGGCAGATTGGAGAAGGGCCCCAAAACTCAAAATACCACAGAAGTGGGGATATAAACAAGATCCAAAGTCTCATAACTTAATATCCAAAATAACCAGGACATAAACCAAAGTTATTTAACATATTAAGAACCACAGAAATCTCATCTTGTATGGGAGAAGATAATCAACAGATACAAAAGGCAAGATGACACTTATGTTGGAAATATCTGACAAGACTTTAAAAGCTGCCATTATGAAAATGCTCAAGCTATCAGTCACAAAAATGTTGCAACAAATATTTAAAAAGAAAAAGTATCATATAAGAAATAGAAGATAAAAAGAAGCAAATGTAAATTTTACAACTGAAAAATATAACAACCAAAAATTTTAAACTCTAGATTAAAAGTGAGAATGCAGTGGAAATGCCAGAGGAAAGAGTCAGTAAACTTGAAGATAGATTAATAGAATTATCCAAGCTGGATAACAGACAGAAAAGACTGGGAAAAAAGGGACAGAGTTTCAGAGAACTGTAGAAAAACCACAAAAGGTAGCAAAGGATAGACATATAAATCAGTGGAATAGAATTGTGAGTCCATAAGTCAACCTGTACATTTCTGGTCAATTGATCTTCAACAACTGTGCCATGATAATTCAACAGGGAAATAAGAGGCAATTCAACAAATGGTGCTGGGACAGCTGGATATCCACATGCAAAAAGAATAATGCTGGACCACTATCTTCACCCAATATACAAAAATTAAAATGGATCAAAGATCTAAATAGAAGAGCTAAAACAATACAACTTTAGAAGAAAACATAGGGGTACATCTTCATGACCTTCAATTTGGCACTAATTTCTTAAATATGACATCAAATGCACAAGGGAGAAAGGAAAAACAGATAAATTGGATTTGATAAAAATTAAAAACTTTTGTGCATCACAGCACATTATCAAGAAGGTGAAAATAACCTACAGAATCAGAAAAAATAGTGGCAAATTACAAAAAGCAGTCTCCCCTTATCTTTGGGGAATATGTTCCAAGAACCCCAGTGGAGGCCTGAAACCACAGATAGTACTGACCCCTATTACACCATGTTTTCTTATACACGCACACCTGTGATAAAGTTTAGTTTATAAATTAGGCACAGTATGAGATTAACAACAACAATAGTAAAATAGAACAATTATAACAATATATTGTTCACAATTTCAAAGATAGAAGATTTGTTCTTACTATAGGCCTTAGCAGCATTAGCATATGATATGTTCTCGTTTTTTAAAATTAAGTTGGATACTTTTCATCATTTCACTTAAATGAAGCACTTTAGGGCTTCTCTTTGGCATAGCAGAACTGCCAACATTGCTGCTCCTATGTTCTGGGGCCATTATTAAGTAAAATAAGGGTTATTTGAACATTAGAACTGCAATACCGTGACAGTCAATCTGATGGTTACCAAGTGACTAATGGGCAGGTATCATATACAGTATGGATCAGATGGACAAAGGGTTGATTCATATCCTGGGCAGGTTAGAGCAGGATGGCGTAAGATTTCATCATGCTACTCAGAAAGGTCTGCAACTTAAAGCTTATGAATTGTTTATTTCTAGAATTTTTCATCTAACATTTTTGGACCGTGGTTGACCACAGGTAACTGAAACCATGGAAAGTAAAACCAAGGATAAGAGAGGACTACATATTTGATAATGGTATAGCATCCAGAATAGGTAAAGAATTCTTACAACTCAAAAATAAAAGGACATACACTTCAATTTAAAAATAAGCATTCAACACAGGACTGGAATTCCTAGCCAAAACAATTAAGCAAGAACAAGAAATAAAAGGCATCCACATTGGAAAGGAAGATGTAAGTTTATCTCTCTGTTCACACATGAAATATATGTGGAAACCTCACAAAACTGTTAGAACTAATAAGCAAAAAGAAAGTTGCAGGATACAAAAATCAACAAACCAAAATCTATTTTATTTCCGTATACTAACAATGAATAATCAGAAAAGGAAATTTAGAAAATCTCATTTACAATAATATCAAAAAGAATAAAATAATTAGGCATAAACTTAACCAAGGAGGTGAAAGACTTATATATTCAAAACTACAAAATGTTGCTGGAAGAAGTTACAGACACAAATAAATGGAAAGACATCTCATGTTCATGGATTGGATAAATTAATATTGTTAAGATATCATACTACTCAAAGTGATCTGTAGATTTAATGCAATCACTGTAAACATCCCAATGGCTTGCTTGCTTTTTTTTTTTTTTTTTTTTTTTTTTTGATGGAGTCTCACTCTGTCACCCAGGCTGGCCATTTTAAGTTGATACGGAATCTCGGGGGACCTTGAATAGCCAAAACAAGTTCGAAAAAGAACCAATTTGGGCAATTCACACTGCCTGGTTTCAAAAGTAACTACAAAGCTACAGTCATCAAAACAGTGTGGTATCAATGAAACAGAATGGTCAGCCCAGATTTAAACCCTTGCATATGGTCAAGCAAACTTCAACAAGGATACCAACACCACTAAATGGGAAAAAGACAGTCTCTTTAATAAATGATACTGGGAAAACTGAATATTCACATGCAAAAGAAAGAAGCTGGACCCTTATCTTACACCGTATATAAAACTTAAATGAATTAAAGACCAAAATATAAGACCCCGAACTACAAAACTAGCAGAAAACATAGGGAAAAAGCTTCATGACATTGGATTTGACAATAATTTCTTGAATATGACACCAAAAGCACAGCTAACAAAAGCAAAATAGACAAATGAGACTACATCCAGCTTTAAAACTTATGTGCACGAAAGGAAGCAATGAACTGAGTGAAAAGGCAACCTATGGAATGGGAGAAAATATTTGCAAATCATATATTTAATAAGGGGTCAATATCCAGAATATATAAAGAACTCCTACACTCAACAACAAAAAAATCTGATTTTAAAATGGGCAAAGGACTTAAAGTGATATTTCTCTTGGTCAACAAGCATATGAAAGAGTGTTCAATATCACTAATTGTCAGAGAAATGCAAATCAAAACCACAATGAGATACCACCTCACACCCATTATGACAGCTACTATCTAACAAAATCAGAAAATAACAAGTGTTGGTGGGAATATGGAGGAGTTGGAGCCCTTGTACATTATTGTTGAGATTGTAGAGTGGTGCAATAAGCCTGTAGTTTCTTTAAAAACCTAAAAATAGATCTACTATATGATCTACCAGTCTCACTTCTTGGGTGTATATCCAAAAGAATTAAAAGCAAGATCTCAAATAGGTATTTACATACCTATGTTCACAGCATTATTCACAATAGTCTAGAAGTAAAAGCATCCCACATGTCCATTGATGGATAAATGGACCAACAAAATGCAACGTAACATATAATGGAATACTATACAACCTTAAAAATAAAGGAAAACCTGTTACAACCTACAGCATGAAAGAACCCTGAGAATATTATGCTAAGTGAAATAAGCTATTCACAAAAGGACAGATGCAGCATTTTTCTATTTATATAAGGTATCTAATGATCATAGATATACAAAGTAGAATGGTGGTCACCAGGGGCCGGGAGAAGGGAGAAAGGGGAGTTTCAGTTCTGCAAGGTGAGAATGTTTTGAAGATCTGTTTCATAACAATGTTAATATACTTACATTACTGAACTGTACACTTAAAATGGTTGATAGTAAATTTTATTTTTTTAACCACAATTAAAAAAAAAAACCCAAATGGACATTGTAAAAGTGGAAAATACCTAAAATTAAGAAATCACCAGAGGGACTAGCAGGAGACTCAGGTATAGCAGAAGGGATCAGTGACAAAGACAGGTTGATAAAATATACCCTAAATGAAGCAAAGAGTTAAAAAAAAAAAGAGAATGAAATAGAAGAATGGCATGTGACAGAACTGTGAGGCAGTGTGAACCATTTTAATTTACATGTAATTGGAGCACCAGAAGTAGACAAAGAATGCCTAAAGAGATAATGGCTAAGAATTCTCTAAAAACTGATTCATACCCATAGATGCATGAATCTCAGCCAATCACAAGCAATATGAACATAAGCAAACTAAAATAGGCACATTATAGCAGCTAAAGGAATAAAAGATATATTACAAATAGTGGAGAAATACAATGATAAGAACGATGGCTGACTTCTCATCAGAACCCTGGGAGGCTGGAAGATGATGGGGTGACATCTTTAATGTGCATGAAGAAAAAAGCTATCAACCCCAGAATTTTATATTAAGACAAACCAGACATTTTTATGGAAAAAAGCAGGCAGAATTAATCTGGAGAATTCACTACAAGAAATATTAAAAGTTCTTCAGACTGAAAATATATGATTTTAGATGGAAGCACACCCTGACTACTTGGGTGTGGGGAGGGGAGGGCTTGTAATGCCCCACCATTTGTGTTCCATCTAGGTTGTGGTATGGGGACTAGACATGTTCTGCTGGGATGGGGAAGCTAGATCTTAAGCTGCCTTACCACCATGTGCCAGTGGGGCCTCACAGTGCCAGGGGCCTTCAACCTGAATTCTCCACTGAACCTGCTGGTAGGTAGAGTTTAGGTGTATTTGGGGTGAGAAGTGGGTAGAGGTAGATTGGTTGGGCCTTAGTAACAAACATTTCTGTTTCTCCCACTCTAGCATGAGCATGTGAATATTTGTGAATTTCTTACCTATTTCCCCCCAGGGGAGAAAATGGGAAGTGAGGGCCACTGGTAAACACTGAGTTAGAACAAGTGAGTAATCCCACCTACATAATGAATGTGATGGAGTCATTGAAGAGTCTGTAGTTCCTCTTCTCCAGACTTTTGTGATTAATTTGTTCAACCTCACTGGCAACTTCTTGACTGAAGACAGTATTAATTAGCTATTTCCCCTGACTGGGGAGCAGACGTAAGGACCTTGAGCTCTCAAGGCTTCTCTTAAATTTACAGAAGTGGTCTTAGATTCTCTATGGAACTAGGGAATACTGGCTCTGCAGACGGGCTTTTAGTTTGCTCTCCAGACGAACCCAGTTTGAACTCTATCCACTTTGAAGTTGCATCACTAAATGAATTACAGCAATGCTTAATCTTTAAAGTATGCCATATCCCAAACTTCCAATTAAAACTGTAGAGAACTTCTGATTATAACAACTCAGGGTTTAAAAACTGACCTGAACTGATTGCCTCACAGGTATGAGAGAATCGAAATCCCAATCCATATTGTACCTCATGTCACTATCGGGAAAGTGTGCCTTGAATCAGCAGTAGAGCTGCCCAAGATCCTGTGCCAGGAGGAGCAGGATGCGTATAGGAGGATCCACAGGTAGAGACCCTCTTCACTCCTCTTCTCTACTTCTCAGGACCTAGTCTCTCTTTTCTTCTTCTGTCCTTTTCTCTTTAGCAGCTCAACTCTTGAGGCCCCTTCTTTTTGCCTCTCTGGGAAGCTTTCTAGCAGTCTCCAATCATAATGTTTCTCACGTTGTATGATAATTTCTTCAACATTTGTTTTTCTCCTGCTACTTTGGATCTTTCAAGGGCAAGGATGCTTTCTTTTTTGGTTGAGAAAAGAGGATAATCCACAACATCTTAATCCTGTTGCCAAGCACTAGGTCTTGCCCAATAAATTTGTACTAAGTCAGAGCTTTGGTGAGAGACAGCAATTTCAAAATTATCACTTTGAATTATCTTTGAATAAAATCACATCCCCCAAATCATCAAGAAGTTGATATTGGGGATTTAAATACTACATATTCATCTAATACAGTTGGCAACGGTATAGTCCATGACCATTTTGCTTTCCCTTCAGTGCTGCTTTGCCACTAACCTAAACTATTTTATTCTTTAGCCTTACACATCTGGACTCAGTAACCAAGATCCATAATGGCTCAGGTAAGAATTGTTTCTTGAGTACTCAGCATTTTTTCTGACTATTTCCCTGAAACACTCAGCTGACAGATGCAAATTTAGTTTAAGTGAGTGAAGTGATGGGTACAAGTTGTCTTCAGGCTTCCTTTCCCAAGGGTTTTCCTGATCCTGAGCCCAACATTTCTTGTAAACTCTGGGGATCCATGAATACTATAAATACAGCCTAGAGTAAGACAGGAGGAAAGACAGGAAAGAGCTTTATGATAGACCTACTCAGTGATATACTGGCACACATTTAACAACCAGATCTCAAGGAGCAGGGAGGACCCTGATTTGTCGTGTTTGACGGTTTCCATGGTGTAATGCCCCTGGCATGGCTGGTTTCAAGCAACTAACATGTCATCAACTAGCTTATAAACTTCTTGGAATTTTAATAGTTGGCTTTTGTGAGCTGGCATGAATTGGTTCCAGCATAACACTACCAGCCTGTCGTGGTGGGAACTGAAAGAGATGGATGGATACACAGATAGAGAGATAAAAGGGAAGGCATGAGGGAGAAAATCTTTTGATGTCAATAAATATAAAAGTAATTTTTGTACAAGGCAAAGGAACAAAAAGCTGAATACAATATATATACTAATTCACTTGTCCCTAACATACACATTGCCCCAGCCACACTTTCTGTCTGAGTAACCCTGACTTCTGGGTCATTCTGTGCACTCTTCCCCAGTTACTTCCAAAGTCACCAGTGAGGAAGAAGGGGAGGCTTTTGAGTGTTATAGGCGGTTACTTTTCAAAGAAAAGGGAGAAATGGCTTGGTCTATCTGTCCCATAATTTCGGTCTCAGGATAAAACATGACAGAGTTAAAAGTTGGTAATATATGATATATAACCATATTCTAAAGCCACAGTAATTTAAAAAGTATAAATAATAGCTCAAAATAAACAAATAGATCAGTGGAACTGAACAGAGTCCAGAGATAGGCCTATGTATATATAAGAATTTATATTTAGCAAAGATATTACTTTAAATAAATGAAAAAAGCATGAATTATTTACTAAATAGGATTGGGACAGTTCATTTCTTTCTTTGTTCATTCAGGAAACATTTGAGTGCTATTCCAGGCACTAAGGTACAGTGCTGAACAAAAGAGACAGTTTTAACCTTCATGGAGTTAACATTCTTTTATTTCCATTTGGGGGAAAATAGATTCCTACCTAATACCCTACACAAAAAATAAATTCCAGATATATTTAAACTTTTACTATTGTGGTACAACCACTTTAGAAAAGAGGTTGGCAATTATACTTGCCAAATGTCATACCAGTTCCTTTCCTAGGTATATACGTCAAAGAATTGAAAACAGCTGCTCAAACAAAAACTTGTACACAAATGTTTACAGCAGCATTATTCACAATAGCCAAAAGGTAGAAACAACACAAATGTGTATCAGTGGGTGAATGGATAAACTCTGATATATCCATATAATGGAGTACAACTCAACAATAAAAAGAACAAACTACTGAAACATGAACAAAAAGGACGCGTCTCAAGAACATTATGCCAGGTGAAGGAAGCATCACACAAAAGGCTACATACTCCATGGTTCCAAATTCAAGAATAAGCAAAACTAATCTATGGTGTGGTAGCTGCCTGGGCCCAGGGGTGAAGGGGCATTTGATGCAAAGGGAACTGCGGAGGGTATTGTTTGAGGGTGGTGGAAATGGTATGTATCTTGACTAGCACTGGTTACATAGGATGTCTTAGTTCATTTTGTGTTGTTATGAAGGAATACCTGAGGCTGGGTAATTTATAAAGAAAAGAGGCTTACTTGGCTTTACAGTTTTGCAGACTGAACAAGAAGCATGGTGCTGGCACCTGCATTTGGTGAGGGCTTCAGGCTGCTTCCACTTGTGACAGAAGGCAAAGGGGAGCTTGTGTATGCAGACATCATGTGGCAACAGAGGAAACGAGAATGGTGGAGGGACCAGGCTCTTTTTAACAGCCAGTTCTTGTGGGAACTAACAGAGGAAGAACTCACCCCATGACCCAAACACCTCACATGAGGCCCTACCTCCAACATTGGGGGTCACATTTTAACATGAGGTTTGGAGGGCCAAATATCCAAATTATAACATGGGGTATACATTTGTCAAAACTCATAGAACTGTATACTTTAAATTGGTTCATTTTACTGTCTGTAAATTACACCCCCAAAAGCTCATTTTATAAGTTAAAGAAATACAGGAGGAAAAATATAAGAATTTTTTTCAGACTCTAGGAAGGTGATAGCCTAAGAATAATGTGAAACCCTGAATTCACAAAAGGAAAGATTGACTAAATAAAAATTAAAGACTTTTATGGCCCCCTACAAAAATAAAAATGTTAATTATTATCTTTAAAAGAAGTATAGATTAAGATAAGATTATCAGCTTTTCACCTTTTCAAAGATTAAATTGAGAGACAATTAGGTGAGGATGTGAGGGAAGTGAACAGTCTCACTGTTTCTGGAGATATAATTTGGTACAATCTGGAAAATACTGGATAATTAGTTTTAAAGTGTACATGTACTTAGATTTTAAAGTCTTTAAAATAGCAAAAAACTGGACAGTGGTCATTTAAGTAACAGTCACATATTATGAGAGAGAAAAAGATACTTACATTAGATGGAATTTGTTTTAAAAGAGTACCTTAGAATCTTTGTCTCACCATGAAGCTGAACAGTCACAGTAAAGCATAAAAGATGGTAACTCCCTTACTCTTCATCCCTCTGTTCTTCATTTCAAAAGAGGAGCTCTCAGGTGTATTCAATTAATGTATATTTCTGCAATATACATAACAGTTTATATACCTACAGGGCGCTCTGGAAACGTAAGTTGCAGAAGGCAGACTTCTGGCCCATTAGGAGGTTATGGTGGTTTACAGCAAGGGAAGGTCTGAGAGGCTGGGGAAAGGAACCCTTTCGTGGCTCTTAGCCCTTTTGCCTAAGGGAGTAAAGAGCTGGCCCTCTTTCTGCCAGGCTTCCCTCTGGCTTATGGATTCAAGATGGCCTCAGAATGGGTATTTTCTATGCTCAGCTCTTCTGTTTTTCCCCTGGCTGGGCACAGAAAATAGTTTACCAGTCCTACTTATTACACTTTTTCTACTTCCTTCTCCAACCCCTTCTTTCTGTGCTCATGGTTGGGGGTCTGTTGGTGATAGAGTGGAAACATGCTAGTGGATGGTGCTTTTCCACAATTATTCTCATCTTTATTTTTCCTATTGAAGTGTTTACCAAGAATCTGTGCAGTCAGATGTCGGCAGTCAGCGGGCCTCTCCTACAGTGGTTGGAGGACAGACTGGAGCAAAACCAACAGCATTTGCAGGAATTACAACAAGAAAAGGAAGAGCTTATGCAAGAACTTTCTTCTCTAGAATAAATCAGGAGACAAAATGGGGTAAAAAACTTCTTTTTCAATTTGTGTACTAAACACAGTCTGAAAATGCACACAGCTCACATGCAGGCAGACAATAGAGTAGTTATTTTTCACATGCAATCAGCACAGGATGTCTTCCTGACAGTTTAATTAGAGTTCACTGAACCCTCCTACCTATAACTGACCAATAAGGAGCTTATGCAAGATGATTTAAGTAGAATATGAAAGTTATTTTTAAAAAGGCTATGAGTGGTACAATGGCAAGGAATATCTTAGAATAAAATGTCTGGGGGGTATATTTTAAACATTTATATTTCCCTTTCTTTTAACTTGGAAGTCTTTATTTTCATTTTCAAATACATTCACTCACTAGAATATTTTATGTTTCAATTTTGTAGGTATGATGCTTATGTTGGACAAGCAAATAATAAATCTAGTGTGAGTGGAAGGAAGTACCCCACCTCTATGCCCTCACTGAGAGGGCAGTGTCTTCCTTCTTGATTTCTAAAATATATGTTCTGAGATACCTATCAAACGTTGAATCTCTGAGGGTGCCCTTTTTAGCCCAACATGAGTTCTAGCATATTTGACTCTGAAGTAAACTCCTATTGAGCAGATCCTATCTGCCTAGGAGTTTCCATTATAGTAAAATGTGTTTCTCCAGAAACATTTAGGATTGAGGATATAATAAAAATCATGCTTTAAAAAGTTTGGTTGCATTACTCTTATCATGTAAAAGCACAAATGATAAATGTGTCTGCAGAAAAGACATACTTTTCTGTGTGCTTGTTGCATACTGGAAACAAAGTATGCTTGTTGGATACTAGAAGTTAAGTGATAAAGGCTGTTTTTGGTTTTTGTTTCTCCCTCTCATTTTTCACATTTCAAAGTGTTGTCCAGAACCACCTGCATCAGAATCACTTGAAGGTCATACTCTATCTCTGGGGATAAAATCTGCATGAACTACTTAGCTGATTTGAAAACCACTAGCCTTGAGCATATGGAATGTATATACTATATTGTCCCTAATTTCCCACAGCCACTGTTCTTCTCTATTCTTTTTCTTTCCCTATAGGAAAGATGAAAATATCCAGTGTAAAGTTACTTAAGCTAAATCAATTTCAAAGAAGAAAAACTTGGAGGACTCATTTTACCTGACTTCAAGACTTACTATAAAGCTATAGTAATCAAGATAGATGGTATTGGCAGAGGAACAGACACATACGTCAATGGAACAGATGAGAGAACCCAGAAATAAACCCATATAAATATGCTCAGCTGATTTTGAAAAAGTGAAAAAGCAATTCAATGGAGGAAGAATAGCCTTTCTGACAAATTATGCTAGAGCAATTAGACACCCATGGCGAGGAGAAAAAAGAACCTCTACTTAAACCTCACATCTTATATAAAATTTAACTCAAAATGTATAACGGACTTAAATGTGATACATAAAACTAGATAACTTTGAAAAAAGCCACAGGAGAAAAATCTTCAGGATCTTGGGCTAGGTGACAAGTTCTTGGACTTTGCCCCGAAAGCACATCCATAAAAGACAAAATCTGATATATTGGACTTCTTCAAAATTTAAAAACTTGTGATTTAAGAAGAGGAAAAGATAAGCTACAGATTGAGATGAATTTGCAAACCATATATCTGATCAATTTGGAATATATAAAGTGTACTAAAAACTCAACTGAAGTCAGGCATGGTAGCTCATGCTTGTAATCTCACCACTTTGGGAGGCCAAGATGGGAGGAGTGCTTGAGGTTAGGCGTTCCAGACCAGCCTGGGCAACATAGTGAGACTCTTGTCTCTACAAAAAGTTTTTTTAAAAAATTAACTGGGCACCATGACACACACCAGTAGTCCCAGCTACTAGGGAGGCAGGAGGATCACTTGAGCCCAGGAGTTTGAGGCTGCGGTGAGCTGTGATCACACCACCACACTCCAACCTGTGTAACAGAGTGAGGCCTCATCTCAAAAAAAAAAAAAGGCCACAAAACTCAACAATAAAAACAAACAGTCCAATTAGAAAATGGGCAAAAGACATGAATAGATGTTTCACTGAAGAGGATCTATAGATGGCAAGTAAGCATATGAAAAGCTGTTAAACTCCATAAGTCATCAGGGAATGCAAATTGAAACCACAGCGAGGCTATGACTTACTTATCTCAATGGCTAAAGAAAAAATAGTGAAAATACCAAATACTGATGAGGATACAAACTGGATATTTTATACATTGCTGACAGGAATGTAAAATGGTACAGCCACTCTGGGAAAGAGTTTATGAATTTCTTATCAAGTTAAACATAATTTTTTAATCAAGTTAAACATAAGACCCAGCAGTTGTGCTCCTGGACATTCATTCCAGAGAAATGAAAACCTATATTGTACTTGTACTCAAATATTCATAGGAGCTTTATTTGTAATAGCCCCAAACTGGAAACAACCCAGATGTCCTACAACAGGTACATGGTTAAACAAACCATCCATAACTTGGAATACTGCTCTGGAATGAAAAGGAACTAACTGTTGATACAAGAACTTGGTTGTACCTCAGGGGTATTATGGTGAACAAAAAAAAAACCAGTCTCAAATGGTCACATACTGTATGATCGCATTTATATAACATTCTTGAGGTGACAAAATTATTGAAATGAAGAACAGATTAATGGTTGCCAGGGATAGGGACTGGAGGGGGTGTGGGGTATGTATGACTATAAAGGGATGACGCAAGGAGTTCCTTTGTGCTGATGGAACAGTTCTATATGATTATGATGATTACGATGTTGATTATAACATTTGATTATGAGGTTAAGCACATGAGTCTTTACCTGTGCTGAAGTTGTATGGACCTACATACACACAAATGAATGCATGTAAAATCTGGTGATACTGAATAAAGTCTGTGGTCTAGATAGCAGTATAATATTATTGTCAATGTCTTGGATGTGAAGTTGTGCTATAGTTACAAAACCGTACCACTGGAGGAAACTGGGTAATGGATACATGGGACTCTGTACTATTTTTGCAACTTCCTATAAGTATATAATTATTGCAAAATGAAAAGTTGTAAGTTTTAAGTAAGGAACTGGGACGTATGGTACCTATTTTATGAAATAAGAAAAGGGTGCTAGAAAATTTGAGGGGAATAAAACGATTGGAATATTTTTACATGCCAACCTTTAGCACAAGTCCTTTTCCCTTTCTGGGTTTCATTTTCTTTAGGTATAGAATGAGATTAGAGTAGTTGACCACCAAGGTTTCTTTTAGCTCAGTGTCCAGTCTTTAAAAGTGTTGAGCATCACAAGAAACAGTGGTGTGAACAGGATGTATCATTATTTTCCCAGCTGCACCAATCTGGCTTACCTTTACACAACCCTGTATCCCCTTATGAACACTAGATTCTCTATTCTCAATCACATCCAAGACTCTCATGGTAACTGTATATACTTGTTCTCTCTGTTTTCTTATCTCCTATAATTTCAACTCATTGCCTTGTGACCTCTGTCCACAGCACTTCATTGAAACTACTCCTGCCAAAGTCACCAATGAGCTCCATACAGTGAAAGTCAATAGTTGCTTTTCCCATCCTTGATGAACCTCTCAGTATTGACACAGTTGGTCACTCCTCCTTGAAATCTACTTCCTTGGTTTCTCTTATTTTCTTCTCTGGCTATCCTTCCTGCTATCCTTTTCTTCTCTAGCTGTTCCTTCTCAAATTCATTCATAGACTTCTCTATCTTTGCATACCTATATGCAGTTGACACACAAATCTGTATCTGTCCACGCCTCTATCTGAACTCCAGACCTACATTTCCACCTCTCTACTGGACATTTTTTTTGAGACAGGGTCTCACTCTGTTGCCCAGGCTGGGGCGCAGTGGCATGATCATGGCTCACTGAAGCCTCGACCTCCTGACCTCAGCCTCCCAAGTAGCTGGGACTACAGGCACGCACCACCATGCCTGGCTCATTTTTTTGTATTTTTTTTGAAGAGGCAGGGTTCCACCATGTTGCCCAGGCTGGTGGCAAACTACTGGGCTCAAGCAATCCACCTGCCTCGGCCTCCCAAAGTGCTAGGATTACAGGCACGAGCCACCGTGCCTGGCCTCCACTTGGCTGTCTTAATGGCACATAAAAATTAATATATCTAAATCTGAAATCATGGTTTTCAATCTAAACTATATTCCCTTCCAACATTTCTTACCTCAGTGAATAGTGAATGTAACATCCATTTGCACAAACCAGAAACCAAATAGACATTCTTAACATCTCTCTCCATCACCTTCTAAACTATTTATATTGATAAAGTTACAGCGATTTGAAATTCTTTTTCTAGCCTAGTAATCTGAGTAATTTGTAGGATAAACATGTTGGGGGAGGGGCAGGTACATGGAGGTGTCAAAGTGCCTGATGGCTGAGGAAGCAGGCTGGGATTACTGCATGGAGGTGTCAGAGTTTCCAGCTTTGTGGCTCCATGGTTGGGTGGAGGGGCAGGGGGAGAGATCCAGTGGAAGCCATGTTGTGCCAGTGCCCTCAGGGCGAGGAGGCAGCCAGCAGTGTGCTACATTAAGCAAATAACTAAGTTGATTGAGTGAAGAAGTAAATCTGTTGAGGAAAATGGGAGCTAGGTTTCTCAATGTCAGAGAAATTATTTGAAAACATGGAAAGGCCAGGCGCAGTGGCTCACGCCTGTAATCCCAGCACTTTGGGAGGCCGAGACGGGTCAGGAGATTGAGACCATCCTGGCTAACACGCTGAAACCCCATCTCTACTAAAAATACAAAAAAAAAAAAAAAGGTTAGCTGGGCATGGTGGCAGGCGCCTGTAGTCCCAGCTACTCGGGAGGCTGACGCAGGAGAATGGTGTGAACCCGGGAGGCAGAGCTTGCAGTGAGCGAAGATTGCGCCACTGCACTCCAGCCTGGACGGCAGAGCAAGACTCTGTCTCAAAAAAAAAAACAAAACAAAATCATGGAAAGGAGGAAGGGTAAAATGAATCTCATGGTATTGGATTAAAATTGGAAAAGAGTTCATTAATATGAACTCTTGTTCAAAGGAAATATATATATATATATATATACACACACACACACACACACACACATATATACACACACACACACATACACACACATATATACACACACACACACATATATACACACACACACAGAAACCCTATATATATATATCTCAGAGCTGAGAAAGGTATGTGTATATGTACATATCTGTCTCAGCTCCGTCCACCAAGAGGGACTAGAAGTGACACCCAGTGGTTATGAGCACAGCTAGCACCAAGATGCTGATTTCCAAACCCTCCACTAAAAATGGAATTGAATTGACAGTCCAGAAATAAGCCCACACATCTACAGTCAACTGATTTTCAACAAGGGTGCCAAGACTATGGGAGAGAATAGTCTTCAACAACTGGCGAATGGACAAGTGGATATCCACGTGCAAAATAATGAAGTTGGACTGAGATCCCACACGATAAATGAATATTAACTCCAAACGTATTGAAGACTTAAATTCAAGAGCTTAAACAATAAAAACTTTATAAGAAAACAGTAGTAAATCTTTACGATCTTGGTTTTTACAATGGATTCTTAGATATGACACCAAAGTACAAGCAACAAATAAAAAATAGATAAATTGGAATTTATGGAAGTTAGAAAATTTTGTGCATCCAAAGACATGATCAAAAAGTGAAAACTCAGGACAATGGCAGAAAATATTTGCAAATCCTATGTATAAGAGTCTAGTATGCAAAATATATAAAGAACACTGAAAACAACAAAAACCAAACAGCACAATTCAAAAATGGGCAAAGGACCTAAATAGAAATTTTCCAAAGAAGACCTACAAATTGCGAAGAAGCACATGAAAAGATGCTTGACGTTACTAGTCACCAGAGAAATAAAAATCATGAGATATGACTTTATACTAACCAGAATAAAAATGTAAGAGAATAACAAGTGTTGGTGAGGCTGTGGAGAAATTGGAACTCTTGTACACTACAGGTAGGAATATAAAATGGTGTAGACAATTTGGAAAACTGGCTGATGGCTCCTCCAAAACTTAAACACAGAATTACCATAAGACCTAGCAAGGGCATTTCTAGGTGTATATCCCACAGAACTGAAGACAGAAATTTAAACAAAAACTAGACAACCCAAATGTCTATCAACCAATGAATGGGTAAACAAAATGCAGTCTGTTCTTCAATGGAATATTATTTGGCCATAAAAAGGAATGAGGGGTAGGAGGGAGCAGGGATAGAGGGTTGATGGCTAAGAGGGATGAGGTTTCTTTTTGAGGTGATGAAAATATTCTAAGTTGACTGCAGTGATGGTTGTACAGCTCTATGACTATACTAAAAGTCATTAAATTGTTCACTTTAAATGGGTGAATTGTGTATAAATTATGTCTCCATAAAGCTGTTTATTTTTTTAAAAGACACACAAAAGAAGAAACTTTCCTGCAGCTCCAGCTGACCTTGCAGGCTGGCCTCTTCCGCTCTGACCTGTGCTCCCTAAGCTCCCTGCGAAGGAGATAAAATGAGCTCCTGGTCTGCAACAGCTATTGGTTATTGTAATGTCTGCTTTTGTTTAAAAAGAAAAAAAGACCCAACTCCTTATACAGTTTGAATTGTATATATTTGGGGATCTCTGAGTTTCCTGTATCTGGATGTCTAAATCTCTTACTAGACTTAGGAAGTTTTCAGCAAGATGACTGGATGATCATGTTTCAGCCTCTGTGAGACAAACATTACAGCAGCAGATGGCACAAGACCCAGGAGCCTGAGGATGAACATCACTGGAATCCACACACTCATCAGATCTGTGCTTCCCAGGCAGCAGGCACCAGTTCCCCCTTTGCCTTCCACCATGATTGTAAGCCTCCTGAGGCCTTCATCAGATGCAGATGCTGATGCCATGTTTTCTGTACAGCCTGCAGAACTGTGAGCCATTTAAACCTCTTTATAAATTACCCACCCTCAGGTATTCCTTTATAGCAATGCAAAAATGGACTAATACACAATTTAGGAGCAAGGTGTAGGTAAGACAAGGAAAGGACTGGAAAAGGGTGAAGTGACTGCTGTAAGGACTGGTAACATCAATCACATGGCTGTGAAAGGAGGGCAACAGTCCTGACTGGTGGAGAGAGCACACTTTAAACTCTGTGAAGGCAGAGGAGGGGCCGCTAACATCTCAGCTACTTGTCTGCAGAGCCTCTGGACAATTTAGCCCAGACTGCCACCACCACTTTCAACTCAATGGCTGGCCAACAAATCTTAATCTAAGGACTCTCAGAAACTTCCCAGGAACTGCTGACTCAAGTAGTTAACAGCCTCCATTCAGAACGATAGAATGAGATTAACTTTCTGGAAACTAACAAAACTCTTTTGTACAAGAGCTTAATAGAATTGGACCCTGATCCCAACTCAACACAATGGCACTGCTGAGGTCACTACAACTTCTTACATGAAAAGAAGCTACCTATACTAGCTTGCCACACACAAAGTGGTCTATTGTCTCTAATGTACATGGTAATGGGACAATAACACATTACCCAGGACTTCCTGCTGGTCAGTCAAGGCAGGATATGTGCAACTGTCAGCATCCCTTACTGCACCTGGGTTAATGAAATATTTAACTGGCTTGGCTCCAGTTGGGGAGCCTAGCTGCAGTGTGTATCCTCCAAGTGGGCCTAATTAGAGACTCATTCTTGTATATGTTGCCCAAAACAATCAGAATGTATTTGGTTAAGGCCCCTATAAGCACAGTTAATTAGAGTAATTTGATGGGGTGGCCTATGCTCCTGAGAATTCTTAGCTAGCTATTTGAAAAGTGAGGGATGGAGCTGTAGAGAGTGGATCTGCCATGGTGCCCTTGTGACCTGGCATGCATATATCTATGCAAGCTAGGCTTGAATTGCAACTTATCTGAGTCTTGGCAGGATGTATCATGATCCTCCCAGAACACAAGAGGATGGGAGGGTGGTGAGGTGCTGTTTCAAGGCTATCTCTAACCTCCTAATCTCTCCTGGGAGGCTGCCACTGAGACAGACAGTTTCTCATCTGAGTACTATTGAGGTCTGAGGCTATCTGCTCTGCCCCACTCAGGGTATAGCTACAGAATATAAAACTGCTAGCTGCAGTCTAAAAGGGGCTCCTCAGCAAGGGAGTGTCCCATAACTGGTGCAGCAAACATGCAGGCCTTGTTTCAGAAGTCCTGTTTGGTGCAGGGAACAAGGACATGGGGAGCTGGCACCTTTGGCCCATCTTCCTCTTGCTGTCTATGTAGGTAATAAACTGAATCTTAAAAGGACATGTCATTACTTTAGAAGCCAAATCAATCACTCTTGGGCTTGGCCTTTTTTTGACAATGTGGTAGTTATGTACAAGAGTGTCTTTGTTTTTGAGAATTGTACACTGGAGTGTTTAGGACTGATGGAACATGTCTGCAACTTGGTCTCAAATGGTTAAGAAAAAGCCATATGATAATGGTGGTACACACATGCACGCATGCATGCTGCAGAAATGTGAAGTGTTACCAATTGAACAATCTGGATGAAGTGAACATGGGAGTTCTTTGTACTATTCCTCCAACTTTTTGGTAAGTTTATAACAAGTTACTTTTTAAAATCTACTGAGCTTAAGGCCAGGGGGAAGTCTTATTTTTCACTTTGAACTCTTCTGTAAATTGTGTTTTGAATTTCTACAATGAGTATGTATTACTTTCTTAATACAAAATTAAAGTGTCCGATTTTTAAAATCACAAAAGTAATATAATAAAGGAAACTTGAAAAATGTGAAGAGAAACCTATAATTTCCTCAAAATAACTCATTTTTGGTAGTCCTTTTGGTCTTCTCTTTCTTATTTCTGTTATTCATTTCTAGTATTAATGCATCTTATAGTTTTGCATGTGGATTTCTTCATTTAACATAATTCTAAAACTTTAATATGTTGTATAGGTTTTATAATTTTAGTGCCTGTAGTCCCAGCTACATGATTCACTAAACAACAACAGCAAACCCTGGGGAGAGGGACATCTGATTTCCAGAGCCACCACATTATAACATCAAAATGTCCAGTTTTAAACAAAAAAGTATGAGGCATGCAAGGAAACAAAGTACGGCCCACTGACAGGAAAAAAAAGTTTATAAAAACTGTCCCAGACAAAGCCCAGGTCTTGGACTTACTAGACAATTTAAATCAACAGTTGTAAATATGCTCAAAGAACAAAAGGAAACCATGAATAAACAATTAAATCAGGAAAATGATATCTCGCCAAATAGAGATAACAAAGATAAAATTTTTAAAAGGAACAAAATAGAAATTCAGGAGCTAAAAACTATAATAACTGAAATGAATAATTCATGAGAGAGACTTAACAGCAGATTTGAGCAGGCAGAAGAAAGAATCAGTAAACTTGAAGATAGGTCAATTATCAGAGACCCAAGTATCAAAAAGAAAAAAGAATGAAGAAAAACAAACAGATCCTCAGAGACCTGTGGGACACCATCAAGCTTAACAATGCACCCACAATGGGAGTTCTAGCTAAAGAAAGAAGGGGCATAAAGAAGTAATGGCCAAAAACTCCCCAGATTTGATGAAATCTATGAATCTACATATTCAAGAAACTCTAAGTATTTTGAGAGGGATAAACCCACACCTAGACACTTCATAGTCAAAATGTCTAAAGCCAATGACAGAATCTTGGAAGCAGCAAGAGAAATGACTTATCACATACAACTGAACGTCAATAATATTGACAGCCAAATTGTTGTCAGAAATCATAGAGGCCAGAAGGCAGTGGGATGACATATTCAAAGTGCTGAAAGAAAAAGTGTCAGTGAAGAATTATATGTCCAGCAAAATTATCCTACAAAAATGAAGTAAAATAATGACATCCCCTTACCAGTGGATCTGTTGGATTGAATTAAAAAAAAGAAAAAATAATGACATTCCCAGAAAGAAAAACAAGAGACTGCCATTGCAGACCTATCTTAGAAGAAATACTAGAGAGAGTTATTCAGGCTGAAATGAAAGGACAGTAGACTGTAACTCAGATTCACATAAAGAAATAAATATCATTGGTAAAGGTAACTACATAGATAAATATAAGACATGGTATGTTGTATTTTTGTGACGCTTTTTTCTTCTACTTAATTTAGAAGACAGCTGCATAAAGCAATAATTCTAGGATGTGTTGATCGGCATATAATGTAAAAAATATATAATATGTATGACAATAATAGCCCAAAAGAGAGGAGAATAGAGCCATGTTGGAGCAAATTTTTTTAATATGGTTGAAATTAAATTGGTATTTATTAAAACCAGATGATTTTAAGTTAAGATGTTAATTGTAATCACCAGGGCAACCACTAAGGAAATAATTTAAAAATATAGTAAAGAAACAAGAATTAAGATGGCATACTAGAAAATATGTAACACAAAAGAAGGCAGTAATGGAGAAATAGAAGATCAAAAGACACAGGTATATAGAAAACAAAGAGCAAAATGACAGGCATAAATCATCGCTTATCAGTAATTAGATATAAATGAATGAGTGAGATTATTAGAATACACACAAAAAAATCCTATTATATGCTGTTCACAGGATACAGACTTTAAATTCAAAGATACAAATAAAGTTAAGATGATGGGAAAAGATATATCATGCAAACAGCAACCATAACAGCTGGAACAGCTAAACTAATATCAGACAAAATAGATTTTTTAAAATGTTAGAGACAAATAGGGGCATTTTATAAAGTTACAATGGTCAATCCACCAGGAAGATGATATAAGCATATAGGCACATAACAACAGAGCCTAAGATACATGAAGCAAAACCTGACAGCATCAAAGCAGAAATAGAAAATTCAACAATGACTGTTGGAGACTTCAATACACCACTTTCAATAGTGGATAGAACAACTAGGTAGATGATAAACAAGGAAATAGAAGAACTGAATAACATTATCAACCAAGAAGACCTAACAGACAACTTACTTATAAGACACTTAATCCAACAATAGCAGCAGAATATACATACTCCTCAACTAAACATGAAGAATTATCTAAGTTAGATCATATGTTAGGCCACAAAACGAGTTTCAATAAATTTAAAGGACTGAAATTATACAATGTATGTTCTCTCTCCACAATGGAATAAAATTAGAAATCAATAACAGAAGAAAATTTGGGAAATTCACCAAGTTATGGAAATTAAACAATAAATTCCTAAATACCCATTGGGTCAAAGAAGAAATCATAAGGGAAAATAGAAAATACTTTGAGATAAATGAAAAAAAAAAACCAAAACTTATGCAATGAAAGCAGCGCTTGGGGGAAATTTATATCTATAAATGCCTACAGTAAAAAAGAGAAAGGATTTCAAATTAATAACCCAACTTCTCAGCTTAAGGAACTGAAAAAAAGCAAATTAATTCCAAAGCTAGCAGAGGGAAGGATATAATAAAGGTTAGGGTGGTAACAAATGACAGGGAACAGGAAAACAATAGAGAAAAATCAATAAAACCAAAAGTTGGTTTGCTGAAAAGATCAACAAAACTGACAATCCTATAGCTAGACTGACTATGAATAAAAGATTCAAATTTCTAAAATTGGGAATGAAATAGGAGACAATACTACAAACCTTACAAAAAGAAAACGGGAATTATATCCAAAGGGGCAAAGCAAGATGGTAGAATAGAAGCCTATGCCATTCATCCTCCCTCCCCACACAGAAACACGAAATTTTAACAATTATCTGCACACACAAAAGCATCGTCACAAGAACCAAAAATCAGGTAAGCAATCACAGTACCTGGTTTTAACTTAATATTTCTGAGAGTCATTGAAGAGGATAGGAGAGACAGTCTTGACTCACAGACAGCACCCCTCCTCCATCTCCTGGTAGCGACCATGCATTTGCAGGTAGGGAGCATATGGACCAGACCTAACCAGAGGGGAATTGCCCTTCCCAGTGGTCAGACCTTAAGTTTTTGCAGGCCTCGCCACCATGGGCCAAAGTGCTCTGGGGTTCTAGGTAAATTTGGAAGGCAGTCTAGGACACAAGGACTGCAATTCCCAGGTGAGTCCTAGTGCTGAGCTGTGGACTAGGGTGGCACATGACCTAGTGAGACACATACCTAATGGAGTGCTTGCAGTACCCCTCCCTCAACACCAAGCAGTGCAGCTAGCATCAAGGAAATGTTTAAGGAGAGAAGAGTAAAGAGGACTTTGTCTTGCATCTTGGATACCAGCTCAGCCACAGTAGGATAGAGCACTGGGCAGTCATGAGGCCCCCATTCCAGGCCCTAGCTCATGGACAACATTTCTAGACACACCCTGGGCTAAGAAGGAACCCACTGTCTTGAAGGGAAGAATCCAGTTTTGGCAGGATTCGTCACCTGCTGACTAAAGAGCCCTTGAGCTTTGAATAACCAGCAGCAATACCTAGGGAATATACTGTGGGCCTTGGGCTCTGAGATGTGCTGTCTTCAAGTAAGACTCAGCACATTCCCAGCTGTGGTGGCTACAATGAGAGGCTCCTGTTTGAGAAAAGCAGAGGAAAAAGTAAAGGGAACTTTGTCTTGCTCCTTAGGTACCAGCTCAGCTACAATGTGGTAGAACAATGAGGAGGCTCTTGGACAGCATTTCTGGACCTGCTCTGGGCCAGAGGGGAGCCCCCTGCCCTGAAGGGTGAGTCCCAGACCTGGCAGCATTCACCACAAGCTGAATGAAGAGCCCTGGAGCTTTAAGTGAATGTTGGAAATGGCCTGGAAGAGCCCCCCAAGGGACAGGGTTGGTCGTGGCCACAGGGAGAGGCACCTCTGCCTGTGGAAGGGGGAGGGAAGAGTGGGAAGTACTTCGTCTTGTGGTTTAAGTGCCAGCTAAACCACAGTAGAACAGAGCATCAGGTAAATTTCTAAGATTTTTTTATTCTAATCCCTGGGTTATTACCCTGATACCAAAACCAGACAAAGATACATTAAGAAAACTATAGGCCAGTATCTCTGATGAATATTGATGCAAAAATCCTCAATAAAATACTAACAAACTGAATTCAACAATTCAGTTTATATTACAATAAATTAGATAACATAGATGAAGTAGACAAATTTTTAGAAAAACAAAAACCACCAAAGCTGACCTACCAATAAACAAAAAATCTGAATAAACTTATGAGAAGTAAAGAGATTGAATTACTGGTTTTAAAACTTTCCACCAGTAAAAGCCCAGGACCAGATGGCTTCACTGGTGAATTCTGCCAAACATTTGAATTCATATACCAGTTCAGAATTAACAGCAGTTCTTTACAAGCTCTTCAAAAACAGAAGAGGAAATACTTCTCAACTCATTCTATGAGAACAATACTACCCTGATACCAAAACCAGACAAAGACATCATATGGAAAGAAAACTAGACACCAATAATTCTTTATGAATATAGATGTAAAATTCCTCAACAAAATCCTAGGAAACCTAATCCAGCAACATATAAAAAGAATGAGGCCCCATTACCATGTGACAATTTTCCTAAGAGTGCATGGACAGTTCAACATACAAGAATCAATCGATATAATACACCAGATTAAATGAGTAAAGGACTAAAACTGCATGATCATCTCAACAGGTGCAGGATAAGCATTTGACATAAGCCAACACGTTTTCATGAGAAAAAGACTCAACAAACTACAAAGAGGAAGGAACTTCCCCAACCTGATAAAGGCCATATATGAATAACCCACAGCTAATATCATACTTAATGGTGAAAGACTGAATTATTTCTGCATAAGATCAGAATCAAGACAAGGATGCTGTTTCCTGCCACTTTAATATTGTACTAGAGATTCTAGCCAGGGCAGTTGAGGGCAGGGGAAGACACCCAAATTGGAAAGGAGATGTAAAACTGTATCTATTTGCAAATGGCTTGATATTATATAGGGAGAACCCTAAAGAATGCATGCACACACACACACAAAACCTATTAGAGCTAATAAATGAGCTCTTCAAAGCTGCAGAGTTTGGGCAGGGTTGCTAGCTGCTCTGGTACTGGAAACCCAATTTAGCTGGGGGTTGTCAAAACAAATGGGTACGGGGTTTCTTTTGCAAGTGGTGGAAAGGCTGTAGATTGATCTTGGTGATAGTTGCACAACTCTATGAATATACTAAAAACTACTGAATTTTACACGAAATGAGGGAAAAGTTGTAGTGTGGTGGGCCCCCCACCATGTTACTTAAGAGTGTATGTCCACGGCTTGAAACTTCAAGGCTTGGCGGTGAGCCAAGGCCATGGTGCCCAGCCTAGGAGCAGGTGTCCTTGAGAACCCAAACATCCTGGAATGGATCTGGGAACCCACTACAGCAAACAGTCTCATTGCACACAGTAGGCAAAGAGCCAGGAAATTAGCTTAAAAGCAGCTTAGAGATGGGAGGCAGGGCAGATCTCTGGAGTTGTCCTGCTGCTGCCCAGGAGTGCCCTGTATGTAAGTCCTAATAAACTCCTAAGATGGACTTCTTTGGTACCTTGGCTCCTTCCCAGTTTGGGGGGCCCAGTTTGAGGGAATGTTACAGTGCCAGGCTTTTCTCATAACGAAGATATATGTGAATTAAATATCAATAAAGCCATTTAAGAAAATATGCCTTAGAAAGATGTGATTTAAAAGTAATGTGTGTGCATGTCTAAACAAACTTCAACATTCCTTAAAGGAATACATGAACATACAACACTCAACAAAGCAAAATGAACAGTATCTGGCATCCAATCAGCAATTACTAGGTATAGGAAGAAGCAGAAAAATGTGACCCATACACGAGACAAAAATAAGTCAATAGGAACAGGCCAAGAAATGCCCAAGATGATGGAATTAGCAAATATTTAAAAATAACCATTATAACTATTATAATATCCACAAGGGTTTAAAGGAGAATGTTCATTCTTTTAAAATCTTTCATTACTCTCATTATGTTGAATAATATAAAAAGAACCAAATGGAACTTCTAGAGATGAAACATGCAATATTAGAAACGCAACATGTTCTAGATGGGATTAACAGCAAATCAGACTCTGCAGAAGAAAAGATCCGTGAATTTGAAGGCATAACAAAAGAAAATCTCCAAACTGAAGCATAGGGTAGGAGGAAGGCTCTTAAAAAATGGAAATGAACAGAGCTTTGGTGAACTGTGATACGATCATCAAGAAGTGGCCAGACGTGGTGGCTCACGCCTGTAATGCCAGCACTTTGGGAGGCCCAGGCGGGCAGATCACTTGAGCTTAGGAGTTTGAGACTAGCCTGGACAACATGGCAAAACCCCCCATCTCTACAAAACATACAAAAATTAGCTGGGTGTGGTGGCACATGGCTGTAGTCCCAGCTACTCAGGAGGCTGAGGTGGGAGGATGGCTTGAGCCCAGGAGGCAGAGGTTGCAGTGAACCGAGATTGCACCATTGCACTCCAGCCTGGCTGGGCGACAGAGCAGAACCCTCTCTCACTAACAAAACAACAACAACAAAATCACTGAGTGTAATACACATTTAATTGGAACACTCCACTCAATAATAGAAGAATATACATCTTTTCAAGTTTACAAAGAACATTTATGGCTGGGCGCGGTGGCTCACGTCTGTAATGCCAGCACTTTGGGAGGCCGAGGCGGGCGGATCACGAGGTCAGGAGATCGAGACCATCCTGGCTAACACAGTGTAACCCTATCTCTAATAAAGATACAGAAAATTAGTGAGGCATGGTGGCGGGCACCTGTAGTCCCAGCTACTGGGGAGGCTGAGGCAGGAGAATGGCGTGAACCCGGGAGGCGGAGCTTGCAGTGAGCGGAGATCCCGCCACTGCACTCCAGCCAGGGCGACAAAGCGAGACTCCGTCTCAAAAAACAAAAAAAGAACATTTACCTTGATAGACCATATTCTGTGCCATAAAATAAATCTCAAATTTTAAAAGACCAAAGTCAGAAAAAGGTGTTTAGACAACAAAAGCAGTATTTAGCAGTAAATGTCTATATTATAAAAGAAGCAATACATCAAGTCGGAAACCTAGCCTTCTACCTTAAGAAACCAGAAAATAAAGAGCAAAATAAACCCAAAGCAAGTAGAAGAAAGGAAATAATAAAAAGCATAAGTTCATGAAATAGAAACAGAAAATAGAGAAATCCCATGGAACCAAAAGTTGGTTCTTTGAGATCAACACAATTAACTCTTTAGGCAGACCAATCAAGAGAAAAAAAGAACATACATTACCAATATGAAGAGTGAGAGAAGTAACATCGGTAAAGAGTCTACAGATATTAGAAGGATAATAAAGAAATACTATGAACAACTCTATGGACTTGTGAATCTGGTGCTGCCTGAAGAGTAGGAAGACATGACCTCAAGCAGGCTGCAGCCCTGATAATGTGTGACTGAAGCTTCCCTAACAATGCCATATCAAGAATTTCCAAGGTACTGTCATAGGATCACCTAACTTCCCAAGACCTGAAGATCTCGAGAGCTTTCATATGGAGTCCCCAACATGTCCCCGTTCCTCATAATATTCGTTAATGGTTGTTGTTTATTTTGTTACTGTGGCATGTACTATGCAAAGCGCCCTAGCTCCTCCAGAGATGCCCTGCCCCAAACCTGGACTTGCCCTCAGAAACCAAGCAAGTGCGTGGTACCTGCCTTCTTGGGCCGGGCAGCCATCTTTCCCAGCATTCTTGCAGAGCCCGAGCTCCTCGCAAGTTCAAATCCCACCTCATAATGCTGGATGTCTGCGTCAGGCTGCATGAAGTAAGGTCGCCCGCTGAGGGCTCCCTGCAGGGTCAGGCATTTCTTCCGTCACCTGGGGCTCCTTGTCCAAAACCAGGGGTGCCGGTACCCTGCTCAGGGTCTGGAAGAGGTGGGGCTGGACTCTGTCGCCATCACCCTCGACTCGCACATGGGGTTATCTGCGTCCAAGGCTGCCCTCGGGGCGACCACCGATGAGCCCATGGAGCCTGAGCCGAAACTGGCTGGTGAGTAGGAGGCCGGGTATGGGCAGCCCACGCAGCTAGTGCAGTCTGAGTGGGGAAGAACCTCCTAATGGCTGCACCTTTTCTCCTTCCGCTCCCCCCTCCCCCTCCCCCTCCCCCTCCCCCTCCCCTCAGTGCCCTCCCCTTTTCCACGTCCCTGCAGGAGGGGGAGTTTGAGCTGTCATTTCTAGTAATCTTTGAGCAGAGAGGGGAACCTCTGGTGGGTTGTTTGTTTGTTTGTTTTTTGTTTTTTGAGACAGAGTCTCGCTGTGTTGCAGGCTGGAGTGCAGTGGTGCGATCTCAGCTCACTGCAACCTCTGCCTCCCTGGTTCAAGCGATTCTCCTGCCTCAGCCTCCTGACTAGCTGGCACTACAGCAGCCCGCCACCACGCTCAACTAATTTGGTATTTTTAGTAGAGACGGGGTTTCTCCATGTTGGTCAGGCTGCTCTCGGAACTCCTGACCTCAGGTGATCCGCCTGCCTCAGCCTCCCACAGCGACCTCTGGTGTTTTTAACTACAAATTCCAAAATATTTAGAAATTATTCAACTAAGATAGGAGACAAAGAGGGTGGAATAATAACCCAGGCTTCTTAGAAAGGTCTCATTTCCCAAGTTCACCCCAGTGCCCTTATAAATTGTAACATTCAGCGAGTCTTCTGAAGGAAAGTCTATTGAATAGATTCTCCCTTAGGTATTCCTAACCTAACGTCCATGAATAGGCTTTAGAGTGTCCATGGCACAATTTTTGTGCCCTGTGTATGTTTCTAGGAGGAAGATTTTTGATTCCTAGAGTGACCCGTTGCTCAAAGGATAGACTCCCAGTCTACCCAGTCTAGCCCCATTCCCTGTTGTTTGAGCTTGTAGTGAGCAGTGACTTGATAAACAATGTGTGCTATTGGCAGAGTATACTTAAATTTTACAGCTATTGAAAGCTTCACAGCTAGCTCACTGTTTTGATCACCCCTTTATGTTGGTATTTTGCTTAAACTATTCATTGACTTAATCTGTATTTGCCTTCTGAAGTTTTATCTTCTTATCATCGTGCTAATGTGCATGTGTTACAGCAAGTTACTAAGTTAAATAGAGATTAATTTCATATATATATATATATATATATATATATATATATATATATGTTTGCAAAGCATCATTCTCAGCAGGCCACATACTAGATTCTCTGTATATATTATACAGTCCTGGATACTTATGTAATATATGCCAGAATTGGCTTCTGAAGACCTAAAGAAATGCTCATTAATGAATAAGTGCCATGGATGAAGTTGTGCCATAATCATAGTTTGTAGACAGTTTTGAAAGCAAAGAGGATTTTGAACTGGTAAAAAGTAGGGAATCATTGCCATGTTCTTGAATGTGAAAATCAAATTATGAAACTTAACTTTTGAGGGGCTGTATGAAATGAATTCATGAATGGTTATAGGCATGAGGCCAGAAATTTAAAAGCTGTCACAATAAACTAGGTACAAAGTTATGAGGTAGTGGACTCAAGAAAAAGAAGCAATAAATAAAAGGATACGGGATGCAGATAAAAGGATCAGAGATGGAGTGACAGTACAAAGAAAGTTCCTAACTGAACCTTCATGGAATGACAGTTTTCTTGAGAGAAGTAGTGACAGTGGTTAATAGCTTGGTCTCTAGGGTCAAACAAATCTAGTTTCAAATCCCAGCCCTGCCATTTAACTACCTGTATGATCTTGGGTATGTTACCTTCTTCAGTACTGTTCATTCATTTAATAAGTATTGACCAAAACCTGTTATGTGCCATCTGCTTTGCTGGGCCTTGAGGACCAAAATGGATTCATTCCCTCCCCTCATCAAGTATGCAAGATAACTAAAGGCATTAAATATCATGTAACATATAACAGTGCAAATTGTAATACATGTAATGAAGAAAATGTTTTTGAGGATTCCCTATGTCATTTCTCCAACATTTGATTGCATCTGTACTTAAGTTAAAATTACCAATTTTGGTTTTGAAAATTATTTCTCAGTCTGTATTCTAATGCTTGTCATTGTCTCTAATTTAGATCTAATACAGTACATCAGTGAAACTAACATAAGCGTTGAACATCTGGCTAATGTTCTTTCTGAAAAAACTAGGAGCAGTAGCTGGGTGGTGGTGTTCAAAGCCCTGGTTACTGTACATCACCTCATGGTGCACGGAAATGAGGTGAGCGTAAGCATGCAATTGCAAAATGTTCTTGGTTTGTCAAGGGCTTACTACCTTTTACTTTAATTAGTGGCAAGTGAGAGAAGTGAATAGCAGTATGTATTTAAAATATTTTTATCTGTTTTTATTAATGAATATATCTTTGTGATCAGTATTCTTTGAGGTGTATCATTTTAGTCACTGATGAAATAGCCACTGGATAACAATGTCCATAATAGAGTGGATATTTCTGTCAATTCTTTAGAGGATTTAGACCCCAAAAAGCCCCTTAGAAATGTGTTACCTCATACTTGCTTTACTTTGACAGGAGAGACTACACCTAAGCATATTACCTCATCACCTACCCATCTCTCTATATTTTACAGAACAACTGGAATGCTCCATAACATTAAATTACTTATTATTTTCTACTTTAAATTCACAGGCATTTTCCCTCAGTAAGTTTTGTATTAAAAAATCAGGGTTTAGAAATTGACTGGATTTTGAAACTCATTATAAAGCAACAGTAATTACACAGCAGAGTACTGGTAAAAAATAGAACATATATATAAATGGAACACAATAGAGAGCTTGGTTATAGAACTACACTTATATGGGAACTTGGTGGCACTAAAAAATGTGGGGAAAAGCATGGGGGAAGGAATTTAAAATAAAGCCTATTGGCACAAGCAGCATCCCTATGGAAAAAATGAGAATGAGATGCTTATGTTACCCCATATACAAAAATAAATTCCACATGGATGAAATATCTAAATTCAAAAAATAGATAAAATTGAAGAAAATGTAGGAGAATATGCTTATGACATTTGGGTAGGGAAGGCGCCATAGTTAAAAGAAGATATTTGCAACATATATACTATAGACTAAAGGTTAATATTCAGAATACATAATTAGTAAGAAAAAGGCACTACAATAGACTAATGAGCAAAAGAAATGAACAGAGGGTTTATAGAAAAGGAAAACAGAATGTCTAATAATCATCTGAGAACATGCTCATATTAGCAAAAATTAAAATTTCTGACAGTATGAATAGTTGGGAGGACATTGAGGTAATGGGAATTCACATACTCTGTGGATACATGTAGCTGCTGCAGTTTATCACTGTGGAGCGGAGAACATTGAGACACATTTAGAAAGTTGAAAATGCCCATCCCAGTGACTCAGCAAATCCACTTCTCACATCATGTTTATAATAATGAAAAACTAGAAATCACCTAAATTTCCATCACTAGAGAACAGATAAAATTTAGTGTAGTTATACAATAAAATGCTGTATTACATTAAATGAGATTGTATACCAGTAAGGCTAGACCTCAAAAACAATGCTAATAGAAGAAGCAAATTGTAGAATGACACTTAGAGTGCAAAACTACTTACGTAAAAAATTTAAAATACACACAGTACTTGTCCATGGAACAAATACATGTGAAACTATGAGGAAAATAGATTATAAAGATAATGCATTAAAATTATGATACCAGTTACTTCTAGGTAGAAGCAGGAAATGGATCTCAGGGATGGGGCTTTATCCGTAATCATTTATTTTCTCTTATTTTAATAATAGACTTGAAGCAGATATGTCAGAAAGTTAGCAGTTATCATTTCTAGGTAGTGGGGTCCACAGATGTATCATATTATTATTTGTATACTTCCGTAACTTAAAATTACTCAAAATCAAGAGTGGGGCATGGCTAAATAGAAAGTCTTAGAGGGAAACAGTGTGTATTCACATGAGCTTTAATGTTTAACTCCTTGTTTATTTGGGGGGTATATAAATAGAGGAGAGTTGGCAGCTGCAAATCTTTATGTTGGCCAGCACAGGATGTGATTGTGCGCAACTTAATCAATGTTCCTGAAATAGATACAAGGTGAACGATAGAATTAAGTATACATTCATAATGACAATCATTAAGGAACTTTTTGTGTGTACAGAAACTAATTTTAGAATTTGGCACATTTGTTTGACAGCGTTTCATTAAACATGTTTCATGTCAGAGCTCTTTGTTCACTTTACACAATTTCCTGGATAAAAGTGTCATAGAAGGTAAGATGATTCTTTGATGGAAATATTTCCATATGCCAAAGAGGGAAAAGTTCTGAAAATTGTGCCTAGTTAAAAAAGTGTCTAAATTATGAAGGCTGCGATGTGCTATACATTTTAAGAATGTAAATAATCCCCAAATTCATTGATACAACGTATATTTGGAGCTTACTAAGAATAACAGAATATGCCATATGCTAGAGACAGAAAAGTTAATGAGACCTACAGGTCTTTGCTCAGTGAAGCCTTGTCCAGCCTACCAAAAATTGCAGCACCTTTACACCAGTTCTCTGCCTGGGTTTATTCTTTCCCCTTCTCCCTGACTGTCTCTGTGTTCCTTTTTTTTTTTTTTTTTTAACATAATTGTCTGTCATTTCCCATTGAAATGTAAGCCCTATGAGGGCAGGAATATTTGTCTGTTTTTTTCACTGCTGAACTTCCAGCACTTAATACATCGCCTGGCTTATAGTAGGCACTCAGTGATTGTTTAATGAATGAATAAATTGAAGGGGAATCAGCATACATTTGGAGGTCGAGTAGAGAGTAGTTGAGTTTGTACCATGGCCTTTCTTCTCCTTTTTCTCTATGAAGTAGGCTGCAGGTCATTTGCTGAGTGGAGGGAGAGGGGAGGAGGGATGGTGGCAGTGGGATGACGAGAGTAAGGAAAATGCTAACAATTTATAATAGTTTCTGTGAAAATGTCGAAGGAGCTGATACAGTTCAATTATTTCATCTGTTCAGGAATGTCACCATCAATATCCCATTAAGGGATGATATCAAAGCTCTAAGGAAATAAAAATTAATCTTTAACAGAAAGCTGGAAGAATGTTGGAGTAGGTGATTAATAAAGGCCATTCTAGCTTTTGTGCTTCAAAGATATTGTTGAAGTATACAGGTGAATGTGGAATAAGTCTTTGCATTTATTGACATATTGTAAAAAGCTACTGTTGGTTGAATTGGAAATAATCGAAATATCTCATTTTTAGGCTATACTATGTCAACTTCATCAGACGATACAGCAAGTACTTGAATGAAAAGTCACTCGCATATAGAATGATCTCATCTGACATCACAAAAACCAAGAGAGGGTCAGTAAATATCATTAGTTTGTAAGCAAGAAGTACTGAAGCTTACATGTGGCCTGCTTTGTAGTTTGTCAAAAACAGCCCTATTTCAAGATGCTGATGTCACAGAGCTTCTCAAACTCTTAATTATTGAGGTTCATGAATTTCTTTTATCTTTTATAGGACAGATTGTGTGATAAGAAACTATGAATACTGAAGAGCTGCTAAACACACTTCCAGTTATTCAAACCCAGTTTAATGCAACATAAGAGCTTTATAAATTTTGTTAAAAAATATAGTAAATAGCATCCTGTAACTATAGGTAGGAGAAATAATTTTCTAACTGTGGTGTTAATTGGTTACGTTTTTATTTAATTTTCAGGCAAATCCTGATGAACTAACTAATGGTATAATACATGCTGCTTTTATGCTCCTCTTTAAAGATTCTCTTTGTCTCTTTGCAGCTTATAATGAAGGGATCCTTAATCTGCTAGGTAGGATAAAGAATAAGCTTTTTAAATGATTACTTTTTAAAGCATAAAATGGTAAAATAATTTATTTGTAAAAATCCCTTGTCTCTACATTTAGACTCACATTTGTTTTAGATACAAAATAGAAAATCTTTGCAGGGTCATGTATACTTTTCAATACAAATATTATATTGCTTCATTGGTTAAACATTATTTGGCTAATTAGCTACAAAACTTTTCCACTTTTATGTAAGTGCTAACTGATATTTCTGGGAAATTTGTCAGGGAATCAACCTAGGTTGCCATGTTTATTCATTATATGGTAATAAGGCCCATTTCCACCAAGTTCAAATAACACAGTTTTGACTTTCCTAAGAAGGTAAAGCCTATAACATAAGTAATTGTTATTGATGATATACAAGCATATATTTTTAGACTTTTCAGGAAATTACTGTCATCATTTAGCCCTAATGAATGATTCATTTAGCTGCAATTATTCTATAAACTTTATTGACGGGAATTTGATAGCTTTCCTTATACTGAAGAAATACGTAGTATTATACATTTGTAGGGTTATAAGAGAGTAGGAAACACAGCTCTTTCCCTCAAAGGGTTGCAGAGCTTTGTATTAATCAAAAAGACTATAGACTAGAAGTCGTTGAAATTAAAATCTAAACTATCTGTGCATGCTATTAAATTCCATATACCCAGCACCAGTATTTGGTATACAGTAGTTACTCCATAAAAAATAGTTGATTATGGGGATAGAGCAGTGCTATTTCTTGTTATTAAAACAGAAAATAACTTGATTAAAATTATAATTGTTTTGAACAGGTTAAATTCATATCCAGAATTAGCTTAAAATAGAATAATCAGAATGGAGTAAAACTTGAAAATTGCTAAGATATTGGCTCCTTTATGGTAATTTTTTTCTATTTTTAGACAAATATTTTGACATGAGGAAGAACCAATGCAGGGAAAGTTTGGATATTTACATCAGGTTCCTTAGAGGAACAACCAAATTGACACAGTTTCTGAAAGTTGCAGAGGTACAGAAATCCATTTCTACTTAAGGTGTTTCTTTTTTTGCAATAATTTAGTATCACTTGAAACTATACCTCTTTCCTCCACCACCATAACCACACAAACGCACAGAAATTGGTAGTTGTTTTAACTACTTTGTAAACAGTAAAACTAAAACTAAAACTAAAGTTAGGTACTTCAAATGTACTATCCAATGCACTTGCACTCAAAAGCAATCTTACAAGGACTTCTGTTTGCAGCCATAAAGATAACCAGTATGAAGCTTACCCTCCCACCAGAAACAACTCTAAAAGTAGACCAAAATATATATGACATAAGTCTTTTTAGGTAGTGAACAATAGGTAGGTTTGTGGTCAGTGACAGAAACACTTGAGGTGAGCCCCATGTTCTCCCTGACACTCAGAGAACCCAAGCAGGATAAATACAAAGAGAACCACACGGAGGCGAGTGATAGTCAAGCTTCTGAAAACCAAAGAGAACAAAGACATATTACCCATGGGAGAATGACAATACGAATAATCGCTGACTTCTGACTACTTGAAAAATTAGAACACGTTTGTATGATATCCAAAATGCAGCTTAGCTCTTCTTAAATCAGCAAAGACTCAATAAGCTGGAAACCATCATTCTCAGCAAACTAACACAAGAAGAGAAAACCAAACACCGCATGTTCTCGCTCATAAATGGGAGTTGAACAATGAGAACACGTGGACACACGGAGGGGAACATCACACACCGGGGCCTGTCAAGGTGTGAGGGGTTACAGGAGGGACAGCATTAGGAGAAATAACTAATGTAGATGATGGGGGTTGATGGATGCAGCAAACCACCATGGCACGTGTACACCTATGTAACAAACCTGCATGTTCTGCACATGTACCCCAGAACTTAAAGTATAATGAAAAAAATAAAAATAATTTAAAAAGTCTATCCTTAGGATAAATATAAGGGTGTCCTTAAGTGTGCGAGGCATACTTTAGCCTGATAAGGTACCAGCCCAGGAAGACATCATACTCTTGGGGTATTTTCTCTTTCATGCACACAATGATCTCTCAGTTACATTTTTGTTGTTGCCACTCCCTGCTGTAACGTGTACTTTCCCCCTCTTTTTTGTTTCAGCAAGTTGGAACTGACCAGAGCAACAACATTCCATATATTACTCAGGTCAGTGTATCTCTCCTATGTATTTAAGTGACGTTTTTGTCTTTGTTTATGTGTGTTTATTATATTAATCATCATCTGAGACTCTCCATCCTTTGCTATATACTTATGTGTGTGCGTTTTCATTTCTCCATAAGTAACATATATATGTGTGCTTATTATGTGTGTGTGTGTATGTGTATAACAGCTAGACCATGCTTTCAATATTATCAGTAGAAACAGCAGGGTATTTGGAATAAAGAACTTAGATTTGAGGACTGCCCTGTCCACCTTTCAGGTATATGGTCTCAAGCAACTCATTTCCATTCTCTGTTCCTTATTTCTGCAACTGCAAAATGGGTATGATGCACCACCTGGCTCATAGTAGTGTTGTAAGAATCAAAGGAGCTCAGGCTTTTTTTCTTCCTCAGCAACTAGTTCTCAGGGATCCCCTCATGGGCATAGGTGTGATCTGGGGTAGAGGTGGCAGTGCTGGAGGTGTGGACAAGATGGGCCTCAGGCAACCTGCTTGTGGATCCTACTTAGCCCTCTGGACCTGCCTGTGCTCCAACCCAGATATATCATGGGGCCTGAGCAGCACGGCTTCTGGTCCAGCCTGTACCTACTACAGAGCCCTTTCCTACTCTGGGCCCCCAAATTTAGGTGGCAGGCCTAAATTTTAGGCCACCTGGGATATGGATGAGAGCAGTTTTCCCTCATGTGGGAATATGCTGTCTCCAGAGCCCAAAGAAGCCTACCAGGTATCATGTATCCTTTTTTGTTGTGGGAGGTACAAGATGCAATACTTTATCTTTTATTTTGGATGTGATGTCCTGGTATGCCTCTGACCACTGGAACCCCCCAAATTTTATCAGTGTGAAAAGAAGGTAGACTGCATGTATCTTTCACTATACTGCCCACTGCCTGCTCATCTGATCCTATGAGCATGACATCATGGATACAGTGGATCAATTTCATGCTCTGAGGAGTGACCAGATGTTCTAGACTTCTAACTTTATTATGACAGAAGATAAGAGAGTTAACACAGCCATGGGTATAAAACTGAAAATGTAAAGTGTTGTTCATTCCATGTGCCTGTGAACTCTTTCCGAGTCACACTTCTGATGGTGATAGAAAGCAACACAGTCACCAAACCAGCAGCCACATACTATGTACCTAAAGCTGCATTAACTCCACCTCTACCAAAGAAGCTATCATGGCTGGCATAGTGGCTACAATTGGGGTACTACTTGATTGATTTTGCTGTAGTTGTTAATCTCCAGAACCCAACTGGTTTTGATGGGGAATGGGGACTATCACCACTAATATAATCCTTTCTGCTATTTAGATTTGTGCTAATTTCTGCCATCCTCTTGGGAGGTAGTCCTGTTTTTGTTTTTGTTTTCGTTTTTGTTTTGTTTTGTTTTAATCTACTGTTTTGCTTGGAGGGTGATTGGGGGCTATATCAGAGGCACGCCCCTAGATGAGTTTTGCTGTGGCTTAACTATAGTTATAGGCCTAGAGGACAGGAATGGAGGTGGGAGCAGATCCTGATGGGGCATGTAACTTGTGGAGTAGAGGCCTCTGTATCATCTCCAACAAAGGAGGCTCAGAGGTTTCTGGAAAATCTGGAGACTCAAGACTTTCAAAGCCATTCCCCAGCTGTCCTCATCCTACATATCAGCGACTGGTGTGGCAGACCTGCCTTGGTTGGGACTAGAAGAATGAAGGATTATCTGAGATAACACATGTGGAATGCTCAGACAGTGCCTGGTTCATGTGGCAGTCATGTGTATGTGAAGAAGCCTGTGAAGAGAGAGAAAATGAAGATGTAGGGGAGAGAGGATGGTTGCAGATGCAAATAAAATGTTAGGTTTAGTGGCAGAGAAGGAGGGATTTTTTGGCTGATGGCTTATAAATCTTTGAAGGAAAGGAATGTTCTCTCAAGTATACACAGCACAAATGTTCCTTCATGTGCAGACAAGTACAAAGGCAGCTTGCACGTAGCCCTGAAATCCCACAAAGTGGTCCACAATGGGAACCACTGTTGGGTGAAATAATGCATGGCTTCCTGAATGAGAACTCAGATGACCAGTGGTGGGAAGAGAGAGAGACAATGAGAATGTCTGGGTTAGTAGGGGAAAAGACAGAGTTTCATTGCCTCATGGCGACATAACCAGTTGATTTCAATCAACATTCATTCGTAAACATGCTTGACTCCTTTTCAGTTATAATGAATGAGACACAATCCCGGCCCCTGAGTTCCCGAAAAAGACTGAACCAAAATTACACATGAAGAATCACTAGGTATCCATCACAATGTAGTCCTCTGACTTTTTTCTACATTGACCTTTCTTCCCTAAGGGAGGTGGTGGGGGCAGCAAGGGGACCTTTGCTAGGAACCACAGTCTCAGCCATTGTCAGGATGCCGATGAGCATTAACTGACCAGCACCTGTGCTTAGAGTTCTAAGGGACATTTGCCAGGAGGAGTACCTGAATGGAGAGCCACATTTCCCACCAGTCCACCCTCCTCCTTACCTCAGCTCTGGTCTTCCTGAGATCAAAAATGAAGTAGATGGTTGCAGGAGAGCCTGCAAAAGGCAGGCAGGGATCTTGTTGGTAAACTTTCATGCAGATTCATTCCTTTGTAAATCAACCCTTTTTCTGGAAGAGCTTCCTTATCAGTACGCTGGGCCCTGGCCCTCAGCCAGTACAGAAAGTCATTTGTCAAGGCCTTCAGTTGGCAGACGTGCTCCCTGGACTACGTGCTTTCTCGGGTGTCCCAGAAACCCTGGAATGGAGTGAAATGCAGGGCTACGTGGGAGAGCAGGGAGGCAAGAATTAAGTCGGCCCCACCTTTGCCCAACTCAGTGGGTCTCCTTGAGAGAGGTCTGCAGTTTCAAGGAGACTTTTCAGCCAATCTGCTGCGAGATCCTGTGAAGGGGTGTGAAGGTCTTCCTCTGTGACTATAGATTGGCCAGTCTCTCCTTGTGTGTCCAACAGTTTTCATTATACTTTATGTGAATTAATGCAAAACTGCTAGGTTTAAACTGCTCACCATTTTAGGGATCCCTTCTGGATTTTACCTTCCTTAAGGGGAAATTTTCCTCCTTTCCTCAGTTCATCCTTTCTGCCTTGGCTTTGACGTGGTCTGGAGGCCACAGAGCCTCCTCCTGAGAACCTCTCTCTGGTGTGTCTGTTTGTGTCCGTCCCTCTCCTTTCGATCATTCCCTGTGGTTCCTGTTGGGCGCGGCTCCCATAAACGCACAGAGCAGGGTCTGCTTTGTCTGCAACCTGATGCATTGTTATTTCTCACCAAAACTTGCAGTCCAAACATCACATTTCCGGGCCACACTCTTTGTCAGAGCTCCAGGGGCACAACCCCGGGGACCTGCTGGAAGGTGCCACCGTGACGTGTGCCTAGATGCGTTTTCCCTCAGTTACCACAGCGTTCCTCTGGTTCTGGTGGCTGGAGGGTGACCGCGTGCTTCATGAAGGGGGTCCTTACTGCTTCGCATCCACCCTTTTCACGGAAAGCACTTTGTCACATGTTTTCAGTGTTTCTAAGCGATTTTCTGCCAATCTTGTGTGCTAAGATTGTGTGGCAGCGTTTCCACAGATTTATAGCTGGCAATGAATTCTCCCAAAGGAAATCAGACAAAATAACATGTTTCCAACATTGTTCACATACTGACAACTTTTGTTATTCATTCTCTCAGAATTGTTCCTTAGCTGTGTCCGCACCTCTGTAAGTAGTACATTAAACCTGCTAGCTCAGCAGCTTATATCACCCATCTTCCGCCCAGATCTGCTTCTCTTTCTGTGTACCCTTCTCATCCTTGATACTCTCTCCTTCCACTCGCCTTTACAATCCAACACTGAATCCTAACGACTTTGTCTGCAATGCCTCCTCTTTTCTGCATTTTAGCTTCAACTTCCATCCTCTCTCACCTTCCAACCAGTCTGTCTCCAGATACTCTGCCCCCTGCTGTTTGTTTTACACAGTGCATCCAGAATGCAGATCTGATAACATCCAAAATAGAGATCTGATCATTTCACCTCTCACTCAAAAGCCCTCGAAGGTCTCCCAGGATTCTTAGGACAAAGTGCAAGCTCCTCAACATTGCTTTTAATTTAAGGTCCTGCATTGTTGAACCCTTTCCTACTCTCCAGCTTCATCTCCCTTATGCTCCCCTCTGCTGTTTCTGCTCTAGCAACAGGGTTCATCTGTGCCATATGCCTTCCCCAGGGCCTTTGCACATGTTATTCCTCTGTCTACAGTGCTCTTTCTTCCCGAACTGACCTACTACTTATTCCTCAGCTATCCTTCATAAGGATAAGTATACACAGCACAAACTATTACTTTCTTCAGGAGGGCTTGCTTCCCTGACTTCCCTGACTTGGTTAGATTCCCCTGCTTCAACAGTGAGTATTGTGTACCTCTCTTTCATGCTACTGTTTACAACTTAAAATGACTTTACATTTATTTGTGTGATTGTTTGATATATCTTCTCCTTATCTGTAGACTGTAATCTTATGAAGCTTGGGATCAAGTTGTTTGTGCTTATGGTTATATCCCCATTTCTTATTGGTAAATTATCATAAATATTTCTTGAACAAAGAATCAGTGAATGGTTCAGGGGAGTTGGTGGAATATAGAATCCTGGTGAGGAATTGGCCTTATATAAGAGGGAGTCTATTGTTTCTAGTTTTTTTTAATTTTTTTCCCATAGGTTTCTGGGGAAGAGTTGGCATTTGGTGACATGAGTAAGTTCTTTAGTGGTGATTTCTGAGATTTTGGTGCACCCATCACCCGAGCAGTGTACACTGAACCCAATTTGTAGTCTTTTATCCCTCACCTCCTTCCCACCCTTTCTCTCAAGTCCCCAAAGTCCATTGTATCATTCTGATGCCTTTGCATCCTCGTAGCTTAGCTCCCACTTGTGAGTGAGAACATACGATGTTTGGTTTTCCATTCCTGAGTTGCTTCACTTAGAATAATAGTCTCCAATCCCATCCAGGTCACTGCAAATGCTGTTAATTCATTCCTTTTTATGGCTGAATAGTATTCCATCGTATATCTATACCACAGTTTCTTTATCCACTCGTTGATTAATGGGCATTTGGGTTGGATCCACATTTTTTCAGTTGCAAATTGTGCTGCTATAAACATGTATGAGCAAGTATCTTTTTCGTATAATGACTTCTTTTCCTCTGGGTAGATGCCCAGTAGTGGGATTGCTGGATCAGATGGCAGTTCTACTTTTAGTTCATTAAGGAATCTCCACACTGTTTTCCATAGTGGTTGTACTAGTTTACATTCCTACCAGCAGTGTAGAAGTGTTCCGTTTTCACCGCATCCATGCCAACATCTATTATTTTTTTATTATGGCCATTCTTGCAGGAGTAAGGTGGTATTGCATTATGGTTTTGATGGACATTTCCCTGATAATTAGTGATGTTGAGCATTTTTCCATATGTTTGTTGTCCATTTGTATATCTTCTTTTGAGAATTGTCTATTCATGTCCCTAGACCACTTTTTGATGGGATTTTTTTTCTTGATAATTCGTTTGAGTTCATTGTAGATTCTGGATGTTAGTCCTTTGTCAGATGTATAGATTGTGAAGATTTTCTCCCACTCTGTGGGTTGTCTGTTTACTCTACTGACTGTTCCTTTTGCCATTGGAAAGCTCTTTCATTTGATTAAGTCCCAGCTATTTATCTTTGTTTTTATTGCATTTGCTTTTGGGCTCTTGGTCATGAAATCCTTCCTTAAGCTGAGGTCTAGAAGGGTTTTTCTGACATTATCTTCTAGAGGTTTTATAGACTCAGGTCCTAGGTGTAAGTCTTTGATCCATCTTGCGTTGATTTTTATATAAGATGAGAGAGGAGGATCCAGTTTCATTCTCCTACATGTGGCTAGCCAGTTATCCCAGCACCATTTGTTGAAAAGGTTGTCCTTTCCCCACTTGATGTTTTTATTTGCTTTGTCAAAGATCAGTTGGCTGTAAGCATTTGGCTTTATTTCTGGGTTCTCTATTCTGTTCCATTGGTCTATGCATGTATTTTTATACCAGTACCATGCTGTTTTGGTGACTATGGCCTTATAGTATAGTTTGAAGTCAGGTAATGTGATGCTTCCAGATTTGTTCTTTTTGCTTGGTCTTGTTTTGGGTATGCAGGCTCTTTTTTTGGTTCCATATGAATTTTTGGATTTTTTTTCTGGTTCTGTGAAGAATGATGGTAGCATTTTGATGGGAATTGCATTGAACTTGCAGATTGCTTTTGGCAGTATGGTCATTTTCACAACATTGATTCTACCCATCCATAAGCATGGGATGTGTTTCCATTTGTTTGTGTCATCTATGATTTATTTCAGGAGTGTTTTGTAGTTTTCCTTGTAGAGGTCTTTCACCTGCTTGGTTAGGTATATTCCTAAGTATTTTATATTTTTGCAGCTATTGTAAAAGGAGTTGAGTTCTTGATTTGATTCTCAGCTTGGTCACTGTTGGTGTATAGGAGAGCTACTGATTTGCATACATTAATTTTGTATTCTGAAATTTGCTGAATTCTTTTATCAGTTCTAGGAGTTTTTGGAGGGATCTTTAGGGTTTTCTAGGTATACAATCATGTCATCAGCAGATAGCAACAGTTCGACTTCCTCTTTACCAATTTGGATGCTGTTTATTTTTTTCTCTTGTCTGATTGCTCTGGCTAGGACTTCCAGTACTATGTTGAATAGAAGTGGTGAGAGTGGGCATCTTTGTCTCATTCTGGTTCTCAGAGGGAGTGCTTTCAACTTTTCCCCATTCAGTACTATGTTGGCTGTGGGTTTGTCATAGATGGCTTTTATTACATTGAGGTATGTCCCTTGTTTGCTGATTTTTGCTGAGGGTTTTTATCATAAAGTGATGCTGGATTTTGTCAAATGCGTTTTCTGCATCTATTGAGATGATCATGTGATTTTTGTTTTTAATTCTGTTTATGTGGTGTATCACATTTATTGACTTGTGTATGTTAAACCATCCCTGCATCTCTGGTATGAAACCCACTTGATCATGGTAGATTATCTTTTTGATATCTTGTTGGATTCAGTTGGCTAGTATTTTGCTAATGATTTTTGCATCTATGTTCATCAGTGATATTGGTCTGTAGTTTTCTTTTTTGGTTATGTCCTTTCCTGGTTTTGGTATTAAGGTGATACTGGCTTCATAGAATGATTTAGGGAGGATTCCCTCTTTCTCTATCTTGTGGAATAGTGTCAATAGGATTGGTACCAATTCTTCTTTGAATGTCTGGTAGAATTCAGCTGTGAATTCATCTGGTCCTGGACTTTTTTTGTTGGTAATTTTTTAAAATTACCATTTCAATCTTGTTGCTTGTTATAGGTCTGTTCAGGGTGTCTAATTCTTCCTGATTTAAGCAAGGAGGGTTGTATCTTTCCAGGAATTTATCCATCTTCTCTATGTTTTCTAGTTTATATGTGTAAAGGTGTTCATAGTAGGCTTGAATTATCTTTTGTATTGCTGTGGTGTCAGTTGAATATCTCCCATTTTGTTTCTAACTGAGCTTACTTGGATTTTCTCTCTTGTTTTCTTGGTTAATCTTGCCAATGGTCTATCAATTTTATTTATCTTTTCCAAGAACCAGCTTTTTGTTTCATTTATCTTTTGCATTTTTTTTGGTTTCAATTTAATTTAGTTCTGCTCTGATCTTGGTTATTTCCTTTCTTCTGCTGGGTTTGGGTTTGGATTGTTCTTGTTTCTCTAGTTCCTTGAGGTGTGACCTTAGAATGTCTATTTGTGCTCTTTTGGGCTTTTTGATGCAGACATTTATGGCTATGAACTTTCCTCTTAGCACTGCATTTGCTGTATCTCAGAGGTTTTGATAGGTTGTGTCACTGTTGCCTTTCAGGTCAAAGAATTTTTTAAATTTCAATCTTGATTTCATTGTTGACTCAATGATCATTCAGGAGCAGGTTATTTAATTTTCATATATTTGCTTGATTTTGAAGGTTCATTTTGGAGTTGATTTCCAGCTTTATTCCACTGTGGCCTGAGAGAGTACTTGATCTAATTTCAATTTTCTTAAACTTATTGAGACTTGTTTTGTGGCCTATCATATGGTCTATCTTGGAGAAGTTTCCATGAGCTGATGAATAGAATGTATATTCTGCAGTTGTTGGGTAGAATGTTCTGTAAATACCTGTTAAGTCCATTTGTTCCAGGGTATAGTTTAAATCCCTTGTTTCTTTGTTGACTTTCTGTCTTGATGACCTGTCTAGTGCTGTTAGTGGAATATTGAAGTCCCCCACTATTATTGTGTTGCTACCTATCTCATTTCTTAGGTTTAGTGGTAATTGTTTTATAAATTTGGGAGCTCCAGTGTTAGGTGCGTATATATTTAGGATTGTGATATTTTCCTGTTGGACTAGTCCTTTTATCATTATATAATGTCCCTCTTTGTCTTTTTTAACTGCTCTTGCTTTAAAGTTTGTTTTGTCTTTTATAAGAATAGCTACTCCTGCTTGCTTTTGGTGTCCATTTGCATGGAATGTCTTTTTCCACCCCTTTACCTTAAGTTGATGTGAGTCCTTATGTGTTAGGTGGGTCTCTTGAAGGCAGCAGATAGGTGGTTGGTGAATTCTTATTCATTCTGCAATTCTGTATCTTTTAAGTGGAACATTTAGGCCATTTACATTTAACACTAGTATTGAGATGTGAGGTACTATTCCACTCATCATGCTATTTGTTGCATGTATATCTTTTTTTTTAATTGCATTTTTGTTTTATAGGTCCTGTGGGATTCATGCTTTAAAGAAGTTCTGTTTTGATGGGTTCCCAGGATTTGTTTCAAGATTTAGAGCTCCTTTTAGCAGTTCTTATAGTGCTGGCTTAGTAGTGGCAAATTCTCTCAGCATTTGTTAGTTTGAAAAAAAACTGTATTTTTCCCTCATTTATGAAGCTTAGTTTCACTGGATACAAAATTCTTGGTCAATAATTGTTTTGTTTAAGGAGGCTGAACATAGGGCCCCAATCCCTTTTAGCTTGTAGGGTTTCTGCCAAGAAATCTGCTGCTGATCTGATAAGTTTTCCTTTCTATGTTACCTGGTGCTTTTGTCTCACAGCTCTTAAGATTCTTTCCTTCATCTTAACTTTAGATAACCTGATGATAATGTGCCTGGGTGATGATCTTTTTGCGATAAATTTCCCAGGTGTTCTTTGAGCTTTTTGTATTTGAATGTCTAGGTCTCTAGCAAGGTCAGCAAGTTTTCTTCAATTATTCCCCCAAATACGTTTTCCAAACTTTTAGATTTCTCTTCTTCCTCACGAACGCCAACTATTCTTAGGTTTGGTTATTTAACATAATCCCAGACTTCTTGGAGGCTTTGTTCATATTTTCTTATTCTTTTTTCTTTGTCTTTGTTGGATTGGGTTAATTTGAAAACCTTGTCTTTGAGCTCTGAAGTTCTTTCTTCTGATTGTTCAATTCTATTGCTGAGACTTTCCAGAGCATTTTGCATTTCTCTAAGTGCATTCATTATTTCCTGAAGTTTTGATTATTTTTTATTTATGCTATTTCACTGACGATTTCTCCCCTCCTTTCCTGTAGCATTTTTTGATTTCCTTAAATTGGACTTCACGTTTCTCTGGTGCCTCCTTGATTAGCTTAATAACTGACCTTCTGAATTCTTTTCAGGTAAATCAGGGATTTCTTCTTGGTTTGGATCCATTGCTGGTAAGCTAGTGTGATGTTTTTAGGGGGGCGTTAAAGGACCTTGTTTTGTCATATTATCAGAATTGTTTTTCTGGTTCCTTCTCATTTGGGTAGGCTATGTCAGAGGGGCTCAAGGCTGCTGTTCAGATTCTTTTGTCCCATGGGGTGTTCCCTTGATGTAGTACTCTCCCCCTTTTCTTAGGGATTTGGCTTCCTGAGAGCCGGGCTGTAGTGACTGTTCTCTCTTCTGGATCTAGCCACCTAGCATGTCTACCAGGCTCTGGGCTGGTACTGGGAGTTGTCTGCACAGAGTCCTGTGATGTGAACTGTCCGCAGGTCTCTCAGCTGTGGATATCAGCACCTGCTCCAGTGGAGGTGGCAGCAGGGAGAAATGGACTCTGTGCGGGTCCTTAGTTTTGGTTGTTTCATGCACTATTTTGTGTCTGCAATATAGTCCTCTAGTCTATTTTTAATGGAAACAGAATAAAAAGATACATCCACATTCATTCAGCAAATATTAATTAAGCACTTACTATGTGCCAGGCACTTAAGATTCATCAGTGGACAAAACAGACAAAATCCCTGTCTTCATGGGGCTTATAGTCTATTGCAGGGAAACAGACAGTAAACATATACAGAAAGAAATCTGTAATGTTAATAAAAATTAGTGCCTTGGTGAAAAATAAAGCTTATCATTAATGAGACTATTGGAAGCCCAGTGTCTTCTGAGGAGATAGATATTTTAGCAGTTTTTTGATCTTTTAAGAGACTTTTTTTTGTTGTTTTTAAAAACGTATTTTATTTTATTTTTTTGAGACACGGTCTCACTCTCCAGCCCAGGCTGCAGTGCAGTGGAACAATCACAGCTCACTGCAGCCTTGACTTCCCTGGGCTTAGGTGATTCTCCCACGTCAGTCTTCCAAGTAGCTGGGACTACAGGTGTGCGTCATCATGCCCGGATAATTTTTCTATTTTTTGTAGAGATGAGGTCTCACTGTTGCCCAGGCTAGTCTCGAACTCCTGGGCTCCAACAATCCTCCTGCCTTGGCCTACCAAAGTGTTGGGATTACAAGTGTGAAACACTGCACCTAGCCTAACAATATGTTTTAAATCATAGTTTGAAAATCTGATTTGATACCAAGATGCTACTTTTAATAATGAATTTACATGTAGCAATTTTAGCTTTAATGAGGCACCTTAATTTTTGTTCAAAATATTTTTATACAGTTGTCCCTCAGTGTCCACGTGGGATTGTGCAAGTCTCTGATATAAAATGGTGTAGCATTTGCATATAACGTACGCACATCCTCTGTATACTTTAAATCCTCTCCAGATTACTTGTAATGCCTAGTACAATGTAAGCGCTATGTAAATAGTTGTTAAACTGTATTGTTTAGGAAATAATGACTAGAAAAAAACTTTACATGTGCAATAGAGACACAACCATCTATTTTGTTCAGAATACCTTCCAACCCATGGTTGACTGAATTCATGGATGTGGAACCCATGGATGTGGAATCCATGGATATGGAAGGCTGACTGTAATATAGAAGAGTATGAATTTGCTAAAACTATCAGAAAATAAGTGTTTCATAATAACTTTTTAGGCACCCCACAGTTTACTTGAAGCACTAAAACAGTATTTAGCTTCTTTGGAAGAGAAAAATGACACTTTACCTCCTTACTGGTAAGTTAATAAATGTCTTAATGTAGGTTAATTTTGTTTCCCTCTAGATAATTTCCTGCGTCTTGAATGTTTAATGATATGCGATCGACTAAATAAATTATGGGCTATGAATATGATGGAATACTATTCAGCTATTTTAAATGATGATATGGGACCGAGGTTTTCAGTCTTTTGTGGGATTCCATACTCTTCGCAGGATGATATGCTTCCCAAAGGAACATCTTTTATTAAACTGAATGATTTGCAAAGTCAGAGATTGGGATGGGAATATTCAAGAATTTGATTCCTTCACCTAGGGGCTCCTTTAGTGAGAATAACTATTATTGTAGAAGATTATTTAATGACGTGTCAAAGTGCTCATTCATGGAATAGAACACATAGTAACATTCAAGACGTGTGTATAGATACACACATCTGTCTACACATACACATACATGTACTCTGCTATATATGCATATACATATAAACTGAATAATGCAAAATTTGAGGTATGTCACCCCAAACTGTTCACATTAGCTATTTCTTTTTTCTTTTTCTTTTTTTTTTTTTTTTTGAGACAGAGTCTCACTCTGTCGCCCAGGTTGTAGTGCAGTGGCGTGATCTCGGCTCACTGCAACCTCCACCACCTGGGTTCAGGTGATTCTCCTGCCTCAGCCTCCCCAGTAGCTGCAATTACAGGCACACGCCACCACACCCTGCTGATTTTTGTATTTTTAGTAGAGACGGGGTTTCACCATGTTGGCCAGGCTGGTCTCTAACTCCTGATCTCAGGTGATCTGCCTGCCTCAGCCTCCCAAAGTGCTGAGATTGCAGGCGTGAGACACTGCAACCAGCCTTAGCTATCTCTAAGTGTAACAATTATGGTTGATTTCCATTTTCTTTTTTGTATTTTTCTTTTTTTTAAATTATACTTTAAGTTTTAGGGTACATGTGCACAATGTGCAGGTTAGTTACACATGTATACATGTGCCATGCTGGTGTGCTGCACCCAGTAACTCATCATTTACATTAGGTATATCTCCTAATGCTATCGCTCCCCCCTCCCCCCACCGAACAACATGCCCCAGTGTGTGGTGTTCTGCTTCCTGTGTCCATGTGTTCTCATTGTTCAATTCCCACCTATGAGTGAGAACATGCGGTGTTTGGTTTTCTGTCCTTGCGATACTTTACTGAGAATGATGGTTTCCAGCTTCATCCATGTCCCTACAAAGGACATGAACTCATCCTTTTTTATGGCTGCATAGTATTCCATGGTGTACATGTACCACATTTTCTTAATCCAGTCTCTCATTGTTGGACATTTGGGTTGGTTCCAAGTCTTCGTTATTGTGAGTAGTGCCGCAATAAACATACGTGTGCATGTGTCTTTATAGCAGCATGATTTATAATCCTTTGGGTATATACCCAGTAATGGGATGGCTGGGTCAGATGGTATTTCTAGTTCTAGATCCCTGAGGAATCGCCACACTGACTTCCACAATGGTTGAACTAGTTTACAGTCCCGCCAACAGTGTAAAAGTGTTCCTATTTCTCCACATCCTCTCCAGCACCTGTTGTTTCCTGACTTTTTAATGATCACCATTCTAACTGGTGTGAGATGGTATCTCATTGTGGTTTTGATTTGCATTTCTCTGATGACCAGTAATGATGAGCATTTTCTCATGTGTCTTTTGGCTGCATAAATGTCTTCTTTTGAGAAGTGTCTGTTCATGTCCTTCGCCCACTTTTTGATGGGGTTGTTTGTTTTTGTCTTGTAAATTTGTTTGAGTTCATTCTAGATTCTGGATATTAGCCCTTTGTCAGATGAGTAGATTACAAAAATTTTCTCCCATTCTGTAGGTTGCCTGTTCACTCTGATGGTAGTTTCTTTTGCTGTACAGAAGCTCTTTGGTTTAATTAGATCCCATTTGTCAATTTAGGCTTCTGTTGCCATTGCTTTTGGTGTTTTAGACATGAAGTCCTTACCCATGCCTATGTCCTGAATGGTATTGCCTAGGTTTTCTTCTAGGGTTTTTATGGTTTTAGGTCTAACATTTAAATCTTTAATCCATCTTTAATTAATTTTAGTATAAGGTGTAAGGAAGGGATCCAGTTTCAGCTTTCTCCATGTGGCTAGCCAGTTTTCCCCACACCATTTATTAGATAGGGAACCCTTTCCCCATTTCTTGTTTTTGTCAGGTTTGTCAAAGATCAGATAGTTGCAGATGTGTGGCATTATTTCTGAGGGCTCTGTTCTGTTCCATTGGTCTATATCTCTGTTTTGGTACCAGTACCATGCTGTTTTGGTTACTGTAGCCTTGTAGTATAGTTTGAAGTCAGGTAGCATGATGCCTCCAGCTTTGTTCTTTTGGCTTAGGATTGACTTGGCAATGCGGGCTCTTTTTTGGTTCCATATGAACTTTGAAGTAGTTTTTTCCAATTCTGTGGAGAAAGTCATTGGTAGCTTGATGGGGATGGCATTGAATCTATAAATTATCTTGGGCAGTATGGCCGTTTTCACAATATTGATTCTTCCTATTCATGAGCATGGAATGTTCTTCCATTTGTTTGTATCCCCTTTTATTTCACTGAGCAGTGGTTTGTAGTTCTCCTTGAAGAGGTCCTTCACATCCCTTGCAAGTTGTATTCCTAGGTATTTTATTCTCTTTGAAGCAATTGTGAATGGGAGTTCACTCATGATTTGGCTCTCTGTTTGTCTGTTATTGGTGTATAAGAATGCTTGTGATTTTTGCACATTGATTTTGTATCCTGAGACTTTGCTGGAGTTGCTTATCAGCTTAAGGAGATTTTGGGCTGAGACGATGGGGTTTTCTAGATACACAATCATGTCATCTGCAAACAGGGACAATTTGACTTCCTCTTTTCCTAATTGAATACTCTTTGTTTCTTTCTTCTGCCTGATTGCCCTGGCCAGAACTTCCAACACTATGTTGAATAGGAGTGGTGAGAGAGGGCATCCCTGTCTTGTGCCAGTTTTCAAAGGGAATGCTTCCAGTTTTTGCCCATTCAGTATGATATTGGCTGTGGGTTTGTCATAAATAGCTCTTATTATTTTGAGATCCGTCCCATCAATACCTAATTTATTGAGAGATTTTAGCATGAAGGGCTGTTGAATTTTGTCAAAGGCCTTTTCTGCATCTATTGAGATAATCATGTGGTTTTTGTCATTGGTTCTGTTTATATGCTGGATAACATTTATTGATTTGCATATGTTGAACCAGCCTTGCATCCCAGGGATGAAGCCCACTTGATCATGGTGGGTAAGCTTTTTGATGTGCTGCTGGATTCGGTTTGCCAGTATTTTATTGAGGATTTTTGCATCAATGTTCATCAAGGATATTGGTCTAAAATTCTCTTTTTTGGTTGTATCTCTGCCAGGCTTTGGTATCAGGATGATGCTGGCCTCATAAAATGAGTTAGGGAGAATTCCATCTTTTTCTGTTGATTGGAATAGTTTCAGAAGGAATGGTACCAGCTCCTCCTTGTACCTCTGGTAGAATTCGGCTGTGAATCCATCTGGTCCTGGACTTTTTTTGGTTGGTAAGCTATTAATTATTGCCTCAATTTCAGAGCCTATTATTGGTCTATTCAGAGATTCAATTTATTCCTGGTTTAGTCTTGGGAGGGTCTATGTGTCGAGGAATTTATCCATTTCTTCCAGATTTTCTAGTTTATTTGTGTAGAGGTGTTTATAGTGTTCTCTGATGGTAGTTTGTATTTCTGTGGGATCGGTGGTGATATCCCCTTTATCATTTTTTATTGCGTCTATTTGATTCTTCTCTCTTTTCTTCTTTATTAGTCTTGCTAGTGGTCTATCAATTTTGTTGATCTTTTCAAAAAACCACCTCCTGGATTCATTGATTTTTTGAAGGGTTTTTTGTGTCTCTATTTCCTTCAGTTCTGCTCTGATCTTAGTTATTTCTTGCCTTCTGCTAGCTTTTGAATGTGTTTGCTCTTGCTTTTCTAGTTATTTTAATTGTGATGTTAGGGTGTCAATTTTAGATCTTTCCTGCTTTGTCTTGTGGGCATTTAGTGCTATAAATTTCCCTCTACACACTGCTTTGAATGTGTCCCAGAGATTCTGGTATGTTGTGTCTTTGTTCTCATTGGTTTTAAAGAACATCTTTATTTCTGCCTTCATTTCGTTATGTACCCAGTAGTCATTCAGGAGCAGATTGTTCAGTTTCCATGTAGTTGAGCGGTTTTGAGTGAGGTTCTTAATCCTGAGTTCTAGTTTGATTGCACTGTGGTCTGAGAGACAGTTTTTTACAATTTCTGTTGTTTTACATTTGCTGAGGAGAGCTTTACTTCCAACTATGTGGTCAATTTTGGAATAGGTGTGGTGTGGTGCTGAAAAAAATGTATATTCTGTTGATTTGGGGTGGAGAGTTCTGTAGATGTCTATTAGGTCCGCTTGGTGCAGAGCCGAGTTCAATTCCTGGATATCCTTGTTAACTTTCTGTCTCGTTGATCTGTCTAATGTTGACAGTGGGGTGTTAAAGTCTCCCATTATTATTGTGTGGGAGTCTAAGCCTCTTTGTAGGTCACTCAGGACTTGCTTTATGAATCTGGGTGCTCCTGTATTGGGTGCATATATATTTAGGATAGTTAGCTCTTCTTGTTGAATTGATCCCTTTACCATTATGTAATGGCCTTCTTTGTCTCTTTTGATCTTTGTTGGTTTAAAGTCTGTTTTATCAGAGACTAGGATTGCAACCCCTGCCTTTTTTTGTTTTCCATTTGCTTGGTAGATCTTCCTCCATCCTTTTATTTTGAGCCTATGTGTGTCTCTGCACATGAGATGGGTTTCCTGAATACAGCACACTGATGGGTCTTGACTCTTTATCCAATTTGCCAGTCTGTGTCTTTTAATTGGAGCATTTGGCCCATTTACATTTAAGGTTGATACTGTTATGTGTGAATTTGATCCTGTCATTATGATGTTAGCTGGTTATTTTGCTCATTAGTTGATGCAGTTTCTTCCTAGCCTCGATGGTCTTTCCAATTTGGCATGTTTTTGCAGTGGTTGGTACCTGTTATTCCTTTCCATGTTTAGTGCTTCCTTCAGGAGCTCTTTTAGGGCAGGTCTGGTGGTGACAAAATCTCTCAGCATTTGCTTGTCTGTAAAGGATTTTATTTCTCCTTCACTTATGAAGCTTAGTTTGGCTGGATATGAAATTCTGGGTTGAAAATTCTTTTCTTTAAGAATGTTGAATATTGGCCCCCACTCTCTTCTGGCTTGTAGAGTTACTGCCAAGAGATCCACTGTTAGTCTGACGGGCTTCCCTTTGTGGGTAACCCGACCTTTCTCTCTGGCTGCCCTTAGCATTTTTTCCTTCATTTCAACTTTGGTGAATCTGACAATTATGTGTCTTGGAGTTGCTCTTCTCGAGGAGTATCTTTGTGGCGTTCTCTGTATTTCCTGAATGTGAATGTTGGCCTGCCTTGTTAGATTGGGGAAGTTCTCCTGGATAATATCCTGCAGAGTGTTTTCCAACTTGGTTCCATTCTCCCTGTCACTTTCAGGTACACCAATCAGTTGTAGATTTGGTCTTTTCACATAGTCCCATATTTCTTGGAGGCTTTGTTTGTTTCTTTTTATTCTTTTTTCTCTAAACTCTTCTCGCTTCATTTCATTCATTTGATCTTCAATCACTGATACCGTTTCTTCCAGTTGATTGAATTGGCTACTGAGGCTTGTGCATTCGTCATGTAGTTCTGGTGCCTTGGTTTTCAGCTCCATCAGGTCATTTAAGGACTTCTCTGCTTTGGTTATTCTAGTTGTCCATTCGTCTAATGTTTTTTCAAGGTTTTTAACTTCTTTGCCATTGGTTCGAACTTCCTCCTTTAGCTTGGAGTAGTTTGATTGTCTGAAGCATTCTTCTCTCAACTTGTCAAAGTCATTCTCCGTCCAGCTTTGTTCCGTTGCTGGTGAGGAGCTGCATTCCTTTTGAGGAGGAGAGGCGCTCTGATTTTTAGATTTTTCAGTTTTTCTGCTCTGTTTTTTCCCCATGTTTGTGGTTTTATCTACCTTTGGTCTTTGATGATGGTGACGTACAGATGGGGTTTTGGTGTGGATGTCCTTTCTGTTTGTTAGTTTTCCTTCTAACAGTCAGGACCCTCAGCTGCAGGTCTGTTGGAGTTTGCTGGAGGTCCACTCCAGACCCTGTTTGCCTGGGTATCAGCAGCAGAGGCTGCAGAACAGCGGATATTGGTGAACAGCAAATGTTGCTGCCTGATCGTTAGACTCCCCAGAGGTGGAGTCTACAGAGGCAGGCAGGCCTACTTGAGCTGCAGTGGGCTCCACCCAGTTGGAGCTTCCTGACTGCTTTGTTTACCTACTCAAGCCTCAGCAATGGCGGCCACCCCTCCCCCAGCCTCGCTGCTGCCTTGCAGTTCAATCTCAGACTGCTGTGCTAGCAATGAGCGAGGCTCTGTGGGCGTAGGACCCTCCAAGCCAGGCGTGGGATATAATCTCCTGGTGTGCCGTTTACTAAGACTGTCGGAAAAGTGCAGTATTAGGGTGGGAGTGACCCAATTTTTCAGGTGCCGTCTGTCACACCTTTCCTTGGCTAGGAAAGGGAATTCCCCAACCCCTTGCACTTCCCGGGTAAGGCAATGCCTCGCCCTGCTTCCACTCAGGCTCGGTGCACTGCACCCACTGTCCCGCACCCACTGTCCGACAATCCCCATTGAGATGCACCTGGTACCTCAGTTGGAAATGCAGAAGTCATTCGTTTTCTGCGTTGCTCACACTGGGAGCTGCAGACTGGAGCTGTTCCTATTCGGCCATCTTGGCTCCACCCCTCTTTTTTGTATTTTTCTATATTTTCAACAATCACTACAAAGGTCACATAATATTAATTCATTAGACTTTTTAAGGTTGTATTGATTGTAATCTATTTATATTATCACCTTCTCTTAGACCACAAGCCTATTGACTATTTCTTAATTATCTTTATCACAGACAGACATATAGTTAGTATATAGTTGGAGAGATGGATGGATAGATGGATAAACCAAAGAAATGTAAGTTCAGCCAGGCAGAATATATGTAATTCTATTTATTATCCAGTGTGCCTCATATTTACGGTCATCTTTTAAGTCTTCAACGTGCATTGACTACATCCTTCCCAAATAGTCCAGTTGTGACAGCTTCAGCAAGCAGAGCTTGGTTTGCAGGTAATGTGGCATTATTACATGATTATGTAAGTAATAACTGAAGATAGGATTAGAATCTTCAATTTTTTTTAATTTTATTTTACTTTATTTTTTTATTTTATTATTATTATACTTTAAGTTTTAGAGTACATGTGCACAATGTGCAGGTTTGTTACATATGTATACATGTGCCATGCTGGTGTGCTGCACCCATTAATTCGTCATTTAGCATTAGGTATATCTCCAAATGCTATCCATCCCCCCTCCCCCCACCCCACAACAGTCCCCGGAGTGTGATGTTCCCCTTCCTGTGTCCATGTGTTCTCATTTTTCAATTCCCACCTATGAGTGAGAACATGCGGTGTTTGGTTTTATTGTCCTTGCGATAGTTTGCTGAGAATGATGGTTTCCAGTGTCATCCACGTACCTACAAAGGACATGAACTCATCATTTTTTATGGCTGCATAGTATTCCATGGTGTATATGTGCCACATTTTCTTAATCCAGTCTATCGTTGTTGGACATTTGGGTTGGTTCCAAGTCTTTGCTATTGTGAATAGTGCCGCAATAAACATACATGTGCATGTGTCTTTATAGCAGCATGATTTATAATCCTTTGGGTATATACCCAGTAAAGGGATGGCTGGGTCAAATGGTATTTCTAGTTCTAGATCCTTGAGGAATCGCCACACTGTCTTCCACAATGGTTGAACTAGTTTACAGTCCCACCAACAGTGTAAAAGTGTTCCTATTTCTCCACATCCTCTCCAGCACCTGTTGTTTCCTGACTTTTTAATGATCGCCATTCTAACTGGTGTGAGATGGTATCTCATTGTGGTTTTGATTTGCATTTCTCTGATGGCCAGTGATGGTGAGCATTTTTTCATGTGTTTTTTGGCTGCATAAATGTCTTCTTTTGAGAAGTGTCTGTTCATATCCTTTGTCCACTTTTTGATGGGGTTGTTTGTTTTTTTCTTGTAAATTTGTTTGAGTTCATTGTAGATAGAATCTTTAATTTTTTTCACTGCTAAACTACCAGCTGTGTCTACTGCCTCTTCCTGAAGCAGTATTTGACCGAGCACTTTCATTCCTAGGAATTTATTCAACATATATAGTCAAAATTGTGAAATGATATATGATCAAGAATATTCATTGCAACATTATAATAGCAATGGCACAATTAATAAGAGGCTTGCTTTTATATAACTGAAATGTAACAATCTCCAAGTTGTATTGTTAAATGACAAATGAGCAAGATGTGAAACAAAGTATAGTATACTATCATTTTTATTTTTTAAGATAGTAAAAAGAAGGAATATGTATGTAATGTCTTAAATAATACTTCTGGAAGGATATATAAGAAATGAGTTAAAATGGGCTGCTTCCAAAAAGAGTTTGGTGGTTCATGGAAAGAGATGGGTGGGTGAGTCTCCACCATATACCATTTTCTAACTTTTGAAATTAATACCATGAAAATAATTACCTATTATTAATATATAAAGTTTACAAAGAAACAAAAATATACATCCATACAGTGTGATACTTTGTAATGCTTAAGATGGAAATCCTTTGTAATTTCTTACATTTAGTTTGCTTCATACTTAAGTGGTGTTCTGGAGCCAACTCCTACTAGCTTAGAGGAGCCATAAATTTCCAGGAATATTTCTAGCTGGTTGATGTCACATTGGCAACTTGAAATTGGTCACGATGGGAGTATTTATCCTACAGAAATGGGCAAACACTACAAATTAAGCTTTTTTTTTTTTTTTTTGGAGCCTTGCTCTGTTGCCAGGCTGGAATGCAGTGCAATCTCCACCTCCTGGGGTTCAAGCAATTCTCTTGCCTCAGCCTCTCGAGTAGCTGGGACTACAGGCACATACCACCATGTCTAGCTAATTTTTGTATTTTTAGTAGAGATGGGGTTTCACCATGTTGGCTAGGATGGTCTCAATCTCTTGACCTTGTGATCTGCCTGTCTTGGCCTCCCAAAGTGCTGGGATTACAGGTGTGAGCCACTGCACCCAGCGTTTTTCTTGAGAGCTGTTTGTTATACATTTATTGGCACACAACTGCTCATAGGCAGCCATATTTTGGTTATCTCTACTCTAGACACAAATCCACGTAATAATGAGCAATATTATCATAGGGCTTATATAGCAGTGTTATCATAGGGTTTATATGTATTTGAATTAAATTTTGTTCTTATTTTAACTTAAATATTTAGACTGTATGTATGTTAAATGTTTTTATTTTTCTTTTATATATATATATATTTTCAATGGACAAATCTTCTGCATTTTTAATGGCGAGTTCAACCAAAGCTACGATAAACATAAGTTCTTTGCGTAAAACAATATGCATAGAAAAACTGTACACTTGGTTCATTTCCAAAAGAATAACTACTGTCACTTTTCTGAGTCCTTGTGCTTTGGGTATTATTAGTGCTTACAACAGATGTTACAAGACAGTTTAACATAGTGGTTAAGAGAATAAGCTATGGATTCAGTTCGATGTGTATGTATTCTAAAGGCCTATGGGCGTGATTACCAACAGACCAATACTGACTACTGGTGATCTCCACAGTAGTGTCACCCTCATTGCTTCAACCAATTCTATTGACAATACTGTGACCAGTTGAAACCACTTTTTATCTTAAATTACTATAATTTACAAATGCTGGCCATGGAGCCAGAGTGCTTGGATTCAAATTTCACTCTGCCATTCATAGACTGTGTTTTTGAGCAGATCATTTAGCCTCTCTGTACCTCAGCTTCCTTATCCTTTTAAGATTGCTGGCAAAATTAAATGAGTTGATATACACAGAGTGATTAGAACAGTGCCTAGCCCATAGTAAGTGCTGTTATTGTTGTTTTTGTACTTCTATCCTTCTATCACTCTTACCAACTTATTCCATGGTAAACCAAAAGCTCTATCCTTGGCAGTTTCACTGAATGATTTTTCTCTATCTCTGGCCTTGGTTGGAGATACTTCCCTTAGGGTTTTAATTACTATGTATATTCTGGGGAGAGAGAAAGAGAGAGAGAGAGAATTATATTTCTGTTTACATTTATATCTACAGCTCCAAACTTATATATCCAGCTGTCTAATGGACTTTTCCACTTGCATGTTCTACAATTATCTCAAACTCAATTTATCCAAAATGAAATGGCTCACTTACCGTCTCCCAAACCTTGCTCCTTTGCCTTTGGCATGTGCTTAGTAAATGGCACTGTTATCCATTTACTCAGGTGCTCAGTTGATACCAGGGAATTATTTTTGATACTTCCTTCTCCCTCACTTCCATATCCAACACATTACCAAATCCTATTCATTCTACTGCTCAATGATCTCTCAATTCTCTCCACTTCTTTCTATCCAAACTGCCTCAACCTTAGCTAAAACCACTGTCATTTCTCTCTTGGATTACTATAATAGCTACATAACTGCCCCCCCCACATCCATTTGCCCTCCTATAATCCATTCTGAATATGGCAATCAGAGTGATATTTTAGAAAGTCAAATATAATCATGCTATTCCCTTGATCAAAACCTTTAAGAGAATTTCAGTTATCCAAGGATAAAGCCTACAAGCTTCATGTTGTGTTGTTCTTGCTCAACTTTCTGGGATACTGGAGTTGTTTCACTTATTTACACATCCCCCAGGGTCTTTCTAATTCTCAGGCTGGAATCCTTTTCTCTCCTTCCCCTGGCCCTAATCCTCATGGCCTATATAACTTATATTTTATCCTGTAAGTCTCAGATTAACTAACACAGAAGACTAATTCTTGACTCCCTAGATGAAGTTAAATTTCCTTGATACATTCATGTAGTATTCTGTACTTCTTCTTTTATAATATTCAACAAATTGTAATTTTACTCAGATCCTGCAGGATCACCGTGATTCACTTTCTCACATCCTTTAGGTCATTACTTAAAAGTACCCTTCTCGGTGAGCCATTCCTATTTAAAATTTAAATTACTGCATGCGCCAAACTAAATACATAAAGCAAAAGTTATTAGAGATACATGGAGAACTTGAGAAAAATACTACTATAACGGGCAATTTCAAACCATCTCTTTCATTATTGGACATATCTCTCCCACTGACATATCATGTCTCTTTCCCTGATGTTTTTTCCTTAGCACTTATCAGTATCTGACATAGCATATACTTCATCTTGGTTGTTTTCTGTCTCCATTAGAATGTAAATCACATGAAGGCAGGGATATTTATCTTTTTTCCTCACTGCTGTATCTTTAGCACCTACTACAGTGTCTGGCACATAACAAGGGCTAAATTAAAATTTATTCAATAAATAACTTTAAATCACTCTTCTTTTACCTAATAATTTGAGGTCCTGTTAGTTTGTAGTGGGAGGGTACACATATATCATTACTCTATTGATATAAACTTGGTTTATGTTTTCATCTCATTTTGTCTCTTATTTTTAGATTATTTTGACTACATGATACATTACAACCATCATTACCTTCACAAGCCCACGAACCTATTGGAGCCAGACAGCAAGGTGGAACGATTATAGCAAACAACCTAAATGGCTCACCTGCTAGCCTTGTAGGACATAAACATCTATTTTTAAATTAATATTTTAAATATATTTTAAAATGCATTTTAAGAAAAAGTATTTACACAAAAATAATGTAAACCTTCTGTTTGTTTTATGAAACAGATTTTTACTTCGAATAAATCCCAGTCAATAGGTAAGTTTTTATTATTTAAAAAAAGATAGAGAGGGAGGGCTGGGCAGGAAAGAAAAAAAAAGGCAACCAATAAATACATGCCAGAGGAAATGGCTTGTAAGAGTAAGAACTAGAAAATAATTTTCAAATTAGATATCATAATTGCTTGTTATGAAACTCTATAACATGTGGACTTTTTAAACTTAAATAATTAAAGTGGAAAATTTATTTATTATGCACTATCCTAACTTTTGTAGGTAAAGTTCTTGGTTAAAGTATACTGTATTACATGGTTCTCCACCTACCCATCTGATAATCCTTCTTGGCTCATCTGAAGGATCTTCTTTTCTAGGCATGTCTTAAATATTGGCATTCCTCGTAGTTCTTTGTATTCTTGGTTCTTTTCCTTATGATAATAGACTCTATTAAATAAATAATGCTTATTTTTATTTTATCAAGCAAAAATAATGAATCAACTAGTTGGAGCTCCTGAGTATCTATCATAGGTTAGCCAGTGTGAACTTCAGTGAGTTAACTCCTAAAATTTCAGCCAAAAAAATAACAGGGAAATGGAAACCAAAGGAAGGCAGAAGTGATAATATTAACAACAAGTAATATAGAATGTAAGGTTAAAAGCCAGGTAAAGAGGATAAGGATAAGGATTTTTAGGCCTTATCTGACAAAAAGGGCATGATCTGATGTTAATCAGCTAGGGGAAACAGCAAGGCCTGTTTCTTCAGATTCTTCTCTGTGATCCTTTGCCTTCAGACATAAGGATGTTTCTTACCTGGATTTTTAGGTCTACCTAAAAATCCCTCCTTTAAGGATAAGGAGGGATATCATATAACGGTAAAAGGCACTATTTATGAAGACATAACAATATTAATGCTGTAGCACTAAGCTAAATATAGACAGCAAAAGTTATTAGAAATACATGGAGAACTTGAGAAAAGTATAATTATAATGGCAATTTCAGATCACTTCTTTCATTATTAGACAGGTCTAGTAGATAAAACATAAGTAAAGACGAAGGAATTCGAATAAAACATAATAAATAAATAACAATAATAAACCAGAACACACACACACACACACACACACACACACACACACACACACACACACACACAGAACGTTCATTTTCTTTAAAGCAATAATATACTTGGCCACAAAGAAAACCGTAACAAAATTTTGAAGAATTTTACAGTCTATATCTCATAATTCAATAAAATTAGAACTAATTAATAAAAATTTGACCATGAAAATTTTAACCATTTAGAAATTTAAAAATATAATTCTTTTGCCCAAGAGGAAATCAAAAGGAAAATTATTAACTATCTAAAGGTAATGAAGAAGAAAACTTCATACCAATGCTAATAGGGCACTGAGAGAGCTAAAACTCAAGATAAAAATTTGTGGCTTTAAATATCATTATGGTTTTAAAAAGATAAATTTTAAGAAAGAATTTCATTTTTATCTTAAGAAAGTAGAAAATAATTAGGAAGATAAAATTTTTAAAGCTAAAAGCTTAAATTAATAACACTACCAACAAAAACAGATACAAAATTCCTTGTAAAGTCTAATAAAATAAGCTCCTCTGATTAAATAGAAAAGAGAATGCAAAAGTTTACAACATTGGGAATAAAAGAGCTGACAGATGGAGGGGAGATTAAAATAATTATGATTGTGCAACCGTTTGGCAACAGCCTGTTTGAAAATCTAGAGGAAATGGATGATTTCCAAGTAAAATATAAATTACTATATACCGTCCAAGAAGAAGCAGAAAGATGCATAGACCAATTACCACATAAGTCTTTGAAAAGGTAGCTGAAGATCTACCAGTGCATCATGAGTTCACAGTTGAGCTATCTAACCCTTAAAGAATAGGTAATTTCAATTCTATGCCATAGAAAAAGGGAAGATCTCCAATTCAGTGTAGAAAGTGACATAACTTTAATATCAAAGCTGAATGAAGATGAACAAAGAAAGGAAGCTGCTAACTGGTCTCACGTATTCATTATATTTGGCAGAATCCTACATAAAATATTAACAAATAAAATCCAAGAATATATTTTAAAAATTCATTGCTTGTACAGACTGCTTCTTTGATATTCGAGCATACTCTATGAAACCCTGCCTGAGATGATACATTTATAGTTTTATAATCTTAAGTATCTAGTAAAGATAATATAAGCTTGATTGACTAGTAAACCTAGGTATAAAAAATTGTATGCCTGTATTATATTTAATGTTGACAACTCTGAAGATATTCCAGTTTTTATTTTACCGACAATCTTTCTTTTAAAAATGTGTCTTGAACATTTATTTATTTTTAATTGACAAAATTTATATATTTATGATTTACGTTGTACAACAGGTGTTTTAATATACATTGTGGAATGATTAAACAAATTAACATATCAGCTTCCTCATATTTTTAATTTTTTTTTTTTGAGACGAAGTTTCGCTCTTGTTTCCCAGGCTGGAGTGCAATGGCACAATCTCGACTCACTGCAACCTCCACCTCCCAGGTTCAAGCGATTCTCCTGCCTCAGCCTCCCAAGTAGCTGGGATTGCAGGCATCCGCCACCACACCTGGCTAATTTTTTTTTAATTTAGTAGAGATGGCGTTTCACCATGTTGGTCAGGCTGGTCTTGAACTCCTTACCTCAGGTGATCCACCCACCTCAGCCTCCCAAAGTGCTGGGATTATAGGTGTGAGCCACCATGCCTGGCCATTTTAAACCATTTTTTTTGTGGTGCGAACATGTAAAATCTACTTTCAGCAATTTTGAATATTCAATACACTCTTATTAACTACAATCAATGTGTTGTACAATAGGCCTCCTGAACTTACTCCTCTGTCTAGCTGAAGTTTTGTATCCTTTGATCAACATCTCCCCAATCCCTTTTCTCCCCAGGCCTCACAGCCCCTGGTAACTACAATTCTACTCTCTGCTTCTATGAGTTCAACTTTTTTTAGATTCCACATATAAGTGATATCATACAGTACTTATCTTTCTGTGTCTGGCTTATTTCACTTAGCATAATGTCCTCCAGTTTCATCTATGTTGTTGCAAATGTCCACTATCACTATTCTAGACCAGGCCACTTGAGACCTCTTGTTTGGATGACTTGAAAAGATTTCCTAACTGACTTCTTCACTCTATCTTACTTGCCCACTATTCATGTTCCATACTCCTCCCAGTCTAATCTTTCAAAAATGTAAACATGATCATGTTATAGCTTCAGTTCCCCACTGAAAGGGAAGGATTTCCTTCTTTTTATAATGAAATAGTATTTAATTATGTGTATACCACACTCTCTTTATCAGTTCATCCATTGATGGACACTTGGGTTGATTCTGTATCTTGACTATTGTGAATAGTGATGCAATGAACATGGCAGTGCAGAGATCTCCTCAATATACTGATTTCGAGTCTTTTGGATATATACCCAGAAGTAGGATTGCTGGATCATATGGCAGTTCTATTCTTAGCTTTTTGAGGAAAACCACAGTTTTCCATAATGGCTGTACTAATTTATATTCCCACCAACAGTATACAAACGTTCTCTTGTCTCCACATCCTTGCCAACACTTACCTTTCATCTTTTTGATAATAGCCATTCTGACAGATATGAGCTGATATCTTGTGGTTTTAATTTGCACTTCCCTAATGATAAGTGATGTTGAGCATTTTTTCATATATCTGTTGGTCATTTGTATGTCTTCGTCTGAAAAATGTCTATTCAGGTCCTTTGGCCATAATTGGGTTATCTCTTTTCTTGTTATTGAGTTGTCTGAGTTCCTTATGTATTTTGAATATTAACCCCTCTTCAGATGTATGGCTTTCAGATATTTTCTCCCAATCCATAGGTTTTCTCTTACTCTTTTAATTGTTTCCTTTGCTGTGCAGAAGCTTTTTAGTCTGATTTAATTCTATTTGTTTATTTTAGCTTTTGTTGCCTGAGCTTTTGGGGTCAAATCCAAAAAATTGTTGCCCCAACTAATGTTATATAGTTTTTCCTCTGTGTTTTATTCCAGTATTTTTACAATTTCAGGTTTTATGTTTAAGTCTTTAATGCATTTTGAGTTGATTTTTGTATATGGTGTGAGATAAGGGTTCGATTTCATTCTTCTGCATGTGAATATTACGTTTTCCCAGCACTGTTTATTGAAGAGACTGTTCTTTTCCCATTAGATCTGACATGAAGTGGTGTCAGCCTTCAGAGATGGAAATTAATGATGGAATAAACTGGCAGTTGAATACCTTCACCTGCACATCAACCATATGGAATTCCATTGCTGCTCCTCTTCCCTACATGGTAAAATTTGTGCTGTATAATTACTCTAGTTTTTTGATATATATATATATAACATAGAAAAATTGTATTAAGGATGTAAGTAGAGGAAGAAGTGTTTTCTTTTTAATCATTTTTAATGTATTACACTAATACTCGTAAGTATATTAAACTATTTCATAAATTGAAATGTGAAAATTCACATTAGGATCTCTATAAGGCCTGCAGTTCTCTTCTCATCATAGAATCTACACTTCCACTATTTTGCTCTACTTTTATTGTGCACCTATTAGGTACCATGCACTGTGCTAAGTGGTAAAGACACAGAATCAAATAGGAACTAGGCTCTACTCTCAAGGAGCTACTGTAAGGGTAGATGAAATAAAGACATTGAATATTTTAAGTGCTAAGATGGAACACTTCAGAGGGTATATTGATTAATTTTACAAGTAAACTGAACATGAGGTAAAAGGAGATGAGGTGAATCTATTGTATATTTCAAAATAGCTAGAAAATAATAATTTGAGTGGTTCTAAGATAAAGAAAAGACAAATATTTAAGGTGATGGATATCCCAATTACCCTGATTTGATCTTTACAAATTATATGAATGTGTTATCACATGTACCCCCGAAATATGTACATTTATTATGTATCAATAAAAATTTTTTTCAGAAAGGAGATGAGGTAAATTGATAGTCACCATGTAGCGGGATTGATAAGGAACTAGAGAGACCAATGGGGTTAGGAGGATATTTATTATTTAGGTGCACCAGCCCAGTTCGGATTAACATCCAAAGGACTGAGCCCTGAACAAAGAGTTAAGTTACCTTTTAAGCATTTTGTGGGGTGGGGAGAGATCTGTGCAGGGGGAAGCATATTACAGAAGCAAGAAACAATGACAGTTATTCAATTAATTGAGACATGCTTTACATCATTTCTTACTTTTTAAGGAAAAACATGTTTTACGACTTGAGTTTATCTTTTTAATGACCTTGCAGCTGCACAGCTAGAGAAACAGGGTCTTCACAATGCCTGGGAAAGGAGGAGAGATAAGGCTCACTAGCCACAGAAAAACAGACAGTTAATTTTAAAGGACTCCAGCTCTTTCTCTTTCTCAGGGGGAATTGGGTTTTCTTACATACAACTGAGTTTCTGCTTACACATTCTTTAATTTCTTTTTTTTTTTTTTTGAGATGGAGTCTCGCTCTGTCGCCCAGGCTGGAATGCAGTGGTGTGATCTTGGCTCACTGCAACCTCCACCCCTCCAGGTTTAAGCAATTCTCTGCCTCAGCCTCCGGAGTAGCTGGGATTACAGGTGTGTGCCACCATGCCTGGCTAATTTTTTGTATTTTTAGTAGAGACGGAGTTTCACCATCTTGGCCAGGCTGATCTTGAACTCCTGACCTCGTGATCCACCCACCTTGGCCTCCCAAAGTGTTGATTACGGGCGTGAGCCACCGCGCCCGGCCAAATTTCTTTTAATTCCTGTTCCAACCAGTTGACAAATAGGGCAAGGGCATCACAAGCAGAGGGAGCAGAAAACTACATGGACTATTCAGAAAAATGTAAACAGCTTAACATGGCTGTAGCATAATATATGACAGATGCAATAAGAGATAAAGCTAGAGAGGTTAATAGAGGCCAGAACTCATAGGAACTTGTATAAGAGTTTATCTTATTGGCAGTGGGGAGCCAAAGCTATAACATGATCATGTTTACATTTTTGAAAGATTAGTCTGGGAAGAGTATGGAAGATGGATAGTAGGCAAGTAAGACAGAGCGAAGAAGTCAATTAGAAAGTCTTTTCAAGTTATCCAAGCAGGAGGTCTCAAGTGGCCCGGTCTAGAGTAGTGACAGTGGACATTGAAAGAAAGAGATTTCAGAGATACACAGATAGAATTAATAGGACTTGCTAATAGATTGAAAGTTGAAAGATAAGATCCCCTATACATTATATGCAATTTTAAAATTCAAAAAGTTCTGGACAACAAGTTTACTTACTTAGTTAAGGTTTGTGACAAACTCTTTTGGCTGCAAAATGTTATCTGAACTATAATGAGTCTATAGTCACTATTTATGATCTTGTTTGCATTTTGCTGCATAAATATTAATGCATTTGATTATAGGGTACTATCCCATCCCCCCTGAGGTGTTACATCATATGTTTTATGTGCATTTTCTAAATTGTCTTTCTAATGTACAAAACATTGTGAATTTCAAAACACTTTTGATCCCAAGGATTTAAAATATAGGATTGTGGACCTGTGCTATTTTTTGTATGATTTTGCTTTAAAACTTCCTTGTTTCATAGATATAACAAACTGTACATTAACTTTTGAGTAGATAGTGACTTTTCTTTTTCTAATATCCAGCTGAGCTATATCTAGGAATGAAAATTTTGGTAGGGTTTGGGAAGAAGGAAGGAGTAACTTTGAAGCATACTGAGGAAAGTTGTGGCTGTGCTACTGCAATAGATTTGAAAACAAGGTAAGGCAATTTGAGGGAAATGGATGCTTAGAAAATAGACACAGATGACTAAGAAATACTAGAAAAGGTACAGCAAAGAAAGGGGTTTGCAGTAAAGAAGATGAAATGTAGAAATAACATAAATATTTAGTTTAAATTTATATGCATAGAGCTGTTCATAGTATTCTCTTATTTTCCTTTTAATCAATGTCTATGCAAACTGTAGTGATCTCTACTCTTTCATTTCTTGATATTGGTGATTTATGTCTTCTCTCTCTCTCTTTTTTTTTTTTGCCTTGCTTAGAGGATTGATATGGTTTGGCTGTGTCTCCACATAAATCTCATCTTGAATTGTAGCTCCCATAATTCCCATGTGTTGTGAGAGGGACCTGGTGGGAGATAATTGCATCATGAGGGTGGTTCCCCCCATACTGTTCTCACAGTAGTAAATAAGTCTCATGAGATCTGATGATTTTATAAGAGGAAACTCCTTTCGCTTGGTTCACATTCTCTCTTATCTGCCTCTATGTAAGACGTGCCATTTGCCTTCCACCATGATTGTGAGGCCTCCCCAGCCACGTGGAACTGTGAGTCCATGAAACCTCTTTTTCTTTGTAAATTACACAGTCTCGGGTATGTCTTTATCAGCAGCATGAGAACAGACTAATACAAGGATTATAAATTTTAGTTTCAGTGAATTTTCTCTATTGATTTTTTTGTTTTCAATTTCATCGATTTCTACTTTTTGTTGTTTCCTTTCTTCTGCTTGATCTGGGTTTGCTTTGCTCTTCTTTTTCTAGTTTCTTGGGGTGGAAATTTAGATTATCAAGTTGATATTTTTCTAATACAAGTGTTTAATTTTATAAAATTCCCTCTAAGCCCTGCTTTGATATAAACCAAACATTTTATTATGTTATATTTTCATTTTCACTCAGTCCAAAATATTTCCTAATTTCTCTTTGACCCATTATTTAGACATGTGTTGTGTAATTTCTTTCTTTTCTTTCTTTCTTTTTTTTTTTTTTTGAGATGGAGTTTTGCTCTTGTCACCCAGGCTGGAGTGCAATGGCGTGATCTCAGCTCACTGCAACCTCTGCCTCCCAGGCTCAAGCAATTCTCCTGCCTCAGCCTCCTGAATAGCTGGGATTATAGGTGCCCGGCACCATGCCTGGCTAGTTTTTGTATTTTTAGTGAAGATGGGGTTTCACAATGTTGGCCAGGCTGGTTTCGAACTCCTGACCTCAGGTGATCCACCTTCCTTGGCCTCCCAAAGTGCTGGACTTACAGGTGTGAGCCACCACACCTGGCCGTGTTGTGTAATTTCTAAGTGTTGGAAAATTCTCTTATCTTTCTGTTATTGATTTCTAGTTTAATTCATTTGTGGTCAGAGAGAATATTTTGTATGCTTTAAATTGTTTTAAATTGCTAAGTTTTGATTTATGACACATGAGATGGTCTGTTTTTGTGAACATTGTTGGGTGAAATGTTATGTATGTATGTAAACGTCAATTAGATCCTGTAGGTTGATTGCATTGTTCTGTATCTTTGCTGATTTCTGCAAAGTCCTTCTGTCTAGACATCAGAGTAGAGTATTAAGTTCCCAGTTATTGTGGATTTGTTCATTTCTCCTTTCAGTCTGGTCAGTTTTTGCTTCATATAATTTGAAGCTCTGTTATTTGGTGTATACACATTTAGGATTATTATGTATTCTTGGTGGATTGATCCTTTTACCAATAAGTAATGTTCCCCTTTATTCCTGGCAATTTTCTTTGCTCTGAAGTCTACTTTGATATTAATGTAACAGCTTTCTTTTGAATAGTGTTTGTGTATTATATCTTCTCTCCATTCTTTTAGTTTTAAGCTGCCTATATCATTGTATTTGAAGTGAGTCTCTTGTCTATAGTGCAGAGTTGGATTATTTTTAAAATCCATTCTAACAACCTCTGTCTTTTATTTGGTGTATTTAGAGCAATTGCACTTAATTTCATTATTGATGTTTGTATTTAGGTCTACCATTTTATTATTTTCCGTTTATCCCCTCTATTTTTGTTGTTGTTCCTCTGTTTCCTCTTTCCTGCCTTCTGGGTTCTTTGAACATTTGTTTTGTCCCACAGGACCTGTGGCTGGAGTCACCTCAAAAGCAGGAGCAGAGGAGTTCCCACAATGGAGTGCCCCAAACTGTCCTGAGATGGGACTGTTTGGGATTCCAAAGACAGAAGCACTAAGTGCCAGGGTGATCAGTCCAAAGCATGGACTGGTATGTCTGCAGATACAGGGGCAGGGGATGGAGTTTTTATTAGGGTTTAACAAATTTGGCTCAGTCGTGGGGCCAGTTTTTTTTTTTTTTTCAGTGTTTTGGGTAACAACCTAGATGCCTTTATTAGCACCTGGGAATGTTCAAGGCCCCAGTTTTTGTTCAGGCCTCCTGGCAAAAACCTGGAGTGGGCTGGGTCACAAAGTGATCAAGTCACTCTGTGATTTTCTGTCAAGACTCGGAAAGAAAGTTGGGGGAACTGGGGAAGCCCACAACAATTTTTAGTATCCCATTTTAATTTATATATTGTGATTTGAATTATATCTTCGTGTAGTTTCCTTTAATGCTTAATCTGGCAATTACCAAACACATTTCACAGTGAGTTTAGAATCAATATTTGACCACTTCAGTTGGAATGTAGAAACATTAGCACCATATGGGTCCAGCTTACCTTCTTCCCTTTATGTTATAGTTGTCTATCGATTACATCTACATACATCGAAAAACCATGCAGACAATCTCACACTTTTTGTTATCAACCATCAAACATGTTTTATAGAACTCAAGAGTGGCCAGGAGCGATGGCTCACACCTGTAATCCCAGCACTTTGGAAGGCCAAGATGGGCGGATCACTTGAGGTCATGAGTTCAGACCAGCCTGGCCAATGAGGCAAAACCCTGTCTCTAACAAAAATACAAAAATTAGCTGGGCATGGTGGTGGGTGCCTGTAATCCCAGCTGCTTGGGAGGCTGAGGCAGGAGAATCGTTTGAACCCGGGAGGCGCAGTTTGCAGTGAGCTGAGATTGTGCCACTGCACTCCAGCCTGGGTGACAGAGCAAGACTTCATCTCAAAAAAAAAAAAAAAAAAAAAGAGGGGACAAATAGTCTAGTATAATTACCCAGATAATTGACATTTCTGTTGCTCTTCCTTTTTCTTGATATTTCAAGTTTCCTTCTGGTATAATTTCCCTTGCTACCTGAAGAGCTTCCATTAGCAATGGAAGTTCTGCTGTTAGCAATTTCAGCTATGACTTCTCTTATTTTTCTTTCACTTGAGGATGGCTTTACTCCACCTTTATTCCTAAAGCAAATTTTCACTGGATATAGAATTCTGGATTGATAATTCTTTTCTTTCAGCACTTGAAAAATGTGCCACTTTATTCTGGCCTCTGTGGTTTCTGACGAAAAATTTACAATCATTTAAATCATTGTTCTCCTATAGCCTATGTCATTTTTTTCTGGGGCTGATTTCAAGATGTTTTCCTTTGTCTCTCATTTTCAGAAGTTTGGTGATGATGTCTGGGCATGGGTTTTGGGGGAGCATATGCTGTTTGGAGTCTATTCAGCTTGATCCTTCATTTCTATGTCTTTTGCCACACTTGGGAATAACTGGAAAATTTTCTGCTATTATGTCTTCAAATACTTTTTCAGCACTGCGCTTAGTCACTCCTTATTCTCAGACTCCAATAACACAAATACTAGATGTTTAGATGTTGTAACACTGGTCCCTGAAGCTCTGTTTGGTTCTTTCAAATCTTTTTTTCTGTCCTTCAGTATGAATGATTTCTACTGGTCTGTCTTTAAGTTCACCGAATCTTTGCTCTGTCATCTCCATTCTGTTATTGAGTCCTTCCATGGAATATTTTAATTGTGTTATTGTATTTTTCAGTTCTAAACTTTCCATTTGGTTTTTCTCTGTATCTTCCATTTATTTGATAATGCTTTCTATTTTAACTTTTGTTGCAAGAGTGTTCATGATTGCTCATTCAATTATTTTTATAACAACCACTTTAATGTCTTTGTCAGATAATTCCAATATCTGTGTCATCTCATCATTGGCATCTGTTGATTGTTTTTTCTATGCAAATTGAGATTTTTGTGGTTCTTCATGTGCCAAGTAATTTTGGATTGCATCTTGTACATATTGACTGTTATTTTGTAAGACTCTATCTTTTATTAAATTTTATGGAAAATGTTGATATTTGTGTTTTAACAGGTGTTTCACCTGATTAGGTCTAAGCAGCTAGTTTTAGCTGCTTCTCTGGTCCCTGGTTCTAATGTCAGCTCAGTTTCCACAGCCTCTGTGCTGTTCTTCAGGTCTGTCCTGCATGTGCACTACTCAGTGGTCAGCTGTGGACCTGCACATTGGTTTCTTCACTGGTTTAGTAATCAGAGTCTTTGCTATGCTCAAGATTAAAACCACCCATGCATGGGGACAGTGGTAGTGAGCCAAGGAGTCATAAAGTTTCCCTTTGGTATTTTTCAGTTTCCTGGTCAGAAACCACCCACTTCTGTGATAAAGACAAGTCAAGGTTTTGAGTGGTGGTAGGACAGAGACAGATTTATTAAAAAACATTTTTTGTCCCTGCCCTTATGGAGCCATAGCTCCACCTAATGGAAATGAATGTTTCCCTCCCTCAGATAGTTGGCTCTTGCAGAACAGTATTTGTCCTATTGTTTCTTTTACTCAGCATTATATCTTTAAGGTTTATCCATGTTGTAGCATGTATTAGAATTTCATTTTCAAAATTAATTAATTAAATTGACTATAATTGTATATATTTATGGAGTATGATGTGATGTTTTGATGTATGTACACATTGTAGAAAGATTCAATCAAACTAATTAGCATATTCATCACTTCACCTTTTTAACCTTTTTTTTTTTGCAGTGAGAACATTTAAAATATATCCTTTTAGCAATTTTGGAGTATATAATACATTATTAACTATGTTCACCATGCAGTGCAGTAGAGCACTAAAACTTATTCCTCTTGTCTAACTCAAACTTTGTACCCTTTGACCAACATATCTCCTTTCCCCATCCCTCCCCACCCTTCATCTCTGGAAACTAACATTCTATGAGATTGACAAAATTTTAGATTCCACATGGAAGTGAGATCATGAAGTGTTTGTCTTTCTGTGCCTGGCTTATTTAGCTTAACATGTCTTCCAGGTTCATCCAGGTTGTTGCAAATGACAAAATTTTGAGATAACGGTCCAATTTTATTCTTCCGCATGTGGATATCTAGTTTTCCCAGCACCATTTATTGAAAGCACTGTCCTTTCCCCATTGTATGTTTGTATTAGTCCATTTCCACAGTTCTGTAAAGAAATACCTGAGACTGGGTAATTTATAAAGATAAGAGGTTTAATTGGCTCATGGTTCTGCAGGCTGTACAGGTAGCATGGCTGGGGAGGCCTCAGGAAACTTATAATCATGGTGGAAGGAGAAGGGGAAGCAGGTACATCTTACATGGCCGGAGCCAGAGGAAGAAAGTGAGAGGGAGGTGCTACATACTTTTAAACAACCAGATCTCATGAGAATTCACTCACTATCATGAGAACAGCAAGAGGGAAATCCATCTCCATGATCCAGTCAGCTCCCACCAGGCCCTTCCTCTAACACTGGAGATTATAATTTGACATGAGATTTGAGTGGTGACACAAATCCAAACCACATCAATGTTCTTGGCACCTTTGTTGAAAATCAATTGACTGTAAATGCATAGTTTTATTTGTAGGCTTTTTATCCTGTTCCATTGGTCAATGTGTCTACTTCTATGCCAGTACCATAGCATAGAAGTTTTGATTATCATAGCTTTATAATACAGTTTGAAATCAGACAGGGTGATGATTCCAGCTTTGTTCTTTTTGCACAAGATTGCTTTGGACATTTGAGTTTTAAACAATGGTTCCATAATATATAACATTTGTTTATCCATTCATCTGTTGAAGAACATCTGGGTTGTTTCAACCTTTTGGCAATTGTGAATAATGCTGCCATGAATATTAGCGCACAAATACCTGTTTGAATCTTTCAATTCTTTTGATTCTATATCCTGAGGTGGAATTGCTGGATCATCTGGTAATTTCATATTTAATTTTTTGAGGAGCCACCATACCATTTATTACAGCAACTGTACCATTTTACATTTCCACCAGCAACATATGAAAGTTCAAATTTCTCCACATCCTCAATACTTGTTATATTCTGTGTTTTTTGGGAGTGGGTGATTTTGATGACAGCTATCTTAGTCAGTTTGAGCTGGTATAATAAGTTGCCATAGACTAGGTGGCTTAAACAAGAAAAATTTATTTCTCACAGGTCTAGAGGCTAGAAAATCCAATATTAAGGCACTAGTAGATTTATTGCCTGGTGAAGGTCCTCTTCTTGGTTTCCAGACTTCTTGCCGTACCCATCACGTGGCAGAAAGAGAGCAAGAGTGCTCTCTGTGGTCCTTTATATTCCACTCATGAGGGTCCCACTGTCATAACCTAATTACCTCCCAAAGGCCCCATCACCTATTACCTATTACCTATTACCATCAACTATTAATGTGATGGTAATCACATTAGGCGTTAGGATTTCAACATATGAATTTGGGGGAGTGGACAGGAATATTCAGTCCATAACAATAGCCATACTAATGGGTGTGAAGTGGTATCTCATTGTGGTTTTAATTTGAATTGCCCTAATGATTAATGATGAGCATCTTTTCATGTGATTACTTGCCATTTGTATGTCTTCTTTGAAGAAACTTTTGTTCAAATCCTTTGGTCATTTTTTAATGTGGTTGCTTTGGTGTTGTTGACTTGCAGAAGTTCTTTATATATTTTGGATATTAACCCTATATCAGATATATAATTAGCAAATATTTTCTTTTATTTTATGAGTTACCTTTTGACTCTCTTAAAAGTGTCCTTTGATTATACAAAGGTTTTTAATTTTGATAAACTCCAATTTATCTATTTTTCCTTTTGTTGCCTATACTTTTGGTCTCAAATCCAAGAATTCATTGCCAAATCCAGTGTCATCAAAGTTTTCCCCTTTCTTTTCTTAGAAGATTTTTATAGTTTTAGTTCTTAAGGTTAGGTCTTTGATTAATTTTTAGTTAACTTTTGTCCCTGGTATGAGGTAAGGGCCCAAATTATTCTTTTTTTTTTGTACTTTAAGTTTTAGGGTACGTGTGCACAACATGCAGGTTTGTTACATATGTATGTATGTGCCATATTGGTGTGCTGCACCCATTCACTCATCATTTACATTAGATGTATCTCCTAATGCTAACCCTCCCTGCTCCCCCCACCCCACGACAGGCCCCGGTGTGTGATGGTCCCCTTCCTGTGTCCAAGTGTTCTCATTGTTCAGTTCCTACCTATGAGCGAGAACATGTGGTGTTTGGTTTTCTGTCCTTGCAATAGTTTGCTGAGAATGATGGTTTCCAGCTTCATCTGTGTCCCTACAAAGGACATGAACTCATCCTTTTTTATGGCAGCATAGTATTCCATGGTGTATATGTACCACATTTTCTGAATCCAGTCTATCATTGATGGGCATTTGGGTTGGTTCCAAGTCTTTGCTATTGTGAATAATGCCGCAGTAAACATACATGTGCATGTGTCTTTACAGCAGCATGATTTATAGTCCTTTGGGTATATACCCAGTAATGGGATGGCTGGGTCAAATGGTATTTCTAGTTCTAGATCCTTGAGGAATCGCCACACTGTCTTCCACAATGGTTGAACTAGTTTACAGTCCCACCAACAGTGTAAAAGTGTTCCTATTTCTCCACATCCTCTCCAGCACCTGTTGTTTCCTGACTTTTTAATGATCGCCATTGTAAGTGGTGTGAGATGGTATCTCATTGTGGTTTTGATTTGCATTTCTCTGATGGCCAGTGATGATGAGCAGTTTTTCATGTGTCTGTTGGCTGCATAAATGTCTTCTTTTGAGAAGTGTCTGTTCATATCCTTTGTCCACTTTTTGATGGGGTTGTTTGATTTTTTCTTGTAAATTTGTTTAAGCTCTTTGTAGATTCTGGATATTAGCCCTTTGTCAGATAGGTAGATTACAAAAATTTTCTCCCATTCCGTAGGTTGCCTGTTCATTCTGATAGTAATTTCTTTTGCCGTGCAGAAGCTCTTTAGTTTAATTAGATCCCATTTGTCAATTTTGGCTTTTGTTGCCATTGCTTTTGGTATTTTAGACATGAAGTCCTTGTCCATACTTATGTCCTGAATGGTATTGCCTAGGTTTTCTTCTAGGGTTTTTATGGTTTTAGGTCTAACATTTAAATCTTTAATCCATCTTGAATTGATTTTTGTATAAGGTGTAAGGAAGGGATCCAGTTTCAGCTTTCTCCATGTGGCTAGCCAGTTTTCCCAGCACCATTTATTAAATAGGGAATATTTCCCCATTTCTTGTTTTTGTCAGGTTTGTCAAAGATCAGATGGTTGTAGATGTGTGGTATTACTTCTGAGGGCTCGGTTCTGTTCCATTGGTCTATTTCTCTGTTTTGGTACCAGTACCATGCTGTTTTGGTTACTGTAGCCTTGTAGTATAGTTTGAAGTCAGGTAGCGTGATGCCTCCAGCTTTGTTCTTTTGGCTTAGGATTGACTTGGCAATGCGGGCTCTTTTTTGGTTCCATATGAACTTTGAAGTAGTTTTTTCCAATTATGTGGAGAAAGTCATTGGTAGCTTGATGGGGATGGCATTGAATCTATAAATTACCTTGGGCAGTATGGCCATTTTCATGATATTGATCCTTCCTATCCATGAGCATGGAATGTTCTTCCATTTGTTTGTGTCCCCTTTTATTCCATTGAGCAGTGGTTTGTAGTACTCCTTGAAGAGGTCCTTCACATCCCTTGCAAGTTGTATTCCTAGGTATTTTATTCTCTTTGAAGCAATTGTGAATGGGAGTTCACTCATGATTTGGCTCTCTGTTTGTCTGTTATTGGTGTATAAGAATGCTTGTGATTTTTGCACATTGATTTTGTATCCTGAGACTTTGCTGAAGTTGCTTATCAGCTTAAGGAGATTTTGGGCTGAGACGATGGGGTTTTCTAAATATACAATCATGTCATCTGCAAACAGGGACAATTTGACTTCCTCTTTTCCTAATTGAATACCCTTTGTTTCTTTCTCCTGCCTGATTGCCCTGGCCAGAACTTCCAACACTATGTTGAATAGGAGTGGTGAGAGAGGGCATCCCTGTCTTGTGCCAGTTTTCAAAGGGAATGCTTCCAGTTTTTGCCCATTCAGTATGATATTGGCTGTGGGTTTGTCATAGATAGCTCTTATTTTTTTGAGATCCGTCCCATCAATACCTAATTTATTGAGAGATTTTAGCATGAAGGGCTGTTGAATTTTGTCAAAGGCCTTTTCTGCATCTATTGAGATAGTCATGTGATTTTTTGTCTTTGGTTCTGTTTATATGATGGATTAGGTTTATTGATTTGCATATGTTGAACCAGCCTTGCATCCCAGGGATGAAGCCCACTTGATCATGGTGGATAAGCTTTTTGATGTGCTGCTGGATTCGTTTTGCCAGTATTTTATTGAGGATTTTGGCATCGATGTTCATCAGCGATATTGGTCTAAAATTCTCTTTTTTTGTTGTGCGTCTGCCAGGCTTTGGTATCCGGATGATGCTGGCCTCATAAAATGAGTTAGGGAGGATTCCCTCTTTTTCTATCAATTTGATTAGTTTCAGAAGGAATGGTATCAGCTCCTCCTTGTACCTCTGGTAGAATTCGGCTGTGAATCCCTCTGGTCCTGGACTTTTTTTGGTTGGTAGGCTATTAATTATTGCCTCAATTTCAGAGCCTGTTATTGGTCTATTCAGGGATTCAACTTCTTCCTGGTTTAGTCTTGGGAGGGTGTGTGTGTCCAGAAATTTATCCATTTCTTCTAGATTTTCTAGTTTATTTGTGTAGAGGTGTTTATAGTATTCTATAATGGTAGTTTGTATTTCTGTGGGATCGGTGGTGATATCCCCTTTATCATTTTTTATTGCATCTATTTGATTCTTCTCTCTTTCTTCTTTATTAGTCTTGCTAGCAGTCTCTCAGTTTTGTTGATCTTTTCAAAAAACCAGCTCCTGGATTCATTGATTTTTTGAAGGGTTTTTTGTTTCTCTATCTCCTTCAGTTCTGCTCTGATCTTAGTTATTTCTTGCCTTCTGCTAGCTTTTGAATGTGTTTGCTCTTACTTCTCTAGTTCTTTTAATGGTGATGTTAGGGTGTCAATTTTAGATCTTTCCTGCTTTGTCTTGTGGGCATTTAGTGCTATAAATTTCCATCTACACACTGCTTTAAATGTGTCCCAGAGATTCTGGTATGTTGTGTCTTTGATCTCATTGGTTTCAAAGAACATCTTTATTTCTGCCTTCATTTCGTTATGTACCCAGTAGTCATTCAGGACCAGGTTGTTCAGTCGCCATGTAGTTGAGCGATTTTGAGTGAGTTTCTTAATCCTGAGTTCTAGTTTGACTGCACTGTGGTCTGAGAGACAGTTTGTTATAATTTCTGTTCTTTTACATTTGCTGAGGAGTGCTTTACTTCCAACTATGTGGTCAGTTTTGGAATAGGTGTGGTGTGGTGCTGAGAAGAATGTATATTCTGTTGATTTGGGGTGGAGAGTTCTGTAGATGTCTATTAGGTCTGCTTGGTGCAGAGCTGAGTTCAAGTCCTGGATATCCTTGTTAACTTTCTGTCTCGTTGATCTGTCTAATGTTGACAGTGGGGTGTTAAAGTCTCCCATTATTATTGTGTGGGAGTCTAAGTCTCTTTGTAGGTCTCTAAGGACTTGCTTTATGAATCTGGGTGCTCCTGTATTGGGTGCATATATATTTAGGATAGTTAGCTCTTCTTGTTGAATTGATCCCTTTACCATTATGTAATGGCCTTCTTTGTCTGTTTTAATTGATATTATCAAATGTTTTTCCCCTCATTCTATTAATGTGGTGTATTGCATCGATCGAGTTTTGTATATTGACTCATCATTGCATTCCAGGAAGAAATCCCACTTGGTCATGGTGTATAATCCTTTTCATAAACTGCTGGATTCGGTTTGCTGGTGTTTTGTTGAGGATTTTTGCATTAATATTCATAAAGAATATTGCTCTACAGTTTTCTTCTATTGTCTTTGGCTTTGGTATCAGAATATAGCAGCTTCATAGAATAAGTTAGGACGTGTTTTCTACGCTTCAATTTTTTGGAAGACTTTGAGAAGATTTGGTATTAATTTTTCTTTTGATGTTTGTTAGAATTCGACAAACATCAATTTCAATATTCATCTGGTCCCGGGCTTTTCTCTTTGGGAAGTTTTTGATTACTGATTCAACCTCTTTACTAATTATAGATCTATTCAGATTTTCTATTTCTTCATGAGTCAGTATCTTGTTTATTTTTTTAATCACTACAAATTAGGCGTAAGTATCATTGTTTTATATAGTCAGTGTTTGTTTAGATTTAAACACATTGTTTACCATTTTCTTTCTCATAATTCCTTCTTCTATCTTAGACCTTCTGTATGGGATCACCTGAAGTACATCCTTAAAATTTCCACTGGTAAGAGTGTATTGTTGGTCAACTCAATTTTCATTTGTCAAATTTCAATTTTCATTTGGTATACTCTTTTAGTTTGACAGTTATTTTCTCTTAGTACTCTGAAGATATCATTCTACTATATTCTGGCTTCTACCACCACCATTGATAAAACAACTTTCAGTCTAATTATATTAGCCGTGTAAGCAGAATAATGCCCGCCACCCGGAAGTCAACGTCCTAATCCATGGAATCTGTGAATATGCTTGGTTACATGGCAAAGGGACCTTGAGGTTGCAGGTGGAATTAAGTTTGCTAATCAAATGACTTTAAAATCGGGAGATTATCCTGGTGGGCCCAATATAATCACAAAATTCCTTAAAAGTGAAAGAGGGCGGCAAGAGGGACATAAAAAGAGATGTGATAATGGAAGCAAGATTAATGCTACAGTTGCTGACTTTGAAGATAGAGCAAGGGGGACACAAACCAAGGGATGTTGGTGACCTCCAGAAGCTGGAAGGAACAAATAAACTGATTCTCCCCTGGAGCTTCTAGAAGGAATGAAGCCCTGCCAATACCTTGGTTTTAGCCCAATGAGATCCATGTCAGACTTCTGAACTCCAGAACTGTAAGCAAATACATTTGTATCATTTAAGCCCATAAGTTTCAAGTAATTTGTTATAGCAGCAGTGGTAAACTAATATAGTGATTCTGAATTTTTTTGCTGTCTTTAAGGTTTTGCCTTTTTAATAAGTAGTTTTACCTTGATATTTCTACAGGTAGATTGGTTCATTGATAGATTGATTGACTGATTTAACTTGCTTAAAATTTATTGGGGCTTCTGGAATCTGAGAATTATGATTTTTCTCAGTTCTAAAAATTCTTAGCTGTTATACCTGTAAATATTGGCTTTCTTCCTTGCCCTCTAGTGTCTTCACTGGCAAGCCAATTAGACTTCTTTTATATCTTTTCACCCTCCTTTTTATCTCTTAAGACCTCTCTCCTGTATTCTCTCTTTATCTCTATGTGCTTCATTTTGGATATTATCTCCAAATGTATATTCTACTTTATGAATTCTGTCTGCATCTATGTCTAATTTGCAATTTAGCCCATCCATTGAAGGTTTGTGTTCTTGTAATTCAATCCTTCTGTTAAAGTTTTAATTTCATTAGTTATGCTTTTAATTTCCAAGAATATATTCTTATGATCTGTTCTTTTTCATAACATCCTGTTCACTTTCATAATAACCTTATTTGTCTCTTTTTACAGTTTTTTACTTAAAGTCTCTTTTCTCTGATATAAGTATAGCTACTCTTGCTCACTTTTGTTTTTCATTTGTGTGAAATATCTTTTTCCATCCCTTCACTTTCAGTCTATATGTGTCTTTACAGATGAAGTCAGTTTCATCAAAATTATTATTGATAAGTGAGGACTTACTCCTGTCATTTTGTTGTTCTCTGGTTGTTTTGTATATCCTTTGTTTCTTTCTTCCCTTCTTACTGCTTGTCATTGTGGTTTGGTTGTTTTCTATAGTAATAAGGTTGATTCTTTTTTGTTTCTTTTTATATCTGCTCTACTAATGAGTTTTAATACTTTTGTGTGTTTTCATAATGCTGATTATCTTTTCACTTCCAGATTCAGGACTCCCTTGAGCATTTCTTGTAAGGCCAGTCTGTTGGTGACAAATTCCCTCAGTTTTTGCTCATCTCGGAAAAACAAAACATCGGTTCGAGCATCTTTTCATATATTTATTAACCACTAAGTTCCCTTTTTAACGAAATACCTACTTAAGTTTTCACCTGATTTTTATTGGGTTATTTGTCATTCTCTTATTGCTTTATGAGTTCTATACAAATTCTGGATACTATTCCTTTGTCAGCTATTTCTTTGTCCCATCTTTTTTTCTGTTTGTGACATTTCTTTTTCAAGAAAGTATTACTTAGTGTTTTAGGAACATTTTTGATTAAACATGTTTCCCGCTATGAGTTCTCAGAAATTTAAGAAATACACAAAGGAACCAGGTGGGAATTAAAATTCAGATCTCGCTTTACGACCTAAAATATAGAACTTTGCAGTAAAGCTAGATTAGAGAAGATAGCAAGGGCTTCTACCTACCTCTTCAAATTGAACTTACTCCCCCAGTCACTCTTGTGAAAACTGTAGAACTGGATGGTGGAGACTTCAAAGGGACAGGAAGTTCTGCAAAGATGAGCCAACCTCTTAAGAAGGAAGTAGTAACAGTGCATGCCACTTGCTAGCAAGCTTTAGACCAGGAGGACTTTATGTAATACTGTAGCTTAGTGGTTAAGAGTACAGGCTTTGGCAGCAGACTGCCTGACTTGGAAACGAGGTAGAGCCTACTTAATATCTGCGCGACCTTGGACAAAGTACAGAACCTCTCCATGCCTCAGTTTTCTTACCTGTAAGATGGAGATTAATATGGCACCTGTCTTATAAGTTGTTATGAGGGTTAAATGAGGTAACACATGTAAAATGCTCAGAATAGTGCCTAGGTCACAGTTAGCGCTCAAAAAATATTTGTAATATGATGATGGTGATGATGATGATGATGATGGAGACTATGTGGCACAGTCCTCCCGCCCACTAATATATGAGACATAGACCACTAAATTAAATCCCCTCAGTCCTCAGGGAGGGATATGGAAATAAGAGGGCAAGGAGAATAACCATTTCCCCTAACAACAATTAAGATGCTCTGTGGGCATTGAGAACACACGTGGCATAGTTCCCCCTTGACAGAATTTTCTAGAACCTTGCTATACTTTCTTATTCTCAAGCTTCAATATTCATACGGTTCACCTAGAATTCTTAAAATGAAGTGGGTTTGGGATGGAGATTGAGATTCTGCATTTCTTTTTTGAAAAAACTTTTAAATTTATTTTTAAATTTTTATTTTATTTTATTTTAAGTTCTGGGATACATGTGCAGGATGTGCAGGCTCGTTACATAGGTAAACGTGTGCGATGGTGGTTTGCTGCACCTATCAACCCATCACCTAGGTATTAAGCCCCGCATGCACTAGCCATTTATCCTGATGCTCTCCCTCCCCTAACCCCTCCTGCAGGTCCCAGTGTGTGTTGTTCCCCTCTCTGTGTCCATGTGTCCTCATTCTTCAGCTCCCACTTATAAGTGAGAACATGTGGTGTTTAGTTTTCTGTTCCTGTATTAGTTTGCTGAGGATAATGTCTTCCAGCTCCATCCATGTCCCTGCAAAGGACATGATCTCATTCCTTTTTGTGGCCACATAATATTTCGTGGTGTATATGCACCACATTTTCTTTATCCAGTCTATTATTGATGGGCATTTGGGTTGATTCCACATCTTTTCTATTGTGAATAGTGCTGCAGTGAACATACATGTGCATGTATCTTTATAACAGAATGATTTATATTCCTTTGAATATATACCCAATAATGGGATTGCTGGGTCAAATGGTATTTCTGGTTCTTGGTCTTTGAGGAATCGCCACACTGTCTTCCACAATGGTTGAACTAATTTGTATTCTCCCAAACAGTGTAAAAGCATTCCTATCTCTCCACAGCCTTGCCAGCATCTGTCGTTTCTTGACTTTTTAATAATCTCCATTCTGACTGGGGTGAGATGGTATCTCATTGTGGTTTTGATTTGCATTTCTCTAACAATCAGTGATGGTGAGCTTTTTTTTTATATGTTGTCCACAACATATAAAATTGCTTTTGACATTCTTTTGAGAAGTGTCTGTTCATGTCCTTTGCCCAATTTTTTATGGGGTTGTTTCTTTTTTCTTGTAAATTTAAGTTCCTTGTAGATTCTGGATATTAAACCTTTGTCAGATGGATAGCTTGCAAAAATTTTCTCCCATTTTGTAGGTGGTCTGTTCATTCTGATGATAGTTTCTTTTGCTGTGCAGAAGGTCTTTAGTTTAATTAGACCCCATTTATCAATGTTTGCTTTTGTTGCGATTGCTTTTGACATTTTCGTCATGAAATCTTTGCCCATGCCTATGTCCTGAATAGTATTGCCTAGATTTCCTTCTAGGGTTTTTATAGTTTTGGGTTTTATATTTAAGTCTTTTATCCATTTTGAGTTAATTTTTGTATAAAGTGTAAGGAAGGGTCCAGTTTCAATTTTCTGCATATGGCTAGCCAGTTTTCCCAGCACCATTTATTAAATGGGGAACCCTTTCCCCATTGCTTGTTTTTGTCAGGTTTGTAAAAGATCAGATGGTTGTAGGTGTGCAGTTTTATTTCTGAGATCTTTATTCTGTTCCATTGGTCTATGTATCTGTTTTGGTACCAGTACCATGCTGTTTTGGTTACTGTAACCTTGTACTGTAGTTTGAAGTCAGGTAGTATGATGCCTCCAGCTTTGTTTCTTTGCTTAGGATTTTCTTGGCTATATGGGCTCTTTTTTGATTCGATATGAATTTTAAAATAGTTTTTTCTAATTTTGTGAAGAATGTCAATGGTAGCTTAATGGGAATAGCATCAAATCTATAAATTACTTTGGGCAGTATGGCCATTTTCACGATATTGATTCCTCCTATCCATGAGCATGGAATGTTTTTCCATCTGCTTGTGTCCTCTTTAACTTCCTTGAGCAGTGGTTTGTAGTTCTCCTTGAAGAGGTCCTTCACTTCCCTTGTTAGCTGTATTCCTGGTTATTTTATTCTCTTTGTAGCAATTGCAAATGGGAATTCACTCATGATTTGGCTCTCTGCTTGTCTGTTGTTGGTGTATAGGAATACTTGTGATTTTGGCATATTGATTTTGTATCCTGAGACTTTGCTGAAGTTACTTATCAGCTTAAGAAGCTTTTAGGCTGAGATGACAGGGTTTTCTAGATATAGGATCATGTCATCTGCAAAGAGAAACAGTTTGACTTCCTCTATTCCTACTTGAATAGGCTTTATTTCTTTCTCTTGCCTGACTGACCTGGCCATAACTTCCAATACTGTGTTGAATAGGAGTGCTGAGAGAGGGCGTCCTTGTCTTGTGCTGGTTTTCAAGGGGAATGCTTCCAGCTTCTTGCCCATAAAGTATGATATTGGATGTGAGTTTGTCATAAATGACTCTTATTATTTTGAGGTATGTTCCATCAATACCTAATTTATTCAGTTTTTAACATGAAGGGATGTTGAATTTTATCAAAGGCCTTTTCTGTGTCTATTGAGATAATCATGTGTTTTTTGTCTTTAGTTCTGTTTATGTGGTGAATTACATTTATTGATTTGTATATATTGAACCAGGCTTGCATCCTGGGGATGAAGTGAACTTGATTGTGGTGCATAAGCTTTTTGATGTGCTGCTGGTTTCTATTTGCCAGTATTTTATTGAGGATTTTTGCATTGATGTTCATCAGGGATGTTAGCCTGATGTTTTCTTTTTTTTAGTTGTATCTCTGCCAGGTTTTGGTATCAGGATGATGCTGGCCTCATAAAACGAGTTAGGGAGAAGTCCCTCCTTTTCAATTGTTTGGAATAGTTTCAGAAGAAATGGTACCAGCTCCTCTTTGTACCTCTGGTAGAATTCAGCTGGTAGGCTATTTAATACTGCCTCAATTTCAGAACTTGTTATTGATCTATTCAGGAATTCACCTTCTTCCTGGTTCATTCTTGGGAGGGTGTATGTGTCTAGGAATTTATCCATTTCTTCTAGATTTTCTCGTTTATTTGCATAGAGGTGTCTATAAATAAATAATGTGTCTATAAATAATACTGTAAAGTATTCTCTGATGGTTGTTTGTATTTCTGTGGGGTCAGTGGTGATATCCCCTTTATAATTTTTTATTGTGTCTATTTGATTATTCTCCCTTTATCCTTTATTAGTCTAGCTAGTAGTGTATTTTATTAACTGTTTCAAAAAAACAGCTCCTGGATTTGTTGATTTTTTAAGGTTTTTTTTTTTGTGTGTGTATCTATCTCCTTCAGTTCCACTCTGATCTTGGTTATTTCTTGTCTTCTGCTAGCTTTGGGGTTTGTTTGCTCTTGGTTCTCTAGTTCTTTTAGTTGTGATATTAGGGTGTTGATTTGAGATCTTTCTAGCTTTTTGATGTGAGCATTTAGTGCTATAAATTTCCCTCTTAACGCTGCTTTAGCTGCGTCCCAGATATTCTGGTACGTTATCTCTTTGTTCTCATTGGTTTCAAAGAACTTCTTGATTTTTACCTTAAGTTCATGATTTGCCCAGGAGTCATTCAGGAGCACATTGTTCAATTTCCATGTAGTTGCTGTGGTTTTGAGTGAGTTTCTTAATCTTGAGTTCTTATTTGATTGTGCTGTGGTCTGAGAGACTGTTGGTTATGATTTCAGTTCTTTTGCCTTTGCTGAGGATTGTTTTACTTCCTGTTATGTGATTGATTTTAGAGTAAGTGCCATGTGGCACTGAGAAGAATGTATATTCTGTTGTTTATGGGTGGAGACTTCTGTAGATATCTATCAGATTCACTTGATCCAGAGCTGAGTTCAAGTCCTGAATATCCTTGTTAATTTTCTGTCTTGATGGTCTATCTAATATTGACAGTGGGTGATAAAGTCTCCCACTATTATTATCTGGGAATCTAAATCTCTTTGTAGGTCTCTAAGAACTTGTTTTATGAATCTGGGTGCTCTGGTACTGGGTGCATATGTATTTAGGATAGTTAGCTCTTCTTGTTGAATTGATCCTTTTACCATTGTATCATGCCCTTCTTTGTATTTTTTGATCTTTGTTGGTTTAAAGTCTGTTTTGTTAAAAACTAGAATTGTGGCCAGGTGCAGTGGCTCACGCCTGTAATCCCAGCACTTTGGGAGGCCAAGGTGGGCGGATCGTGATGTCAGGAGATCGAGACCATCCTGGCTAACATGGTGAAACCCCGTCTCTACTAAAAATACAAAAAATTGGCTGGGCATGGTGGCGGGCACCTGTAGTCCCAGTTGCTCGGGAGGCTGAGGCAGCAGAATGGCATGAACCTGGGAGGCGGAGCTTGCAGTGAGCTGAGATCATGCCACTGCACTCCAGCCTGGGCGACAGAGCAAGGCTCCATCTCAAAAAAAAAAAAAAACAAAAAAAAAAAAAACCAGAATTGCAACCCCTGCTTTTTACTGCTTTCCACTGCTTGGTAAATTTTCTTCCATCCCTTTCTTTTGAGCCTATATGTGCCTTTGCACATGAGATGGTTCTCTTGAATACAGCACACCACTGGGTCTTGACTGTTTATCCAGCTTGCCGTTCTGTGTCTTTTAATTGGGGCATTTAGCCCATTTACATTTAAGGTTAATATTTTCAGGTGTGAATTTGATTCTGTCATCAGGATGCTAGCTGGTTATTTCACAGACTTTTTATGTGGTTGCTTCATAGTGTCATTGGTCTTTGTACTTCAGTATGTTTTTGTAGTGGCTGATAACAGTTTTTTCTTTCCATATTTAGTGCTTCCCTCAGGAGCTCTTGCAAGGCAGGCCTGGTAGTGACAAATTTCCTCAGTATTTGCTTGTCTGAAAAGGATCTTATTTCTCCTTCACTTATGAAGTTTAGTTTGGCCAGATAGGAAATTCTGGGTTGGAAATGCTTTTCTTTAAGAATGTTGAATATTGGCCCCCAATCTCTTCTGGCTTGTAAGGTTTCTGAAAAGAGGTCCACTGTTAGTCTGATGGGCTTCCCTTTGTAGGTGACCTGGCCTTTCTCTCTGGCTGTCCTTAACATTTTTTCCTTCATTTTGACCTTGGAGAACCTGATGATTATGTGTCTTGGGGTTCATCTTCTCATGGAGTATTTTACTGGAGTTCTCTGGATTTCCTGAATTTGAATGTTGGACCTGTCTTGTTAGGTTGGGGTAGTTCTGCTGGATGATATCCTGAAGTATGTTTTCCAACTTTGTTCCATTGTTCCCCTCTGTTTCAGGTACCCCAATTATTCGTTGGTTTGGTCTTTTTACATAATCCCATAGTTCTCGGAGCTTTTGTTTGTTCCTTTCATTCTTTTTGCTCTAATCTTGTCTGTCTTATTTCAGCAAGATAGTCTTCAAGTTCTGAAATTCTTTCCTCTGCTTGGTCTATTTGGTTATTGGTACTTGTGGTTGCATTGTGAAATTCTCATGTTATGTTTTTCAGCTCCATCAGTATTGGGGGAACCCGCCCCCAATATTTCAACATAGGTTCTTTCTATTTTCCATACGTGTCGGCTGGCTGAGAAATAAAGAGAGACCGTACAAAGAGAGGAATTTTACGGCTGGGCCACTGGGGGTGACATTACATATCAGTAGGACTGTGATGCCCACCTGAGCCTCAAACCAGCAAGTTTTTATTAAGGGTTTCAAAAGAGGAGGGGGTGTAAGAACAGGGAGTAGGTACAAAGATCACATGCTTCAAAGGGCAAAAAGCAGAACTACTAATAAGGATCTAACAAAGATCACAAGGCAAAGGGCAAAAGCAGAACTATTGATAAAGGTCCAACAAAGATCACAAGGCAAAGGGCAAAAGCAAGAACCACTGATAAGGGTCTATTTTCAGCGGTGCACATGTTGTCTTGATAAACATCTTAAACAACAGAAAACAGGGTTTGAGAGCAGAGAACCAGTCTGACCACAAATCTACCAGGGTGGAGTTTCCCAACCCTAGTAAGCCTGAGGGTACTGCAGGAATCCAGGGCATATCTCAGTCCTTATCTCAACTGCACAAGACAGACATTCCCAGAGTGGCCGTTTATAGACCTCTCCCCAGGAGCGCATTCCTTTCCCAGGGTATTAATATTAATATTCCTTGCTAGGAAAATAATTTAGCGATATCTCTCCTACTTGCACGTCCATTTATAGGCTCTCTGCAAGAAGAAAAATATGGCTCTTTTTGCCCGACCCCGCAGGCAGTCAGACCTTATGGTTGTCTTCCCTTGTTCCCTAAAAGTCGCTGTTATTCTGTTCTTTTTCAAGGTGCACTGCTTTCATATTGTTCAAACACACGTTTTACAATCAATTTGTACAGTTAACACAATTATCACAGTGGTCCTGAGGTGACATACATCCTCAGCTTACGAAGATAACAGGATTAAGAGATTAAAGACAGGCATAAGAAATTATAAAAGTATTATTTGGAAACTGATAAATGTCCATATTAAAATGAAATCTTCACAATTTATGTTCCTCTGCCGCAGCTCCAGCTGGTCCCTCCATTCAGGGTCCCTGACTTCCCGCAACACATTGGGTCATTTCTGTTCCTCTCTAAAGTGGTTATTCTGGTAAACAGCTCCTGTGATGATTTATCATGGTTCTTAGCTTCTCTGCGTTGGGTTAGAACATGGTTCTTTAGCTCAGTGAAGTTCATCATTACCCACGTTCTGAAGCCTACTTCTGTCAGTCCATCCATCTTGGCCTCCACCCAGTTCTGTGCCCTTGCTGGAGAGGTGTTATGATCACTTGGAGGAGAAGAGGCACTCTGGCTTTTTGAGCTTTCAGCATTTTTTTTGTTGATTCTTTCTCATCTTAATGAGTTTACCTAGCTTTGATCTTTGAGGCTGCTGACCTTTAGATGGGGTTTTTATGGGGACTTTTTTGTTGATGCTGTTGTTGCTGTTGCTTCCTGTTTGTTTTTCTTTTAACAGTCAGGCTACTCTTCCATAGGGCTGCTGCAGTTTGCTTGGGGTCCACTCCAGATCCTAGTCACCTGGGTCCCTCCTGCACCTGGAGGTATCACCAATGGAGGCTGCAGAACAGCAAAGATGGCTTCCTGCCCCTTCCTCTGGGAGCTCTGTCCCAGAGGGGCACCAACCTGATGCCAGTGGGAATGCTCTTGTATAAAGTGTCTGGCGACCCCTATTGGGGGGCTCTCACCCAGTCAGGAGGCATGGGATCAAGGACCCACTTAAGGAAGCACTCTGGCTGCCCCTTGGTGGAAGGGGTGCACTGTGCTGGGGAGAAATCTTACTCGTCCACACTGCCTGGATTCCTCAGAGCCAGCAGGGAGAAAGACTAAGTCGGCTGATCCATGGAGACTGTGGCTGCCCCTCCCCCCAGGGGCTCTGTTCCAGGGAGATCAGAGTTCTGTCCATAAACCCCTGGCTGGAGTTGCTGAAATTCCTGCAGCAAGGCCCCACCCAATGAGGAGGGTTGGGTTAGGGTCCAGCCTAAAGAGGCAGTCTGGGCTGAGCGTGGTGGCTCACACCTGTAATTCCAGCACTTTGGGAGGCCGAGGTGGGTAGATCACCTGAGGTCAGGTGATATAACTGTGTCTCATGTTATATCACCTAGTAATGGACAAAGAAACAAAGACAGGGATTAAAGTTATGACTGGTATTACTCAGCTTTTCATCTGCTGTGTTGAAAGCCAACTTATCATTTTTCACATTATTGTATACATCTAAAAGACATCATAAACGAAGACTGGAAGTGAAAACTGAAAAACTGAGAAAGTTTTATTTGTTGGAGGTAATGTGATTATGGTTGAAATTTTTATTTAATTTGTCTATTGTTATTGTTTTGTTTATGCAGTACAGAAAAGTCACAACTCTTTCTTTCTTAGCTAAGTTCACATTACTCTCTGATGTGCAATGTTTTCCAAGCAAATTCCTGTTCCTCAGGAAATTTGAGCTATTGTGAACTCTGCTCTGCCTTCTAAAACAACACAGCAATAATTAGATGTCTTTAAACCTCTTAAGGAAAGATAATTGCTTAAGGAAAGATCACTGTCTTGGCTATAAAAAGTTCACTATGAATTTGTTCTCAATGTTAAACATATAGCAGAAAATGTTCTGTATCTTTTAATATTGCTTATTAAATACTAGTAGAAAATTTACTTTTTGTCAAGGTTCTACCTCCAGTGACTCCCCAGCAAATGCCTATGTATAGAATGGTAAGAAAAAACGCTCTTTTTTAATCATTCATTTGAGTTTATTAGAAAATTTTGAGAGCTGGCAGCCAAGATGGCCGAATAGGAACAGCTCCAGTCTACAGCTCTGAGCGTGAGTGACGCAGAAGACGGGTGATTTCTGCATTTCCATCTGAGGTACCGGGTTCATCTCACTAGGGAGTGCCAGACAGTGGGCACAGGACAGTGAGTGCAGCGCACTGTGCGCAAGCCGAAGCAGGGCGAGGCATTGCCTCACTTGGGAAGTGCAAGGGGTCAGGGAGTTCCCTTTACTAGTCAAAGAAAGGGGTGACAGACGGCACCTGGAAAATCGGGTCACTCCCACCCTAATACTGTGCTTTTCCGATGGGCTTAAAAAACGGCGCACCAGGAGATTATATCCTGCACATGGCTTGGAGGGTCCTATGCCCACAGAATCTCGCTGATTGCTAGCACAGCAGTCTGAGATCAAACTGCAAGGTGGCAGCGAGGCTGGGGGAGGGGCGCCCGCCATTGCCCAGGCTTGCTTAGGTAAACAAAGCAGCCAGGAAGCTCGAACTGGGTGGAGCCCACCACAGCTCAAGGAGGCCTGCCTCCCTCTGTAGGCTCCACCTCTGGGGGCATGGCACAGACACACAAAAAGACAGCAGTAACCTCTGCAGACTTAAATGTCCCTGTCTGACAGCTTTGAAGAGAGCAGTGGTTCTCCCAGCACGCAACTGGAGATCTGAGAACAGGCAGACTGCCTCCTCAAGTGGGTCCCTGATCCCTGACCCCCGAGCAGCCTAACTGGGAGGCACCCCTAGTAGGGGCAGACTGACACCTCACACGGCGGGGTACTCCTCTGAGACAAAACTTCCAGAGGAATGTCAGACAGCAGCATTCGCAGTTCATGAAAATCCGCTGTTCTGCAGCCACTGCTGCTGATACCAGGCAAACAGGGTCTGGAGTGGACCTCTAGCAAACTCCAACAGACCTGCAGCTGAGGGTCCTGTCTGTTAGAAGGAAAACTAACAAACAGAAAGGACATCCACACCAAAAACCCATCTGTACATCACCATCATCAAAGACCAAAAGTAGATAAAACCACAAAGATGGGGAAAAAACAGAGCAGAAAAACTGGAAACTCTAAAAAGCAGAGCACCTCTCCTCCTCCAAAGGAACGCAGTTCCTCACCAGCAACGGAACAAAGCTGGACAGAGAATGACTTTGACGAGTTGAGAGAAGAAGGCTTCAGATGATCAAACTACTCCGAGCTACAGGAGGAAATTCAAACCAAAGGCAAAGAAGTTAAAAACTTTGAAAAAAATTTAGACGAATGTATAACTAAAATAACCAATACACAGACATGCTTAAAGGAGCTGATGGAGCTGAAAGCCAAGTCTCGAGAACTACGTGAAGAATGCAGAAGCCTCAGGAGCTGATGCGATCAACTGGAAGAAAGGGTATCAGTGATGGAAGATGAAATGAATGAATGAAGTGAGAAGGGAAGTTTAGAGAAAAAAGAATAAAAAGAAATGAACAAGGCCTCCAAGAAATATGGGACTATGTGAAAAGACCAAATCTACAACTGATTGGTGTACCTGAAAGTGACGGGGAGAATGGAACCAAGTTGGAAAACACTCTGCAGGATATTATCCAGGAGAACTTCCCCAATCTAGCAAGGCAGGCCAACATTCAGATTCAGGAAATAAAGAGAACGCCACAAAGATACTCCTCGAGAAGAGCAACTCCAAGACACATAATTGTCAGATTCACCAAAGTTGAAATGAAGGAAAAAATGTTAAGGGCAGCCAGAGAGAAAGGTCGGGTTACCCTCAAAGGGAAGCCCATCAGACTAACAGCGGATCTCTCGGCAGAAACTCTACAAGCCAGAAGAGAGTGAGGGCCAATATTCAACATTCTTAAAGAAAAGAATTTTCAACCCAGAATTTCATATCCAGTCCAACTAAGCTTCATAAGTGAAGGAGAAATAAAATCCTTTACAGACAAGCAAATGCTGAGAGATTTTGTCACCACCAGGCCTGCCCTAAAAGAGCTCCTGAAGGAAGCACTAAACATGGAAAGGAACAACCAGTACCAGCCACTGCAAAAACATGCCAAATTGTAAAGACCATTGAGGCTAGGAAGTAACTGCATCAACTAACGAGCAAAATAACCAGCTAACATCATAATGACAGGATCAAATTCACACATAACAGTATCAACCTTAAATGTAAATGGGCTAAATGCTCCAATTAAAAGACACAGACTGGCAAATTGGATAAAGAGTCAAGACCCATCAGTGTGCTGTATTCAGGAAACCCATCTCTTGTGCAGAGACACACATAGGCTCAAAATAAAAGGATGGAGGAAGATCTACCAAGCAAATGGAAAACAAAAAAAGGCAGGGGTTGCAATCCTAGTCTCTGATAAAACAGACTTTAAACCAACAAAGATCAAAAGAGACAAAGAAGGCCATTACATAATGGTAAAGGGATCAATTCAACAAGAAGAGCTAACTATCCTAAATATATATGCACCCAATACAGGAGCACCCAGTTTCATAAAGCAAGTCCTGAGTGACCTACAAAGAGACTTAGACTCCCAAACAATAATAATGGGAGACTTTAACACCCCACTGTCAACATTAGGCAGATCAACGAGACAGAAAGTTAACAAGGATACTCAGGAATTGAACTCAGCTCTGCACCAAGCGGACCTAATAGACATCTACAGAACTCTCCACCCCAAATCAACAGAATATACATTTTTTTCAGCACCACACCACACCTATTCCAAAATTGACCACATAGTTGGAAGTAAAGCTCTCCTCAGCAAATGTAAAACAACAGAAATTATAACAAACTGTCTCTCAGACCACAGTGCAGTCAAACTAGAACTCAGGATTAAGAAACTCACTCAAAACCGCTCGACTACATGGAAACTGAACAACCTGGTCCTGAATGACTACTGGGTACATAACGAAATGAAGGCAGAAATAAAGATGTTCTTTAAAACCAACGAGAACAAAGACACAACATACCAGAATCTCTGGGACACATTCAAAGCAGTGTGTAGAGGGAAATTTATAGCACTAAATGCCCACAAGAGAAAGCAGGAAAGATCCAAAATTGACACCCTAACATCACAATTAAAAGAACTAGAAAAGCAAGAGCAAACACATTCAAAAGCTAGCAGAAGGCAAGAAATAACTAAAATCAGAGCAGAACTGAAGGAAATAGAGACACAAAAAACCCTTCAAAAAGTTAATGAATCCAGGAGATGGTTTTTTGAAAGGATCAACAAAATTGATAGACCGCTAGCAAGACTAATAAAGAAGAAAAGAGAGAAGAATCAAATAGATGCAATAAAAAATGATAAAGGGGATATCACCACCGATCCCACAGAAATACAAACTACCATCAGAGAACACTACAAACACCTCTGCGCAAATAAACTAGAAAATCTAGAAGAAATGGATAAATTCCTCGACACATACACCCTCCCAAGACTAAAGCAGGAAGAAGTTGAATCTCTGAATAGACCAATAACAGGCCCTGAAATTGTGGCAATAATCAATAGCTTACCAACCAAAAAGAGTCCAGGACCAGATGGATTCACAGCCGAATTCTACCAGAGGTACAAGGAGGAACTGGTACCATTCCTTCTGAAACTATTCCAATCAATAGAAAAAGAAGGAATCCTCCCTAACTCATTTTATGAGACCAGCATCATCCTGATACCAAAGCCGGGCAGAGACACAACAAAAAAAGAGAATTTTAGACCAATATCCTTGATGAACATTGATGCAAAAATCCTCAATAAAATACTGGCAAACCGAATCCAGCAGCACATCAAAAAGCTTATCCACCATGATCAAGTGGGCTTCATCCCTGGGATGCAAGGCTGGTTCAATATACACAAATCAATAAATGTAATCCAGCATATAAACAGAACCAAAGACAAAAACCACATGATTATCTCAATAGATGCAGAAAAGACCTTTGACAAATTCAACAACCCTTCATGCTAAAAACTCTCAATAAATTAGGTATTGATGGGACGTATCTCAAAATAATAAGAGCTATCTATGACAAACCCACAGCCAATATCATACTGAATGGGCAAAAACTGGAAGCATTCCCTTTGAAAACTGGCACAAGACAGGGATGCCCTCTCTCACCACTCCTATTCAACATAGTGTTGGAAGTTCTGGCCAGGGCAATTAAGCAGGAGAAGGAAATAAAGGCTATTCAATTAGGAAAAGAGGAAGTCAAATTGTCCCTGTTTGCAGATGACATGATTGTGTATCTAGAAAACCCCATTGTCTCAGCCCAAAATCTCCTTAAGCTAATAAGTAACTTCAGCAAAGTCTCAGGATACAAAATCAATGTGCAAAAATCACAAGCATTCTTATACACCAATAACAGACAAACAGAGAGCCAAATCATGAGTGAACTCCCATTCACAATTCCTTCAAAGAGAATAAAATACCTAGGAATCCAACTTACAAGGGACGTGAAGGACCTCTTCAAGGAGAACTACAAACCACTGCTCAATGAAATAAAAGAGGATACAAAGAAATGGAAGAACATTCCATGCTCATGGGTAGGAAGAATCAGTATTGTGAAAATGGCCATACTGCCCAAGGTAATTTATAGATTCAATGCCATCCCCATCAAGCTACCAATGACTTTCTTCACAGAATTGGAAAAAATTTTAAAGTTCATATGGAACCAAAAAAGAGCCCGCATTGCCAAGTCAATCCTAAGCCAAAAGAACAAAGCTGGAGGCATCATGCTACCTGACTTCAAACTATACTACAAGGCTACAGTAACCAAAACAGCATGGTACTGGTACCAAAACAGAGATATAGATCAATGGAATGGAACAGAGCTCTCAGAAATAACGCCGCATATCTACAACTATCTGATCTTTGACAAACCTGAGAAAAACAAGCAGTGGGGAAAGGATTACCTATTTAATAAATGGTGCCGGGAAAACTGGCTAGCCATATGTAGAAAGCTGAAACTGGATCCCTTCCTTACACCTTATACAAAAATTAATTCAAGATGGAGTAAAGACTTAAACGTTAGACCTAAAACCATAAAAACCCTAGAAGAAAACCTAGGCATTACCATTCAGGACATAGGCATGGGCAAGGACTTCATGTCTAAAACACCAAAAGCAATGGCAACAAAAGCCAAAATTGACAAATGGGATCTAATTAAACTAAAGAGCTTCTGCACAGCAAAAGAAACTACCATCAGAGTGAACAGGCAACCTACAAAATGGGAGAAAATTCTCACAACCTACTCATCTGACAAAGGGCTAATATCCAGAATCTACAATGAACTCAAACAAATTTACAATAAAAAATCAAACAACCCCATCAAAAAGTGGGCGAAGGACATGAACAGACACTTCTCAAAAGAAGACATTTATGCAGCCAACAGACACATGAAAAAAATGCTCACCATCACTAGCCATCAGAGAAATGCAAATCAAAACCACAATGAGATACCGTCTCACACCAGTTAGAATGGCGATCATTAAAAAGTCAGGAAACAACTGGTGCTGGAGAGGATGTGGAGAAATAGGAACATTTTTACACTGTTGGTGGGACTGTAAACTAGTTCAACCATTGTGGAAGTCAGTGTGGCGATTCCTCAGGGATCTAGAACTAGAAATACCATTTGACCCAGCCATCCCATTACTGGGTATATACCCAAAGGACTATAAGTCATGCTGCTATAAAGACACATGTACACGTATGTTTATTGTGGCACTATTCACAATAGCGAAGACTTGGAACCAACCCAGATGTCCAACAATGATAGACTGGATTAAGAAAATGTGGCACATATACACCATGGAATACTATGCAGCCATAAAAAATGATGAGTTCATGTCCTTTGTAGGGACATGGATGAAATTGGAAATCATCATTCTCAGTAAAGTATCGCAAGGACAAAAAACCAAACACCGCATGTTCTCACTCATAGGTGGGAATTGAACAATGAAAACACATGGACACAGGAAGGGGAACCTCACACTCTGGGGACTGTTGTGGGGTGGGGGCGGGGGGAGGGATACCATTAGGAGATATACCTAATGCTAAATGACGAGTTAATGGGTGCAGCACACCAGCGTGGCACATGTATACATATGTAACTAACCTGCACATTGTGCACATGTACCCTAAAACTTAAAGTATAATAATAATAAAATAAAAAAAAGAATGCTTGGAATCAATTACACCCAATTGCTGTTAAATTTCTCCAATTTATCATGCTATACCTTGCATGAGTAGTCAAAGAGGACATAGTATACAAAGTATATAACACAAAGATAGTTTGAGTAATACGGTGGAAAGACTATATCACAAGATTGGAAACACCCTGGGATCAAGATCAAATTCTAATGATTTGCACAGCTATCGGACCTTGTGGTGTAACACATGGATTATGCATTATGTGTTAGAAATGGTTTGTGAAGGAATTCATCGATTTTGTAGCTTGTTTTATTTAGGCTCTGCACAGAACATCTATACTGTATGATTGTTCACTTTATCTCGTGCAGCTGTTTGCTAGAGAACCATAAAGAAGGGTTTTGAAAACATTTTTTTTTTGAGATGGAGTTTCACTCTGTCACCCAGGCTGGAGTGAAGTGGCACGATGTCGGTTCACTGCAACCTCTGCCCCCCGGGTTCAAGCGATTCTCTTGCCTCAGCCTCCCAGGTAGCTGGGGTTACAGGCGTTTGACACCACGCCAGGCTAATTTTTTTATTTTTAGTAGAGATGGGGTTTCGCCATGTTGGCCAGGCTGGTCTTGAACTCCTGACCTCAGGTGATCCGCCCGCCTTGGCCTCCGAAAGTGCTAGAATTACAGGTGTGAGGCACCACACCCGGCCAGAAAAGCCTCTTTTAAGATATCAAGAGTTGGATATATGGTTACAACTACGAACAGAAAAAAATTATACAGATATTTTTAAATGGAAGGTAATCCATCCACATTCTTTTCTTGCATTGGAAAAAATGGCAGCTCTCTGAAAAATAATATAGCACATGCCTTGTGAGATGGCTAACAGTAATAAAGAAAGGAACCCTGGAAATGGGGATGAAAAGAGATGCACAGAAGTGGAATAGTCAAGAGAAAGCTGCTTCAGAATTAATAGATAATCCAAAATAGGAATTATCAACATGCACATAATAGAGATTCAAGTATTAATATGGTTTAGTTTAGGTTACATTCTTGGTTTATTCTAAGAGTTATGAACTACTGTTTGCTGCTGGTTTTTCTCCCCTTCTGAAGGATTTTATTGTTGTCTCATTTTGTTTTGTTTTATTTGCCATTTTGCTGTTTGGGATCACTTCTAGTCTATATTAATCAGGTTTAAAAAGTTGAACTGATTTTGCTGTTATCATATAAAGCTTCTAATGGGAGACATTGTTAATACAGATAGAATATCTGGAATTTTTCTGATTCCAACTTTCTTTTAACTCATTTTTAGTTTATTGTTTATATTCTGCTTATTTGGCAAATTTTCATGATTTAAAATTTTTCTTAGTTAAAAATTGTTTGTAATCACTAGTTCTATTTGTAGCTTCAGTGCACTGCATAAATTTTATGCAATACAATACAGGTAATGGAAACTCTGAAGTCATTTAGTTGCTCCAGCCACACACCAATTAGCTCATGTTGTTTTTGCTGTTGGTCCATTCCAGAAAATGGTAAATATACAGGAACATACAGAGGATAACAAATATTCATGTTTCTGATACATCTCAAATTGCACGTGTCCAAAACTGTACCCTTGATCTCCCCAAAGCTGTTCTACTTGCAGCCTTCCCAATCACAGCTGATGACATCTCCATCCTTCCAGTTGCTCAGGCCAAAAGCCTTGCAGTCCTCCTTAATACATCTTTCTTTCACTCCACATACAATTCATGAGCAAATGCAATGGCCTTTATTTTCAGAATGCATCCTAACTTTTTCCTAATCCATTTTCTTTCACCTGGGTCACTGCAGTAGCCTCCTACCTGGGCTCCCTGCTTCTGCCCTTGCTCCCTACAGTGTTCTTCACACTGCAGCCAGAGTGATTGGCTTACAGTTTAAGTCAAATCAAGCAACTTCATTGCAATTGCCCCCACTTCTCCCAGAGCAAAAGCCAAGATCCTCCATGCTTCCTCTCTGCTTCCATCTCCTGACACTCCTGCCTTGCTTAGTTCTTTCTAGGCACAGGGCTACTCGGTATATATTCTTGAAGTAAGGCAGGAACAACCCATGTTTGTATTAAAGGACATTGAGGTTGTCTCCCCGGTTCACTTTTCAACTCACTTTAATGTGACTTCTATCCCCACTGTTCCACTAAACTGCTAACGTAAAGGTCTCTAATGACTTTCATGTGACTGAATCTAATAGCTACTTCTCTGTCCTTGTCTTACTTAGTCCTTCTGTCTTATCACTCAACTAGCACATATTCTAATTCTAGGAATATGGCAATAATTAAAAGAAACAAAAACCCATGTCCCTGTGGGATGTACATTCTAGTGGAGGGAAGAAATAAATAAGGTGACAAGTGCCATGGAGAAATTTGCAGCAGGGAAGAAGAATTAAGAGTATTGGAGTAGGTTTCCATTTTAAATAGGCTGGTCAGTGGGAACTCTATTGAAAAGGTGACTCAGTCTTGAGTAGAATTTTTTTTTTTTTGAGACAGAGTCTTGCTCTGTTGCCCAGGCTGGAGTGCAGTGGCACAATCTCGACTCACTGCAAGCTCCGCCCCTTGGGTTCACGCCATTCTCCTACCTCAGCCTCCCGAGTAGCTGGGACTACAGGCACCTGCCACCACGCCTGGCTAATTTTTTAATATTTTTAGTAGAGATGGGGTTTCACCGTGTTAGCCAGGATGGTCTCAATCTCCTGACCTCGTGATCTGCCTGCCTCGGCCTCCCAAAGTGCTGGGATTACAGGTGTAAGCCACTGTGCCTGGCCTTGAGTAGAAATTTTAAAGAGTAGAAGGAGCAAGTCAAGTGGAAGAGCATTCCAGGAGAGGGAATAATCAGTGCAAACACCTTGAAGTAAGAGTGTGCTGAGAGAAAGAATGGATGAAATCAACTAGGGGTGAGTGGAGAATGAGCCCAAGGGTCGTCTGTCACTGGGGCAAGGAAATGAGAAGGAACCTGCAAAAGAGGTGGAAAAGGAGTGGCCAGTGAGAGAGGAGGAAACACTCTCCCTTCCTAGAGTTAGAAACACCATTTTCTCTTAGTTTTCCTCCTACCTCATATCTCTTTTGAGTCCTGTTTGTGGACTTCTCTATACATCCTCTATAATAATATACTGTATGTGCCAGTTAGTTTCCAGAAGAGGATTCGAGTATAATATGATACTAGGTGTGCATGCATGTTAGAACTATGAGTGAACCCAAGCCCAGAAAAAATAGACTTAGTAAGAATTTAAGGTAGAAGGAGTAGAACTGAGATACTCCACAGGTCAGGGTCCAAGTACCAAAGGAGTGTGGTAGATTCCAGGTTAGGCATCAGTAACCAAAGTCCATTTATTAGTATAACAGGGCTTGAGGCAAAAGTATGGGTTGCAGAAAAAACTATGAAGGGCTACGTAAAAAGCCAGGCTATTTCAGATTCTTTCCAAACAATGGTGAACAGAACAGGGCCCATTTCCCAGGGAGAGAAGCTGACAGGAATCGGGTAAAAAGTAGATCCTAGCATTGACTTGACTACAGAATGAGAATCCCACTCCTCAGGCATGAATAACTATGGACCCAGGTGGACTGAAGGAGGTATATTCACCTAGGTTTCCTAAAAGGACTAGGTGCTCAGTCTAGTCACCACATGGGGCTATTCCAGGGTGTACTATCTGATAGCATCACAGAAGTAGACCAAGATCTTCATCCTCAGGCAAGAGCAATTTCAAGGATTTCTAGGCAGCACTGGTTTGTAAGGCAAGAGGTCTTGGTACCTTGCTCACTTAGGCCCTTTGTTTGATACTGCAGAAGTGGCATCCCTGCACACTGAAGATAGCTAGGAACTGCTTCCAAATTGCTGGCATGGGGCTGAGACAGGAGGAAGGACTGGAAAACTTAAATGTTACTATCAACTAAAATTCTTTTAACTTCATTTTCACTTCTCATCCATTCTATATATATGTGGGTATTTTTTTAAGATCCAAGTGCTAGACTCTGTTAACCTTCCTCTTATTCAGTTGGGACCCTATCTCTAGTCTGTCGAGAAAATTAATGTTTCTGATTATATTTAATATATTCATTATCCTTTCCAATGTGTATGTTATTCACATGCTCAGTGAACATGTCCTCTACAACATTTTCATTGATAGATGAAGATGAACAAGAAGATCAAGAACATAACCCTGTAGTGTATCACCAGAAACCTCTCAGCAGGTCAACATATTAACCCTTAGCCTTTGGTTATGAGTCATTTGAACAGTTTCTAATTTACCCAGTTGTTCTTAAGTAAGCCCATATTTCCTCAATCAGTGAGGGAGAAGTGAGGGAAAAGATCAAGAGGAGGAAGCAGTAGGCTTGGTAAGCCATGCCAAGGAGTTTACACACTATCTACAGTCAATGAGGGTCCATTTAATGGTTTTAAACAGTGGAGGGAGATGGTCACAGTCTTATATTAATGGGTCTGTGCAACCTCCTTAGTTTGTTCTTCATTAATTGCTATTCTTTCATCTTTTGAATATAATTTAAAATCTGAGCTCATAAAGTAACTAGAAGAGTAAAACAAACTAAAGAGATGTCAAAGCCTTTCTAGTTCCACCTACGTCCTTGACCTGATGTGCTTGCGCTTCCTTCACTACTTTCATCTGGCAAATTTCTATACATCCTTCACATTTAACCTGTAGATCGCCATATCAAATCATATGTTCATACTAAAGTATTTCATGAAAGATACATACATACCAGTATACATTTAACATGTTCCATGTCCACCTACAAACTTCCTTTCTTTTTCCTATGAGTATTATTGGCCTTGAGATGTTGGAGTTCTGTCTTGAAAAGAGTCATTTGTAGGCCTTACTTTGTGGCTAATTCATCCCTGCTTTTCAATAACTATTCTTTAGGTTTTCCACACTCTTTGGTCTGTCACACTTTATCACTAGCAGCCCCTTCACAGATACATTTTCGTCTTTTTCTTTGCATCTGGCATTTAGCATTCCTTTCAATTGATGCTTATTAAATATTAATATAATATTTACTCTAGGGGGCTACTTGTTCTCATGGTACTATTGTATTAGGAGAGCAATTAAATACTAATTAATTTTTAACTGATTGTTTTCTTTTACAATTCATAGGTTCCAACTCCATTGGGAGCTCCTTCTCTAATGGCACCTCAACCCATGATTCATACCCAGCAAGGCCTAAGGACCAGTAGTCCTTCCACTCCATCCCCAGAGCATCAGGTACGTTTGGGCTGTTGTTGCTAAGGGCCTTGGCAGAGATAGGCAGTCACTGGAGGCAGGATCAGTGTTATAATGGAGTTTTGCAACATAGCCATCTTTTGTATACTGTTGGTCTCTCATAGAAGAAAGCATAGTTCTAACATTTTCATCATCATAGAAAGACACAGAACTGTGCAGACCTGGTGCAGACCTCTATAAACTTGTGTTGTTAAGCCTCAACTGGCTTCTTATATTTATTCAGCCATCCTTTTATTCATTTATTTGTTTATTCAGTCAACAAACCCAACTGTGATTAGTATTGGAGAAGTGGCTAACTCAGTCTGGAGATTTCAAGGATGACTTACCAGAGAACTGATACTTAAGTTTAATGATAAGATTTAAAAATAGACAGAGAGTTAACAGAGTGAGAAAGCGTGCTCCAGATAAACACAGACACAGAGAGGGAAGCACAAAGCACCATGGGAACTCAAAGAACGGAATAATTAATTTAGCAAAGGAAGCTTTCAAGTACTGAATGATAAAGAAGATTTCAAATAGTAGATGTATAGCGGATAGAAGAAGTTTGGCATTACAGGCAGAAAGAATAGGTTGAACAAAGAAGTGGAAGTAGGCAGTGGTAATATGAGTGAGTATAGCTGAAGTGTATGGGAGAGTGTCATGATCCAGGTGTCCATTGTCTCAGAGTATTGTTTTCTAGAAGACTTTACAAGGTTTCTTCTTTCAGTCTTCAGCTGATGTGCTGAGCCCCCTGATACCTGAACATTTGTTTTAGGAGGAGTGACAAAGCTTCAGGTGTTAGATAATGAGAAAAATGACGAGAGTTTTGTATTAAAATATTTGTAATTTATTTCATAACTACAAATAAAAATATGTATAAATGATTAAATATTTACAGATCTGTCTCTCATTCAGACGCAGTCCAAGTAGAGGTCCCAAAGCAAAAAGATTCAGATTCAGAAGTGAATAAAAAGATCTTTCAACAGGCTGAACTGAATCCTCCACATCTTCCAAGTAAAATAAACGTTTACTTGGAAGACATTCAATACTCTTGAAATTCTTTAATTTGACGTTTGGAGGTTATGTACTCTATTTTTCTTATTTTAATGGTTAATAATTCACCTAACCCACTCTAGTCTTCCAACCACACCCCTTCCCTAACAAGTTCCTAAAAGCACGTGTGTCAGCCCGGTGCAGTGGCCCAAGCTTGTAATCCCAGCACTTTGGGAGGTTGAGGTGGCAGGAGGATGACTTGAAGCCAGGAGTTTGGACCAGCCTGGGCAACATTGCGAGGCCCCATCTCTACAAAATTACAAAATAAAGAAATTAGCTGGATATAGTGGCATGCACCCATACTCCTAGCCACTCGGGAGGCTGAGGCAAGAGGACTGCTTGAGCCCAGGAGTTTGAGGCTGCAGTGAGCTATGATTGCACCATTGCACTCCAGCCTGGGTGACAGAGAGAGACCCTGTCTCTAAAAAAAAGCACATATGCCATGTGTCATACAGGCGCAGTTCTGGGCCCTCTGAGTGCCCTCAGTAGCCACAGTACAAGCCTTACTTCATACCAGGTGTTCTTCAGTTGTTTGGCCCCTTTAGGGACTGCTACAGATCTAGTCATGACTCTCATCTAATCCAGAGCCAGGTCCCTAGGTAAAATCTCAGGACTTCATCCCCTGAAGACTGCCATGGAGTGACAATTCGCTTCCTTCCTGTCCTCATAGCAAGGCTGATGGCATCATTTTGCTGAAATTGATTTCCTGAGCAGACTCTCCAGACTCCCAGCATGTAATTGCTGTAGCTGCTCTCTAAGTAACAGCAAGAGCAATGGTTGCCTATGATTCCTTGTCTTGGGCAGGGAGTGTGATCCCTGAGTAACTAACATAAACTCACCTTGCCATGGGAAATTTCATCAAGTATTCTGGTCTCTGCTGGCTTGGCTTTCTTGAAACTGTAATGTGCCCACACACCGTTATTTTTGAGCCATCATCTGTATCACAAATAAACAGAGACTACAATATGTGAAAGGTGATGAATTTTCTAGAGATTAGCAATTCCAAAATCCTCTTTAGGAAGAGGAAATGGAGGCCCTAAGAGAGATGACTTCCAAGGTTTCTTGGCTCCAAATCCAGAATTTTTTCCAATGTGTAGGCAAAAGCAGGTCTTCCATGCAAGATGGAGTCCCACTACACTTAGTGTCTCTGGCACTTAGCATTAACTGTCTTGCCCAGCTAGGTGGTTTTTCATGTGAGTGTCTTAGTTTCTTAACTAGATTTATTATCTCCAGTTATACACTGCATCGGATTCTTCTAGTGTAATTTATCTTCACTACCTCAATGTTGAGCACATTGTACATGCTCCACAAACATTTGTTGCTTGATTCACACAGTCAATAAATAATGATCAAGCAATAAATATTGATCAACTTGATCAATAAATAATGATCAGTTATCAAGCTCAGTGTGAGGCCCAGAGAAGCAAAGGCAAGAGAAACAAGTCCATACCCTTAAGTATTTATAGGCTGATAGAGGCACTCGTCTCAGCTTCTCCTTTTCTTTGGTACTGACATCAGACATTTTAGAGTCAAGTTGAAAAGAGTTGGTCGTATTTTTGGGCTTTCATATTTCAAGGCATTTCAACATATCCACAAATAGCAGGCCCAGTGAGCTGTGCAATATCATGGGGCTCCAATGTTTTAGGAGTTAGTCCTGAGCCAGACTGAATGCTCTCTCTTATCTGTATATGTGAAGAATAGCCCTTCTTCCTCCCCAGGAGGCTGTGAGGGATTTAAAACAGATGTCTATCTGAGGGACCCTGCAGATCTCCCATGCTATGAGCAGGCTGTGTGATTTCTCCCCATCATGAGGCCATTATCATGACATGTTATGGCTCATGTCTCAAACCCTTGAGTTTCTTATTCTGTGCCATATCCATGCCTTTCAATTATCAGGACAGTAGCTGAAATTTATTGAGGGCTTACTAGGTACTGGGCACAGTATCAAGTATGTTATTATGTGTAATTCCATTCAATCTACTTAATAATATGTGCCCAAAGCCCTATTATTATGGTTATTTTACAATGGAGAAAACTGAGACAGTGTTAAAGTAACTAACCTAATATCCCATAGCCAATAAATAATCAAGCTTGACTGCAAAGTGCATGCTCTTAGCCTTAACCATTGTGCTGGAAATGCACCATCTCTCCCAATTATTATACAGGAAAACTTGTGACTGGGAATTTACCATGGCTTATACTGAAGGTCTTCATGTATCCTAAGGAGTCCGGCCCAAAGGAGATTCAGGAACATGAAAGCAGAGTTTGAACCTTTTTACATCCATGCTTTTTATTGGGTTTGGTTGGAAAGGAAGAGCTTGGGTGGACATGGGGGCAGAGGGATTTGGAGGGTGTAATTACTCACCTTGGGGCCCAAGATCAGGTTTTCTAAATTGAGAATTGCATAGTTACAGAAGGAACCCGGAGGATCCAGTGGGATCTAGTGACAACCATGGGATGCAGAATTAGTACTAGTGCCCTGATGACTCACCAGAGGTCGTAGTCAAAATGTATTAGCACTAGAAGTGAGTCTGGAGATCCTCTAGTCCAAAGCTCACATTTCACATGTGAGGACACTGAGCTAGATAGGTGAAGACACTTGTCTAATGAGGCACAGCCTGTTAAATGACAGGGTTAAACTAGAACCCAAGTTCTAGGGCCTATTACACAGTGGCAAGCCTAGAAATGGATTCTGGAAATAAAGCAGGGTAATGTCTGGGAGTCCCCAGGGCCATCATTCTGGCAGATGAGGTGGTGGGGTGGGGGTTGCAGAAGGGTTAGTTCCCTGAACAAAGGACCTCTCCACATCACCTTGGATAAATAACATCAGTCCCAGGAAAAAGGAAATCACATTGCCACATTTTACCTTGTCTAGGAAAATCCTACCTTGTCCTCTCTTGTATAAACAGAGCAAAAACACTGAAGATACAATAACAATACACAGTGAGAACACTACCAGCACACTCAACAACCCAGGGTAGTGAGTATGGAGGCCCATTGGCATGTCTGGAAATAGAATACACATGTATTCTGACTTACTAGGAAATAGCCCCAAGAGGCTGGGGTGGCTTAGCATGCAGGAGCACTATCACAGTTGAGTGCCCTCCAGGGGAGTTCCAAAGCCCCTAGGGGAAACTGCACTTTCTGCTCTCAGAAGTCAGGATTAGAAACTGAATCAGAAGGTCGAGCAGAGGCTGTCTCAGAACATCCTGAAATGCTTGGCATCTCTCTGAAGGCCTTGGGCTCTTTCCCAGTGGGCTTCCTGGGAGGAAATGACCCCAGTGACCAGGCTCAGGAAAAAGGAGACACATTCCCCCAGCCTCAGGATTTGCAGCTCTTCAGAGTAATTTCAGAGGCTTGTGGAGATTGGGACAGAACCTGTTACCTGCACAAAGCTTCCAGGCAAAGATGGAGTGAGAGTTGTTGTCGGTTCCCGGCTGTACAAATTTAAGTCAACTCTTGGTTATCTGGGTTCTGGAAGTTGCTAAGGATATCACCCTCTTCTTCCAGGGGACTCCAATTGTATGTCACATCATTTTCTTCCTTCTCTGCAGAGCACATTAGTGTGACATTTACAGGTACTATTCACTGAAGTCATTAAACTCTGGCTTCCCAAAATATGAGCCAGTGGTGCACCAGAGCTGGCTTGTACCAGCTTGTGAGAACCAATTGTTAAATTTCTAGAAATTCTGCAAGATGGTTGTTAAACACAGCCATCATTTAAAATTAAATTATAAAAATTTACAATTAAATTCTTTTAAAGGCAAAGGTAATAAATATTCAAAATTTATCACCTTCTAATTATTTTTCGACATTTGAATGTTACCTATGCTCTTGAGGTTATTTACATCGATTGTATCTGTGTGCTACTGGGCATGTCCTCCCAACTCGACATGGATTGAAATCAGCCATTGTGGGAGTATCCAGGCTACAGAAATTGGTAGATGCTACAAACTACGGCTTGATCTATGTTTGTCACTCTAGACTTGAAAGCAATGGAGAAAATGTTACTAATGCAGATTCAGCTTAAAAGTGAGTTGTGTCTGTAGCCATTATTGTGAACAGCACCATAAAATGAGGCAATATTTTTCTGGTATTTGAAAACCATTATCCAATTCAGCAAATAAATCACTCACATTGTTGATGAATGATCCAAGTACCAATATAAAAATAATTGTTGAATTACTTTTTTCTTATTACTTAACATAAATGAAAATATCAAGCAACATTCATGTCAGAACTACACTAGTTCATCAATTGCAACTGTAGGTTGTCTAGGGAGATATGTATTTGGCAAAAATCAAAAGCATCCTGTCAGAATTGGTTATACAGAATTAACGATAAAGAGTATTGTATATTTTATTATCACTTATGAAATTGTGTGCTATACACCTTTTACATCAATACAATTTATAATAAATATATACCCCCTTTCTAAAGAGAATTAGTTGAACATTTATCAGCACAACACTACGTGAAATGATTGTTTAAGTTGTTCTGTTTCCTGTTGTATGCGTATTTTCTTTACATTTTGTTTTGTTTTGTTTCAAAAGTGTCCATGGTGAAAAACTACAACCTTTTAAAGTCTGTTTTAAAAAATGCTTTTATTAAAGCAATCTAAAGATAAGCTGTAAAAGGTGTGGGCTACTGAAGGGTTGCTAAAGACCAATCATATTTAGTCAGGTAATAGCTAGATTTGGATCTGGCAAGAGGAAGGTTTTTTTTTTTTTCTTTTCCTTTTTTTTTTTGCTAAGAGATAAGAAAATGACCACCTATAGAGTTGATAAGGTTAGTGTACTCTTGGAAAAGCTGCTGCAGCCATGGCAGGAAGGAAAGAATTGGTATACAACTTTCTAATTAAGAGAACACTAGAAAGGAAATATATTCAGCAGTATAAATAAGGGAATCTTCTGTTTGTACCTGTAAGGGAGTAAAACATGAGCGATAAGCTGATAAGGCTTTTGGCTCCAAAAGAAAAACCTGGCCCGAAGTGTCAAATACTATATCTCTTAGAGGGATTTATTCCAAATTAAAATTAGTGATAATTTGGAGAAATATTTCCTAAAGTTTGAAGTAAGTCCTTGATTGGTTCTAACAATGATTAATATAGATAGGGATCAGTGAAGTTGAACAAAATTTGCATGTGTATCTGATATCTCAATGTTTTTCTGTAGAAACGTTACCTACTTTTCAAAAACAAAATTTTTTTTTGGAAGGCACTGAGGTGGGGGAGAGTGGTGAAGAATAGAATTCCCATATACTTTTCTCTCCAGGAACAGAGACATTATCTTACAAAACTGCTGACCAGAAAAGGTCAGAGTCATGGTTAGCTAACATGTCTTCATCCTCCCAAGCCAAATCGCATAGAAGCCACTGGAGAACTAGTTTGGAATTCCGGCTTCACTACTATGTAGTTGTAGGATTTTGGAGGAGCTGTACAGGTTCACTGAGCTTTAGTTTCCTCATTCACAATATGACGATACCAATTTCTTCCTCATATTATATCTAAAGACATATCTATGTCTATATGCTTGATCGTACATTATGTGCGGAGATAAACCGGTAACAGTGATTGCCTCTGAGAAGAGAGACTTACTTTCCATTGCGTAATTCTTAGGCTCATGGTAGAATTTGTGCAAGTGGATGAAGCACTGCCTCACTGGGAAACACTCCAGTGAAATAAAGCACAGAAAAGAGCCCGAAGAATAATTACTTGGTTCTGTATGACACATGTGCTTTTAAAGGGTTGTAGTGTAGGATGACATTGGGTAAGTCCATGGGCCTAGAAGCCTAGGTGGAGTTCTTAGGATTTTGTATGTAGACTATGAAGTTTTGGAAACGTTTGAGCTGGAGAGAAGACATTCTGATCAAAGGTGGCTTTCAGGAAAGGCTGGTGCGACAGGCAGGGTATTTATTAGAATGAGGCCAGTGACCACTCTGAAACAGACACAAAGTAAGTTCCCTTCAAGGGGCAGGAAGCTCCCTGGGATGGTGAGACCAGAAAGGCACAGAGGCTGAACCCTCGTGATGGCGCTAGGTCCCAGGTTCGCTAGCATCCGAGAGAGGGGATTGGGTCGCTCCAGAGGCCATTGCGAAGGCTGCTGCCAGTTCTAGGGTCGGGGTGGGGTCAGGCTAGGTCCCTATTCCTAGGGCTTTAGCACCGCTCACTCACAAGACCCCTTTTCCCAGGAGGACGTATGGGTTTTTCCTGTCGCTCCAGCTTCTCTTTCGCGGCCCTTCCACGCTTGTCACTTACCTGAGCGCAGCCAATCAGCACCTAGAGGTTGGGCTACTTTCGGCCAAAGGAGAACGGGGACTTGTGGGGGACGCTCCCTGCGCACCAATGAATGTGCATGGAGATGGAGAGGCGGGCCTGCAAGTGCGAACAAGCCAATCACGGAATCCCGGCGGCCGGCGGCCCGGGAGGCAGTCGCGCGCTCGCATCCCCAAGATGGCGGCCGTTAAGGACAGTTGTGGCAAAGGAGAAATGGCCACAGGGAATGGGCGGCGGCTCCACCTGGGGATTCCTGAGGCCGTGTTTGTGGTAAGAGGCACGCTGTTCCCTGGCATCTTGGCTTGAGGCCTTGGACTGCCCCTTTCTTCCCGGCTCCCACCCAGGCCTCGACTGTTGGAAGGAGCTGAGCCAAGTGTTCAGGGAGGGGGCGCTCGGTCTGCTCTCACCCCTCGCACCTGGACAGATTGAGCTCTGCTGGGGGCCCGCCCGGAAGAAACGTAGCTCGAGAAGGCCGTAGAAGAGAACGGGGTGCGGGGCCGGGACGAGGGGCGAGGGGCGAGGGGCGGCGGGTGGCAGGGCAGGGCGGCCTGAGGGACCTCCGGGCTGCCGCCGGTTTTCGTCCCCCTGCTGGTTGGAAAAGGGGAGGTGGTGAGGAGCTCTCGACTCAGCATGGATGCTGGAGACACAGTACAATGAATAGGCAGAACAGCCAGTGCTAAGATGTGAAAACCGGGAATATCACTTTGTCTGTTGAAGGAATGCAGTGGTCTCGGGAATGTTGCCTCGGGAAATGGAAGAAGAGACCGATGGGAAAATAGGATGATAGGTTGGGAGTGTAAAGTCCTTCTGTGTCTTGCTAAGGAATTGAGGTTTTCCAGTAGGCAACGGGCTGTCATCAGAAGGCCTTTCGTTTTAACTACATCATTCTAACAACTTAGTGGAGAATGAATTGTTGAGAGAGGAGGCTGAACCCTCCTGATGGCGCTAGGTCCCAGGTTCGCTAGTGTCCTAGAGGGGATCGGGTTGCTCCACAGGCCGTTCTGGAGGGCGCTGCCTGTGCTGGGTGGCTTTTTAAAAATTTTATTTTATTTATTTAATTTAGAAATAGTAGTTGAAAACTATTTGACTAATGAGAGAAAACATCTGACTGGCCCTCCAGGCCAGGTCATCTGTCTGTCCCCACTTAGCTACTATAAAATCTTCATGGAAGTTTCTCAATCTTTTGGTTTGTACCTTACCTTACCTCTGCCTTTTTTTTACTAACTACGTCTTATATCCTTCTAAAGACTCATTTATTTATACCACACTTGATATTGTATATTCGCATTTGCTGATTGAATTTCGTAATTGGTTATTATTTTGTGTTTTTATGAGCTGTGTCATTTATTTCTCTACATTGATCTATTATCTAACCATAACAAGGAATAAAATTTGTTGAGTGCCAGGCACTTTCTTAATGATTTTACAAAACTCGAGGTGGTAGCTACTACTGTTATGCCCGTTTTTTAGATGATAAAACTGAGGTACGGGGCACTTGAGTAACTTGCCCCAGGCCACACAGGATGTAAGTGAGGTATCCAGGGTTTGAACTTGGACAATCCGTGGAGGTCCAGACTGGCAGCTTACCCCTCATGCTCTGCTACTGGGAGGAGGTGAGGTAGTTCTCATGAATCGCCCTACTTCTCCTGGTCATAGCATAGTGCCTCACACATAGTATAAGCTCAAACTAAGTGTCTAATTGAATTTCCATAGGGCCTTAAATGTTACATTCATGGTGCTCAGCTAGAGATGGCGTCAGAAATCTAACTCGGGAGGAGACACTTTATCTGAGGGCTTTATAATGTCTTGAAATGCTTTTTCCCTACAATGTCGTGGTTATTTTTTTCTAGACCTTAAAATTTCTACCAACATAATGTAATAAGCAACCCAAATTTTATATAACTGTTTATGTTTCCAAACTATTAATAATTGAAGTGACATGGTATTGTAGAAAGATTATTGGCCTCTAAATAGACCAGGGTCTGAATCCTGGCTCTGCTTCCCAGTTGCTGCTTAACCTTAAGCATATTATTTTACCACTTTGAGCTTGAGTTTCTTTAACTGAAATAGGGATGACAATACTTAGAGAGTTGTTATGGGAAACAGAGAACATGCTTGCAGTATTGCAGTGTAGTAGGTGTCGAATAGGTATTAATATTCATGATGATAGGAAGCAATATACCATAGTGGTTAGAAGTCAGACCCAGTCCATTCCCCAACCCCGCTGAGGCAGTAATTTGTTTTCTTTCTCTGCTTGAATTGTTGTTTCACCCTTGTCCATTTCATGACCTCTTCATCTTTCCACATCTAGTTCAGATATCATCTCCCTGTAGTTTTCTCTGACCTCTACCCCAAAACAAAATCCCTGGCACTTTGTGTCCCTGTGGCACATTATGCTATACATAGGTGTCACGTACTCTTATAAGCGTTTCACATATGCTAACTCATTTAATCCCTGGTGACGAAAAGGTACTTGTACAGATGATGAGGAAATTGAGGCAAAGAGAGGTTAAATAACTTCCCTAAGGTCAACTCATCTAATGAGTGGCGAAGCTGGGATTCAAACCAGGCACCTCCTGTCTCTTAACCACAGCCTATGCCGCTATAGTTAATTCTTGCTAAACTCCAGCACCTGATAACATGTATCATGTGCCAGAAACTTACACTTCTTTCTCTTCCCTGCAGTGACCCTTCTAGGAAGATGGCATCTCTCTTTAACATACAGAACTCAGCCATTATCTCTCAGCCTCACCTTTTCAATTTCCTTTACTGTCTAGTTTGATGGCTTCTTAGTTCACTCCCTTGCTGTGTTTCTCTTCCTTTTTCTTCCTTGTTTCAGCTAAGATATTCTCTGGTAGCTAGTAAATATGGATAAGAATAATGATGTGAAGATCTTAGAAGCTATAAGATAATTGAAGTTACTTATAATAAAGAACTAGAGTTCTGTAAAGTACTAGACGACTCTTGTAGCATCTCTTTTAAGTTTCATATATTTTCATCTTGTTTCTGATCCTTATCTAATTAACTAGCCTTTCTTCAAGGATCAGCATGTGGTATAAAAAATATTTTAACATCAGTTTTACTGCTTTTCTTTTGATCAGTTATTACTGTTACAAAAGATTATTCTGTTTGCCTTTTAGGTTTACTTTGTTTCAGTTATTTGATACTGAAGGAAGCATTTGTGGATTGCCTTGGGAACCCAGTAACCATATTTAGTATGATTTCTATGGTAAAACTTGTTGAATTAAAAATAAGTAATAAAATTGATAATCTTGACATGCAACCTGTAAAATCATTTTGTGAATAGGATGCATGAATAGGCAATGTATTTGATTGTTAGTTTCATATTTACTACTAGGGATGCATGGGAAATGCATAAAGTGGTGGGCAAGGTCATTCTTCTTTTCCTATTTTTGAATAAAAAATGAAGAGGAAAGTGAAAGAATAAATTAGCTATATAATATATATGTACCATCTGAAATTGTCTCTAACTTTTTATAACTACAGGTTGAGCATCCTAAATCTGAAAATCTGAAATCCAGAATGCTCTAAAATCCAAAACTTTTTGAACACCAATATAGTGCTCAAAGGAAATGCTCATTGGAGCATTTTGGACTTTGGATTTTTGGATTGAGGATGCTCAACTGGTATAATGTAAATATTCCAAAATCTAAAAAAAAAAAAAAAATCTAAAATCCAAAACAATTCTGGTCCCAAGCATTTTAGATAAGGGTGCTTAACCTGTACTTTTAGTTAAAAACAAACCTTTGGAGAAAAACAAAGCTTTTTTTTCTTCTATGTTTTAAAAACAAAGCAGTCAAAAAATCTGAGTGGCATGAATTCTAAAATTTGTAAAGTATTATTTTTGATATTAAAGGAAGATGTAGATTCCTTCATGAAACAGCCTGGGAATGAGACTGCAGATACAGTATTAAAGAAGCTGGATGAACAGTACCAGAAGTATAAGTTTATGGAACTCAACCTTGCTCAAAAGAAAAGAAGGTAAGTGTAAAAATTTCTAAGTTTTGAAAATCTTATATGACTTGAACTTTTAAAAAATTGAGATATAATTTACATATAATAAAATATTCAGATGTCAAGTGTTCAGTCCTCCAAGGTGGCTGTACCATATGAAATTCCCACCAGCAACGTACAAGAGTTCCAGTTGTTCCGTATCCTTGCCAACACTTGGTATTGCCAGTCTAAATGTGGTTTTGAAAACATAATAGAATGGTTGTTAAAGACTGTATTCCAAAGCTTTCAAAATCATAACGTCTTATATGTCTAGTTCATCCTTCTAATTTTGCCAGTGAGATTAGAGACCCACAGAGTCTGGGCATAAGACTTAATTAGTTATGAAATCCCAAGATTTCATAACTAATAGGCATAGGAAAAAAGCTATCCTTACTCTCAACTCTTTATTTCCCTACATTATTTTATATAGCTTATAAAGTCAATTCACTGTAATAAATATTTATAGATCTCTGTTTTGTGCATGTGCCAGCATTCTTCTGTAAGATAAATATTTATGGAATGCCAGCTAGATGCCACATACTGTTTTGGGTGAAATAACATCCAGTATCTGCTTTCAACAAGGACACAGGACTGGGCATGGTGGCTCAAACCTGTAATTCCAGCACTTTGGGAGGCTGAGGTGGGAGGATCACTTCAGTCCAGGAGTTCAAGACTAGCCTGGGCAACATAGGGAGACCCCCGTCTCTACAAATAATTAAAAAATAATTAGGCTGGGCCCGGCGGCTCGCACCTGTAATCCCAGCACTTTGGGAGGCTGAGGTGGGCAGATTGCCTGAGCTCAGGAGTTTGAAACCACCCTGGGCAACATGGTGAAACCCCGTCTCTACTAAAATACAAATAAATTAGCCAGACGTGGTGGCATGCGCTTGTAATCCCAGCTACTCGGGAGGCTGAGTTGGGAGAATTGCTTGAGCCCGGGAGGCGAAGGTTGTAGTGAGCCGAGATTGTGCCACTGCACTCCAGCCTGGGCAACAGAGTGAGACTCCATCTCAAAAATAATAATAGTAATAATTAGCTGGGTATGGTGGCATGCATCTGTGGTCACAGCTCCTCTAGAGGCTGAGGTGGGAGGATCGCCTGAACCCAGGACGTTGAGGCTGCAGTGAGATGTGATCATGCCCCTGCACTCCAGCCTCGGCAAAAGTGCGAGACCCAGTCTAAAAAGCAAACAAACCACACAAAAAACTAGGGACACAGTTTGGTGGAAATTATAGGTATATAAATAAAATTAGCACACAAAGTAGAACAGTAGAGGTACAGGGGGATGGTAACTCATTACTTTGTACCAAAGCACCTCATTAACCTGGAGGGGCCAAGGAGGTTCAGAGGAAGCTTCTAAGAGGAACAGATAGCTGTGTAGAATTTCAAAGATTAGTTGTGAGTTTGGAGGCAGACTAAAGTGAGGAAGGGGTAGTCTGGGCCTAAGGCACCATTTATGCAAAGGTACAGAAGTTTGTAGGTATATTTTCTCATTTGATTTTGGTGACAGTTGTACAAAGTTGAATATGTACTGAGTATTAGATGAGATGAAAAGTCATTGACATGGAAAGATGGAGAGTGTTAATGGACAGAAGCAAGATAGAAAACATTAAGAACAGTGTGCTCTCGTTTTGGAAAAAAATGTATGTATGCACAGGAATATCTGGAGAAATCCACACTAAAGGCATATTAACAGTGGTAATCTCTGGGTAGTTAGAATATGGCATTTTTCTTGTTTTTGCTTAGCTGTTTTCTTAATTTTTTACAATGTACATGTACTGCTTTTGTGATAGTAAAAGTTTATTTGAAAAAGAAAAATAAAGCCATTGGATTTGAGATCACCTACAGGGAGGTTACAGATAGAGAAGAAAATGTGCCTTGGGGCGGGGTGCAGTGGTTCATGCCTGTAATCCCAGCACTTTGGGAGGCCAAGGTGGGCGGATCGCTTGAGCCCAGGAGTTCAAGACCAGTGTGGGCAACGTGGCAAAACCCTATATCTACAAAAATTAGCTAGGTGTTGTGGTGCATGCCTGTAGTTCCAGCTACTAGGGAAGCTGAGGTGAGAGTATTGCTTAAGCCAGGGAGGTTGAGGCTGCAGTCAGCTGTGAGTGTGCCACTGCACTCCAGCCTGGGCAACAGAGTGATGATACCCCGTCTCAAGAAAGAAAAAAAGGAAAAGAAAATGGGCCTTGGGACCAAGTCCTGGGAGAGGGGGAAATTTGCGTATCAAACTTAAATTGCTCTTCTAACTAGTAAATTAATGATAGACAAAAACAAAAAAAAGAAAAAAGTTATATTGCTAACTCTACAACTGTGGTATGTAGCAGGATACTCACTCTAGCTTAACATATGGTCTAGGCCTAAATGTGGGGAGAAGGGGTAAAAATTCAAAGCACTTAGGAAACATCAGTGAACGTTGGTGTTCTGGATGAGAACAGTGTTTGTCTAGTGTTTTAAAAGAGAATGGTAGAGTTGGAGATAGTGAGTTAGGAAAATTTTCTTGAGTTTTACCTATTTTAATAGTGGGTTGGTCATTTTTTTGAGACAGGCTTTCTCTCTGTTGCCCAGGCCAGAGTGCGGTGGTGTGATCACAGCTCACTGCAGCCTTGACCTCCTGGGTTCAAGCAATTCTTCCATCTCAGCCTCCCAAGTAGTTGGAGGGCTACTTTTCTCTTTTTATTTTTCTGGAATTTCTCTCACTCCTATGATGTCAGCTATGCAACAAAACTATTTTTGTGTCATGATCTAGTTGTTTTGCAGCAGATGGCTCTATGTAGTTTACATGCTAGCCTTTTTGTTTTTTTTTTTTTTCAATTTGCTATTATTTTATTTAGGATTTTTGAATTTCTGTTCATAAGTGAGTTCAGCCTATTTCTTTCTTTTTTTAATTTTTTTAGTATTGATCATTCTTGGGTGTTTCTCGGAGAGGGGGATTTGGCAGGGTCATAGGACAATAGTGGAGGGAAGGTCAGCAGGTAAACATGTGAACAAAGGTCTCTGGTTTTCCTAGGCAGAGGGCCCTGCCGCCTTCCGCAGTGTTTGTGTCCCTGGGTACTTGAGATTAGGGAGTGGTGATGACTCTTAACGAGCATGCTGCCTTCAAGCATGTGTTTAACAAAGCACATCTTGCACCGCCCTTAATCCATTTAACCCTGAGTGGACACAGCACATGTTTCAGAGAGCACGGGGTTGGGGGTAAGGTTATAGATTAACAGCATCCCAAGGCAGAAGAATTTTTCCTAGTACAGAACAAAATGGAGTCTCCCATGTCCACCTCTTTCCACACAGACACAGCAACAATCTGATCTCTCCTTCCTTTCCCCACATTTCCCCCTTCTCTATTCGACAAAACCTCCATCGTCATCATGGCCCGTTCTCAACGAGCTGTTGGGTACACCTCCCAGACGGGGTGGCGGCCGGGCAGAGGGGCTCCTCACTTCCCAGACGGGGCGGCCGGGCAGAGGCACCCCCCCACCTCCCGGACGGGGCGGCTGGCCGGGCGGGGGCTGCCCCCCACCTGCCGGACGGGGCGGCTGCCAGGCGGAGGGGCTCCTCACTTCTCAGATGGGGCGGCTGCCGGGCGGAGGGGCTCCTCACCTCTCAGACGGGGTGGCTGGTCAGAGACGCTCCTCACCTCCCAGACGGGGTGGCGGCGGGGCAGAGGTGCTCTTCACATCTCAGACGGGGTGGCTGGGCAGAGGCGCTCCCCACATCTCAGAGGATGGGCGGCCGGGCAGAGACGCTCCTCACTTCCTAGACGGGATGACGGCCTGGAAGAGGCGCTCCTCACTTCCCAGAGTGGGCGGCCGGGCAGAGGGGCTCCTCACATCCCAGACGATGGGCGGCCAGGCAGAGACGCTCCTCACTTCCCAGATGGGGTGGCGGCCGGGCAGAGGCTGCAATCTCGGCACTTTGGGAGGCCAAGGCAGGCGGCTGGGAGGTGGAGGTTGTAGCGAGCCGAGATCACGCCACTGCACTCCAGCCTGGGCACCATTGAGCACTGAGTGAGCGAGACTCCGTCTGCAATCCCGGCACCTCGGGAGGCCGAGGCTGGCAGATCACTCGCGGTCAGGAGCTGGAGACCAGCCCGGCCAACACAGCGAAACCCTGTCTCCACCAAAAAAATACGAAAACCAGTCAGGCGTGGTGGCGCGTGCCTGCAATCCCAGGCACTCGGCAGGCTGAGGCAGGAGAATCAGTCAGGGAGGTTGCAGTGAGTCGAGATGGCGGCAGTACAGTCCAGCCTCGGCTCGGCATCAGAGGGAGACCATGCAAAGAGGGCGAGGGCGAGGGTGAGGGTGAGGCTAGCCTTTTTCTTTGTATGTGTTGTAAATCTTGCAGCCTGTCATTTAACTTTACCCTTCAAGCTGTGTAAAAGTTCCTTAGTATTTCATGTGTTAATCTCTTTTTCGACACTTGAATCTGAGATCTTTTATCTTTCTTTAATTGGAAATTTTGTGATTATCACTTTTTCTATCGTCTGTTAATTTTTTTTCCTCTTTCTTTCTGGGATTCCTGTTTACAGATGTTGACACTTCTAATTCTGCCTTCCATTTATTTATATTATTTCCCTTTTTTCTGTCTTTGTCATTTATCTTTTGGCAATTAGATGGATAGCCATGAGTTCTTTGTTTCAGCTGTTAAGATTTTTATAGCTGGTAGTTCTGGTTGGTTCCTCTTCATATTACCAATATCCTTTCTTTTCTCTTTGTGGTATCTTTAAGTATTTAATGTATAGTTTTATCTTTTGGTATTTGTTAATTTTGTTTCATATGGTAGAGGTTGTTGAATTTATTGTCTTTATTTATTATAATGATCAAATTATAATGTCTTTTCCCTGTCAGCTTAGATTCCCTCAGGGATATCAGCTACTTTGGCCAGTAATGTACGTGGAGGTGGGGGTAATTTAAGTCACTCCTGGTGGGTAGCAGTGGCGCTACCTCGGCTCACTGCAACCTCCACCTCCTGGATTCAAGGGATCCTCCCGCCTCAACTTCCCAAGTAGCTGGGATTACAAGCATGCACCACCACGCCCAGCTAATTTTTTTGTATTTTTTTTTAGTAGAGACTGAGTTTCACCATGCTGGCCAGGCCGGTCTCGAACTCCTGGCCTCAGGTGATCCACCCGCTTCGGCCTCCCAAAGTGCTGGGATTACAGGCGTGAATCACTGTGCCCAGCCAAGCTACTTTCTCTTCAGGTGAAGCAGGGTAGGGAGGAGTGTATTGCTTGGGCATGTGCTGTGTCATTGGTGGTCTGGTTCCTAAGTTAGCTAGGGCTGCATCTGATTGATTCATTAATATGCTTTATAGCATATTACATATAATATTTATATATACAGAATGCATCTTAAAAGTCATTTACATGACAAAAAATCTTGATCTGAACATACTCCTTATGTTGTGTGTGTATCACATATTTTACAAATGTATAACATCTTTCTGTTTACCTATATGAACATATCATGCAAAAATAAGCAAACTTGAGCAATCTATGGCATCCAGATTGAATTGTAGTGAAAAAATGAATGCTAGGTGTTTCTAGATTATTCACTGGACTGTATTATCAAATGATGACACTATGTTTTTTTCTTAAGCAGCAGGCTCATTTAACACATTTCTTGCCAGGTCAGTAGCACAGGGTGTAGTAAATTTGCCCTGCCAACCTGCTGCACACATGGAGTGACTTCTTTTATGTGACGCAATAAGTTCATTTTCATTGTTGTGTTTATATTTTGTTTACATTTTGGTCTCTAATAATATTTAGTAAATTTACCTCGAAAGAACCAGAGCTTCGTTTTTATATCCTTAGTCTGTTTTGCTAGAAATTACATTTGACAGAGACCCTAGAACTGTTTTGCATATATCTCCATGCAAAACACATGCATCTAATTACCATAAAGAGCTAAACCCCAGTGACAAAAACGGTATCATTGTTTTCTCTCTTTAATTGACTGAATGTTTTTAGCATACTGTTTTTCTCTTATGTTCTTGTCAGTGAGGTTGATTGCATTTGGGAGTCACTTACTAGCATTTTGCTAGTAGCTATCATATAACTTATCCATTAAGTCGGATCAGTTGTATCATGTCCATCATTGTTTTTTTAAATTTCTTGTGTTTAAATCAGTGATCCATTTATAATTTTAAGAACGATCGTTACCTCATTTGAAAAGAAGAGCATTTATCAACATAAAAGTTAAGGAAGAAATACCCAAAGCTTAAAAGAATCACTAAATTATACTGTATCATAATGTGGTGTGTTTGGCATTCAGATGATTCTGTACATTTTTCACAGTGTGACAAGTGCACATACTGAGAAGGTGTCACTGTGCTTTGCCTGGCATTTAGCTGACTGTGATGTACATGTGTGTATACCCAATGCACACACCAGGAGTAGCTATGTGCATCACTGGATAGGGGATTGGTGTCTTCTATTTTAGAATGTAACTTTTGAATCCATGTTATTTTTAAAATTAGTTTTAAAATTAATCTATTTAAAATTTCATTCTAATCAAATGCAGAACCTATGAATCACCTCTGTGGAATATAGTCTGCTCTAGAAATGTTAAATAGCCATGGGGTATTTGACATAATAGAACAGAGCTTTGTCTTCATGGAATGGGCATTCCATAAACATTCACTAGTATATCTTAAATATTTTTATTAAGTATTTATACTTTAAATATTTTATGAATATTTTACTAAATATATTTTCTTTTGGTGAATATTTCTTTAAATATTTTATTTTTATAAATATTTATATCTTATTTTATCTCATATCTAAAAATATCTTAAGTATTTTATATCTATAAATAGTCCTCAAGAACACATTAGTAGAAAATGCAAAGTTAGTAAGACCGTGTCCTGTTGTTTATTTTTGCCTGCAAAATACTAAGTTACTCTTTTTCTTGTTCACAGGCTAAAAGGTCAGATTCCTGAAATTAAACAGACTTTGGAAATTCTAAAATACATGCAGAAGAAAAAAGTAAGTGCATTTTTGTTTGTAAATATGAGCAAGCTAGGATATGTCAGCAGAAACTCGTCTTCTTTGACTCTTTGGTCACTGATATTTGATCTGTGCTGTGGAATCCAGTCTGCCTTCTTAAGCACATACACTAATGTTATGATGTGCTTCTGTAGCAAATGTGGCTTTGTGGCCTTCCCCCAAAAGTCAAGTTTAATTCTAGGGCCCACACTTGGATTACTTTGCTTATCTTTAGTGCTTGTGAAACTTAAATGCAATTTGAAATTGTTTTAGGTGTACAAAGAAAATGTCTTATTCTGTGCTAGCAGCATCTAGGGTTTTTTCTTTGTTGTTGTCTTTCTCCCTAAGAATAAGGAGTTAGTCCAAGATTTATAGAGCTGGAACGAATCTTAGAGATCATCTGTTACAGGTTCTCATTTCATAGTTGAGGAAATGGTTATGGAGAGGTTATACTCGACCATTGTCTATGTAGTTAGTTACTGGCAGAACTAAATTTGAGAGTCTTCTAAGTCTTAATCCAGTATTCATTAAATAAAAGCAGGTTGTAAAGATTAAATCTCATAAGCATATTGTATTTAAAAGATTGTGTGTATGCTTATGATTTTGCTTGACTGGTAGAATAACTATTTCTAGTACATTTTAATATGTGGTGAACTTTGTAAGACTTCAGCAACTGATTGATTGGGCATGAAGCACCAATGAAATAATAGAAGAATGGCTAATTCTTACAATAATGCCTTCTCTGTATGTCAGGCACTCGGGGGTGTGTGTGTGTCTGTGTATACTCAGTGCTTACCACTGACTTCATAGGTGTAGGGACTGTTGTAATCCTCATTTTACAGATGAAGAACCTGAGATATAGAAGTTAAGTGAGATGCCAGATTTGTACAGCTAGTGAGTAGCTGAGCCAGAGTCCATACCCAGCCACCTGGGTCTAGCATTCATTTCTTTTACCACTACACTTAGCCTGCATGATGGTACTGTTTTAAATGTCCTAGGTTCAACTGTGCAATCTCTCCTTTATAACCTTGGTATCAAACTGGCCTGTTTATGGTACTGTCATTTTTTTTTTTGTTTTGAAGGAGTCCACCAACTCAATGGAGACCAGATTCTTGCTGGCAGATAACCTGTATTGCAAAGCTTCAGTTCCTCCTACCGATAAAGTGTGTCTGTGGTTGGGGGTAAGTAAATGTTATAGCCACAGCTGATATATTTGTAAACCAGTGTGTTTTCTGTAGCAAACACACTGGTTTTGCTAGTATTTGCTAGTATTTTAGTAGTATTGCTCGAGATATGTAAAGTGTTCATCTCCTTTTGATTGTGGAAGGGACAAAGGGACAGAGTCCAAGTGGTTCATATTAGAAATTGACTAGAATCAGAAGTGCGATGAAGATCGCAGTAAAAACATACTGAAGTCTCTCCCAATCAAGATAAAACTGATCAAACAAACCCTGCTTCTCTTCCAGTTAGTGCTTTATCTCTCTTAAATATAATGGAGGAAGAGCAATAGAAGTAAAATAGAAGGTACTGCTGAACTTTAGATAAACGCTTCTTCCCATAAGAGTTTAATAATTCTAGAAAGATCCCTCTCAATTTAAGGGGAAAAAGAGTATTGCAAAAAGTTTGAGGTTAGAGTTTATTTTTTAAAACCATGTATTTCAGTTTTAGATGATTTCATTGAGCTTATCTGTGATTTACCTATTTTGCTCTTCTCAGTCCTCTGACTATCCAGCTACCTGTCTGTGGATCTTGTTACCTCAGGCAAGTTCTCATACAAAGTAGCAAGCCAAGTGTACTTCTACCAGCTGTCCTACGGGGAGGATTTCCCCTAGCTGCTGTCCTGTAGGATCACTCTGGAGAGGCACTCTAGATTAGCCCAAGGAGGTTTGCTCAAAGTTTGTACAACATTTATATTTCACTCTACAATCTGCATTTCAGTATTTATCTTTTATAATTTATCACTAAGGCTTTTTAAAAAATAACTTTGAAGCATAGCAACTACACCTGAGTGTCCAAGGATTCAATGATTTTCTGTATTCAGTTTTTTTGTAGAAATTGCATGACCTTTTGATTCACAAATTCAAGTGTTACTTTATTTCAGGAAAGATAATTTCTGTTGTGTACTTGAATGTGACTTTTGCCCCATTTCTTTTATTATCTTTTGGGAATAATAAATATGCATATGTTCGATCTCCTTTATCTGTTTTCAGTACCTATCATGTTCTCTGTTTTCAGTTATTCGATGTGTTTCATTCTGTGTGATTTCCTCTGGCTGCTTCCCCATGACTTTGTGTTTTCCCTGGTAGTTATTCTGTTTTGTTGCTTTTACTCTGTCTTTTGTAACTGTTCTTCTGTTTCTCTTTCTCTTCATTTTCTTTGCTGAGCTCTTCTTGCTCTTTTCATGTTTTTCTTCTTTCATTCCTCTTGAATGTTTAAATCCTCATTTCACCACTCATAGACTGGCACTTCCCACAATCTTCTCCATCTCAGTAAATGGCAGAATCTTTTGCCTGGTTGCTCAGAACAAAAATCTTTGAGTCTTCTTTGACTCTTCTTTATTTTATATCTCTCAACCAGTCCTTCAGCAAACCCCACTGGTTCCTTCTTCTGAATAGATTGAGAAGCCAACTATCTCTCACTTCCTTACTGCTGTTACCATGGTCCAGGCCACCTTTGTCTCTTGCCAGGACTGTGGGAATACTGTCTATTAGTTTTTAGGGATGCCATAATAAAATTACCACAAACTGGGTGGCTTTAACAACTGAAATGGACTGTCTCATGGTTCTGGAGGCCAGAAGTCCGTGATGAGCCCCAGAATCAGGGTCGATTCCTTCTGAGAGCTGTGAGGGAAAATCTGTTCTAGCCTCCTCTCTTAGCTTTGGTGTTCGCGGACAGTCTTTGGCATGTTGATGTGTAGAAGCATCACTGTGATCTCCGCCTTCATCTTCACATGTGTGCATGCATGTGTCCAAATTTCTCCTTTTGAAAGACCTTATCTCCAAATAAAGTCACATTCTGAGCTACTGGGGGTTAGTAGTCCAACTTATTTTTTGTTGGGGAGACAGAATTCAATCCATAATACCTTACTTCCACGTAAGGTCACATTCGCTAGTATAAGGGGTTAAAACTTAAATGTATCTTTTTTGGGGACACTGTTTAACCCATAATAATACCCTAATTCACTGTCTTGCTTCTGCCCTTGCTGGAATTCCTAAAGTCTTTCCAGCACAGTGGTCAGATTAATCCTTTGAAATCTCAATCAGGTCATTCCATTATTCTGCCCAAAATCTTTGAATGGTTTCTTATCACATTCCGAGGAAAAGTCCAAGTTCTTTGAGTGGCTGACAAGTTCCTATACATCCTGGTACTCTCTGTTACTTCTCTCTTTTTTTTTTTTTCTGAGACAGAGTCTCACTCTGTTGCCCAGGCTGGAGTACAGTGTTGTGATCTCAGCTCACTGCAACCTCTGTCTCCCGGGCTCAAGCGATTCTTGTGCCTCAGCTTCCTGAATAGCTGGGATCACAGGCACGTGCTACCATGCCCAGCTAAATTTTTTGGTAGAGACGGGGTTTTGCCATTTTGGCCAGGTTGATCTCGAACTCCTGGCCTCGGGTGATCTGCCCACCTTGGCCTCCCAAAGTGCTGGGATTACAGGTATGAGCCACCGTGTCCAGTCTCTCTGTTCTTCTCTTACTTCCTCGCTTGGCCACACTTGGACTTCTTGCCAGACTTAGAGCATGCTGGGAATGGCCCTGCCTCAGAACCTTTATTCTAGCTCTTTCTTCTGCTTAAGCTGCCAGAGTAGTGCTTTTAAAACATGTCAGATGATTCCGCTTTTCTGCTCAAGACCCCAGTGGTTTCCCTGTCACCAAGGGTGGAATACAGAGGTGTCCTTTCCACAGGACAGCCCTACTCCCTCTCAGCACTCATTTATGCTCATTCTTTTGCTCACTCTGCTGTAGCCATGGTGGCCCCCTAACTGTTCCTGGAACCTGCCAGTGTGGCCCCACATTTCTACTTCTGTGTTCTTCACACTCAATCCTTTGAGTTCTCAGTTCTGATTGTTAGCTCCCCCAGGGACCTGCTATGACTTGTCTGTCAGCATTTCTTGGTTTCACTTGTACTGTTTATCTTGTATTGTTTTCCTTCAAAGTACTTAGCACTCCCTGATATGTTATTGATTGGTGTATTTACCAGTTCCCTGACACATAATAAGTGCTCAGTAAAAATTTTTCTTGGGTGAATGACATTTTTGTTAGTTTTTCATCAGAGTTCATACATGCTAATGGTTCAAAGAGCAAATAGAAAGCAGCAGGCTACTGCTCCATCCCCAGATGCACCCACTTTTAATCATGTCTGTACATCTGTATGTACCTAAATATTTGGAATTTTGTTAATTGTTTTTACAAAAATGGGATATATATTGTATATTGTTCAGCACAGATGTCTTTATTTGTGAGTAGACACAGAGTTTGCCTCCTTGGTTTTATTGGCTTACTATTCTGTGGTAGGGCTATGTGATAATATTCCCAAGTCAAGGGGTGTTTGGATTGTTTTAAAATTTCTTGTACAGTGAGCGGTGCTGTAGTAAATATTTTTGCACATATAGACTTGTATACAAAGGCATATTTTTGTATGCTGCTTTGAAATGGAATTGTTGTGTCTAAGAGTATGCACATTTAACATGTTGATGGATACTATCAAATTGCTCTCCAGAAAAGACTACCAATTTTCATTTTCTCCAACCGTATATAAAAATACCCTTTTATTAACAGTCTCACCCACATTTTTAGATTTTTGCTAGTTTTATAGGTGAAAATAGTATCATCTTATAGGTTTTTGTATGACAAAATGCTCATTTGTATTTCCTCTTCTGTTTCCCTTCCTGACTATGTTGTTGCTCCATTTTTCTGTTGGATTCTTTTTCTTTTTTTTTTTGATAGACATTTAGGTCTTCTTTATATATTATGTATTTCGGATGCACAGTCTTCTCTTAATATTGCAGATACTTTTTCTCATCTGTCACTTGTCTTTTGTGGTAGCTCTTAGAAGTTTTAAATTTTAATGTAATCGACTTTATCAGATATTTATAATTTTATCTTAACAGTGTACTCCTTTCACCAAATCTGCAAACATTTTTTTCCTAATATTTATATACTTAAATTTTTTAGAAAACTTTTTTGTTAAGGATAACATGGAAAGATAAGCAACTCCTCAGGATAATGGGTGAGTGACTTCCAAAAAGAGGGCCTCCCAATGGCCAGTAAACATATGAAAAGTTGTCCCACTTCATTAGTAAACAGGGAAATGCAAATTAAAAGCACAATGTGATCTCACTGTGTACCCACCGGAATGGTAGGGTGATACTAAGTGATGGTAGGACATGGAATAGTGAGAACACTGATTTACTGTTGGTGAAGGTGTAAATGGACACAGCCACTGGGGAAACTGGCAGTATCTGTTAAAGCAGAACATATGCATTGCCTATGCCATAGCAGTTCCATGCCTGTCTCTATCTCTTTCTGCCTCTTGCTGTATATAAGAAATGTATAAATATTAACTAAAAGAAAGGTATAAGAATGTTCATATCAACTCTGTAGTAACCAAAACCTGGAAACAACCCAAATGTTCATCATAGTCGAATGGATGAGTAAATCATGATGTGTTCAGACTGTGGAATACTATACAGTACAGAGGAGGAATGAACTGCTGCTACACGCCAGCACTGCAAGGGTGATTTTCACAAACAAGGTTGAGTGAAAGAAACTGCATAGCAAATTACCACAAACTCAGAGGCTTAAAACAATATCCATTATCTCCTAGCTGTATAGGTCAGAAATCCAGATGGGCTTGGCTGGGTCCTCTGTGCAGGGTCCCACAAAGCCAGAATTAAATTGTCAACAGGGCTGTATTCCTTACTAGCATCTCTGGGGGAGAATTAGATTTCAGCCTTATTCACGTTATTGGCAAAATCCGGTTCTCTGTGGTTGAGGTCCCTGTTTCCTTGCTGCCTGTCGTCCAGGAGTCAGTCTCAGCTTCTAGAGGCCACCTGCAATCCTTGGCTCATGGTCCTTTCTGTTTTCAAAGCAGTGATATGACTAGTCTTTCTTACACTTTAGATCTTTCAAACTTCTCATTCTGCTGCCAGCCAGAAAAAGTTCTCTGCTCTTAAGGGCTCATATAACTAGATTAGGCCTACCTAGGCAGTCTGTATATTAAGGTCAGCTCTGACAAATGATGTAAATATCTCATCAGAGTCACAGATTCCAGAGATTAGAATGAGACAGCTGTTATGGGAGCCATAATTCTTGCCTACTATAGAAGTCAGTCACAAAAGAGCACATATACTGTGTCATTCTGTTTATGTAAAGTTGTAATACAGGCAAAACTATGCTGTAAGTCAGGTTAATGGTTACCTTTGCGGTGGGGGTGCTGGTGGTAACTGAAAATGTTCACAAGGAAGCTTTGGGGTGTTGGTGATAACCTGTCCTTGATCTGGATGCTGGTTCCATGAGTGTGTTAAGTTTGTGAAAATACATCAAGCTATATATTTATGATATGAATACTTTTCTATATGTATATAATATTAAATATAAACAAAAAAATCAGAAAACTGCATAAAGCAAAGTGTAAGTGAACGAATCTGTTGTCAGGGTTCAACCGGAGAAATAGAACCAGTAGGATATAGCTAACCTGCATAAACTTGTGTGCAAAGGTTCAGGTTAATATGTGTGTACCTCATGGTTTCATACTGTTACCTCCAATTCAAATTCAGGACAACAGAGTTTTCACTTTAGTTGTTCCTCTGTTTTTTTTTTTTTTTTTTTTTTTTTTTTTGAGACAGAGTCTTGTTCTGTCGCCCGGGCTGGAGCGCAGTGACGTGATCTTGGGTCACTGCAACTTCCGCCTCCTGGGTTCAAGTGATTCTCCTCCTTCAGCCTCCTGAGTAGCTGGGATTACAGGCACGTGCCACCACGCCCAGCTAATTTTTGTATTTTTAGTAGAGACGGGGTTTCGCCATGTTGGCTAGGCTGGCCTTGAACTCCTGACCTCAAGTGATCCACTCATCTCAGCCTGCCAAGTGCTGGGATTACAGGTGTGAGCCACCGCGCCTGGCCCCCCTGTTTCTTCTATATCAAGAATCCTGGTTTTCAGAAATACCAAGGGTGATAGAATTAAGCTAGACAACATTACTATTCACACGCAAAGCATTCTTAGAATAACACCACCCAACACTGTTACCACTGACATTTTTGCATATGTTCTTCCTGTCCTTACACATTCTTTATAAGGTTGTTCCCACATTGTTGGAGCACAGAGCCATTATATACTGTTTGCTCTCTCTCTTTCTCTCTCTCATCTTTCATTTATCCTAGTTCTTCGTGTAAATATTGAATGCACATCATAGTCTTTATGTTGATGTCCCCCCAGTCATCATCCAGTCATTTTGATTGTATGTTACTCATTCGTCTGATAAGTAGATTGCCTTAAGATTTATGGGAATGATATTCCCTGAGTTATCTCATGTTGCTGACAACTTGTCTGTGGCCTTTGTACTTGAAATTCAGTTTTGCTGGATATAATATCTTAAACTCACATTTTATTTCCTTGAGCATCTTATACAGTGCCCCATTTTCTTTTGTTGTAAAGCATCACTGTCAAAAAGTGTGAGGGCAAACTGATTTCTTTCTTCTATGAGTGATGTGTTCTTTTTGCCTGGATGCTCAAAGGACTTTTGGGTCAGTTTCCCCCAGGTATACAAAGTACCCTTTCATTTCATTTTGCGTGTCATTTCACCCAGTGTGTGTGTGTGTATGTGTGTGTGTGTGTGTGTGTGTGTGTGTAGTATGTGCATGTGTCACATTTCAGGAACATTTTGTTGAAATGAAGGATTTAGAAATTTTTTTGGTCCCCTGCTTTGGTTTTTTTTTCTTTGTGGATTCTTGTTATATTTATGTTCAGTCTTTGCTTATGTTGAATATTTTTGTCCTATCTGAATTTTAATACAGTTTTCTAATTATGGATTGGATTATTTGGTCAATAAGTATTTATTTGGCATTTACTTTGTGCCAAATACTTTCATGTTGTCTTGTTTAATCCTTACAACAATCCTTTGAGTAATTTTAAAATTGCATTTGTGAGATGAGGAAAGTGGTTTAGGAAATGCCAGTGGTAAGTCAGGTGATAGGGAGAGTTCAAAGCTGTAAAAGGTGTGGCTTCCCAATTCCAGGGTACATGCATCCCTGAATGTTGGCAGTAACACTAGATCTTCAGAATGACAGACACATTACCTTGTCTTAATCCCTAACATCTGTCAGAAGTAGTAGGAAGGGACAGGTAAAAGCTAGCTGTCTTTTTTACCTGGTCAAATATAGATGATAATAAATGTCTTTGAAAAATTTTAAATTAATATCATATCTCAAGCTCAGAATTTATTTAAATTGATACAAACAACACTATTTAGTTTCACGATGGAGGTAGTAGAAAGATAGGATTTTGTATCTAAACATACTGGTTTCTTATCCTGATTCTCCCATTTACCCACTAGCTATGCCAGCTAAGGAAACCTGAGCCTTCATTTCTTTAACTGTGAAGAAGACAACTTTGGCCTCAGCAGGGTTGAGGATTAAATGATACAATGTATGTAAATATATTCTTTAACCAAGGGGTCAGCAAACTTTCTGTAAAAGGTCAAATGGTAAATATTTTTGGTTTTGTAGATCACATGGTCTCTGTCTCAACCACTCAGTTTTGCCATTGTGGTATGAAAGCCTGAGTAGAGAATAGCTGGGCTCCAGTGAAACTTAACTTACAACAAAAGGCAGCAAGCTGGATTTGACCTGAGGGCTGTAGTTTGCCCACACTTTACTCTAACCTATAAAGCTCTGTGTAAATATTGAGTAATTGTCATGACTTTCTCTCTTCAGGCTAATGTAATGCTTGAATATGATATTGATGAAGCTCAGGCATTGTTGGAAAAGAATTTATCGACTGCCACAAAGAATCTTGATTCCCTGGAGGAAGACCTTGACTTTCTTCGAGATCAATTTACTACCACAGAAGTCAGTATCCTTTCTTAAAACAAAAAGCAAGGGAAAAAAGGAGAAAGATTTTTTTAAAAAAACATTCTTTCATGGGCAGAGGGAGAGCATTAGGAAAAATAGCTGATGCATGCTGGGCTTAATACCTAGGTGATGGGTTGATAGGTGCAGCAAACCACCATGGCACACGTTTACCTTTGTAACAAACCTGCACATCCTGCACATGTACCCTAGAACTAAAAAAAAATTAGAATACAAAAAACCTCCCACATTCTTTCTTACATTGCTTTAGTGGGAAGAATTTCCTTATTAGGCTAATATAAAGGTTATAGATTTTATAAGATAATAAATAAGATATTCGGAACTAGTACTTAAATAAGTTTGTAGATAGATTAGTGATTTTGAAATGTGATGTGGAAACAGCAAATTCACATAGGTGAGTAAGTATTTTTCTTCCAAATATTTTCCCAAGACAACTTTATAACTGGTTAAATAGTTTAATTTCACAAGCATTTAAGGGTCTCCTATGTTCCTGCAACTGTGCTAAGACATATGGGGCATGAAAATCAATTTTAGAAAAGAGTGGCAGTGCCTTTCTCTGGTAGAACTGTACATGTAAAACAGCTGAATGATAATTCATAGCAAACTATAAGTAAGTTAACATATGCAACACCAAGGCAATTTAAACTTTGGGAAAGATAGATGTAGGCTGGACTTAGTTCAAAGAAGGCTTTGTTGAGAAGATAAAAGTTAGGCTGCTTTTTTAAAGGCGGCGTAGGGTTTAAAGATCAGCAGAGAGAAGAGGTGGGAGTGGGGTATTCTGGTCAAGGGGGAAGGCAAGCTCTTTGCCTTTCTTCTCTGGCCTGTCTTTTCCTCCTACTTCCTGTCACAGTCACTCAAGACAAAATCACGGGAGTCACCTTTCACACTTCTCTCTTCCTCACTACCAATAATAAATCAGTCGCCAGATTCACATCAAATTTCCCTCATAAATCTCTCTGCCCATTACTGTTCTCGTTCTGGGGCTCCAAAACCTGCACTCAGAACCTTTTTAGGTTCCTCTCATTCCATCTGTCCTTCCCACTATCTCTAGTATGAATTTACTAGGTCACTCATTTTTATTCCTCTGGTTACAATATTTCAACGGTTCCTTGTTACTTACAAGATATACATATAGGCACTCTTGTGAAGTGCCCCCAGCTTGTCTCACCTCATGCCACTGACCTCTTCTTGCCTTTCCCCAGTGCATTCCAGGTTCCAGATAACCCCAGTCAGTTATTGTACACACTCCCCAATTGTGCCACACCCTTTGCATTTCTACACTTTGTTCCTCCTAACTGGAATGACTTTCCCATATTTACAGGATGTGCTCTTTTTTTACCCTTTTACCCTAAATATCTCAGTCCAAGCATCAGAGCTTTCCTGAACATTTTCTGATCCTCAGAGTGTTTCTTGTGTGCTTGCTTAACACATACTGCTTAGTTTTACCTTGCCAAACCGTGAGCTCTTCAGATGTAGGAGCTGCACTTTCTCTTCTTTTCCAGTGTGCAGCATGTGGCAGTTGTTTATGGTTGGCTGAGGGAAGGCAGGCCTGTTGGGGCCTAGTGCAGTGGTCATCATCATCTGACGGGTAGTGTGGAAACTTCATCCAGCTATGAGATGACGAGGGCCTAGGACGGGTGGCTTGTGGAAAGGAAAAGATATTAAACGTGTGAGAAAAAAACAGGATCCAGTGACTTAGATGGGTACAGGAGCCAAAAGTGAGGAAATCCTCTAAGATGAGTCCTACAAGCTTAGTTAAATGCCATTTGTTATTGCTAGTACTGCAAAAGGTAGGAAAGGAAGGTGTGCAGACAAGTGAGGGAGCTAGGGTGGACAGTCTCTGTTACATTGACATTCTACTGGAGTCTAAGCTCCACGAGGAAAAGAACTTCACCTGTCTTATTCAGGTCAGGGCTTTGTACAGTGCCTAGTCAAAAATACAGTAGATGCTTAATAAACTTGTTAAGCCAAAGGGAGGGTAAGAGATAAAATTATTGATAATTGTAATAATATAAATATTACATGGCAGGATATGGGTTGAGTGATCTTTCAGATTTCTTGGATGAGGGACTGTCTTTAAAACTATCGAGAGTGTCTAGTACATATTTGTTAAATATATCATAGTTGACTAGCTGACAGTTGACTAATACCATAGTAAACAATGGGTTAACAATTAATTTGAGTCCTTAGTTTTGATAGAGTTTAATTATAGTATTTTCCTAACAATTGACATTATAGCAGGATGTCTTACAATACTATTTGTTACCAGTATTTGTATATGTTTCATTTCTGTGTCTTTGATTCATTGTGTGAGTGGAGTGAATACTTAGTCATTGCATGCATTATCTTTAGAATTGCATTTGCATTTTCTTTGACAATTCTTGCAGATATGGCCAGGGTTTATAATTGGGATGTAAAAAGAAGAAACAAGGATGACTCTACCAAGAACAAAGCATAATGCTGGCAATTAAAAATGTGGTTTAGTTTTCCAAACATGTTATCTTAAATACCCCTTTATCCTTACAGGTTGACATAACTTTGAATGTTTTAACAGCAAGAATTTTAAGAAAAGATAAACACCATTTTATTTATTTATAAAAACAAAATTAGTTTCAAATATTTTTGACATTGTGATTTTTTTTTCCACATTTCTCAGCAAAGCTAATGGTATTTTAATCATTATTTTTGCCTGTCATAAGAAAACTCTTAGCTGAAATGGCCGAAAACTGTGAGACATGCTATGGAAGCTGAATGCCGGACGCTAGCACAGTTTACTTTTTCCCTTTCTAATTGGCTGATGTTACTCTCACTTGATGTGGTTAAACCATTTTAGAGGTAGAGAAGACAGACAGTTTGAATATTTGTAAACTTGTTTTTCTTTGGTATATTTAGGACTTAGTGGTCCTCTGTTGCTATTGTCTTCTATAAGTGGAGTTTCATGACTTACTGCTTAACGAATAACTAACTACTATGATATTCTGGACATTTTAGGAAATGGTAATTTGCCTTGCTACACATTAAGAGGGCTATTAAGACTACATTTTTTCTAACCTCAGATAAGTGCAGTGTCTTTGCAATGCCAACATAAGGGAGATCTTGGCCAACGTGAAATAAAATTACTCATTCAAAACTCTGCCTAAGGTGATTTTGTAGTTCTTAACAGTTCTCCAGAGCATCTTGAACAGGAATATTAAGATAAATGTGAATCTGCAATGGCTGAAAAGAGTTGTGAGCTTTTTTATTCATGATAAAACCTTATAGGAATAGTATAAAAAATCCCTGTGGAAAGCTACTAGTACATTGACCAGCGCTGGGTGATACAGATTCTGATAAAAACATAAATGTATTAGTTCATCTCCATGTAGTAAAAAGTATACTTATACAATGTTTTGTACTTGTATTTCATGAAATTAAAACAGTGATGCTAAAACTATGGCAGAGCACTTTTTTCATGTTACTCTTTGTCTTACTATGTTTGGGCTGCTATAACAGAATACCACAGAGTGGGGGGCTTATAAACAGCAGAAATTTATCTCTCCCAGTTCTGGAGGCTGGGAAGTCCAAGATCAAGGTGCTGGCAGATTTGGTGTCTGGTAAGGGCTGTGTCCTGGTTCGTAAACGGCACCTTTTCACTGTGCCCTCATGTGGCAGAAGGGGCAAGGAGCTCCCTTGGGCCTCTTTAATTTGGCACTAATCTCATCATGAGGGCTCTGCCCTTATGACCTACTCACCTCCCAAAAGCCCCACCTCCTAATACCATCACCTTGGGGGTTAAGATTTTAACATAACAATTTTGGGGTGACACAAAGATTCAGACAATAACACCTTTTTAAAGTTAACATGGGTCTTTTCACGTATTTGTAAAGTTTACTTGTACATATACTAGCATGTTCCAAGAACAACTTATATTTCTAGAAACACCATAAAATCCCTGTGGAAGGAATACAGATCTGCAAACAATTGAGAAGTTCATTGAAAAGATAACAGAATTTCCTTGATTGAATTTTTCTTTCATAATTTTAAATTCTCATATTTTAGAATTTGAGGTTTGTAAACATCTTGAGATATTGTATGTGCTCATTTTCCCCAAACTTTGTTATGGTAAGTATATATTGGTATGAAATGTTCCTGTTAATGTTAGAACAGGAATGGTTTGCTCCGAAGATCTTCATTTTGTCTTTGAAAGTATAAATATGGATTTTTAGGTAATTACAAGGACTATGAAGAAACAAAACTCTTTCGAGATATGAATTACAGGCCAAAAATTAAGGTAATTATTTAACATATTTAAAAACACCCATTATGGGTCAGGAACTGTGTTAGGCTCTGTTAATTAAATAAAGATATTTAAATCTTACCTCTGCCAGATAATTTCTGTTAGAGTGGTTTACATTTTCAGAATAACATAACCATCCTGATTTGACATATTTTGAAGTTTAATATTAGTATAGCGTACTAGGAGAGGATATGGGCAAAAGATTGACTACAGAACTTGATGCTGAGAAATGTGTTGGAAATGCAACTTAAATTGAACTGCTTTTCATTATAAAATGGATGTTCAGTTAAGAAAATTTAGAAAACAGGAAAAAAAGATGTTCTATTTGCAGTCCCCCTTGATATTTCTGTGTATTCTGTTTCTTTTTCTGTGCATAGGTTTTTTGAAAACATAGCTGAAATGATTTTGTCTTAATCCTACTTTCTTCACTTAGCATGAAATTTGTGGGTTGTTTTTAAAACTTTTTCTCTATTGTAAGTAGAGAACTGAGCAGTTTATGTTTACATAAGACTTTTTCTTATATTTAGGGTTTTTTCTGAGACTAGATTACCAGTGGAATTATGGAGTCAATGATCATAGTATATCATTACCTGGGGTTAACTGAAAGTATTGTTTAGTTAGATAGAACTTGTTTGACACAGAGGCTGTGAGGCTGATGAGTTTTCGAACAGGTATGTTGAGAATTGAGTGAAGCATCAACAGGCAAAAACTTAAGAAATTGTTTTTGTTCTCACCTTAAAAGCCCAGAATCATAGGTGTTTGTTTGCAGGTTTTACAATTTAAAACACACAAGCCAAATTGGTGTTTTCTTTTTTCCAGCTGTTATTAATGTAACATTTTTCTAAATTCGTGTTTTTCCTGTACTTCAATTGTGCTTTCCATCATCCCCTGCTCCCCCTACCCATCCTCTTCAATATAAAGACACTGACATCTGTAGGGAGAAGCACCTTATTCAAGGCCATACAGCGGCTATGTGCACAGCCAGAATGACAGCCACATTTCCTTGCTTCTGGGAAAATTTACCCCTCTATACCATGATACTTTGCTCCTTTACTTAGTAATAGCTAAGTTTGGGGAAAATGTTAAGGTCCATTTTTTAATGAGTGAACACTCTGCCTTTATATATTTGCTATTCACAGCCTTAAACTTCAGTGATGTCTTTAAAGATCTTAAACCATTTTTTGAAGGTTTGCCTTCATTGGTTCTAATCCCATACTCTTGTGATAGTCATGGCTATGACAATTTGGTGCCAATGTGGGATGGGGTTGCCTCTGAAGACACTCCAGAGTGCTAGGGCAGCGCCCGTCACAGCTGGTGTTGGGTTCAACTACACAAACTCCCACAACATGGAAAGGCCTCCTCTGTTACCAGTTTGCTCTGAAGGACATTGGACAGGCAAGACAGCATGCCAGAGGGTGGCTTTAGGCAGAGTTCTATGAGAATTATCTTGGCAGTCCCCACAGACTGCACAAAAGGACATAGGAGTCACCTTGGCTTTAGAAGCCATAAGGGACCACCCTCTTTTTAACAGTTCCCTGTGCATGTAGCATCCTTGGGTTCCGGCTAGGGACAAAGCCCAGGAACAAGTTGTACACTGCGCTCTTGGAGCCCAAGCTGTGACTCTTAGCAGGTATTTACATTCATTTGCAGCTCTCCTAGCTTGGACACAGGATACTTCGCTGAGCGTTTTACCAGAAGCAGTCTCTCGTCACACAGCTGGTGGTCTCCCTTCGTCAGGTTTCCAGGGGAACCAAGCTAGAAAGCTATCCAACGTCAGTGCCAAATCTTAAAAGAGAAAGGGATTTGAAACACCTCACTCATAACCTGTTGAATCTTGCATAATCATGGCCCAGTTTTTGTCATTGGCCTGCTTCCCTTTTCAGTTCCTTTTGTAAGGCCTCTTAGCTAATAACTGCAGAAAATGTAGTAATATTGTCTTCAGTAAATTTTAAGGGTCAGATGGAAACATTTCTGTCTGGGTTAGGTGAAAGACAATCAGCCAGGAGGTCCAAGTAGTTAATCTCCAAAGTTCCTTAATAAATGGATCTGAAAACGTTTTTCTCAACTCAAAACCAAGTGATGTTATAAATTTAGTGAACCTATGAAGTCATTGCAGAGTGCAAGCTTTTAAGGCTTGTAGCCCAAACTAGGCAATAACTAAAAGTTTCATTTTCACACTTTTTATTTTGAAATTTTGTAACTATGACCAGTGTCATCGTTAGGCCTGCTAATTAACCATATTTCCTATATATTCATACTCTTTTCTGTACTCAGGGAGAACTGCTTGTATGACCAGTTGTGAGAAGGTACCAGTTTGAGATTGGAAGTGTCCAAGGCTGGAGAAATTGATTCACGTATTATGTGCACAGAGTTGCTTTTCTTGTTTGGTTAGGAGAAGATGGCCCAGGATCTCATCTGCACATGAAAATTCATATGGATTATGCCCTAAAGTTCAACTAGAGAATATACTTGTGTTTGTGTTCCTCTCTTGTCTGATGTCAGATTTAGCTGTAGTCACATCAAAAAGGATAGACCTGGTGTGCACAGTATTTTTGAGCAGTTTATAAAGGATCATGCCTCTTGATTATGGTTTTCAAATAATTTTATGTGTTAGTTGATTGTGTGACAACTCTATTTGCCTTCTGTGGATATTTGATATACAGGTAGGCAATGACCAAATAGGATTTTTTTTCCAGATTTTCCAAGTACACCCATCTTAGACTGAATCAGTTTATTTTCCCTAGATCAAAGCTGTGGATTCTAGAGTAAAAGTAAAAAATTTAAAGGTAAAAGGTCAGTGGATAACAATCTCTTGCATTTGTCTATTTTTGCTTGTATTACCTGTGCTTTTAGAGTCATATCCCAAAAAATCATTGCCCAGGTGAATGTTATCAAGCTTTTTCCCTATGTTTTCTTCCAGTAGTTTTTACAGGTTCAGACCCTATGATTAAGTCTAATCCATTTTGAGTTGATTATCATATATGGAATGAGATAGGGGTCCAATATCATTCTTCTGTATGTGAATATCCAGTTCCCCAAGCATCATTAATTGAAGAGCGTTTCCTTTCCCCATTTTGTGTTCTTGGCATCTTTATTGAAAATGAGTTAGCTGTAATGTGTAGATTTACTTCTGGGCTCTATTCTGTTCTATTGGTCTATGTGTCTGTTTTACACCAGTACCATGATGTTTTGATTACTGTAGCTTTGTAGTTGATTTTGAAATCAGAGAGTGTGATTTTATGAATTTTAGGATTGTTTTCTATTTCTGTGCAAAATGTCATTGGAATTTTGATAGGGATTGTATTGATTCTGTGGATTGCTTTGGGAAGTATGAACAGTTTGACAGTTTTAATTATTCAATCCATGCCCATGCCGTATCTATTCATTTACTTGTGTCTTCTTCAATTTCTTTCATTGGTATTTTACAGTTTTCAGTGTATAGACTTTTACTTTCTTGGTTCAGTTTATTTCCAAGTACTTTTTGGCTATTGTAAATGTGATTGTTTTCTTGATATCTTTTTCAGATAGTTCATTGTTAGCATATAGAAATAGTACTGATTTTTGTATGTTGACTTTGTATCCTGCAACTTTCCTGAACTTATTTATTAGTTCTAACAGTTTTTGGTGGGATCTTTACAGTTTCAATATGTAAGATCATGTCATCTGTAAACAGAGACAGTTTAACTTCTTCCTTTCTGATTTGGATGCCTTTTATTTCTTTTACTTTACTAATTGCTTTATCTAGCACGTCTGCCACATTGTTTGTGTCTTCTCTGATTTCTTTCATCAGTGTTTTGTAGTTCTCCTTGTAGAGATCTTTCACTGCCTTGGTTAAATGTATTCCTAGGTATTTAAATTCTAATTTCATAAAAAATTAGATTTTTAACTAATTTTCAACTTTACTATAGCAACTGGTTGCAATACCAGAGTAAAATGGCAATGCTGGCTTTGTGTGTGTGTGTGTGTGTGTGTGTCACACTCAGTGTGTCACACTGAGACACTGATACCAGTGATGCATTAAAAAGTATGGTGCACAGACGTCACCACTATGCAATATATTTATGTAACAAACCTGCACATGTACCCTCTGAACCTTTAAAAAGAGAAAGAAAAAGTGGACTGTAGTTGCCTTTTTCTTCTCCACTTGGTCCTCAGCCACCAGATCCCAAAGTGATTCTGGGAGAAATCCAGGTAATTAGCAACTATAGGGAAATCTGATTACTCATACTAATGACCAAGGAAAGGGTCATTACCCTGGTTATCTGAGAGATGACCATGGTCTAGGACTTTCTCTTTTAACTTTTCTGGCTAGAGTTTGTGCAGGTCAGATGATAGGGGAAGAAGGTCCAGAGAAAATAAATTTTATCCTAGGGAAGGAGTGGACAAGTCCCAAAACAAAGATGACTCTGGAAGACAAAAGGCAAGCAGAGATGGGAATCTGGCCCTGAAAATAGAGGCAGGAAAGCTGGAAACTAAGGACTGATCCCCTTCCCTTCTTCTCTGGTCCCTACCACACCCTCCTCCTTATGTATCCAATGGCCCATCTCTCTACGCCAGCCCCTAACCTCCACCTGTCCCATTTCTCCTTGGTGAAAAGTTAGTTACATCAGGAACTTTTGAAAGTAGATAGGGCCCAAATTGGTTCTGGGAGAAATCTAGTAACTGTAGGGAAAACGGATTACTGATACTAATGACCAAGGAAAGGATCATTTAAAAAGCTGATAATAAGAATACACCTTCAAAGAGTTTTTTTTAAAGGGGGAGGAATATGATCAGAGTACTGGGCAGCTCAAACTTTTCATGCATGACTACATATGTGATGAGACAAAATTATTTAGATTATTACTGAATAATGGCAAATAGATATCAGTATTTTAGTACTTAAAAGCGGCAGGATATACTGAAATACTGAATGCTTATGGCAATTATCAACCATATTAAATATTATAAACATGATTTAATATGACTTTTATTAACCTGCCCCCTTCAGGGAAGTCTCCTTCCAACCCCAGAAAATATTTCTACAGAATTATAATTAGTATATGTAAAGTACTTCAGAGCAACATACATGTTAGGAAATGTTTTCAAAACTTCAAATGAGATGGCAATTGGATATTTTGGAAAATCAAGCAATCTTTGGGTCTTCTATTAAAGTGTAAATATCTGTTGCGAGCTTTCATTCTGTTGTGGGTTCCAAAGTGTCAGGTCACCTGAGAATTTGTGGTAGAAGTTCAAGTTGCTGTTTTCTTAAGGTAATTTTTCTTTTTCTTTTCATATATGTATTTGCATTGGTAAAGACTACCATTTATGACAAAGATGAAACCTTCGTGAACATGTATCTGATGAATAACATTACGTGAAAATGTATAAAGTGTTAGAAATGCAAGGAAAATGGACAGAAACATTAATAGGAGTCCTAATATATTAATTGCAGTCATTTACAGGTTAATTAGGCAAGACTGCTAGTAATGCTAATTTAATAAATGTTAGCACCTACAAACCCAATTCTCAAAACTCATTTACAAAAAGTGAGCACATATTAAGCTAATGAAGAAAATGTCAAATTTCCAAAAGTGCAAATAGTCTGGGCCACATTTTCTGACCATAATGCAGGTAAAATCGGAATGAATAATGGTTTAAATGAGAAAAATATTTAACATTTCAAAATTAAGCACTATGTTAAAGAACTTCAGGTCAAAATTATAATTACAAAATTATTTAGAATTTGATGCAATGAGAACACTAATAAGCTTAAGAACAGGGGATTCAGATTAAAATATAAGCCTTTGTTGCTAAACTCAAAAGAATAAAATACAAATCAAGTGACCAACAGTAACTTTTGCTTCCTTCATCATTAAAAGTAAGGATAATCAGTCTCTTAGGATAATACTATGTGTCTTCTGTCTTAACTCTGTCAGTATTTATGTGACTCCTTCTAATAGCTTGGCATTCTTTCCTTTGGTGATCTTGTCTCCCCACTCCTTAGTCACTTATTCCCATGGTCACACCTGAGACCTTGTCATTACCAACCACTGCCGCTCCTTCCTAATTTCAGCCTCAAGCCATTCTGCTCCCTGACCACCACCTCCTACCTTTTCAGGTTTTCACTGCCCTGCACATCCTTACTTCTCTTCTTTTGTGTTTCATTCTTTGTACATGTTGTCAATGTTCTTGTCATCCAGCTTTGCTATACTGACTTGGCTGAGTCACTGTCTTGGTTCAGACCAACTCTGTCAATTCCCAGGCAGCTTAATGTAACCAAAGAAAGGTCACCACTGCAAGTCTCAAGAGGGCAGTGATGCTGTGCAGTGATCCATTCATTCCCCTTGCAAGACAGTGTCATACCCTCTCTCCTGGTCTCAAACCCTGACACTCCCTCTCTGGTTGTTGCTCACAGCTGATGTTCCTGCTTTCTAGTTGGCCAAGAAGACTGAAGTAACGATAGGACTCTCCATGCACTCCACCCCACATCTACCCACCATCTGCCCATATTCATAAGCCTTTGCTTCATCCTCCTCATCTTGGCCCCCAGTCTTGCCCTAACCAAAGCATTGTAAACATTTCCAGGGCAATGTATGGTATATTTGTAACATTGCCTGGCTCAGCCTCCAGTTAGAGGAGTTCTGGCCTAGGCAGTGCACATGTTATTTCCTAAGTACCAATGACCTTTTCTGTTGAGTGCTCTGGCCACAAAATTATATTGATTTTAAGTGATACACCCCAAACCTATTTTTCCCTTAGGCCTTGTTACTGTTAGTATATTAATTTGCTAGAGCTGCTGTTACAAAGTATGATAAACAATAAACAGAAATATATCATCTCATATTTCTGGAGAATTGAAGTCCAAAGTCAAGTGTTGGCAGAGCCATGCTCCCTCTGAAGGCTGTATGGAAAGATTTGTTCCAAGCCTCTCTCCTAGCTTCTAGTAGTTCTTGGCTTGTGGTAGCAGAACTCCAATTTTCACCTGGTGTTTTTCCTGTGCGCACATTTCCCCTTTTTATAAAGACACCAGTCATTGGATTGGGGCCCACCTTACTCCAGTATGACCTCATCTTAACTAATTACATCTACAATTTGACCGCCACCCCCTCCCCCAATAGAATCACATTTACAGGTACTGAGGGCAAGGACGTTGACATCTTTGGAGGACACAATTCAACTTACAACAGCTGCTGTGCAATTTTGCAGAATTTTAAAGTTTTAGGAGCGCATGCATTGCATTATAGTACACAGCAGAACACTCTGTACTTTACTTCTCGTTTCCATTGATGAAGTGTCCCTGCAATCTTAAAGAGAAGAAAGGTTCTCCCCTGCAACTTGTCTCTCTCCTGAATCCTCAGTCTTTCTCCACTGAATCTTTCTTATCTTAAAAAACAAAAACAAAAACAAACAAACAAACAAACAAAACTCTCTTGGCCTGACATCCCCTCAAGCTGCCATCCTTACTTGTCTTCACAGAAAATTGCTTGGAAGTATTCTGTACTCACTTTTCTTTTTTTCCCTCCTGTTCTCTTCTAACCAGGTTTTTCTATGCTATACTCCACAGAAACTGCTCTTGTCAGGGTCTCCAGACATGCACATTGCGAGATCCAATGGCCAGTCTTCATCTTCATCTTATTAGACCTATCAGCAGCATTTGACACAGTTGATTGCTCTCTCCTTTTAACTCTGCCTCCTTGGTTTCTAGTATATTTGCCTGGTTTTCCTCCCACCTCCCTGCCTGCTCCTTCTCAGTTTCATGTAGGAGTTCTATCTTCTATGACCTCTAAATTCTAGTGTTCCCTGAGGCTTACTCCTCAGACCTCTTTTCTGTGTATTTGAGGAACTCATCCAATCTCATGTCAGTGATTGTCCTCCCTGCACGGATAATGCCCAGATTTTTATCTCCAGCTTGGACCTCTAAACCTCAGAATTTTACACTCTCATATCCTACTGCCTACTTGACATCTCCATATGTGAAACTTAATAGGCATCTCAAACTGAATGTGTTGAAAACTAAACTGATTCTTCCTCCTTCCTCTCCTCACCTCAAATCCCACCCATGCTCTTATACGTCATATTCAGTTCATCAGCAATTCCTGACTAAATTCATGGTTTATCCAAAATTTGACCACCTCTCATCACCTCTTCAGCTACCATCTTGGTCCAAGTCACCAACATCTCTCATGTGGGTCACTGCAACAGCCTCCTGATTTGTCTCCCTGGTTCCACAGTCGCTCTCCTTCAGACCATTCTCTACAAGAAGCCAGAGGAATTCTGGTACAATGTAAGTCAGATCAAGTGTCTCTTGTGCTTAAAACTTTTCAGTGACTTCTATCTGATTCAGAGCAAAGCCAGAGTCCTTACAATGATGTACAAGCCCTACCTGATCTGGGTCCCACACCCCCTCTCTAAATTAATCTATGTGAGTCAGCCCCTGCCCCCCCCCACCCCGCTCTCTCTCTCTCTCTCTCTCTCTCTCTCTCTCTCTTTCTTCATTTACCCCCCTTTCATTCTTCCCTGGCTCATTCTGCTCTAGCACACCAGTTCCTTTGCTGTTCTCGAAACATACTCGTTTTGCTCCTGCCACAGGACTTTTCTACTTGTTACTCTCTTTTCCTGGAATGTATAGATATCTACATGGTTTACTCCTTAACACTTTCAGATCTTCACTCAGATATAACTTCAAATATAAGCTTCATTACTACCCCCCTCCCTCACACAAATGCATATCATTATCCTTCTTCCTTGCTTTGTTTTCCCTTTAGTGCTTAACTCTAGGGTAATTTTATGCCATGGTTTGCCAGGGACAGTCTGTTTTTTTTTCTGTTGCTCACAGCTATTAATTATTTTTAGCTCCTCTTTCTACTTTCAGTAGAAGCCCAGCTTGGATGATAAACTATGTGGTTAGTCTCCTCATCACTATTTTACATGCTATATATTTATATTACTCGTTGTCTGTGTCCCTACTCTAGAACTTAAGTTGTATAAGGGCAAAAATTTTTGTTCTAATCTTCACCTATCCCTAGTACCTACAACAGTGCTTTGCATACAGTGAGGATTCATATATTGCATGCATGAACAAAACATTGTTTAAAAATCTGTTCTTTTGCCAGGTGTGGTGGCTCACGCCTGTAATCCCAGCACTTTGGGAGGCTGAGGCGGGCGGATCACGAGGTCGGAAGTTCGAGACCAGCCTGGCCAACATGGTGAAACTCTGTCTCTACTAAAAATACAAAATTAGCTGGGCGTGGTGGTGCGTGCCTGTAATCCCAGCTACTCAGGAGGCTGAGGCAGGAGAACTGCTTGAACTGGGACCTGGGAGGCAGAGGTTGCAGTGAGCTGAGATCACACCATTGCACTCCAGCCTGGGCAACAAGAGTGAAACTCTGTCTCAAAAAAAAAAAAAAAAAAAAAAAATCTGTTCTTTTTTTTTTTTTTTTTTTTCCTTTGGAGACACAGTCTTCCTCTGTCACCTAGGCTGGAGTGCAGTGGTGCAGTTTTGGCTCACTGCAACCTCCATCTCCCGGGCTTAAGTGATCCTCCTGCCTCAGCCTCCCAAGTAGCTGGGACCATAGGCACGTGCCACCACGCCCAGGTAATTTTTGTATATTTTGTAGAGATAGGGGTTTCATCATGTTGCTCAGGCTGGTCTTGAACTCCTGAGCTCAGGCAATCTGTCCACCTCAGCCTCGTAAAGTGCTAGGATTATAGGTGTGAACCACCACGCCTGGCAAAATCTGTTGTTTTATGATAAAATATGTTCAAATGTTTAAAAATAAGTCTGGCCCCTTTAAGAAGAGTTTATGAGGACAGATGTCGTCAAAATTGCTATTGGTGTAAAAAAAACATATTTGTGAAATTGCTGTTGGAAACTAGTGGAGATTTAAAGTGCAGAAGTTCCAAGGAAAAGGTGAGACTTCTTAAAAATCAAAATTAATTATTTCCATTGTGGTTTGTCAGTGCCTCTTTGAAATCAGATTTATTTTCAGGTTTCAGCTCTATTACCTCCCTAATTAAGAATAAGATTCTACCTTCAAGAAACTTGTATTTTTATAAGAAAATCAAATGTATAGTAGATGCGATTATAAAAAAAATGTGATATCTGCTTTAACAGAGAAATATGTATTTGTATTCCATATACAATCTCCACAAAGCAGAGACCTTTTGATATTACTTAAATCAGGTGGATAAATTTTCTAAGAAGGTGATGCTTGAATTAAATATTATAGTTTGAATAGCAATTTGTTTAAAAGGTTAGAAAGGGAAAAGCATTTGATGGCATAGGGAGTGCTATATATATATAAATATAGCTGTGAAAGAAAATTGCATTTTTAGTGAATAGCAAGAAGTATACCTGTCTCTTCTGTGGCCTGTGTACTGTGGTTGGGTTGTTTATCTTTGTATTATTGAGTTTTGAGAGTTCTTCAGATAATCTAGACATATAAATCTTTTATCAGATATTGCAGATTCTTTCTCCAGGTCAGTGGCCTGACTTTTCATTTTCTTAATTGTCATTTGAAAAGCAAAAAGTTTCCAATTTTGATGAAATCATATTATCAGTTTTAAAACCTGTTTTTAAGTTTTCATCCTATCTAAATTTGTAGAAGTTTAGTTTTAGCACTGCATGTTCTCACTCATAAGTAGGAGTTGAACAATGAGAACACATGGATACAGGGAGGGGAACAACACACACCAGGGCCTGTGGGGTGGGGGCAGGGGAGGGAGAGCATCAGGGCAAATAGCTAATGCATGCAGGGCTTAAAACCCAGGTGATAGGTGCAGCAAACCACCATGGCACAAGTATACCTGTGTAACAAACCTGCACATTCTGCACATATATTTTGGAACTTAAAAATAAAAAAAAAAGTTTTAGCCCTCATATTTAGGTGTGTGATCTACTTTTAGTTTATTTTTGTGTATGATGTGAAGTAAGGGTTCAGGTTCATTTATTTGCATATGTATGTCCAATTCTTTCAACACTATTTGTTAAAAATATTATCCTTTCCCCATTAAATTATTAAATCCTTGGCACGTTTGTAAAAATACATTGAGTAAAATTTGATTTGTGGATAGGATGGAGGAAGCACACTTCCTCTGTCTCCCCTGCTGAGTACAGCTATAAAACCTAGGCAGAATGCATGGAACAGCTATTTAAAGACACAGAAAATAAAATACCAGTAGGCTATCAGGAAAGAACAACTGAATTCGGAGTACCGATGAACCCACAGTGAATTTACCATTTTTTCCTCTAGTTTTCCTGCCGCATGGCCCCTGACACTGCACAGCAGAGCAGGATAGCTAAAGCCCAAGATTTCTGCCTAGAGCACCCAAAAGGGAATTTCCAGGGAAGTGGAAAGTGCTGGAGATGGAGGACAAGGAGAGGGAGTTGCTCTGAAAAGCAACCACATAGCTGCACGAGCTTGGATGTGTTCCTAATTAGTATATCAAAGACTAAGAAGTGAACAAAAGGATAGACCACTGCAGGTTGGAACGTGTGACTTGAATTTACTCAGGTTGATTGCCTGCTAAAGCAAAAAATCAAAATCCTCCATAGGATTTAAACAAGACCCAGAATCTCATAATATTCAAAATGTTCAGAGTACAATAAAAAATTAGTTGGCATATGAAGAACCAGGAAAATATTCATTCACACAAAAAAGGACAAAGTATGACTTTATGTAGATAACATTAAAAATCAATAAATTAGAATGCAGAGGAAGTAAAATTGATAAAACCAAGTGCTGTTTATTTGAAAATACCGATAAAAATAAGTAATAAGAAGAGAAAACACACAAGACTACAAATGAGAGAGAGGTTTCTATCCACCATTACAGAAATTTTTAAATTATGCTAAGTACAACTGTACACCAATGCATTTGGAAATCTACCTGAAATAGATAATTTTCAGGGAAAACACAAATTACCAAAATTTACTCATGAGGATGTATGCAGTGTTTTTGTTTTTGTTTTTGTTTGTAGAGACAGGGTCTCACTATGTTGCCCAGGCTGGTCTCGAACTCCCAGCCTCAAGCTATCCTCCTGCCTTGGCCTCCCAAAGTGCTGAGATTACAGGTTTGAGCCACCACGCCCAGCCAGATGTACGTGTTAATCTAGATTGGCTATGACTTGCTGTGGTAGTCATTCCCAGTCCTGGGGGCTACATGTCCATTATAGGTCAAGGATTGCTCTGCTCCATGTTTACTTTACTCCTGAATCCAAGCTAATAGAAAAGCCCCTAGCTGGGACATTGCCAGTCACATGGCCAAACCTACATCATGAGAGGGAAATATAATCCTGTTTCAGGGAAGGGCAATGAACATATATGAAAACGGTCAATATTATGAAAACGGTCAATATTATGGTTGAAAACTGAATCTAACCATTACCATGAAATAAATGGAAAGATTGTCAAAGATCTATACCCCTTTCCACGCACACAAAAAAAGGAATGCTGGACCAAAAAGCTCTTATGAGTGAATTCTATCAAACCTTCAATAAACAGACCACCCCCACGTTATTTAAAATATTCTAGTGTATAGAAGAAGACAGATTTCTAATAGTTTCATCATTCCTGAGGCCAGCATAACCATGATATCAAAACCTGACAGAAAGCACAAAAGATCACCATTTTCCAATGTGTTATTCACTGAAATGTCTGTTAAGATGCTTCAGAAAGTGAGTTATTTTGTCATATAAGTTGAGGAGATGCTGTATAAAATTACCTCCCAATGGAGAGTCCCAATATACCATAGTATTCAGTAGTCCTACAGAATACTATTTTGCTTTATTTAATCCACAATTTTCTGAATTTGTTTGACTGTAGGTGCCCCCCAACACACACCTAGATTCTTTGTAATCCCCATGGAATACATTTCTGGAAATGGTATTATGAACCAATCTGAAGCATGAATTTAAATGCAAAGATCCTAAATAAAATGTTAGTAAATTAAATTAAGCAGTATTTAAAAAATACACTATGAACAAGTAGAGTTTATTCCAAGAATGTAAGTAAATATGGTTTAACATAAACAGATTTACTAATATAATTAATTACATTCACAGGTTAAGGGAAGAAAACCATTTGATTTCCTCAACGGGTACCAGAAAGACATTTGAAAAAGTCAATATGCATTCTTTCTAAAAGCACTTAGTAAAATAATAATGCAGCGAAAAGTTCCATAGACTATTAAAGATAATTTAAGGTCAAAATGCTAGAAGCACGTAACAGCAGGAAAAAGACAAAGGTGCCCACCACCACTGCAGTTATTTACCATTTTACTCTAAGATCTAGCCAGTGTAAAAAGACAATAAAAAGAAATGAAGTATAAATATTAAAAGGAAGAGAGAACATTATCATTACCTGTAGATTATAATGTCTGCCTGGAAAGCAGAAGAGATCAACTGAAAAACTATTTGAGGTAATAAGAGAGTTTAGTAAGGTGTCTGGCTACAAGATATAAACCAATCCACAGATTTCCTACATGCTAGCAATGATCAATTAGAACATATAATGAGAAAACGAGTCATTCCAATGATAGCAGAAGTTATAAATTAGGAATAAACAGAAAATGGCTAAACTTAGAACTATAAGAAGTTACTGATGGACATAAACAAGGATTAAAATAATTGAATGACATATTCTTGGGCAAATATTGTAAAGATACTTGTTCCTGCCATATATCAGTGTCAGTAAATTAATGCAACTTCAATCAAAATCCCAATATTACCTTAGGGGAAACTTGACACATCTTCAGGTTCTAATATACTGCATGAGAATAACAAAGACAATTTTGAAGTGACAAAAGATAATAAAAACATATTACAGAGTTACTGTAACTAAAACAACGTAGGCAAGGATAGAAAACTAGATTAATGAACTAAAAAAGCTAAGTCCAAAACCAGACCCATGTATATATGACAGTTTAATATTTGAAAAGGGTAGAATTTCCAATTATTAAAGGAACAATGGAATATTCTCCAGATGGTGGAGGGACAAATAGCTAGTCATTTGGGAAAAATAGTTCTTATCCCTATCTCCACTTCCTATACCTAAGTCAATTCCTAAGGGAATCCCAAATCCATTATAAGAAATCATAGGAAAACCGTTTTCTAGTTTTTGAGTGGGGAAGGCCTATCTCAACCTAACATCATTGCCAAAAAACATTAAGACAACATACTGTACAAGAAAGATAACATAAGTTACATGGCACAAAAATCAAAAGATACAAAATGTTATCCAATGGAAATTAAGTCTTCCTCACAGCTTGTCTTCCAGGCATCAGTTCCCCAATTCTGAGACAAAGACTGTTTCCAGTTTATTGTAGACAACAGATTTAATCACCTATATATGACAGACTTCTGTATTAACCACCAGAAAGCTTAAGAAATCAGAAAAACCTAAAAAAAATTGCAACATATGTGATGAATAAAAAACTAATTTACATATATAAGGAGATCATACTAATAAATAGGACTACTTCAGCTGCAAGCCACAGAAAACCAGTAACCAAGATATGCACATTAAAAAATATTGATCTAATCAATTATATCAAAATTTTAAATGTATATTTTCTTTGATTCATAAATTCTATTTCTAGGATTTTGACTTGAGGACATAATTAGTCAAATATACAAAGATATATATGCATCATAGAATTGCTTTATAACAGCAAAATTTGCACATAACCTGAGGATTGATTATATAACTTGTATATCCATACAGTGGAATACTATTGTATCAAGAGACTTTCAGCTATAGGTGGAAAAAAACTGCACAAACTAAAATGGGATTTATTACTCCTGTAACAAGGAATCTTAATATAGGGTGACTCCAGGGTAATTAAATCTGTAGTTCAATGACATTATCAAGGACCCAGTTTTCTTCTATCTTTGCTCTGTCATCTTTAGTATGTCAACTAACTCTTGATCACATTTAGCAAATATGTACAGGTACTGATAAACTGTAAAGATATAATGATTAGCAAAAACAGACATAGTTTCTGTCCTTGTGTATTTACAGGGAATATACAACATGTGAAAAAGGTAATGGCATAGTATGTGTTACATGATACCCTTTATGAAAAAGATTCATTTCGGGGCAAACATATTATAGTATGTAACCTTTTCTGGTAAGATTGTTATGTGATGTTCACCAAATGCCAGAGCCTGTGCTAAGTACTTTATATGGATTATCTCATTTTATCCTCACAACTCTATGAATTAATACTATTATTATCCAATTTTATATATGTGTAAACTGGGACTCAGAGAGATTGAATCACACATAACCGGTAGTCAGAATTTGAACTCATGTCTGTTTTATTCCAAAATCCGTACTCTTAACCACTATGTTAAACAACCTTTTGAAAATGGAAATAAAAATATATAGAAAGAAATAGACCAAGCTTTTAACAGTCATTTTCTTCAGGAACTTATGGTTGAATGCTATTGACTACAAGAGCCAGGAAAAACGGGGAGGAAAACAAAATCCAGGGGTACATTGATAGACTGGCAGTGGGGACTGGTTGATTGCCTAAAACGTCCTGAAGACATTTAAAAGCAGGTCTCATAGGAGAGAGTGAGCAACCAGAACTTATAATCAGAACTCTAGAGGCTGTATAAAATTTGGTAATGCTTCAAGATAGGGACATGTGTGTATTTTACTGATGTGAAGTAAGAATCAAGGTCATTGGATTAAAGTAGAGCAAGAAAACAATCATTCATTCAAGTATGTATAGATGATTCAAGCACCTAACTTGCTACAAGTTAGAGAAATACTGGTGAACAAGATGAGTAAGATTTGTAGCCATGTTAAGAAATGTAGGGTTTATTTGGATTTTGTTCTAAATGTGACAATAAACCATCAGTGGGTTTTAATCAGAGGAATTACTTGATCTGACTTACGTTGTGAAAAGATCACTCTGGCTGTTAGGTTGAGAATGTATCATGGGAGTGGGAACAAGGACTAGGGAGGCTAGTTAGGAAGATAGCGAAGTAAGAGTTCATAGTGGCCTGGACAAACGTGGTATCAATGGAGATGGAGAAAAGTGGCAGACACACACACACACACACTCACACACACGTACATATATTTATTTATATATTTGTTTATTTATTTGAGACAGGGTCTTGCTCTGTCACCCAGGCTGGAGTGCAGCGGTGTGATTACAGCTCACTGAAGTGATCCTCCCACCTCACCCTCCCTTGTAGCTGGGACTACAGGCATGTGCTACCATGCTGGGCTATTTTTTTTTTAGGAGAGATGGGGTCTCATTGTGTTGCCCAGGGTCAGACACATATTTTGAAGTTAGAGTTGACAGTGCTAGATGATGGATTTGATATGAGAAATGAGGGGGAGTGAGGAATTAAGAATAACTCCCAATTTCTGTGAATGGTGGTGTCATTTATAGAGCTGAGGAAGACCGGGGTTGTTGGAGCACATTTTGATAGACGTTGAAGACATTGATTTTAGTATTGGATATGTTGAGTCTGAGAAATCTGTGGCTTTGTTTAGTAGGCAAGTTGGCTGTATTGATATAACGTTCAGAAAAGTGAGCTAGAGTTACTGATTTTGGAATCAGCAATGGAAAGATGGTAACTGAAGTCACGAGAGTGGGTAAGATTGTCTAGGGAGAGGAGAGGATAGAGAGAAGAAAGAGAGAAGAGAATTGGTCCTCTGACAGAACTGAGAACACCAAGTTCCTGAGAGGCTTAATATAGGCAGCAATCATTCCACCAACACTATGCCGGCAAAGGCCACTCATGACTTCCTGTTCTCTCAAATCTTGCGGATTCATTTTAGTTTTTATCTTTCTGAATCGACTGCTGCATTTTGATACTACTGTTCACACCATCCTATAAAACTGTACTCTCCAGGATTTCATTGTCTCCTTGTAAGTTTCCTTTCCCTTTTCTGTGTGCCCTACACTTTATTGTTACCCAGGGAAGACTAAAGAGTAAGACTCTAGGTTGAGCTGTCAGCAATGACTTTTGGAGCCACGTCTCTTAAATCTATAAGAGAATTAATATAAATGTGATAAAGCTGTACAGAACTTAGGCTACCTATCTACTTATGCCCAGACTCAGAATCCATTATCTTTCCTTTTTTTTTTAACCCTCCCCCCACCCTCATGTGTACTATCAATCCTGGGAAATGTGCTGAACTATTGTGTTCTTATGTTGGTGCCACACTGTAAGTGATCCTGGCATAAAAAGCATGCCGTAGTAGGATTTGAAAAAGCTGAGGCAACTTAGCCTGGAAAAAAGAAGACTTTCCAGGGAACATAATAGTTGTAATCAACTACTTGGCAACAGAATTAAGACTCTTGATTAAAAATCATCATGATGAAGATTTAGGCTTGACAGAACCAACTTTTCTCAAAGTGGCATATGCTCACCAGGAAGTATTGAGGTCCCAGGGACTTTTGATATGATGGTCAGATAACTTTCAAAAATTATATTCTCTTTCTGGCTTTAAGGTAATGGTGAATACGATTGTGTATGGTATATGTCACATCTTATTGATATCCTTGGTAGTAGTTGCTACGCTGTAGTAACAGATTCTGGAAATAGCTATAACACACACTTGGAATCTCACAGTCACATAATCAATCATTTTACTAAATACAAGCATATTTTCATTCACATACAGCTAAATAAAGCATTTTTCACATTTCATTACAGTGCACAACAAAGTGAGGAAAAGTATACAGTACATTTTATTCTGAAATATGAGACAATCTAATCCAACATGCAGTTGTGGTCTTTGTTACAAGTTAGTTTATCTTTTCTTTACCTATGTAGTAAAATAGCTTCTAAAGCTTTATCCTTAGTATTATATTAACACCTGATTCTTTTCACACTTATTTTCTAAAACCCACTTATTGCAGTGACAATGGTACTGAATTCTACTAAAATGATTTTTAAATTTTCTAGAACTTATTTAAGCAATTAAGCTCAGCCACCTCTGCTGGATTTATGCTGAATATTTTTAAACCTGCCAGAAAATGCCAGGAGTGGGAATACTGTACATATAATAAATTTTAGTGAAGAAAATTGTAGGGAAGTTTTGTTTCTTTCCTTTTTTGAACTGACAGAATCCAGTCGACTCTCATTTACCCACTGGATAATCTTGCTTTCAGAATCTTCTAAACATAATTCAGTATAGCAGTTGATGAAATTTTGTGTTAATGAAATTTGCCATGTTTTGTTTGTCTTTTACAACCACGAAGGTGGCAATTTAATTACCCCACCTAAGCCAGCTCTTGTGAAATGAATATAGAGAAGATGATCAGTTCACTTGTAGTTAATGCTGTGAACTGATCCAAAGTGGTTTGCTCATCCAACTTGGGGCACAGGTGGCAGAATAGTCTTCCATAATTTTCATGATTTGGTTTCTTTATTCTGGCTAAAGCAAATTCCCAAAGTTTCAGATTCGGTCACATTCATACTGAAGTTCAATATTATATCTCAAAGCGATTTGCCATTCTTAGGCCTTCCTATCACAATGGATATGAGAAACCTGACTCTAGTCAGAATAGTTTTTTTTTTTAATTGTGAAAAGTATGGCTTTTGCCTAGCTGAACTGGCTACAATCCAAAAAGTAATTTAAAGCATCACCTCTCTTCAAGAAAATAATGGAAACTTCAAGCCAGCCATTCCAATTTGCTGATGCAGTTAGCTGTTTGTTCACCTGAGAATTAAGGGCTGACTCTCTTGGGTAGACAGGAACTCAGTGTACGTATATGGCAGACAGGTGGCCAAGGTCATTTTGGGGTGGGTATTTTATCCCTATCCCACTCCGCATTGCTGTACGTGGTTCCTTTCAATAAAAATCCACTGTGTCTCAGTGATAAGAACACTTATAGCCCACACAGTTCTAATGTCTTTTTAGTTGTGCAATTATTCACTTGTTTAAAGCCCTCTTGTCAATAATGCCTGAATGGGCTTTACCTTTGATTCCTTCCCATGTTCCCTCAGGATTATAGCTGAGTTGTAATCAATAAGGAAAACATATCCTAACATGTAGAGAACATTTATTTATAGTCATATCTCTTCCCAAGTAAACAAATTCATAATCATTTATTCATCTGACAGCAGTATGATGCAGTGAAAAGAGCTAGGAGTCACGAGTCCTTGACCCTGGCCAAGTGATTTTCATGGCTCTTAGTTTACTATTCTGTAAAATGGGGCAAAAACCTCGTAGGCCTGTTATGATGATCAAATAAGTAGCCCAAGTAACTGTAAGCTGTTTGTAAGGGTTACAGTGCCTCCTGTTCAGCAGGAGAGAGTGTTTGCCTCAGGGCTCTTTTCAGAGGCAGTCACTGTGTTGTCACTGTCACGTGCCTGAAGAAGCAAGCAGACTGTTTACTTCCAGATTGCAGGTGCCAAGGCATTGAAACCCCAGGCATGGTCAAAGGAAAAAGGGGGTATGGCATTTGGGTTATAGTGTCTCTTTCCTAGTTATAGGGTAATTTGCATGGGACAATTTGTTTCATACAGCTGGTAATTCTATCACAAGGGTGTTCATTTTCTGAAATGTGCTAATAACTGTGTCGATTGCCTTCCTTTCCATAGTCACATCATTTTTACTTGAACACCAGACCTTTTGGTCTGTGTTCCTCATTTTACAGAAAGCTGTTAAAAGCTAATTGGTACCTTTTAACCAAACCCAGCAAACACCTTTGGTGCAGGGTATTCTCACGGAATAAGTAGAGCTCATAATCTTTGTTTAGTTATGCTAATTGTCCCCATTGTGAAACTTTTTTCCCCTTTATGTATTTCTTTATGTTCATGGCCTATAAGTGAGCTCAAATACCAAGGAACAGTTGTCCTGTCTGTAGGTATGTTTTCCTGGGACTTAGCTTCCTAAACCCCAGGCCTTTAACATGTGGTCCACAAAGGGCTCATGGAGCAGCCACTGCCTAGCATGGGCCACAAAACAGTGCCTGGCCTGGCCCATGTCAGCAATTCAGTCCCTTGGTCACAGCACTCAGGCACCCCCATCCACCCGCACACGAGTCTGTCAGAGTCCCCCTGAGAGGGAGGCTCACTTGGTATCCAAATGGAGGTTGAGTTCTCATCAGTTACACAAAGATTCTATTTATTTCTCTTACTTTTCAGTTCAAGTAGGAGAGCATGTTTTGGAAATAAAAGAACTGACTAGCACAAACATCTCCTCTCTGATTTGACAACCTCTTCTGAAGAGTGAACCACATTTGGTACAAATCCACTCTTCACCCCTTCCCAGCCCTCCTGGATTGTAATCTCCCCCCTTTTAACCAGCTCATATATGTCTCTTGTCAGGTCTGTGAAGGCTTTCTCCACATTAATGGCATCTCGGGCTGACGTTTCAATGTACTTCATGCCGTATGCAGCAGCCAGTTTCTCGGCCTCGTGGCGAGTCACTTGCCTCTGTGTATCCAGGTCACACTTGTGACCCACCAGAACAAATACAATTTGGTAGGGCTGAACGTGTACTTTGGTCTCTTCTAACCACTCATGGACATTCTGGAAGGACCTGCGGTTGGTAATGTCAAATAAGAGAAGACCACCTACTGAGTTCCTGTAGTAGGCGCGAGTGATGGATCTAAAACACAAGAAAGAAGTAAAGAGTAAAGGCTGTGCCCAAACTTCTGCATGTCAATGAACTCAGTATATTCAAGTGTTCCTGGTTAGTGACACAGTCCTTTAATAAAAATGATTTTCTTTTTTTTTAAAAAAACAAAGGAATACAAATGGCATTCCATACTACTACTAATATGTGAGTTTCCAATTGGGCCAAACTTTGAGATGGGCATCTTCTAGAAACGAATGTTCATGAACTTTTAGGCATTTTCCATGGATTCAGCACTGGAGAGTGACCCTGGGACATAACTGAGTTCTATTTCTTGCCTTCAGGTAAAACTACAACTAACTCTCCCACCCCCCAAATCTGAATAACTGACAGAGACTTCCTTTTCTGCAAAATAGGATACCCAAGTCACAGTGTTACCATGAGGCAAAATGAAACAATGGATATTAAAGTGTTCTGTGACGTGGAGAGTTCATTACAAATGCTAGCAGTTGAAACAGGATTTTTAAAACATAGAAATGAATTTATGATAGTTAACAAAATATTTAAAGTAGGTATCTTGCTACTCCATTTTTTCCATTTATCATTACCATGTTTTTTTCTCTTTCCATTATTATTATTGTTTATTATTATTATTATTATTATTATTAGCTAACAGGGATCCTCAATCTCTTCTGTGAGGAGAAACACAATTTTATTTTTTATTTTCAAGGCCTGTGGGAATGGGAAAAAGAGAGATGGCGAAGGGTTCAGGCAAAGTGCCTCTCAGCCCTGTTTCCTGACACATTTCAGAGAGGCCAACTCAACTCAGGAGCCATCAGAAGAAACTTCACATGTTTTAACTTCTTGACTTGAGGAACCTCATTATAAATATACATTATGGCACTTTGCTTACAGTGTATTAAAGCTTATTACAGGGTATGGACCTATTTGTCTCTGCAGTCACTTGCTTTAGACTACTGTGATTTTTTTTACCTATGTCTATTTTTAGGTTTTCTGTCTCCTCAGATAAAGAAGATAGACAACGAAGGACTCAATAGCTTAGAGAAAATGGCTCAATGTTAGCAGAACAAGCATTGTCCAGGGACCTACAGTCCAAGCTAGATGATGGTAAAAGTAAAACTTACAAATGACTTTAAGTCTCCAAAATCAGGCAAATCAGCCCTGGGGACTGAAAGCATTTCTCGTCTCTTAGGTTTGAAGATTCATGGAGAATGGTAGATTTACCAGAAAATTTAGACATGAACAAACAAAGGTTTTGATTTGTGAGAAGGTTGATTCAAGAAATCAACAAGCAAGCTGTAGATCACTGTCAAAACTCTGGAATATATTATTACATTAATTGTTTGTGAGTACTTAGCAAAGAAAGTGACAAAGGCCTTCTAAGCATGGACATAAGGCTACATAAACCTTAAATTCTTCCCTACATTAAAAAATCTTAAATAATGTGAAAAGACAGATGATAAACTAGGAATATATCTTACAACATACATGACAGGAAAGGGTTAATATTCTTAATCTATAAAGTACTCTTACAAGTCCATATTGCCCAATAAATAAATAAGCAGTGGATATGAACAGGCTGTTCATATAGAAAGAAATTCCAACAAACACATAAAAGATACCTTTCTTTGCTTAGGAGAAATGCAATCGCAAGTTCAAAGTGAACCTGTACAAGGATATTTTCCACAGTGGTGTTTGTGGAAGTGGGGAGCTGGAGGTAACTTAAGTTTGTAATTATTTCTTCTCCTTACCCCTCTTCAATTACCCAACCAGTATCTTCTATGCTTAGTTAGTTTTCAATAGATAAATGAGTAAATGATCATAAACTTGGGCTATTGAGTTTTCTTGATCTGGTTCCTGCTGCTCTACTTTAGTTCAAATTGTTCTCTGCAAAGTTTTCTGTGTACACTCTGCTCCCTCTCACTTCTGTCTTTATTCATGCTGTTTCCTATCCCTGGGCGTTTCCTGTCTTTGCTTAGGCAGTCATACTCATCCGGTCTCATCTTCTCCAGTTAACCTTTCCTCCTCTGTGTTCATACATATAATTACAAATAATACATGCTACAATAGAAAAGCAAAGGGTTCTGAGTGAAAGTAAACATATTCATTGATTATTCAATGAATTCATTGATTGAAATTAAGCATGTTCATTTTGTGCCAAGTGTTACAGTAGGGAGTGGGCATACAAATATGAGCAAGACACACTTTCGTAATTGCTGATTATCTATTTCCCTCAACTATGTTAGCACAGAAGTTCCAAGAATGAAGGGGCTTTGTCTGTTTAGATTACATGGCATCCCCTTGTGTGAGTCTCCTCACACTGTTTTCCCAGGAACAAGCCCAGAGTCTGGCACATAGTAGATGATCACTGAATGTGTGCTGGTTGCAAGAAGGAATCAATCGTATCTATTTCATGTTAGAACATATGTTAGCATATATATGTGCACACACACAGATGTGGAAATAAAACATAATACACATGTATTTATGTATTTAAATCTCTGTCAGTTATGTTAGGATGACCTGGGAACGTTTTTGAAAGTATGTAACATAGGGACTGAGATTGATGAATTACAGATACAGAGATCAATTCCAGCTAGTTTGTTAGCCACCAAAGGGCAGGTTGGTGGAGTTGTGGTGCAAGCAATATGTGTTATTGACCGGCCTTCCCTGCCAGGGCGCTTCTTTCCTTGCACTAAACTCCGGGTTAGCCGAAGGTGGGCTTCGGCAGAATCCTCAAGACCCTTGGTGTTGCCCTCCTGGACCGCACCTAGAACCAGGAAGTCCTCTCTCCCCAGAGGCGGTGCAAACCCCGAAGACCCTCCCACTGCTTGCGGGCCCGGACTGCGCTCCCACCTGAACCTCTCTTGACCCGCGGTATCCCAGATCTGGAGCTTGATGCGTTTTCCTGGCTCGATCTCCACCAAGCGGGAGAAAAAATCCACCCCCACGGTGGGGTCAGAAACCTGGGCAAAGCGACCCTCGGTGAAGCGGCGGATCAGGCAGGACTTGCCCACTGTGGAATCCCCGATGACAATGAGCCGGAACTGGTACAGCCAGATGGCCTCCATGGCCGCGGCTCTGCAGGTCTCCTTGGCCCGGACCGGGGACGGCGGGAGGGGGCGCCCCGCCGACGCCTCAGAGAGCGCGGCTCGGCAGGATCTAGCTCAGCCGCGAGCGCATCGCTGGCCTGGGAGCCCGAAGCTGGGTAGGCCCAGGCGCCGGGAGAGCGGAGGGATGGATGCTGCGCTCGCAAAGGTGATGAAATGGCAGCAGCATCAGCACCACGCACTCTGACTCATCACTGACAACCGGGTTACTGTAATCCCCCGCGTAGACGCGACGCCTGGGCCGCCGCACTATCTGTAAGAGGAGCGCACACAAAATGGCTGCAACATTAGCGCGATCCCTCCCTTTCTAACTACCCCACCCACCCTCTGTTCATTAAAACTGTTCTCTGTCGTTCAAACTGCCAATGTCATACCTTTTCATTGAAACTAGCAAAGCAATACAAAACTGCACAAAAAAGGGAAGGCACATAATTATATATTAGTCTACAAGTGTTTCCATGCTCACATAAACACACAAATATTATATGTGTTTGTATTCCTATATGCATTTATTGCTGTTTGTTTTTACAAAAATTAAACTGGGGCCTTACTTTCAATTAATAATTGCTTTTTGCAATTAATAAAGCAACATAAATATCTTTCCATTTCCACCTAATTTCCCTTTTGTCATAACTTATTTTAAAGTGTAGCCACAAGTATTTTATTTCTGTGAGCTACAGTCTTAAAAAAGGGGCCATGAATTCAAAGAGTATAAGTATTTTAAATTTAACGGACATGGGCATTCTACTTTCCAAAACTATTTAACAGTTTAAATTCTACCCAGCAATGTGTGAAAAGACCATCGCTCTGCATTATTTCAAGCATCATATGTATGTTTTATTCTTTCTTAATTCTTCTCAATAGAATTTAGTTAAATAAAAATATGTCTCATTGCTTTATTTTTACATTTCTCTGACTACTGATGAGGTCAATACCAAGTCTTGTGTATTGACCATTTCATTTCCTCTTCTGGGAATTGTCTCTTCATATCCTTTGTATTTTTTATGTGTAATTTTATTTTATTTTTTTTTTGAGACAGAGTCTCTCTCTGTCGCCCAGGCTGGAGTGCAGTGGCGCGATCTCGGCCCACTGCAACCTCTACCTCCCGGGTTCATGCCATTCTCCTGCCTCAGCCTCCCGAGTAGGTGGGACTACAGGTGCCCGCCACCACGCCCGGCTAATTTTTTGTATTTTTAGTAGAGATAAGGTTACACTGTATTAGCCAGGATGGTCTCGATCTCCTGACCTTGTGATCTGCCCGCCTCGGCCTCCCAAAGTGCTGGGATTACAGGCGTGAGCCACCGCGCCCGGCCTTCTATGTGTAATCTTTTATCGTTGCCTTACTCTTTAAAAAAAATCAGCTTCATTAACATGAAAATTCACATACTGTACAATTCACCCATTTAAAGTGAACAATTCTTAGCATAGGTTTTTAATATACTCACAGATATATACAACTATCACCACAGTTAATTTTATAACATTTTTATCACTTCAAAAAGTAACCCAGAGGGGTGGGGGGAGGGGGGAGGGATAGCATTAGGAGGGATTACATTTACCTAATGTAAATGTAAATGACGAGTTAATGGGTGCAGCACACCAACATGGCACACGTATACATATGTAACAAACCTGCACGTTCTGCACAGGTACCCTAGAACTAAAAGTATAATAAAATATGTATATATATTTTTTAAAAAAAGGAACCCAGAACCTTTTAGCTATCATCTCTCTATCCCATGTTCCTCCAGCCTTTGGCAACCATTAATGTACTTTCTGTCTCTATAAATTTCCCTATTCTGAACATTTCATATACATGAAATCATATAATATGTGCATTTTTGTGACTGGCTGCTTTCACTTAGCATAATGTTTTCAAGGTTCATTCACACTGTAGCAAGTATCAGTACTTCATTCCTTTTTGTGGCTGAATACTATTCCATCATATGGATAGACCATATCTTGTTTATCCATTCATTCATTGAGGGACATTTGGGTTGTTCCCACCTTTTGGCTATTCTAAATAATCCTACCATCGAATATTCATGTGCCAGGTTTTTTTTTTTAATATCTGTTTTCAGTTTTTTGGGATTTATACCTAAGAACGGAATTCCTCAGTCCTGTGGCAACTCTATGTTTAACCCTTTGATGAAATGCCTGACTTTTTCACAGTGGCTGTACCATATTACATCCCACTGGCAGCCTATGGGGTTCCAATTTCTCCACATTCTCTCTAACATGGATGTGAAGTGGTACTTTATTCTAGTTTGATTTGCATTTCCCTAACGACTGATGACTTCAAGCATATTTTTACATTCTTATTGGCCATTTGTGTATCTTCCTTGGAAAAATATTGACTTAGATCTTTTGCCCATTTTTAAACTGGATTACTAGTCTTTGTATTATTGAGTTATAAGAGTTCTTTATATATGCTAGACACAAGTCCTTTATCACATATATGATTTGCAAATATTTTCTCCAATTCAGTGTGTTCTTTTTTTTCACTTTCTTGAGGGTGTCCTTTGAAAAACAAAGTTAGATTTTTAAGAAGTACAATTTATCGAGTTTCTATTTTGTTGCTCATGCTTCTGGTGTCATGTCTAAGAATACTTTGCCCAATCCAAGGTCATGAAGGTTTACTCATTCTTTCTTCTAAGAGTTTTATAGTTGTAGTTCATTCATTTAGGTCTATGATCCATTTTGTGTTCGTTTTTATGCATGGTGTGAGGAAGGGGTTCAAATTCATTCCTTTGCATGTGGATATCCAGCTATCCCAGCACTCTATTGAGGATACTATTCTTTCTCTATGGAATGATTTTGACACTCTGGAAAATCAATTGACCATGGATGTATGGATGTATTTTTGGACTTTCTATTTCTATGTTAATAAAGCTGATTTGTTTTAAAACAGTAAGGCAATGATAAAAGATTACACATAAAAAATACAAAGTATATAAAGAGACAATTCCCAGAAGAGGAAATGAAATGGTCAATACACATTGGTCTATATGTCTGCCCTTATGCTGGTATGACACTCTCTTGACTGTTGTAGCTTTGTAGAAAGTTCTGAAATCAGAAAGTGTGAGTCCTCCTACTGTGGAGGATCCAATCTTTTCAAAGATTGTTTTGGTTATTTGGAGCCCTTTGCAATTTCATATGAATTTTAAGAACAGCTTATCAGTTTCTGCAAATAAGGCAGTTGGAATGCTAATAGGTATTGATTTGACTCTGTAGATCAATTTGGAGAGTGTTGCTGTCTTATTAAAATTAAGTCTTTCAATCCATGAGCACAAGATGGATATCATTCCATTTATTTAGGTTTTTAAAACTTGTTTTAACAATGTTTCATAGTGTTCAGTGTATAAGTTTTGTACTTCAAGTATTTTGTTATTTATGATGCTATTGTGAATGGAATTGTTTTCTTAATTTCATTTTTAGATTGCTCCTTGCAAGTTTATAAAATGGAATTAATTTTTGCATATTGATTTTATATCCTCCAACCTTGCTGAACTTGCTTATTAGTCCTAATAGTTTTTATTTATTTATTTATTTATTTTAAATAGTAAGTTCTGGGATACATGTGCCGAACATGCAGGTTTGTTGCATAGGTATACACGCGCCATGGTGATGTGCTGCACCCATCAACCTGTCACCTACATTAGGTATTTTTTCTAATGCTATCCCTCCCCTACCCCTCCACCCCCCAACAGGCCCCGGTGTGTGATGTTCCCCTCCCTGTGTCCATGTGTTCTCATTGTTCAACTCCCACTTATGAGTCAGAACATGTGGTGTTTGGTTTTCTGTTCTTCTGTTAGTTTGCTGAGAATGATGGTTTCCAGCTTCATTCATGTCTCTGCAAAGGACATGCACTCATCCTTCTTTATGGCTGCATAGTATTCCATGGTGTATATGTACCACATTTTCTTTACACAGTCTGTCACTGATGGGCATTTGGGTTGGTTCCAAGTCTTTGCTATTGTGAACAGTGCTGCAATAAACATATGTGTGCATGTGTCTTTATAGTATAATGATTTATGATCCTTTGGGTATACACCCAGTAATAGGATTGCTGGGTCAAATGGTATTTCTGGTTCAAGATCCTTGAGGAATCACCACACTGTCTTCCACAATGCTTGAACTAATTTACACTCCCACCAACAGTGTAAAAGTGTTCCTATTTCTCCACATCCTCTCTAGCATCTGTTGTTTCCTTTTTTTTTTTTTTTGAGACAGAGTCTCGCTCTGTGGGCCAGGCTCCAGTGCAGTGGCATGATCTCAGCTCACTGCAACCTCCATCTCCTGGGCTCAAGCAGTTATCCTCCCTCAGCCTCCCGAGTAGCTGGGATTACAGGCACGTGCCACTGTTTCCTGACTTTTTAATGATTGCCATTCTAACTGGCGTGAGATGTTATCTCATTGTGGTTTTGATTTGCATTTCTCTAATGACCAGTCAAGCTACCATTGACTTTCTTCACAGAATTGGAAAAAACTACTTTAAATTCCATATGGAACCAAAAAAGAGTTTGGCAATTTTGTTGTTCTTTTCAAAGAACCAACTTTTGGTTTCATTGATTCTATTGTTAATCTATTCCCTTTGTTTCATTTATCTCTGCCCTAATCTTTATTATTTTCTTCCTTTTGCTTGATTTTCTTTTAGTTAGCTCATCTTTTTCCAGTTTCTTAAGTTGGAAGGTTAAGTTATTGATTTGAGATTTTTTTTCTTAATACAGGCACTTATAGCTATACATTTCCCTCTGAGCATTGCTTTATCTGAACCCCATAAGTTTTGGTATCTTTCTTGTGTCTTCATTTTCATTTATCTGAAAGTATTTTCTGATTTTCCTTTTGATCTCTTCTTTGACCCATTTGTTATTTATTAGTATTTTGTTTAATTCTCACATATTTGTGAGTTTCTTATATCTTTTTCCTACTATTGATTTCTAATTTCATTCCATGTGGTCAGAAAACATACTTTGTATTATTTCTATCCTTTTAAATTTCTTGAGGTTTGTTTTTTTGGCATAGTATATAGTCTATTCTGGATAACGCTCCATGTACACTTGAAAAGAATATATCCTCTGCTGTTTTATATATATATATATATAATAAATATATATAACATATTATATATAATATATAACATATTATATATAAAATATTATATATTATATATAATATATATATGTATAAACTGTTATGTCTAGTTGGCTTATAAAGACTTAGACATAAGTCTACTGTTTCCTTGTTGATCTTCAGTACAGTTGTTCTACATATTATTGGAAGTGGAGAATGAAGCCTCCAACTATTCTTGTAGAATGATTTTTCACTTTAACTGTCAGTTATTGCTTCACATATTTTGGAGCTGTATTGTTAGATGCATATATGTTTGTAATTGTATCTTTCTGATAGATTGACCCTTTTATCACTATGAATTGTCTGTCTTTAGTAGCTGTTTTTGTTTTGAGGTCTATTTTTTCTGATATTAGTATAGTCACTTCAGCTTTCTTGTGATTGGTGTTTTCATGATATGTATTTTTCATCATTTTACTTTCAATCACTTTGTATCTTTGAATATGAAGTGTCTGCTGTAGACAGCATATAGTTGTACCATTCGAAACATCTAGCCATATAATCTTTGCTTTTCTTTAAACAGATTGTTTAATCTGTTCACATTTAATGTTATTTATTGATATAGTGGGATTTATGTCAGCCATTTATTTGTTTTTCTGTATGTCTTAATATTTTTGTTCCTCTAGTCTTCTCTTATTGCTTTCTTTTGCACTAAGTGAATATTTTTTGATGTACCATTTGAGTTTCTTAATTCTTGATTAAAATTTTTTCACTATATTTTGAAGTATTTTTTAGTGGTTCTTTAGAGCTTACCATATATATCTTGACTTATCAGAATCACCTTCAGATTTATACTAGCTTTATTCTAGTGACATATAGAAACATTATTCTTATATAGTTCTTTTTTTTTTTTTTTGAGATGGAGTCTAGCTTTGTCACCCAGGCTAGAGTGCAGTGGCGTGATCTTAGCTCACTGCAACCTCCATCTCCCAGGTTCAAGCAATTCTCCTGCCTCAGCCTCCCAAGTAGCTGGGACTACAGGCCTGAGCCACCACACCTGGCCAATTTTTGTAGTTTTAGTAGAGATGGGGCTTCACCATGTTGGCCAGGCTGGTCTTGAATTCCTGACCTCAAGTGATCCACTTGCCTGGGCCTCCCAAAGTGCTGGGATTACAGGCATGAGCCACCATGCCCGGACTCCTGTATAGTTCTATTGTCTTGTCTGTCTTTTTATAGTACTATTGTTATGCATATTATGTCTATTAATGTTACAAACCTATCAATGCATTGTTATAATTATTGCTTTATCATCTATATTTCCTTATCCAAATATAGCTTTGCTCTCAGCCACCTCTTTTGTGTTGCTTTTGGCAAATATACTGCATTCTATGTTATAGACTGAAAAATACATTTTATACATATGTTATGGAATTGCTTTGTTAATCAATTAATAGAAAAAAAGGAAAAATATACGTTTATGCAGTCTTTTATAATTACATAATTACTAGTGTTCTGGTTCTTTATTTGTTTCTGTGGATTTGAATTATCATCTGAGATCACTTGCTTTCAGTCTGAATAACTTCAGTATTTCTTGTAAGGTGGACATGCTAGCAACAAATTCTTCAGTTTTTGTTTGTTTATCTGGGAATGTTGTTATTTGCTTTCTTTTTTTGAATGATAGCTTTGCTGGATATAAAATTCTTGGGTGACTTTTTTCTTTGATCACTCTGAATATGTTACCTCATTGCTTTTGACCTCCATTGTTTCTGCTGACAAGTCATTTGTTAATCTTATTAGGGTTCCCTTGTAAGTGATAAATCATTTTTTCCCACTTTTCATTTTTTATTTTTAATTTTTATGGTACATAATAGTTGTATATATTTATGGGTTACATGTGGTGTTTTGATACAGGTATCCAATGTGTAATGATTGAATCCGGGTAATTGGGGTATCCATCACCTGAAGCCCTTATCATTTCTTTGGGATAGGAACTTAGAATTCTACTATTTTAGTTATTTTGAAGAACATAATAAATTAGTGTTAACTGTAGTCACCCTATTGTGCTGCTGAAGACTAGATGTTATTCATTCTATCTAACCATCCCCGCTTTATTCCCCTTCCACTACTCTTCCCACCCTCTGGAAAACATCATTACACTCTCTATCTCCATTAGTTCAATTTTGTTTTAGTGCTCACATACGAGTGAGAACATGTGATTTTTGTCTTTCTGTGCCTGGCTTATTTCACTTAATATAATATCCTCCAGTTCTATTCATGTTGTTGCAAATGACAAGATTTCATTCTTTCTTATAACCAAATACTATTTCATTGTGTACCTGTCAGACATTTTAAAAATTCATTCATCTGTTGATGAACACTTAGGTTGCTTCTGTATCTTGGCTATTGTGAATAGTGTTGCAATAAACATGGGATTGCAGATATTTCCTCAATATATTGATTGCCTTTCTTTTGGATATATACCCAGCAGTGACACTGCTGGATCATATGGTAGTTCTATTTTTTTTTTTTTTTTTTTAGGAACCACCATACTGTTCTCCATAGTGGTTGTGTTAATTTATATTCTTATCAACAGTGTATGAGGGTTCCCCCTTTTTCACCATCTTCACCAGCATTTGTTATTGCCCATCCTTTGCATAAAAGCCATTTTAACTGGAGTTAGATGGTATCTCATTGCAGTTTTGATTTGCATTTCTCTGACGATTAGTGATGTTGAGCATTTTTTCATATACCTTTTTGCCATTTATATGTCTTCTTTTGAGAAACGTTTATTCAGATCTTTTACCCGTTTTTAAATTGGACTATTTGTTTTTTTCCTATTGAATTGTTTGAGCTCCTTATATATTCTGGTTATTGATCTCTTGTCAAATGAGTATTCTTAAATATTTTCTCCCATTCTATGGGTTGTCTTGTCACTTTGCTGATTGTTTCCTTTGCTGTGCAGAAGCTTGTTAGTTTGATGTGATCCCATTTGTCCATTTTTGCTTTGCTTGCCTGTGCTTTTGAGGTCTTACTCAAGAAATCTTTGCCCAGACCAATGCCCTGGTATGTTTCCCCAATGTCTTCTTGTAGTAGTTTCATAGTTTCAGGTCTTAGATTTAATTATTTAATCTATTTTGATTTGATTCTTGTATATGGGGTAGTTTCATTTTTCTGCAAATAGATATCCAGTTTTCCCAACACCATTTATTGAAGAGACTGTCCTTTTCCCAATGCATGTTCTTGGCACTTCTGTCAAAAATGAGTTGACTGTAAATGCATGGATTTATTTCTGGATTTTCTTTTCTGTTCTATTGGTCAATGTGTCTGTTTTTATGACAGTACCTTGTTATTTTGGTTACTATAGCTCTGCAGTATAATTTGAAGTCAGGTACTGTGATTCCTCCAGTTTTGTTCTTTTTCTCAGGATGGCTTTTGCTATTCTTGGTCTTTTATGGTTTAATATACATTTTAGGATTATTTTTTCTATTTCTGTGAAGATGTTATTGGAATTTTGATAGGGATTGCATTGAAACTGTAGATTGCTTTGGGTAGTATGGATATCTTAACAACATTTATTCTTCCAAACCATGAATATGCAATATCCTTTCATTTTTTTGTTTCTTTCATCAATGTTTCATCAATGTTTTACAGTTTTCATAGTAGAGATTTTTCACTTCTTTGGTTAAGTATATATATATATACATATATATATCTCACCATGGAATACTACTCAGACATAAAAAATGAAATAATATGTTTTGCAGCAACTTGGATGAAACTGGAGGCCATTATCCTAAGTGAAGTAACTCAGGAATGGAAAATCGAATACCACATGTTCTCACTTATAAGTAGGGGCTAAGTGATGGGTATGTAAAGGTTTGCAGAATGGTATAACGGACATTGGAGTCTCAGAAGTGGGGGAGGGCTGGAGGGAGGTGAAGGATAAAAAATACCACCTGTTCGGTACAATGCACACTATTCAGGTGACAGATACACTTAAAGCCCAGGCTTCACTACTATACAATTCACCCATGTAACCAAAAACCACTTGTACCCCTAAAGCTATTGAAATATAAATAAATTAATAAGCAATTAAACAGACAACCTACAAAATTGAAGAAAATATTTTCAAACTATCTCATAATGGTCTCATACTTGTAATCTATAAGGAACTTAAACGATTCAACAAGCTAAAACCAAATAACCCCATTAAAAAGTGGGCAAACGATATGAACAGACACTTCTCAAAAGAAGACATACGGTTGGGCGAGGTGGCTCATGCTTGTAATCCCAGCACTTTCGGAGGCCGAGGCAGGTGGATCACGAGGTCAGGAGTTCGAGACCAGCCTGGCCAATATGGCGAACCCCCCACCTCTCCTAAAAATACAAAAGTTAGCCAGGCATGGTGGCATGCACCTATAGTCCCAGCTACTTGGGAGGCTGAGGCAGAAGAATCACTTGAACCCAGGAGGCGGAGGTTGCAGTGAGCTGAGATCGTACCATTGCACTCCAGCCTGGGCAACACAGCAAGACTCCATCTCAAAAAAATATATACATATGGCCAACAATCATATGAAATAAAGCTCAACATCACATTAGAGAAATAAAAATCAAAACCACAGTGAGATACCATCTCACACCAGTCAGAATGGCTGTTACTAAAAAGTCAAATAACAGATGCTGGCAAGGCTGTGGAAAAAAGGGAAGATTTATACATTGCTGATGGGAATGAAAATGAGTTAAGCCACAGTGGAAAGCAGCTTAAAGATTTATCAAAGAACTTAAACAAGCTACCATTTGACCCAGCAATCCCATTACTGGGTATCTACCCAAAGGAAAATTAATCATTTTAGCAAACAGATACTGCACTTGTATATTCATCATAGTACTATCTACAATAGCAAAGACATGAAATCAACCTAAGTATCCATCAACAGAGGATTGGATAAATAAATTCCTCTGTAATGGGAGATTTGCCTCTTTTCCTCCATTAATTAATTAATTATTAATTAAGTCATTTGTGTCCATATGGACTCCTCTATTTTATACTTTGTGTTATAATCTAATACTGCATTACAGACAAACCTCAACTTATGACCATTTGACTTACAAATTTTCAAGTTTATGGTGGGTTTATTGGGATGTAATTGCGTGGTAAGCTGAGGAGCATCTGGACTTATGGTTTGACTTATGATTTTTTGACTTTATGATGGGTTTGTTGGGGTACTAAATGCCTTTTCAACTTACAATATTTCTAACTTATGATGGGTTTATTAAGTCATAGCCCCATCAGAAGGTGAGGAGTATCTATATTTTATTGAGGCAATTTTTCCAAATTTGGCAATCTTTCAGGATGACTCCTCTATTCCTTTGCCATGCCTTCATCTTTTTTTTTTTTTTTTTCCTCAATTCCTTACTTTCTGGTGCTATGAGATTCTCCAGGCCCATCTTGTATTTCCCCTGCCTTGGTCCTAGAATCAGTTATTTCTCCAAGTAGCTCTAGTTCCTTTTATTGGAGAATGATATTAGAATCCAAGGTCTTAGCATTGGGTGTGCTTGTTGCTACTAGGGTACTATTGCTTCTAGGCCCTCTCAGGACACAGGGCTAGGAACTATACATATGTATACTGACTCATGTATATACGCACATGTAATTATTTTTGTATCTATTCACCTCTATCAATATTAAGTTAAACTTGAGTACATACCGATGTCTCTGAATCGAATCCAGTACCACATAGTTCATCCTAGCCTTCTTGATTATTTGTACTTCCCACCTACAGTTCATTTACTTATTTTTTCAATCTTAGTATACATGTATGGCTGTTTCAGAATTGTCTACACATATCCCCTTGAGAAACAACTTTGCCAATTAGAGTACAATATTTATGTATAGTTTCTTTATATTTTGTTTTATATTTTCCAGAAGAAACACTGTTTCGCAAAGTTACTTTGAGACTATATGGTCTTTTAAAGTTTGGTAGCATTTCCCTGTGAAACTATCTGGGGATTGATACTTTTTGGTAAGTAGTTCCTTATAATTTTCTCTATTTCTTCTTTTTAAAAAATGTTCTCTCTTTCTTCTATGAAGATTGAGCTCTTCAATTTTCATATCTCTAATAAAGTTGTTTTTCGTAATCTTTACTTTGCTAGGAAATTATCTCTATCATCTAGATTTTGAAATTTGTTTGCACAGAGGTCTGCAAAGTAGTCTCTTATAATGTCTTAAATTTCTTCTAATAGTTATTTCCCCATTCTTTATTTTGCATACTTTTGCTTTCTCTGTTTTATTTCAATTAATGTAGCTAATGGTTTGTCTGTATTATCAATCTTTTAAAAAATAAAGGTTTTGATTCGTTAACTAGGTCTATGCTATTTCTATTCTTTTGTTAATTCTTACTTTTTTTGTTAATCTCTTGTGTTCTTTTACTTAATTTGTTGTACTTATTCTAAGTTTCTTTCTGTTTTTTGCTGGTGCTCTACCAAGATCCATTTGGACATTTTTTTTTAAGTTGTGTTAAAAACACATAGCTTAAAACTCATCACCTTAACTATTTTGAAGCAGAGAGTTGAGAAGTGTCAAGTATATTCACATTGTTGTGCACATTTTAAAAATTTTTGTTAGTTCAATATTTAATCAATTTATTTTCAATCTTTTATTTTTACTAATAGCAGTGTTTAGTTATAAAATTTCCTCTGATCACTGCTTTATATTTATCCCATGGATTCTGATATGAAGTGTTTACATCATCATTATTTGTTTTAGAGATCATGTAGTTTTGGTTTATATTTTTCTTTTAAACCAAGAGTTAATTGAAGGTTTTTAAAATTTATTTTTTAAATGTATAATGGGCACATAATTGTACATATATATGGGATACAATGTGGTGTTTCAATGCATGTACACACAGTATAATGATCAAATAGGCGTAATTACCATATCCACCACTATAAACATTTGTTATTTCTTTGTGGTGACATTTAAAAACCTGCTTTTCTAGCTATCTTGAAATACATGCTACATTATTATTTGCTATAGTCACCCTACTGTGGTGAATGCCAAAATTTATTCTTCCTAGGTGTAACTTTATACCCATTGACCAACATCTTTCAGTGCCTCTGCCTTCTTTCTCTCCCTAGCCCCTGGTAACCACGATTCTACCCTCTACTTGTGTGAGATCAACTTTTTAAAATTCCACATATGAGTGAGATCAACTTTTTAAAATTCCACATATGAGTGAGATCATGTGGTGTTTGTCTTTCTGTGCCTGGCTTATTTCATTTAACATTTCAAATGTATTCTATCAATTGTAACTTGCTAGTGCATTGCATGTATTCTGAAATATACTGATGACAGGATGTATCTCAAAGATTATCAACATGATTGCATTTCTCTGCCACCTAACCATACACTATACATTTATCTTGACTCTATGGTTTTCAAGGACAGTACTTTGAGTTTGCTCATTGCCTTACTTTTCTTTGAACCTATTAAAACGCTACTTCATTTAAATTTTATCTAAACTCCACCCTTCCACCAAAGCCTAAAATATTTTCCTTTTTTGAAGCTGCACTTATGCTTGTGTTTCTCTTTTGAGGGAGCAAGAGTTAAGTTCAGCTTTTGTTTCCAGATTTGAATGATTTAAGAGTACTTTAACAAGTGAATCTGAATACGTATAGTAATGTAACATTTTAACTTTTGTAGAAAGTTTTGTAATTATCTAAGGACTGTTTACCTTATCCTTTTATGGACAACAAGAAGACCTTTTGGTCAGCCACAGTTTTTATTTTCCTTTTCATTTCTATGAATAAAAGATTCAGTTGACTTTGTTTCTTATATTGTTTTTTAAAATTATGTTTTATTTAATGAGTGCTTCTTCATTTAAAAATAATATAATCTGGTCACAAAGGCTACATTCTCATCTCTGACCATGAGGTGGTCATAGTTCTAGGCGTCAAATGCTGTTCTATGACCAATTGATCTTGAGCTCTTCCTAGAGCTGATTTTAAAAATCATTCTTTAAGAATTTGCCTCTCTGATATGCTCACTCTCTGTATTTATTATTTATATCAGAAATAAACTCATGTATATATTAAACTAACAAAAATGTGAAATTATTTTAGCGATTTATATGGAAATGTTTCTAAGGAGCAGGGTGAGATTGTACCTCTACTTATGACATTTATAACTGCAGACATCTGTTTAGCTTATATGTATGCATTCCAGGAATTCAAGCAAAGGGCAAAAGATTGTGATGCTTTCCATGTCATTCAGGATTGCAGTGGTTTGCCATACAGATAAAGAAAATTAAGTAAAAGTATGAAGACCTGTAAAATACAGTGGACAGATTATTTATGGCTAATAGAAAATACAGAGTTCCTTTTCATAAGAGAGTTGGATAGAAGAAACAGTATTTTTCATATTCTTATTTGCAAAAACCTTTCTAATATGTCAATAAGTAAAATCTGATCACAAATATAGCCTTGTCTCCTGTAAGAGCTCTCCTAACTCTTCTGTTTAGCCACATTTGCGTAAGTATTTTCAATTTCTTTGTCTTCAGGACACGTGTGGGTAAATTCTTCACGGGCATAGGCATTGTGGAGATAACGCCAGACTCCTGAGAATTCTGCTGGAATGTCAAAGTCACGATATTTCTTGGCAGCAACCTAGAATTTTGCAAAAAAAAGAGGAAAAAGAAGGCATCAGTAATATGCCTACTATGTAGAAATGTTTCTTAGAAGTCAAGATTATCAAAGGCATCTTATCGACACAAAAAGCACTATAAAATAAACTATGAAGTAGACACGAATCTTGGACTATTTTGATGTTTTGTCTACAAATGTTGACAAAACTACATGCTTACAATCATGTTGATATTGATTCTGTATTTAATTATGACTATATTTAGAGGAAGGAACCACAGAAAATGAGCACATATCCACCACGACTAGACTAAGAGTTTATTTAGAGTCCTATGTCTTCTTTCTTTACATATTCTCTGTGTTTGGCATAGGACTCAAAGAGTAAATTCTGTGTAAGTCTATGCAATAAATATTTATTAAATTTATGATTAATTCATCATAATACTAATAGCCCAAATTGGTTATTCCCTATTATGATCTAGGCACTGTTCTAAGCATTTTAAATGCTTTAATTTATTTAATTCTCTTAACAATTCTGTAAAATAGGTAATATTATTACAAAATAAGACAGTGGAAAATACCTTCTGATTTAGAAAGAAAGAAACAAGTTTTGGCTGGGCACGGTGGCTCACGCCTGTAATCCCAACACTTTGGGAGGCCAAGGCAGGCGGATCACTTGAGCCCAGGAGTTCAAGACGAGCCTGTGCAACATGGTGAAACCCTGTCTCTACAAAAAGTACAAAAAATTAGCCAGGCGTGGTGGCACGCACCTGTAGTCCCAGCTACTCAAGAGTGGGGTGGGAGGACTGCTTGAGCCTCAGAGGTGGGGGTTGCAATAAGCCTTGATCATGCCACTGCACTCCAACCTGGGTGACAGAGCAAGACCCTATCTCAAAAAAGAAAAAAAAAGAAACAAGTTTTAATACTTCCCAGAAGAGAACATTATGGATCTTCCCTCTAAAGAGAAAAGAGATGTATATAGTACACATGATGATGATGATAATGACAAAGCTATAATATAATAATACCGCACTGGAAGGTCACTATGCTTTGTGCTGGCAACTGGCAAACCCCTCCCACCCATTCAGCCTGCCTTATAAAGACTTACTTTAATAATGTTCAGCTTGGGTAACAAGCTACAATCAGCCAGTGTTAGCTGGTCCCCATCCAAGAATAGTCTTCTGGAAACTGGGGGTTCCTCAGCACTGTCTGGATCAATTTCATCCAGAAGTGGGGTGTTTAAGTAGTCATCCAGACGCTTGAATTCTTTGAGCAGAGATTTTTCAAAATCTGAGGCAATGAAGTAATAGAGTTACTTGTAAATGTATTGTCTTTTGACTAAATACATTCTAAATATGCTTTCCACACATTTAGACACCTCTATCTATACATACTACTTACACTGGCTCTTCAATATCTAGTTAACTATTTAGAATGCTCAGCTACTCACTGATAAGACAAAGTAAGATGAAATAGTGAGTGTTAATCTTTTGGGCTTTTCTTAGGGAGGTGCATTGGCAGGAGAGTAAAAGAAAGAAAGAAAAGTGATCAGAAGAGTTAGAAAGTGAAAGAAAAAACACAGTTCTTGTGACTCAGAGGATAATAAATCTATTTAAGAATGTTCGTGGGAAATGGTAGGTGCCACAGTTTAAGAAACCTTAAAGGTACACAGTCCTGCAGTTAGTTCACACCTAGTATGTCAATATTCTAATTGAGCTATGGTTGGTAATAGCTATATTGAATCTTGAGTTCTAAATCTAATACAACTTCATGCGAGGGAATTTCAGAGGAGAGTATAGAGAATGAGGGGAAGACTAGGCCAGTCCCCAAAATATACTATATATTCAGGAAAATTCTATTTTTGCTGAGTGAGAAGATGAAGAGTGAGAGAAAAATAGAGATTTAAAGAAAGGTATCTTACTCTTATTTGCCTCCTTTTGTGTATTCTTAATGTATGCAGAAAACTTGGCAAAGAGGTTACAGCCCACATCAAAAGACTCCTTGTACTTGGGACTCAGGTGAGGGTACCTTAAAAAGAAACATGCGTCAACTATCATTTGCACATAACATGACAGAGACCAGGTGCCCTAGCTTGCACTATACTGAAAATGGAAGTTCTGGAACATTGTGCTGGAAACTAAACACCCTTAGAAGTCTCTCAGTAGAAGTTTATATTTTTTCCAATCTCAGAACACTTTGGTTTCTAAAGTTCACAGGGTAATCAGTTGTCTGGAATCCAAAGCTCATTTATCTGTAGAAACAATGTTTCAAATGGTGGTTTCCATACTTGCTCCTAAAAGCCTATTTGTCAGAAGATATAATGTCAGTACAATACATTTGCAGACATGAGTAGTAGAAAAATATGGTTTTGGCCAGGCGCAGTGGCTCACGCCTGTAATCCCAGCACTGTGGGAGGCTGAGGTGGGTGGATCACCTGAGGTCAGGAGTTTGAGACCAGCCTGGCCAACATGGTGAAACCTTGTCTCTACTAAAAATACAAACATTAGCTGGGCGTGGTGGCGGGCGCCTGTAGTTCCAGCTACTTGGGAGGCTGAGGCAGGAGAATTGCTTGAAGCTGGGAAGTGGAGGTTGCAGTGAGCTGAGATTGCGCCATTGCACTCCAGCCTGGGGGACAAGTGAAACTCAGTCTCAAAAAAAGAAAAAGAAAAAGAAAAATATGGTTTCAAATATTACAACTTATAAAACAAATGGTGGAATAAATAGGATGGAGAAAATGGGAAAAAAGTAGCCAATATAATTCACCACATTAACAAATCAAATAAGAAAACCCATTTGATAATGACTAGATGCAGAAAAGTATTCAATAAAAAATCAGCACCTCATGGAGATATCTGTGCTGCCATGTTCACTGCAGCATTATTCACAAAAGCTAACATATAGAAACAACCTAAGTTCCCATCAACAGATGAATGGATATAGAAATTGTGAGATATATATATATATATATATATATGTAATAGAATATTAATCAGCCTTAAAAAGAATGAAATCCTGTCATTTGCAACAACGTGGATGAGCCTGGAGGACGTTATGTTAAGTGAAATAAGCCAGGCACAGAAAGACAAATACTCCATGATCTCACTTATGTGTGGCATCTTTAAGAGGTCAAATATATAGAAAAAAGAATAGAGCAGTGATTACCGGGGCAGTGGGGGGAGGAAAGAGGGAGATGTAGGTCGAAGGGTACAAAGTTGCAGTTATGTAGAATGAGTAAGTCTAGAGATATAATGTATAATATGAGGACTAATAATATTGTATACTGAAAATTTGCAAAGGGTAGATTTTAGGTGCTCTTACCATATAAAAAAGATAACTATATGAAGCGATGGATATGTTAATTTACTTGACTGTAGTAATCATTTCACTATATATATGTATATCAAGACATCATGTGATATACCTTAAATATATACAATACAAACAAAGGCTAAAACACTCAATTCCTTTTCATAAAAAAAAATTCACTGGAAGCTAGAAATGGTCAGGTCAAAAACTTAGGTATCTTCCTTGATTCCTCTCTTTCCTTCTAACTCCACATTTGATCTATTAGCAACTCTGGTCAGCTTACCTTTCAAAATGTATCCAGAATCTGTCCACCCCCGCGCCCCTGCCCAGTCCAAAGCCTATATTACTGTAACAGCCTCCTGACTATTCTCCCTATTCCCATACTTGTCCCTCATACACCTGGAATATTCTCCACCCATAGACAGAGCAATCATGTTAAAATGTAAGTCATGTCATGTCTTTCCCCTACTCATTAGCCTGCAATGTCCTCATCTCAGAGTTAGAGCCCAAGTGCTCATAGTGGTCTACAAGGACCCACATGATATGAACCACCTTCTTTCCCACCCAGTCTATTAACCACCCAGAAGCCAGAGTGATGGCTTTCCCCTACTCAGTAGTCTGCAGTCGTCTCATCTTACCGAGTCACAGCCTAACTCATTACAGTAGCCTATAAGGATCCACATGATGTGATCCCACCTTACCTCTCTTCTCTCATATCCCTCACTCGCTCAATTATGACACAGACCTTCTTGCTACCATTCAAATAGGCCTGGAAAGCTCCTACCCCAGAGCCTTTTAACTTGGTCTGCCCGTAGGTGAGGGGGACACATGGACATCCCTTGCTCCCACTTTTCTTTCAGGTCTTTTTCATGGGTATCTCTTTCTAAGTGAAGCCTTTCTCTGGACGCTCAATTGTAACGTTGCAACATCACTCCTTTCCCTAACATCACTACTTCTCTTTTTTGCTTTATTTTTCACCTTAGCAGGACAGTTTTAAATTACCTGTGTTATGCCTTCTCCAACCCACAGTATGGAGAGAGATGCCCTTTGCTTGGGAGAAGAAGAGGTAAGTGAACACCAGACTTTGCCTCAGACCCAAACACTGGGCCCAACACAGTAAAGTCTAGCCCTGGACAGGCCATGATTACCCCAGACTTTAGGCTGGTCCCCACAGACTTGGGCAGTAGGCCAGCCCTTGTAGCCCCAATGTCCAGGCCATCCCTGCAGATGTAGTCTCCCAGCCCTGGGCCAGTAGCCCCAGACTCCAGACTTCCTTCAGCACCAGATCATACCTCCAGGCTTGCACCCCTCCAAGACAGCCCCTTTGCTTCAGGACAGCCACTGTACCCCCAGACTCAGCTTTCAGGCCCTCTCCATCACAAGACTAGCACCTTTGGACCCCAGTTTAAGGCCAATACCCACAGACCCAGTATCCAGACCAACTCAGCTCCAGGCTGGCCTTCACACTCCCAGGCTTTGGGTCTGTCCCAGTGCCACGTTGACACCCATGGACCTCAGCTCCAGGCTGGCCCCCATGGCCACAGGTACCAGGTCAGCATCCAAACATTCAGCCTCCAATACAGCCCTCATGGGTACAGACTCCAGGCCATCCCTGGTGGCCCCAGATTTCAGGCTGGCCCATTCAAGCTCAGGCTTCAGGCCCAGACCAGGCTCCAACCGAGTCCAAAAAAGGCTGACCCACAGAGCCCCAGGCTTCAGGCCCGACCCAGAACTAAGCTGGCTTCTTCAACCCCAGATTTTGGGCAACTGTAGCAGAATACACATTATTTTCAAGTGCATACAGAATATTCACCAGGATAGATCATATGTTAGGCCACAAAACAATTCTTAACCACTTAAGAAGATTGAAATTACATCAATTATTTTTTCCAACCACAATGAACATCCTTGTCTTGTTTCTGATCTTAAGGGGAAAAACTTCAGTCCTTCACTATTGAGTACAATGTCAGCTGTGGGTTTTTCTTTTTGTTGTTGTTGTTTTATTGAGTATTTTATTATGTCAGGAATTGTGCTAAATGCTATAAATGTATGATCGTATTTCTTCTATGCAATGTATTTTTTTCATTTCTTTTTTTATTATACTTTAAGTTCTAGGGTACATGTGCACAACATGCAGGTTTGTCACATATGCATACATGTGCCATGTTGGTGTGCTGCGCCCATTAGGTATATCTCCTAATGCTATCCCTCCCCACCCCCCGACAGGCCCCGGTGTGTGATGTTCCATCCTGTGTCCAAGTGTTCTCATTGTTCAATTTCCACCTATGAGTGAGAACATGCGGTGTTTGGTTTTTTGTCCTTGCCATACTTTCTTGTTTCCTCACATGCCTCAGTTTTTTTTTTTTCTTGAAAACCAGATGTTTTGAATGTTATAATGTAGAAACTCTGGAAATCTGATTGATTCTCCCAGTCCCCTGGTCTTGTTGTTGCTGCTTATTGTGGTTGTTGTTGGTTTAGTTAATTTTCTTAACTAATTTTGTAAAGCCTATATTTTTTTGGTATGTGTGGCCTCTGAAATATTTGTTCCATTAGCTTTAGTCAGTTATTGATTTTACAGAGATTTTATTAAACTCCTGGAAGCAAAACAAAGAAACAAACTATGAAAACAAAAAGCTTTCTTAGTTTTTGAGGGTTGGTTCTGTGTTGGGGCTCTCCTTCATTGCTTAGCTATACAGTTTAAAGTTCTGCCTTTGCCTTCATTTTCTGCTTGTGCAGTGCCTGAAATTTAGCCAGAATTGAGAGCCTAGTCTTCTCAGTTCTTTTGTGAGCACACATCTAGAAATGGGTCCATGCATAGTCTTCTATAGTCCTCAGAATACATAAAATGTTTTGAAGCCATTATTTCCCTAAGCATCCCCCAAGTATCTCAGCCTCTTTCTCCCTGGGATTTTTTTTTTTTTTTTGAGATGGAGTTTTGCTCTTGTTGTCCATGCCCAGGCTAGAGTGCAATGGCGCAATCTCGGCTCACCACAACCTCTGCCTCCCAGGTTCAAGCGATTCTCCTGCCTCAGCCTCCCGAGTAGCTGGGATTACAGGCATGCACCACCACGCCTGGCTAATTTTGTGTTTTTAGTAGAGATGGGGTTTCTCCATGTTGGTCAGGCTGGTCTCGAACTCCTGACTTCAGGTGACCTGCCCGCCTCGGCCTCCCAAAGTGCTGGGATTACAGGCATGAGCCACCGCGCCTGGCCCTTCCTGGGATTTTTCCATTTGTCTATTGCTTTTCCCAGATGTTATTCCTTGTTCTGTGTAGCTGTGACTAATACATTTGCTTTAAAATTCTTTCCACAACCAGCACCAGGGAAGGTGCCTCAGCCCTGGGGAAGCTCTAGTGCAGGTGATAAAAAGGTAAACCATTGAGGTAATCCTTCAGGGAACCACCAGATAGGTCAAACTACACAATCACAGTTCATTGAAAATAAGGTCAATATCGCTTCCTCTGGTACCAGTAACCTGCACCTGCAATATAAGCTGCCATTTTTAAGACTATTGATGGGCTGAGGGTTGGAGGATGGTCTCAAGGTAACCAAAAATGCCACAGAACTCTCACTGAAATTTAAATTTTTTATTCATTAAGTGTTCTCCTGGCTGCTGTAATTTTTGCTTAGATTCCAGAGTTCTGAAAAAGTTGCTTCTGACAGTTTTGCCAGCCTATTCATTGCTTTTATGAAAGAATGGAGTTCTGGAATTCCCTACTCCACCATTTCCATTAATGTGGGTGTTTACAAGGCTTTTAAAAAGTAGATAAAACAAAGTTCATATGGAAGGGTTCCCATATCCAGCAATATGGAAGACTAACCGTTGTGGAGGGCCTTGTAAAAAGACAATTCCTTTTAGCAGTGTTTGTAACAATAAAACGTAGAAACAATATTTCAGTCCTTTTTCAAGTCATGGTAACTATTATGAACTAGTATGAACCAGTGGTTGTTGTGTGTTATCGAATCTTCACTTTTAAAAATGGGTGTGTCAAAGAGTGGGTGGAGATAATTTTTAATATATTTGACTGCCTGACCATTAGTATCTAATGGAGATATTGCACATCATCCAAAGGTACTGGACTTTAAGCCGACTGTAGTAACTGTGTGTTCCATATGTGAGAAGAGGGATACATACATTTATTTGGGTGGTCAGAGGGGCAAACTATGGCAGATAACACACTTATATACCACTACTTAGATCTAACCACATGAATTACCTCTGGACAATGAGCTGTAAATGGAAATTTTTGGGTGTGGCTTCTGTGAAAACTCCTTAGAGCTGGCTTGTATATTAGATCTGTTGCCTGGAGTTCCAGCAGACATATTGTCACCATGAGTTAACTTTGAGACTGGAAGCCTCACTTGAAGGATGGCAGAGAAGAAAGATTAGGAGTTGAAATCCCTAATGAAATTACGGAGCTATCATCCTAGGTTCATTCTGAGTTTCTTATGTGAGAAAAATAAAAACCATATTTCTTTCTTTCTTTTTTTTTTATTTTGGTTTTAAGGAGCGGAGAGTTTAATAGGCAAGAAGGAAGGGAGAAGACAGAAGGAAGAAACTCCCCCATACCGAGACAGAGGGAGGGGGGCTCCAAAGCCGAAAGAGGAGGCCCCCCAAAAACCATATTTATTTCATTAAAAAAATTTATTTTAGTTTCGGATACATGTGAAGGTTTGTTACATAGGTGAACTCATGTCATGGGAATTTGCTGTACAGATTATTTCATCACCAAGGTATTAAGCTCAGTACCCAGTTGTTATCTTTTCTGCTCCTTTCCCTCCTCCAACCCTCCACCCTCAAGAACACCCCAGTGTGTATTGTTCCCTTCTTTGTGTTCATGAGTTCTCATCATTTAGCTCCCGCTTATATATGCGAACATGTAGTATTGGATTTCTGTTCCTGTGTTAGTTTGCTAAGAATAATAGCCTGTAGCTCCATCCATGTTCCTGCAAAAGACACGATCTCATTCTTTTCTATGGCTGCATACTATTCCATGGTATATATGTACCACCTTTTCTTTATTCAGTCTGTCATTGATGGGCATTTGGGTTGATTCCATGTCTTTGTTATTGTGAATAGTGCTGCAATGAACATTCTCATGCACGTGTCTTTATGGTAGAATGATTTATATTCCTCTGGGTATATATCCAGTAATGGGATTGCTGGGTCAAATGGTAGTTCTGCTGTTAGCTCTTTGAAGAATCACTACACTATCTTCCACAATGGTTGCACTAGTTTACACTCCCACTGACAGTGTATAAGTGTTTGCTTTTCTCCACAACCTTGCCAGCATCTGCTATTTCTTGACTTTTTATTTTTATTTTTAGCCATTCTGACTTGTGTGAGATGGTATATCATTGTGGTTTTGATTTGCATTTCTCCAATGATCACTAATGAGCTTTTTTCATATGCTAATTTGCCCCATGTATGTCTGTTCATCTGTTCATGTCCTTTGCCCACATTTGAATGCGATTTTTTTCTTGTAAATTTATTTAAGCTCCTTATAGACACTGGATATTAGACCTTTGTTAGATGCATAGTTTGTAAAAATTTTCTTCCATTCTGTAGGTTGTCTGTTTACTCTGTTGATTGTTTCTTTTGCTGTGTAGAAGCTCTTTCATTTAATTAAATCCCATTTGTCAATTTTTGCTTTTGTTGCAATTGCTTTTGACATCTTTGTCATGAAATCTTTGCCTGTTCCTATGTCTAGGATGGCATTGCCTAGGTTGTCTTCTGGGTTTTTGTAGTTTTGGGTTTTACACTTAAGTCTTTAATCCATCTTGATTTTTGTATATGGTATAAGGAACGGGTCCAGCTTCAATCGTCTGCATAGGGCTAGCCAGCCCAGCACCATTTATTGAACAGGGAGTGCTTTCCCCATTGCTTTTGTCAGCTTTGTCAAAAATCACATGGTTGTAGGTGTGCGGCCTTATTACTGGGCTCTCTATTATGTCCCATTGGTCTATGTGCCTGTTTTTTTCTTTCTTTCTTTCTTTTTTTCTTTTGAGACAGAGTTTCACTCTGTTGCCCAGGCTGGAGTGCAATGACGTGATCTTGGCTCACTGCAACCTCCATCTCTCAGGTTCAAGCAATTCTCCTGCCTTGGTCTCCTGAGTAGGTGGGATTACAGGCGTGTGTCACCAAGCCTGGCTAACTTTTGTATTTTTAGTAGAGATGGGGTTTCACCATGTTGGCCAGGCTGATCTGGAACAGCTGACCTCAGGTGATCCACCTGCCTCGGCCTCCAAAAGTGCAGGGATTACAGGTGTTGTATCAGTACCATGCTGTGTTTTGCTTACTGTAGCCTTGCAGTATAGTTCGAAGTTGGCTAATGCGATACTTCCAGCTTTGTTATTTTTGCTTAGAATTGCCTTGGCTATTCGGGCTCTTTTTTGGTTTCATAAGAATTTTAAAATAGTTTTTTCTAGTTCTGTGAAGAATGTCATTGTTAGTTTGTTAGAAATAACACTGAATCTTTAGATTGCTTTGGGCAGTATGGTCATTTTGTTGATATTGATTCTTCCTATCCATGAGCATGGGATATTTTTCCATTTGTTTGTGTCTTCTCTTATTTCTTTGAGCAGTGTTTTGTAATTCTCATTGTAGATATCCTTCACCTCCTGAGTTAGCTGTATTCCCAGGTATTTTATTTTTTTGTGTGTGGCAATTGTGAATGGGATTGCCTTCCCAATTGGGCTCTCAGCTTGGCTGATGTTGATGTATAGAAATGCAAGTGATTTTTGTACATTGATTTTGCATCCTGAAACTTTGCCAAAGTTGTTTATCAGCTGAAGGACCTATTGGGTTGAGAGTATGGGGTTTTCTTTGAGAAAAATTTTTTATTGTGATACAAAATGCACTTATAAAATGTCCACCAGAAGGCATGTAATTCTTCACTGCTATATAAATTTATTGGGAATATGTTATTCATTGTCTAGGTATGATAATGCCACCTAAAACATACTGTAAATGATGAGTTATGCTCTATAACAAATGCATCACTGATTTTCAGCAATCATAGGTTTAATAATAATTAGTTTAAGACTATAATCACATCTATATTCTGGAATGTCCATTTACTTTAATGTAGTGTAGTGGAATTTAGAGTATAATTGCACATAGATGGTACAGAAAAACATTCACTTCTAAATTATTTTATACCTTCATGACAGGTAGTCTTCCTGACTGAAAATAACTGCTTCAGCTATGGTCTGCAACACAGCTCCAGGATTCTTAATGCAATAGTTTGGGTGTATGTATGTCTGTCCATGTGTGCTCCCATGGAACAACTTATATCTTTAATAAACAAGTGCAACATTATTGTCAATTATTTTGCATGTTTAAATACTATAGTCTGATTATTTGTAAACAAACAAAACCCCACACAAATACTCTAAATTCTATATAAAAAATCTGTCAACCCATAATTATTCTAATATGCTTTACTTACTTGAACACAAATTTCTGAAAGGTACATATATTACCTTAGATAATAAGGTTTAGAAATAAGTGCTTTGGCCGGGCGCAGTGGCTCACACCTGTAATCCCAGCACTTTGGGAGGGCAAGGCGGGCGGGTCACCTGAGGTCGGGAGTTCACAACCAGCCTGACCAACATGGAGAAACCCCGTCTCTACTAAAAATACAAAATTAGCCAGGCATGGTGGCACATGCCTGTAATACCAGCTACTTGGGAGGCTGAGGCATGAGAATCACTTGAACCCTGGAGGCAGAGGTTGCAGTGAGCGGAGATCGTGCGATTGCTCTCCAGCCTGGGCAACAAGAGCAAAACTCCGTCTCAAAAAAAAAAAAAATGAGTGTTTCACCCTATGAAATGTGCATTTCTGATAACTGATTTACGCAGCATAAAGTTTAGATCAATAAATTACAAATCCTGGATCCCCACAGCTCATTTAGAAAATGCCTCAAAGTTATGGTTTTTGTAGCAGGTTTAACAGACTAAACATGAAGTATTCTAGCTTCCTCTATTTCAAGTATCAAAGAAATATGAGGCTCAAAATCTCTCTAGGTTGTAACTGAAAATGCAAAGCATTAGAAGACAGTTAAATGTGGTTTGAAATACAATATTAATTGAAAGGAGATTATTAAGGTGTTTATCTGTGCTAGCCTGTTAAATACTAGGACTTTAAAGTAATTTTAAATCTGAATATTTGTTCAGAAGTGACAAAGAACACAATTTGCCTATAAATGTATGGTTTTGGAGAAAAAAGTCAATCCTGATTTTTAAAACTCTTTCAACATTTTTTATTTCCTTTTGAATGATATTAATTTAAATTTCAATCTGAACATAAATGTTTGGCTTCACAGAGCCTTAGATAATTTACTAAGGCTGTTTAAAGTCTTTCAATGTCATCAGAAATCCTGCAGTATAGAAAATATCTGGTACCCTTAAAGTTTCAGAGTGAGCTGATCTGCAATTTTAATGCTGTTTAAAAAAAAGTCAAATATAAAAGACTGCTGCAATATAAAGCACTATTTCTAAAAGTTGCAGAGATGATCCTATAGTCTGACAGAGTTAGAACAGCTACTCAGAATAAGCAACTTCTGGCCTTTTCCGAGGCACACTAAGTTTCCAGCTTAGAAAATACTCTAGCCTGGTCTTTAACATATTCATTAAGTGATAAGAATATTTTAAGGTCTTTCTGTCCTACATGAAAGTAGTAAGTTTATCCTTCGAGACATCAGACTTTCTAGAACTGGCTCAATTGTATAAAATTTTAACAAGTATGTGAAAGTGTAGAATCAACACTATAAAAACAGTGTGACAAAATTAAACATTATGTTGAACTCTTTTCTAGCTTTAAGTCAAAAATAGAAATCATGACTCTTATGTAACATTAATTTAAAAAGTACATAGAAGTGACAAGTGCTATTTTCCAAAAAGTACAATTTTTTCCCTACTTTATATCAACATGGAATGATTTCAGTTCTCCTGTATTGAAAGCTGGACTTTTAAAAAACTAGTATTGCTATGTTTAATGTGATGACTTGAATCAGTAGTAGCTTCATTTTCCGCTGGGCCCCTAATTAGTCTTCGAATTCTTCTTTTTCCTGCATGCTGCTTGGGATGTACTTCTTCTTCACAAAGGAAGTCTGAAGTCAACTAATCCTCATTGTCTATCTCAATCTTTCTAATTACATCCATTACAACATCCATAGTTGTCTTTCTACAATTTCTAGCAGAGGGCTCTTGCAGCTAGAATACAGCATCCGTTCTCTTATACTGCATGTGTATCTGGGCATTGAATAGATAAAAACTATGGACTCTAAATAGTCTCCTTCATGGGAATGTTTATACAGAAAGAAATGGTAACGAGCTGAATCCTTGGGAATCCTCTTTGGCAAATCTTTTAGTTCTGTATTTGTTGTGTTGGCCAAAATTATAATTTCATTTTTTATGTTTATTTCCAACTGCACATAGTTCAGCTGTTATTTATTTTTTCCAAAGCCTGAAAAGCTTCTCGAGAAATAGGAAATGCTACTCCTTGTAGTGTTTGATGCTTAGCGTCCACACCCACGTCAGTCTGTACCTCATTGATTTTAATGTCATAATTCTTCCTCAGCTGCAGTCAGTGGGGCAGGGGAAGATTGTGAGAGCAAACATTTTTTATATCCATGTAATGATACATCTTCCTTTACTGTTCCAAATACTTCATCTTTAACGTGGCCACCTCCAGATTCCTTTTCCAGAGTTGCTCTTGTTGCTGCATATAACCTTTTTTGACGGACATGAGAATGATCTGGAAACCATGCAATGAATATCCATTCATATCCCTGGGCATTCTGAGAATCTAACCTGAATAATATATAGCACAGTTGTTTGTCCTCCAACAGGGGTAAAACAAAGGAATCATAATCGTTATCCCAGGAATCTGAAGGCTGACTATATATGATCCAATCATAAGTTGCCCATTTTCAATAGATATTTTCAGAGGTCTGTACTTTCCATTTCTGGCTCTGGCAAGATCTCTTTAACATCTTCACTTGCTTGGATGCAGGTCTGGTGGGACGTGGCGGCGGCCACTAGCTCCTGGCTCCGATGCTGAGTGCAGCCGAGTATGGGGTTTTCTAGATATGGAATCATGTCGTCTGCAAACAGGGATAGTTTGACTTTCTATGTTCCTATTTAGATGCCCTTTATTTCTTTCTCTTGCCTCACTGCTCTGGCTAGAACTTCCAATACTATTTTAAATAAGAGTGGTAAGAAGGGCATCCTTGTCTTGTGCCTCTTTTAAAGTGGAATGCTTCCAGCTTTTGCCTATTCAGTATGAAGCTAATAGAAAATCAGACGGATTTGACAAGATGATTCACAGGAGAACAAAACCAAATGATCAAACAACATAGGTAAAGATGCTTAAATGTATCTATCATTCAAGGAAATACAAGTTAAGTATCAATGAGATGTCACTACACCTGTTATATTGGCACAGATGTAAAAAGAGTGCTAATGCCTAGTATTACAGATATGTTGGGAAAGAGTATGCTGAATAAAACAGATATTTAAAAAAATGGGGTCGGACGGATGTCAGGAGCGCTGCCGCCGCCGCAGGACCTTCTCCATTCCCGCCCGCAGCCCCGCGGCCATGCGACAGCGACCCAGCCACCCCCGGAGCGCAGTCCTCGAAGGATGAAATTGAAGATAATTCAAATGACCGGACCCAGGCATCCAAAAAGAGGCGAATGGGCTCAGGAGATGGTTCTAGGAGCTGTGAAACTTCAAGTCAAGATCTTGGCTTTAGTTACTATCCAGCATAAAATTTGATAGAGTACAAATGGCCACCTGATGAAACAGGAGAATACTATATGCTTCAAGAACAAGTCAGTTAATATTTGGGTGTGACCTCCTTTAAAAGGAAATATCCAGATTTAGAGAGACGAGATTTGTCTCACAAGGAGAAACTCTACCTGAGAGAGCCAAATGTCATTACTGAAACTCAATGCACTCTAGGTTTAACTGAGCAGTGATGAAGTGATTGTTTTAACGATAAAGGAATATCCAGCCAAACATGCTGAGTATTCTGTTATTCTACAAGAAAAAGAACGTCAACGAATTACAGACCATTACAAAGAGTATTCCCAAATGTAACAACAGAATACTCAGAAAGTTGAAGCCAGTAAAGTGCCTGAGTATATTAAGAAAGCTGCCTGTAATCCCAGCACTTTGGGAGGCCGAGGTGGGCAGATCACGAGGTCAGGAGATCGAGACCATCCTGGCTAACACGGTGAAACCCCGTCTCTACTAAAAATACAAAAAATTAGCCGGGCGTGGTGGCGGGCGCCTGTAGTCCCAGCTACTGGGGAGGCTGAGGCAGGAGAATGGCGTGAACCTGGGAGGCGGAGCTTGCAGTGAGCCGAGATCGCGCCACTGCACTCCAGCCTGGGCGACAGAGCGAGACTCCGTCTCAAAACAAACAAACAAACAAACAAACAAACAAATAAAAAAGCTGCCAAAAAAAGCAGCAACTTAAACCGGGAACGCATGGAAGAAAGAAGAGCTTATTTTGACTTGCAGACACGTTATCCAGGTGCCTCAAGGGAAGTAGGAAGTTTTGCCAACAGGGCGAACAAAGGTCAGTTCTTACCCAGTGGCTCTCATCCCCGGACAGTTCCAGGAATATTATAAGAGGTACTCACCAGATGAGCTGTGGTATCTGCCATTAAACACAGCCCTGTACGAGGCCACTCTGGATCCTGAGCTCCCTGCTCTAGACAGTGACGGTGATTCAGATGACGGCGAAGATGGTTGAGGTGATGAGAAGCGGAAAAATAAAGGCACTTCGGACAGCTCCTCTGGCAAGGTATCTGAAGGGGAAAGCTCTCCTGACAGCCAGGAGGACTCTTTCCAGGGAAGACAGAAATCAAAAGACAAAGCTGCCACTCCAAGAAAAGATGCTCCCAAACGTTCTGTACTGTCCAACTCAGTTCCTGGGTACAAGCCCAAAGTCATTCCAAATGCTATATGTGGAATTTGTCTGAAGGGTAAGGAGTCCAACAAGAAAGGAAAGGCTGAATCACTTATACACTGCTCCCAGTGTGAGAATAGTGGCCATCCTTCTTGCCTGGATATAAAGAAAATAAAGGACTCAAATATTACCACTACACAAAACCACCAAACTGTAATGATAAATGACAAGAGAGAGAGAAAAAAAACAAAGAATATACAAAACAACCAGAAAAAAATAACAAAATGACAGAAATAAGTCTTCACATGTAAACATAAACAGATTAAATATTCCACTTAAAAGACATACACTGGATGAATAGACTTAAAAAACATAATCCAACTACATAGTACTTACAAGAGACTCACCTCACTAGTAAAGACACATATAGACTGAAATGGGTTGATAAAGATATTTCACACAAACGGAAACCAAAAGTGAGCAGGATTAGCTATAATCATATAAGACAAAACAGACATTAAATCAAAAAAAGTGAAAAAAGGACTAAAACTATCATTATATAATGACAGATCAACCCAGCAAAAAAGATATAACAATCCTAAATATATATGCACCCAATACTGGAGCATCCAGATTCATAAAGCAAACATTACTAGATCTAAAGGTAGAGACAGACTGCAGTGCAATAATAGGAAGGAACTTTAACATCCCACTGTCAACATTAGATAGATAATCTAGACAGAAAATCAACAAATAAACATTAGACTTAAACTGGACTTTAGACCAAATGAACCAAACAGACATTTACAGAACATTCTATCCAACAACTACAGAATATACATTCATCAGCACATGGAATATTCTCCAGGATGGACCATATGTCAGGCCACAAAATGTCTCAATAAATTTAACACAATGAAAATCATACCAAGGATATTCTCAGGCCACAATGAAATCAAATCAACTATAAATAAACACCAAGAGGAACTTTAGAAACTGCATAAATACATAAAAATTAACCAACATGCTCCTGAACAACCAATGGTCAATAAAGAATTTAAGAAGAAAAAAAATTCTTGAAACAAATGAAAATTGAAACATAACATACATAAACCTGTGGGATACAGCAAAAGCAGCACTAAGAGGCAAGCTTATAGCAATAAATGCCTACATGAAAAAAGTAGGAAAATGACAAATTAACAATCTAATAATGTATGTGAAGCTGCTAGAAAAGCAAGAACAAACCAAATACCAAATTAGCAGAAAAAGGAAGTAATAAAGAACAGAACTAAATGAAATACAGACTAAAAAATACAAAGCATCATGATTGAAAAAGTTGGTTTTTGTTAAATTGATAAACTGCCAGCTAGACTAACCAAAAAAGTAGAAGACCCAAACAAACAAATTAGAAATGAAAAAGGACACATTAAGTCATATATGTAAGAAATACAAAAGATTACCAGAGACCATTATGTACAACTGTATGCTGACAAACTGATAAACCTAGAGGAAATGGATAAGTTCCAGGAAACATACAATGTGCTGAGACTGAATTGGGAAGAAATAGAAAACATGAACAGACCAATAATGAGTAGCAAGATTGAGTCAGTAATAAAAAAGTCTCCCAATGAAGAAAAGCACAGGACTGGACAAATTCACTGACAAATTCTACCAGAAGAACTAATACCAATTCTCCTGAAACTATTCTAAAAAATGGAAGAGGAGAGAACTCTCCTTAACTCATTCTATGAGGCCAGCACCACCCTGATACAAAAACCAGACAAGAACACACACATAGAAGAAAACTACAGGCCAATATTTCTGATGAACATAGATACAAAAACTCTTGACAAAATACTAGCAAACTGAATCCAATAGCATATCAGAAAGATAATACACCATGATCAAGTGGGATTTATACCAGTGATACAAGAATGGTTCAACATGTGCAAATCAATAACCTCAATATATGACATCCATAGAATAAAGGACAAAAAACATATCATCATCTCAATAGATACAGAAAAAGCATTTGATAAAATTCAACACCCCTTCATGATAAAACCTCTCAACAAATGGGGCATAGAAGGAAAATATGTCAAAATAATAAAGGCTATATATGATAAACCCACAGCTGATATCATGCTGAATAGGGAAAAATTGAAAGCCTTTCCTCCAAGAAATGGAAAAAAAACAAGAATGCCCACTTTCACCACTCCTATTCAACATAGTATTGGAAGTCCTAGGTATGGCAATCAGGCAAGAGAAAGAAATAAAAGGCATCCAAATTGGGAAAAAGGAAGTAAAATTGTCCCTTTTTACTGGTGCCATGATCTTGTATCTAGTAAAACCTAAAAACTCCACCAAAAAATTCTTAGATTTGATAAGTAAATTCAGTAAAGTTCCAGGTTAAAAACATCAACACTAAAAAATATGTAGCATTTCTATACACCAATAATGATCTACCCACAAAAGAAATGAAGATGGCAATTCCATTTACAATAGCTAAAAATTAAAATATCTAGGAATAATTTTAATCAAGGAGGTGGAAGATCTTTACAATGAAAACTACAAAATGCTAATGAAAGGAATTGAAAATGATAAAAATATATGGGAAAACATCTCATGCTCATGGATCAGAAGAATGAATATTATTAAAATTGTGATTTTCCCAAAGTAACCTACAGATTCAATGCAATCCCTGTCAAAATACCAATGTCATTTTTCACAGAATTACAAAAAAAGAATACTAAAATTCACATGTAACCAAAAAAGATTCCATATAGCCAAAGCAATTCTGAGCAAAAAGAACAAAGCTAGAGGCATCACATTACCTGACTTTGAAATATATTACAAGGCTATAGTAACCAAAATAGCATGTTATGGTATAAAAATAGACACACAGAGCAATGGTCAGAATAGAGAACCTAGAAATAAATTCACATATTTACTGCCAGCTGATCTTTGACAAAGTTCACAAGAACATTGGGGAAAGGACACCTTTTTCAATTAATGGTACTGGGAAAATTGGACAGCCATATGCAGAAGAATGAAACTTGATCCTTATCTCTCACTGTATACAAAAATCAACTCAAAATGGACTGAAGACTTAAACATAATACTCAAAACTATAAAAATAATAAGAGAAAACCTAGGGAAAATTCTTCTGGACATTGTTCTAGACAAATAATTTATGATTGAGATGTCAAAAGCACAGGCAATAGAAACAAAAATAGACAAATAGGACTCAAGTAAACTAAAAAGCTTCTGCACAGCAAAAGAAATGAGTGAAGAGACAACCTTTTGAATGAGAGGAAATGTTTGCAAACTTCAACAGGGGACTAATATCCAGAATATACAAGGAAATCAAACAACTCAACAATAAAAAAAATCTCATAAAATATGGGCAAAGGGCATGGCCAAAATGTACATAAAGAAATGCTCAACTTTACTAATCAACAGAGAAATGCAAACCAAAACCAAAATGAGATATCATCTCACCTCAGTCAGAATTGCTATTATTAAAAAGACAAAAAAAAAATTAACAGACGTTGGCAAGGATGTGGAGAAAAAGGAACTCTTATACACTGTTTTTGGGAGTATAAATATAGCCACTATGGAAAACAGCATGGAGATTTCTGAAAAAACCAAAAGTAGCACTACCATAAGATCCAAAAATCTCACTAATTGGCATTTATCCAAAGCACGAGAAATCAGTATGTCAAAGGGATACCTGCACTCTCATGTTTATTATTGCATTATTCACAATAGACAAGGTATGGAATCGATCTAAGTGTCCATCAACAGATAAATGGATAAAGAAAGTGTGGTATACATACACAATGAAATAGTATTCAGCCATAAAAGAGAATGAAATCCTGTCATTTGGAACAACATGGATGGAACTGGAGTTGTTATGTCAAGTGAAATAAGCCAGGCACAAAAAGACAAAAATAGCATGTTCTCACTTATATGTGGGAGTTAAAAAAGTTGATCACATGAAGATAGAGAATGGAAAGAGAGATAACAGAGACTGGGGAGGGTGATTGGGAGGAGAAGGGAAGATGAAGAGAAGTGTGTTAAAAAGTACACACATAAATAAGATAGAAGGAATAAATTCAATGTTTGATAGAAGAGCAGGGTGACTATAGTTACAAAAATGTATTGTATTTGGGTTATGGACACCGTAGATACCTTGACTTTATCACTATGCATTACATACACATAATAGAATTTCATATGTATCCCATAATTTGTACTGATAAAAAAATTTAAAAGAAAGTGAACCATCAGGCCAGGCGCAGTGGCTCACGCCTGTAATCCCAGCACTTTGGGAGGCCGAGGCCGGTGGATCACAAGGTCAGGAGATTGAGACCATCCTGGCTAACACGGTGAAACCTCATCTCTACTAAAATTACAAAAAAAAAAAAAAAAAATTAGCCGGGCGTGGTGGCGGGCATCTGTAGTCCCAGCTACTCGGGAGGCTGAGGCAGGAGAATGGCGTGAACCCGAGACCCGAGAGGCGGAGCTTGCAGTGAGCCAACATGTGCCACTGCCCTCCAGCCTGGGCGACAGAGCGAGACTCCGGTCTCAAAAAAAAAAAAAAAAAAAAAAAAAAGAAGGTGAACCATCAGAGAGACATTCTCCTGCAGGTTTTAGAGGAAGAGAACAATCAGCCATGTTGCGAAATGCCTATACAGAGGGGCAGCCTCTAGTAATTGAATGCCAACCCAACCCCAACAAACAGCTACCCAATAACCTAAGACCTCAGTCATATAGCTGCAAGGAACTGAATTCTGCCAAAAACTTGAATGAAGATGGAAGAGTCACCTGGGCCCCATATGATAACTGTGTTCCCGACCAACACCTTGAATGCCACTTTTTGATACCCTGAGCAGAGGACCTTAGCAGGCTATGCCCAGACAACTGACCAATGGAAGCTGTGAGATAATAAATAGCTGTTGTTTTAAGATACTAAGTTTGTGGTAATTTGTTACACAGCAATAGAAAATTAATACAGCATGCTTCTTGTTTCTAGACCTATCCTGGGTAGACAGAGATGTGCGGTTGTCATTCAAGTGTAGGCAGTACAGTTCTGGCCTCTGGTTAACTGCTTGAAGTCTATGTCCTGGCCACTAGCCCTCGTGTTGGGTATGTTCTGTCATTTCGTCAGTGGTGTTAAGGACCAGTCATGACCAATCCTTATGAATTACATAGTGTTAGTATCCCATTCCCTCACTCCCATCTCACTATATGTTCCTACTCTATTTCTAGAGCACAGAGAACTTACCTTCTTGTGTTATGTATGTTATGCAGCTTTTAAAAATTATTTGAAATATTACACATATCATCTTTTTGTATTTGAAGTTGGAGGGGTATGTTTATGCATGTGTGTCATTTGACATGTAGGCCCAGAAATCCAAAAGTACTTAAATTGGTAAGAATACTAAATCTGCAATAAACAAGCCAGTAAAATAGATTATCTTCAGCAAAATAGTATCTTGTAAATGCTGTACCTTGGAGGAGCCAGGGTTTGTTCTAAAAACTCCTCAATTTTAATGAAGTCTGTTTTCAACTCCTTGTTATACACCAGGAACGGAGGATTGGTACCTGGGGCTAAGTCCTTTAGTTCTTCAGGCTTTCTATGATTATTAAAAATAAGCAGAGTTAGGTCTCTAGATAAAGTACACATTAAATAAACACCAATATTTTATTGGTATCTACCAATCTCAATTCCTAGAATTTAACATGTCCTGATTTCTCTTACCTGGTCATGTCAACAGTTGTCACATTAAATTTAACTCCTTTAAGCCAGAGGATCATGAAAAGGCGTTGGCAAAAGGGACAGTTTCCAATACTCTCTCCATCACTTCCAGCCTATTAAGATAAAGAGAGACCTCAGTTCATTTGTTTGTTCAATAAGTATGTATTTAGTTCCTAATAGGAAATGAGCCAGTTGCTAGAGACAAACATGGACATTCTTAATCTCATGTACTCCATCATCTATGGACAGAGAGATATAGGGAAGCAAATAATCTCATTATATGTAAAGTTACAACTGTGATGGGTACATAATAATAATAATAAATTTTATATATTATCAGAATTTATATAATTTTCCTATTGATAGACATTTAAGATATTCCAAAATTATTACTACTCTAAGCACTTCAGAAACAAACATTTCTGGGCATATAGCTTCTTCCACTTCTGAGATTATATCTTTAAGGTTAATCTTTAAAATGAAAATGGTCAGTAAAATGTATGCACATTTCCCATTTTGATAGATCTTACCAAATTTCCTTTCTTTTTTTTTTATTATTATACTTTAAGTTTTAGGGTACATGTGCACATTGTGCAGGTTAGTTACATATGTATACATGTGCCATGCTGGTGCGCTGCACCCACTAACTCGTCATCTAGCATTAGGTATATCTCCTGATGTTATCCCTCCCCCCTCCCCCCACCCCACAACAGTCCCCAGAGTGTGATATTCCCCTTCCTGTGTCCATGTGATCTCATTGTTCAATTCCCACCTATGAGTGAGAATATGCGGTGTTTGGTTTTTTGTTCTTGCGATAGTTTACTGAGAATGATGATTTCCAATTTCATCCATGTCCCTACAAAGGACATGAACTCCTCATTTTCTATGGCTGCATAGTATTCCATGGTGTATATATGCCACATTTTCTGAATCCAGTCTATCATTGTTGGACATTTGGGTTGGTTCCAAGTCTTTGCTATTGTGAATAATGCCGCAATAAACATACGTGTGCATGTGTCTTTATAGCAGCATGATTTATAGTTCTTTGGGTATATACCCAGTAATGGGATGGCTGGGTCAAATGGTATTTCCAGTTCTAGATCCCTGAGGAATCGCCACACTGACTTCCACAATGGTTGAACTAGTTTACAGTCCCACCAACAGTGTAAAAGTGTTCCTATTTCTCTACATCCTCTCCAGCACCTGTTGTTTCCTGACTTTTTAATGATTGCCATTCTAACTGGAGTGAGATGGTATCTCATTGTGGTTTTGATTTGCATTTCTCTGATGGCCAGTGATGATGAGCATTTTTTCATGTGTTTTTTGGCTGCATAAATGTCTTCTTTTGAGAAGTGTCTGTTCATGTCCTTTGCCCACTTTTTGATGGGGTTGTTTGTTTTCCTCTTGTAAATTTGTTTGAGTTCATTGTAGATTCTGGATATTAGCCCTTTGTCAGATGAGTAGGTTGCGAAAATTTTCTCCCATTTTGTAGGTTGCCTGTTGACTCTGATGGTAGTTTCTTTTGCTGTGCAGAAGCTCTTTAGTTGAATTAGATCCCATTTGTCAATTTTGTCTTTTGTTGCCATTGCTTTTGGTGTTTTAGACACGAAGTCCTTGCCCATGCCTATGTCCTGAATGGTAATGCCTAGGTTTTCTTCTAGGGTTTTTATGGTTTTAGGTCTAACGTTTAAGTCTTTAATCCATCTTGAATTGATTTTTGTATAAGGTGTAAGGAAGGGATCCAGTTTCAGCTTTCTACATATGGCTAGCCAGTTTTCCCAGCACCATTTAATAAATAGGGAATCCTTTCCCCATTGCTTGTTTTTCTCAGGTTTGTCAAAGATCAGATAGTTGTAGATATGCAGCGTTATTTCTGAGGGCTGTGTTCTGTTCCATTGATCTATATCTCTGTTTTGGTACCAGTACCATGCTGTTTTGGTTACTGTAGCCTTGTAGTATAGTTTGAAGTCAGGTAGTGTGATGCCTCCAGCTTTGTTCTTTTGGCTTAGGATTGACTTTGTGATGCGGGCTCTTTTTTGGTTCCATATGAACTTTAAAGTAGTTTTTTCCAATTCTGTGAAGAAAGGCATTGGTAGCTTGATGGGGATGGCATTGAATCTGTAAATTACCTTGGGCAGTATGGCCATTTTCACGATATTGATTCTTCCTACCCATGAGCATGGAATGTTCTTCCATTTGTTTGTAACCTCTTTTATTTCCTTGAGCAGTGGTTTGTAGTTCTCCTTGAAGAGGTCCTTCACATCCCTTGTAAGTTGGATTCCTAGGTATTTCATTCTCTTTGAAGTAATTGTGAATGGGAGTTCACTCATGATTTGGCTCTCTGTTTGTCTGTTGTTGGTGTATAAGAATGCCTGTGATTTTTGCACATTGATTTTGTATCCCGAGACTTTGCTGAAGTTGCTTATCAGCTTAAGGAGATTTTGGGCTGAGACAATGGGGTTTTCTAGATCTACAATCATGTCGTCTGCACACAGGGACAATTTGACTTCCTCTTTTCCTAATTGAATACCCTTTATTTACTTCTCCTGCCTAATTGCCCTGGCCAGAACTTCCAACACTATGTTGAATAGGAGTGGTGAGAGAGGGCATCCCTGTCTTGTGCCAGTTTTCAAAGGGAATGCTTCCAGTTTTTGCCCATTCAGTATGATATTGGCTGTGGGTTTGTCATAGATAGCTCTTATTATTTTGAAATACGTCCCATCAATACCTAATTTATTGAGAGTTTTTAGCATGAAGGGTTGTTGAATTTTGTCAAAGGCTTTTTCTGCATCTATTGAGATAATCATGTGGTTTTTGTCTTTGGCTCTGTTTATATGCTGGATTACATTTATTGATTTGTGTATATTGAACCAGCCTTGCATCCCAGGGATGAAGCCCACTTGATCATGGTGGATAAGCTTTTTGATGTGCTGCTGGATTCGTTTTGCCAGTATTTTACTGAGGATTTTTGCATCAATGTTCATCAAGGATATTGGTCTAAAATTCTCTTTTTTTGTTGTGTCTCTGCCTGGCTTTGGTATCAGAATGATGCTGGCCTCATAAAATGAGTTAGGGAGGATTCCCTCTTTTTCTATTGATTGGAAGAGTTTCAGAAGGAATGGTACCAGTTCCTCCTTGTACCTCTGGTAGAATTCGGCTGTGAATCCATCTGGTCCTGGACTCTTTTTGGTTGGTAAGCTATTGATTATTTCCACAATTTCAGCTCCTGTTATTGGTCTATTCAGAGATTCAACTTCTTCCTGGTTTAGTCTTGGGAGAGTGTATATGTCCAGGAATTTATCCATTTCGTCTAGATTTTCTAGTTTATTTGCGTAGAGGTGTTTGTAGTATTCTCTGATGGTAGTTTGTATTTCTGTGGAATCAGTGGTGATATCCCCTTTATCATTTTTTATTGCGTCTATTTGATTCTTCTCTCTTTTTTTCTTTATTAGTCTTGCTAGCGGTCTATCAATTTTGTTGACCCTTTCAAAAAACCACCTCCTGGATTCATTGATTTTTTGAAGGGTTTTTTGTGTCTCTATTTCCTTCAGTTCTGCTCTGATTTTAGTTATTTCTTGCCTTCTGCTAGCTTTTGAATGTGTTTGCTCTTGCTTTTCTAGTTCTTTTAATTGTGATGTTAGGGTGTCAATTTTGGATCTTTCCTGCTTTCTCTTGTGGGCATTTAGTGCTATAAATTTCCCTCTACACACTGCTTTGAATGTGTCCCAGAGATTCTGGTATGTTGTGTCTTTGTTCTCATTGGTTTCAAAGAACATCTTTATTTCTGCCTTCATTTCGTTATGTACCCAGTAGTCATTCAGGAGCAGGTTGTTCAGTTTCCATGTAGTTGAGCGGTTTTGAGTGAGATTCTTAATCCTGAGTTCTAGTTTGATTGCACTGTGGTCTGAGAGATAGTTTGTTATAATTTCTGTTCTTTTGCATTTGCTGAGGAGAGCTTTACTTCCCAGTATGTGGTCAATTTTGGAATAGGTGTGGTGTGGTGCTGAAAAAAATGTATATTCTATTGATTTGGGGTGGAGAGTTCTGTAGATGTCTATTAGGTCCCCTTGGTGCAGAGCCGAGTTCAATTCCTGGGTATCCTTGTTGACTTTCTGTCTCGTTGATCTGTCTAATGTTGACAGTGGGGTGTTAAAGTCTCCCATTATTAATGTGTGGGAGTCTAAGTCTCTTTGTAGGTCACTCAGGACTTGCTTTATGAATCTTGGTGCTCCTGTATTGGGTGCATATATATTTAGGATAGTTAGCTCTTCTTGTTGAATTGATCCCTTTACCATTATGTAATGGCCTTCTTTGTCTCTTTTGATCTTTGTTGGTTTAAAGTCTGTTTTATCAGAGACTAGGATTGCAACCCCTGCCTTTTTTTGTTTTCCATTGGCTTGGTAGATCTTCCTCCATCCTTTTATTTTGAGCCTATGTGTGTCTCTGCACGTGAGATGTGTTTCCTGAATACAGCACACTGATGGGTCTTGACTCTTTATCCAATTTGCCAGTCTGTGTCTTTTAATTGGAGCATTTAGTCCATTTACATTTAAAGTTAATATTGTTATGTGTGAATTTGATCCTGTCATTATGATGTTAGCTGGTTATTTTGCTCGTTAGTTGATGCAGTTTCTTCCTAGTCTCGATGGTCTTTACATTTTGGCATGATTTTGCAGCGGCTGGTACCGGTTGTTCCTTTCCATGTTTAGTGCTTCCTTCAGGAGCTCTTGTAAGGCAGGCCTGGTGGTGACAAAATCTCTCAGCATTTGCTTGTCTGTAAAGTATTTTATTTCTCCTTCACTCATGAAGCTTAGTTTGGCTGGATATGAAATTCTGGGTTGAAAATTCTTTTCTTTAAGAATGTTGAATATTGGCCCCCACTCTCTTCTGGCTTGTAGGGTTTCTGCCGACAGATCCGCTGTTAGTCTGATGGGCTTCCCTTTGAGGGTAACCCGACCTTTCTCTCTGGCTGCCCTTAACATTTTTTCCTTCATTTCAACTTTGGTGAATCTGACAATTATGTGTCTTGGAGTTGCTCTTTTCGAGGAGTATCTTTGTGGCGTTCTCTGTATTTCCTGAATCTGAACGTTGGCCTGCCTTGCTAGATTGGGGAAGTTCTCCTGGATAATATCCCGCAGAGTGTTTTCCAACTTGGTTCCATTCTCCCCGTCACTTTCAGGTACACCAATCAGACGTAGATTTGGTCTTTTCACATAGTCCCATATTTCTTGGAGGCTTTGCTCATTTCTTTTTATTCTTTTTTCTCTAAACTTCCCTTCTCGCTTCATTTCATTCATTTCATCTTCCATTGCTGATACCCTTTCTTCCAGTTCATCGCTTTGGCTCCTGAGGCTTCTGCATTCTTCACGTAGTTCTCGAGCCTTGGTTTTCAGCTCCATCAGCTCCTTTAAGCACTTCTCTGTATTGGTTATTCTAGTTATACATTCTTCTAAATTTTTTTCAAAGTTTTCAACTTCTTTGCCTTTGGTTTGAATGTCCTCCCGTAGCTCAGAGTAATTTGATCATCTGAAGCCTTCTTCTCTCAGCTCGTCAAAGTCATTCTCCATCCAGCTTTGTTCTGTTGCTGGTGAGGAACTGCGTTCCTTTGGAGGAGGAGAGGCGCTCTGCTTTTTAGAGTTTCCAGTTTTTCTGTTCTGTTTTTTCCCCATCTTTGTGGTTTTATCTACTTTGGTCTTTGATGATGGTGATGTACAGATGGGTTTTTGGTGTGGATGTCATTTCTGTTTGTTAGTTTTCCTTCTAACAGACAGGACCCTCAGCTGCAGGTCTGTTGGAGTACCCTGCCGTGTGAGGTGTCAGTGTGCCCCTGCTGGGGGGTGCCTCCCAGTTAGGCTGCTCGGGGGTCAGGGGTCAGGGACCCACTTGAGGAGGCAGTCTGCCCGTTCTCAGATCTCCAGCTGCGTGCTGGGAGAACCACTGCTCTCTTCAAAGCTGTCAGACAGGGACATTTAAGTCGGCAGAGGTTACTGCTGTCTTTTTGTTTGTCTATGCCCTGCCCCCAGAGGTGGAGCCTACAGAGGCAGGCAGACCTCTTTGAGCTGTGGTGGGCTCCACCCAGTTCGAGCTTCTGGGCTGCTTTGTTTACCTAATCAAGCCTGGGCAATGGCGGGCGCCCCTCCCCCAGCCTCGCTGCCACCTTGCAGTTTGATCTCAGACTGCTGTGCTAGCAATCAGCGAGACTCCGTGGGCGTGGGACCCTCCGAGCCAGGTGCGGGATATGTGGTGCGCCGTTTTTTAAGCCCGCCGGAAAAGCGCAGTATTTGGGTGGGAGTGATCCGATTTTCCAGGTGCCATCTGTCACCCCTTTCTTTGACTCAGAAAGGGAACTCCCTGACCCCTTGCTCTTCCCAAGTGAGGCAATGCCTCGCCCTGCTTCGGCTCGCGCACGGTGCACGCACCCACTGACCTGCGCCCACTGTCTGGCACTCCCTAGTGAGATGAACCCGGTACCTCAGATGGAAATGCAGAAATCACCCGTCTTCTGCGTCGCTCATCCTGGGAGCTGTAGACCGGAGCTGTTCCTATTCGGCCATCTTGGCTCCTCCCTCCACCAAATTTCCTTTCTGAAAGGTGCCTTTCCATATGGCCATTGGCCATTTCCTTATTTTGTGAATTGTTTGTTTATGACAGTTTTTAATTTTTTTATGAAGGTAATGACTTTTTCTTATTGTTTGGAAAAATTATTTGTATTTTAAAGACATTAACTCTTTGTGATATATGTTACATGTAATTTTAAAAACATGGATTATGTAAAATTTAAATTTACATGAGATCTACCATGCTTTTTCTCTACGTGGTCTGGCTTTTCTGATCTGCTTATATACATCAAGATTACAAAAAACATATTTCCTTACTTTATTTTTATATTTTGATTTACCATAAGGATTTTCTATCACGTTTTCTTCTAGTACCATCATGGTTTAATTTTTGCATTTGTTTCATTTATTTGGATTTTGTTTTGGTGTAAGAAGTGTATGAGGACTTCTTTAGTATTTTTAAATTTTTACAAATAGTTAATAGTCTTATGCCTTTCATTAAATAAATCCATCTGATATGGTTTGGATATTTGTCCCCTCCAAATCTCATGTTGAAATGTAATCTCCAATGTTGGAGGTGGGGCCTGGTAGGAGGTGATTGGATCCTGGGGGCGGATCCCTCATTAATGGTTTAGCACCATCATCTTGTTAATAAGTTTGTTCCTGCTCAGTTAGTTCCCTCGAGATCTGGTTGTTAAAAGTATGTGGCACCTCCCCCCTTGCTCTCTTGTTCCCACTTTCAGCATGGAGACACCTGCTCCCTCTTCACTTTCCACCATGATTGTAAGCTTCCTAAGGCCCTCACCAGAATCAGATGCCAGCACCATGCTTCTTGTAATATCTGCAGAACTATGAGTCAATTAAACTTTTTTTCTTTATAATTTACCCAGGCTCAGATTTTTTTTATAGTATTGCAAACACAGCCTGATACATCATTGTATTAGGTCACTCTTGCATTACTCTAAAGAAATACTTGAGACTGGATAATTTATAAGAAAAGAGGTTTAATTGGCTCACAGTTCTGCTGGCTGTACAAACATGGCACCAGCATCTGCTCAGCTTCTGGGGAGGCCTCAGGGAAATTTTACTCATAGCAGAAATTGAACTGGGAGCAGACACTTCACATGGCGAAAGCAGGAGTGAGAGAGAGAGAGAGAGAGTGGGGGATGAGATGCCACACTTTACAACAACCAGATCTCATGAGAACTCACTCACTATCATGAGGGCAGCACTAAGCCATGAGAGGTTTGCCCTCATGATCCAAACACTTTCCACCATGCCCCACCTCCAGAATTGGGAATTAAAATTTAACATGAGATTTGGGCAAGGAGAAATATCTAAACTATATCAGCCATCATTTTTTCTACTGATTGAAAACACTTTTTCTGCTTTGAAATTTTATATGCACTTGAGTTTATTGGTGGACCCTCTTTCTTCACTTACTCATTTACTTACCCAATGAATATTCACTGAACAAATTATGTGTGTAACATATACCAGACATATACATATATATATACACACCAGATATTAAAATAAAAATATTCCCCCAAATTAACTCTCAGTTTTAAACAGAGATAAATTATTTGAAGAAAGGAAGTGCATTTTATGAGTGTATAACAGAGAAACTCTGAGAAATCTATATGGGGTCTGTCAGGGAAGGCCTTCCCTGAGGAAGTAGCATTTAAACTAAGTTCAAAGGATAAGTAACAGTTAATTAGATGAATGGGCACGAAGAGGGCATTCTAAACAGGGAATAACATGTGCAAAGGTCTTGCAATAGGCTTGAGCATGGCATGTATAAAGAACTGAAAGAAGGTCAATGTGACTGGAATTCAGAGGAGGGAGAGAAGAGAAAAATTCAATAAGCTGGGATAGAGCAAAAATAAAATGTCCTGCTTTTCAAAAGAATTATTAAGAAAATAAAAAAGTCTTGTATCTATAACATATAAAAATACAAATAAAGAACACAACTCAACAACTAACTACCCAACTTTAAAAATGGGCAAGAGACGCCAAGTGTGGTGGCTCATGCCTGTAATCCTAGCACTTTGGGAGGCTGAGGCAGGCAGATCACTTGAGGTCAGGGGTTCGAGACCAGCCTGAGCAACATGATGAAACCCCATCTCTACTAAAAATTAGCTGGGCATGGTGGTGGGCTCCTGTAATCCCAGCTACTTGGCAGGCTGAGGCAGGAGAATTGCTTGAACCCTGGAGGCAGAGGTTGCAGTGAGCCAAGATCATGCCACTCTACTCCAGCATGGGCAACAGAGTGAGACTCTGTCTTAAAATAAATTGGGCAAAAGAGAGGAGAGGTGGAGCAGGAAAGCCAAATTAAAGCCTTCCCAAGAACGATGGGTACAAACAGGCCCAGACTGTGAAGATTACAATAAATACCTAACTCTTTAATGCCCAGATGTAGATAAACATCCATAAGAATCAAGACCATCCAGGAAAACATGACCTCACCAAATGAACTAAATAAGGCACTAGGGACCAATCCTGGAGCAACAGAGATACGTGACATTTCAGACAAAGATTCAAAATAACTGTTTTGAGGAAACTAAAAAAAAATTGAGATAACACAGAGAATTCTATCAGGTAAACCTAACAAAGAGATTGAAATAACTTAAAAGAATCGAGTGGAAATTCTGGAGTTGAAAAATGTAACTGACATACCGAAAAATGCATCAAAGTCTTTTAATAGTAGAATTGATCAAGCAGAAGAAAGAATTAATGAGCTTGAAGGCAGGCTATTTTAAAACACACAGACGAGAAAAAAGAAAAAAATCATAAAAAAGAATAAAGCATGCCTATGAAATCTACAAAATAGCTTCAAAAGGGCAAATCTAAGAGTTATTGGCCTTAAAGAGGAGGTAGAGAAAGAGATAGGATAGAAAGTTTATTCAAGGGATATCAACAGAGAACTTCCAAAACCTAGAGAAAGACATTGATATGCAAGTACGAGAATGTCATAGAACACCAAGTAGATTTAACCCAAAAAAGACTATCTCAGGGCATTTAACGTCCAACTCTCAAAGGTCAAGGATAAAGAAAGGATCTTAAAGCAGCAAGAGAAAAGAAACTAATAACATACAATGGCACTTCAGTGCGTCTGGAAGCAGACTTTTCAGTGGCAATCTTACAGGTCAGGAGAGAGTGGCATGACACAGTGAAGGTGTTGAAAGAAAAACACTTTTACCCTAGAATAGTATATCCAGCAAAAACATCCTTCAAACATGGAGAAATAAAAATCTTCCCAGACAAATGAAAGCTGAGGGCTTTTTATCAACACCAGATATACCCTACAAGAAATGCTAAAGGGAGTACTTCAATCAGAAAAAAAATAAGGTTAATGACAAATAAGTAATCACCAGAAGGCATAAAACTCACAGAAAAACACAGAATATTATAATACTGTAACTGTGGTTTGTAAACTACTCTTAAGTAGAAAGACTAAATGATGAACCAATCAAAAATAATAACTACAACAATGTTTTGAGACATAGACAGTACAATAAGATACAAGTAAAAAAAACCCTCTGTCTCTACTAAAAATATAAACAATTATCCAGGCATGGTGGCACGTGCCTGTAGTCCCAGCTACTCAGGAGACTGAGGTAGGAGGATCACCTGAGCTTGGGAAGTCAAGGTTGAAGGGAGCTAAGATTGTGCCACTGCACTCCAGCCTGGGCAACATGAGTGAGCCCCTGTCTCAAAAATAAAAAAATAAAAATAACTCACACCAATTCTACTCAAACTATTCTGAAAATTATAGGTGGAGAAAATACTTCTAATATCATTCTACAAGGCCAGTATTACCATGATACCAAAACCAAAGACACATCAAAAAAGAAAACTATAGGCCAATATCACTGATAAATATTTGTATTAGTCTGTTTCCATGCTGCTGATAAAGACATACATGAGACTGAGCAATTTACAAAAAAAATAAAAATAAAAAGAGGTTTAATGGACTCACAGTTCCACGTGGCTGGGAAGGCCTCACAATCATGGAAGAAGGTGAAAGGCACATCTCACATGGCAGCAGACAAGAGAAGAGAATGAGAGCCAAGTGAAAGGGGCCCTTATAAAGCCATCAGATCTCATGAGACTTACTACCATGAGAACAGTATGGGGGAAACTGTCCCCATGATTCAATTATCTCCCACTGGGTCCCTCCCACAACATGAGGGAATTATGGGTGTTACAATTCAAGATGAAATTTGGGTGGGGGCACAGCCAAACCATATCATTCTGCCCCTGGCCCCTCCCAAATCTCATGTCTTCACATTTCAAAACCAATTATGCCATCCCAACAGTCCCTCAAAGTCTTAACTCATTTTAGCATTTACTCAAAAGTCCACAATCCAAAGTCTCATCTGAGACAATGCAAGTCCCTTCCATCTATGAACCAGTAAAATCAAAAGCAAGTTAGTTATTTCCTAGATACAATGGAGGGGTACAGACATTGGGTAAACACAGTCATTCCAAATGGGAGAAATTGGCCAAAACAAAGGGGATACAGGCCCTATGCAAGTCTGGAATCCAGCAGGGCAGTCAGATCTTAAAACTCCAAAATGATCTCCTTAGACTTCATGTCTTGCATCTGGGTCATGCTGATGCTTGAGAGATGGGTTCCCATTGTCTTGGGTTTATAAGGTTTAGCTTAGGTGTCTTCTTGTTTATTTTGGGAATGGAAATCAACATTTATAGTGACTGTATATAGTGCCAGGTCAGGAAGCCTGGAGAAATAACCTATAGGAATCCACAAGGTGGCTTGTTTATGTATGTTTCTGAAGCCAATTTCCCCAGTGAGATCACTGAATGGATTGGCTATGCCCTGGCCACTTGGTCCATCCTGACACTTGCATTTGCATTTTTCTCACCTTGTTTCCTTGGGCAGCTCTGCCCCTGTGGCTTTGCAGGGTACAGCCTCTCTCCTGGTTGTTTTCACAGGCTGGCATTGAGTGTCTGTGGCTTTTCCAGGCACATGGTGCAAACTGTCAGTGGATCTACCATTCTGGGGTCTGGAGGATGGTGGCCCTCTTCTCACAGCTACACTAGGCAGCACCCCAGTGGGGACTCTGTGTGGGGGCTCCAACCCCACATTTCCCTTCCATACTGCCCCAGCAGAGGTTCTCCATGAGGGCCCCACCCCGAAGCAAACTCTGCCTGGACATCCAGGTATTTCCATACATTCTCTGAAATCTAGGCACAGGTTCCCAAACCTCAATTCTTGACTTCTGTGCACTGCAGGCTCAACACCACATGGAAGCTGCCAAAGCTTGGGGCTTGCATGCTCTGTAGCCACAGCCTGAGCTATACTTTGGCCGCTTCTAGTCATGCCTGGAGTGGCTGGGATGCAGGGCACCAAGTCCCTAGACTGCAAACAGCAGAGGGACCCTGCGCCCAGCCCACAGAATCATTTTTCATTCTTAGGTCTCAGGGCCTGTGGTGGAAGGGGCTGCCACAAAAGTCTCTGACATGCCCTGGAGACATTTTCCCCATTGTCTTGGTGATTAACATTCTGCTCCTTGTTACTTATGCAAATTTCTGTAGCTGGCTTGAATTTCTCCTCAGAAAATGGGATTTTCTTTTCTATCACACTGTCAGGCTGCAAATTTTCTGAAATTTTATGCTGTGTTTCCTTTTTAAAAGTGAATGCTTTTAACAGTACCCAAGTCACCTCTTGAATGCTTTGCTGCTTAGAAATTTCTTCTGCCAGATACCCTAAATCATCTCTCTCAAGTTCAAACTTCCACAAATCTCTAGGGCAGGGACAAAATGCTGCCAGTCTCTTTGCTAAAACATAACAAGTGTCACCTTTGCTCCGGTTCCCAGCAAGTTCCTCATCTCCATCTGAGACCACCTCAGCCTGTATTTTATTGTCCATATCATCAGCATTTTGGTCAAAGCCATTCAACAAGTCTCTAGGAAGTTCCTAGCTTTCCCACATTTTTCTGTCTTCTTCTGAGCCCTCCCATGTGTTCCAACCTCTGCCTATTACCCAGTTCCAAAGTTGCTTCCACATTTTTGAGTATCTTTTAAGTAGCACCCTATTCTTGGTACCAATTTACTGTATTAGTCCATTTTCATGCTGCTGATAAAGACATACCCGACACTGGGCAATTTACAAAAGAAAGAGGTTTAATGGACTCATAGTTCCTTGTGGCTGGGGAGGCCTCAAAATCATGGCAGAAGGTGAAAGGCACATCTCACATGGCAGCAGACAAGAGAAGAGAATGAGAGCCAAGGGAAAGCGGTTTCCCCTTATAAAACTATCAGATCTTGTGAGACTTATTCACTACCATGAGAACAGTATGGGGGAAACTGTGCCCATGATTCAATTATCTCCCACTGGGTCCCTCCCACAACATGAGGGAATTATGGGAGCTACAATTCAAGATGAAATTTGGGTGGGGACACAGCCAAACCATATGATTATTGTTGCAAAAATTGTCAATAAAATACTAGCAAACTGAATTCAACAACATATTAAAATGATCATTCATTCTGTAGGTTGTCTGTTTACTGTGTTGATAGTTTCTTTTGCTGTGTAGGAGCTCTTAAGTTTAATTAGACCCCATTTGTCAATTTTTCCTTTTGTTGCAGTTGTTTTTGGTGTCTTCATCATGAAATCTTTGCCTGTTCCTATGTCCAGAATGGTATTGCCTAGGTTTTCTTCCAGGGTTTTTGCAGTTTTGCATTTTGCATTTCAGTACTTCACCCATCTTGAGTTTATTTTTGTATATGGTGTAGGAAAGGGGTCCATTTTAAACCTCCTGCATAGGGCTAGCCAATTATCCCAGCACCATTTATTGAATAAGGAGTCTTTTCCCCAATGCTTGTTTTTGTCAGGCTTGTCAAAGATCAGATTGTTGTAGGTGTGTGGCCTTATTTTTGGGCTCTCTATTCTGTTCCATTGTTCTATGTGTCTGTTTCTGTGCCAGTACCATGCTGTTTTGGTAACCATAGCTCTGTAGTATAGTTTTGAGTGAGGTAAGGTGATTCCTCCAGCTTTGTTCTTTTTGCTTAGGATTGCTTTGACTATTTGGGCTCTTTTTGTGATTCCATATGAATTTTAAAATAGTCTTTTCTGGTTCTGTGAAGAATGTCATTGGTAGTTTGATAGGAATAGCATTGAATCTATAGATTGCTTTGGGCAGTATGGCCATTTTAATGATATTTATTTTTCCTATCCATGAACATGGAATGTTTTTCCATATGCATCTGATGAAGGCCTAATATCCAGCATCTATAAGAAACTTAAACAAATTTACAAGAAAAAGCCTATGAAAAAGTGGGCAAATAACATGAATAGACACTTTTCAAAAGAAGACATGCATGTGGCCAATGAGCGTATGAAAAAAAAGTTCAACACCCCTGATAATTAGAGAAATTCAAATCAAAACCAGAATGAGACACCATCTCACGCAGTCAGAATGGCTATGATTAAAAAGTCAAAAATAGGCTGGGCACCATGGCTCATGCCTGCAATCCTAGCACTTTGGGATGCCACGGAGGGAGGATGGATCACTTGAGCCCAGGAGTTCTAGACCAGCCCAGGATACATAGCAAAATGCCACCTCTCTATATAAATAAGGCAAAAAAAAAAAAAAAAAACAAAACTACTGTCAAAGTTGCAGGGAAAAAGGAACACAGACACTGTTAAGTGGGAGTCTAAATTAGTTCAACTATTGTGGAAAGCAGTGTGACATTTTCTTAAAGACCTAAAAATAGAACTACCATTTTACCCAGCAATCCTATTACTGGGTATCTACCCAAAGAGATATAAATTATTTTATCATAAAGATGCATGCACACATGCTCACTGCAGCACTATTCACAATAGCAAAAACATGGAATCAACCTAAATGCCCATCAATGGTAGACTGGATAAAGACAATGTGGTACATATACACAACTGAATATGATGCAGCCATAAAAAAGAATAAGATAATTAAGATGGCAGATAGGAGGCAGCACTAGCTTGCAGCTCCCACTTGGACAGACAGAGAGGTGAGGAGGCTCACATCATGATCTTTTGCTCCAAGAAGTACCACAGCAACATTCCAGGGAAGCTGAGATAATCCACAGACCCTTTGAAGGAACTGGAGCACTGCTGCATGCTCCCTGAGATGCTGAAAAACTGTGAGTCTCCTTGCTTTTTAGCTGGGAGGCTGGTGGTCTGGGGCAAGTTCTCAGCCTTGATCACCAGATGCCCAGAAATAGACTCGGTGCTGTTGAGGGGGCACAGTGGGAGTAAGACTGGCCTTTAGGACTGCAGGCTGCATGGGTGCGGGATGAGCCTGTGACTGCCAGCTTTCCCCTACTTCCTTGGTGATCTGTATGACTCAGCAGAGGCAGCTATTATCCCCGTGGGAACATAACTCCATTGGCCTGGGAACCACACCCCCATCCCCTACAGCAGCCACAGCAAGCTACACTCAAGGAGAGTCTGAGCTCAGACATGCCTAACCCTGCCCCCACTTGGTGGTCTTTCTCTACCCACCCTGGTTGCAAGGACAAGGGACATAATCTCTTGGGAGCTCTATGGCTCTGCCCACCACCCGAGAAACCTGAATACTTAACCAGGTGACCCTAGGGAAAGTTTGCTTCCTCCCTAGACTACTACAACTGATGTGCTCTTGAAAGCACCACCTCCTGGCTGGAGGCCAACCAATACAAATCCAGCACATTAAATAAAAATACAACCAAAGACTCTCACAGAATCCACTTCACTCCCCTGCTATCTCTACCAGAGCAGGTGCTGGTATCCATGGCCAAAAGACATGAAGATGGGTCATATCACAGGACTCTTTGCAGATACTCTCCAGTACCAGCCTGAAGCCAGTAGCTCCGCTAGGTGGCTAGACCTAGAAGAGCAAAAACAATCACCGCAGTTCGGCTCTCAGGAAGCCCGAATTCTAGAGGAAGTGTGAGAACAACAATCAAGGGACCACCCCGTGGGAGAAAAGAATTTGAACAGCCCCTCCCAGATCTTCCCTCTGACATAGTCTAAGCAAGTGAGAAATAACTAGAAAATCAATTCTGGTAATACAACAAAACAAGGTAATTTAACACTCCCAAAAGATCACACCAGCTCACAAGCAATGGATCCAAACCAAGATAAAATACCTGAATTGCCAGAAAAAGAATTCAGAAGGTAGATTATTAAGCTAATCAAGGAGACATCAGAGAAAGGTGAACTCCAACTTAAAGAAATCATAAACATGATACAGGATATGAAAGGAAAAATCTTCAATGATATGAAAGCAAAAATCTTCAATGAAATAGATAGCATAAATAAAAAACAACCACAACTTCTGGAAATTAAGGACACACTTATAGAAATGCAAAATGCACTGGAAAGTCTCAGCAGTAGAATCAAACAAGCAGGAGAAAGAACTTCAGAGCTTGAAGATAAGGCTTTCAAATTAACTGAATCCCTCAAAGACAAAGAAAAAAATAATTAAAAAACAAAAAAAGTGAACAAAGCCTCCAAAAAGCTTGGAACTATGTTAAACACCCAAACCTAAGACTAATTGATGTTCCCAAGGAAGAGGAGAAATCTAAAAGTCTGAAAACCATATTTGAGGGAATAATCAAGGAAAACTTCTCCAGCCTTTAGATATCTAGGCATCCAAATAAAATAAGCTCAAAGAACACCTGGAAAATTTATCACAAAAAGATAATTGCCTAGGCACATAGTCATCAGGTTATCTAAAATCAAGACAAACAAAATAATCTTAAGAGCTATGAGGAAAAAGCATCAGGTAACCTATAAAGGAAAACCTATCAGAGTAACAGCAGGTTTCTCAGCAGAAACCCTACAAGCTAAAAGGAATTGGGGTCCTATTTTTAGCCTCCTTAAACAAAACAATTATCACCCAAGAATTTTGTATCCAGTGAAACTAAGCTTCATAAATGAAGAAAAGATACAGTCTTTTACAGACAAACAAATGCTGGGAGAATTCGCCACTACCAAGCTGGCAATACAAGAACTGCTAAAAGGAGCTCTAAATTTTGAAACAAATCCTTGAAATACACCAAAATGGAACCTACTTAAAGCACAAATCTCACAGGATCTATATAACAATAACACAATGAAAAAAAAACCAAGGTATTGAGGCAACAAATAGCATGATGAATAGAATAGTACCTCACATCTCAGTACTAACATTGAATGTAAATGGCCTAAATGCCTCACTTAAAAGATATAGAATCCATTCTACAATGGATAAGAATTCACCAAACAAGTTTCTGCTGTCTTCAGGAGACTCACCTAACACATAAGGACTCAGGTAAACTTAAGGTAAAGGAAAAAGATATTCCATGCAAATGGACACCAAAAGTGAGCAGAAGTAGCTATTCTTATATCAGACAAAACAAACTTTAAAGCAATAGCAGTTAAAAAAGACAAACAGAGACATTAAAGAATGATAAAAGGACTAGTCCAACAGGAAAATATCACAATCCTAAATATATATGCACCTAACACCAGAGCTCCTGAATTTATAGAACAATTACTACTAGACCTAAGAAATGAGATAGATGGTAACACAATAATAGTGGGGGACTTTAAGACTCTACTGACAGCACTAGACAGGTCATCAAAAAAGAAAGTCAACAAATAAACCATCAACTTAAACTATACCCTAAAACAAATGGACTTAACAGATATTTACAGAACATTCTTCCCAACAACTGCAGAATATACATTCTATTTATCAACACATGGAACATTCTCCAAGATAGACCACATGATAAGGCACAAAACAAGTCTCAGTAAATTTAAGAAAATCAAAATTATATCAAGTATTCTCTCAGAACACAGTGGAATAAAATTAGAAATAAACTCCATAAGGAATCCTCAAAACCACACAAATACCTGAAAATTAAATAACCTCCTGAATGATTGTTGGGTCAAAATGAAATGAAGATGGAAATCAAAAATTGTTTGAACTGAACGATAACAGTGACACAACTTATCAAAACCTCTGGGATACAGCAAAAGTGGCTGTATTTGTCAGGGTTCTCTAGAGGGACAGAACTAACAGGATATATATTATATATATCCTATTAGTTTATTAAGTATTAACTAACATGATCACAAGGTCCCACAATAGGCTGTCTGTAAGCTGAGGAGCAAGGAGAACCAGGCCAAGTCCCAAAACTGAAGAACATGGAGTCCAATGTTTGAGGGTAGGAAGTATCCAGCACGAGAGAAAGATGTAGGCTGGGAGGCTAAGTCAGTCTCATCTTTTTATATTTTTCTGCCTACTTTATATTCTAGCCATGCTGGCAGCTAATAAGATGCTGCCCAATCAGATTAAGGGTGGGTGTGCCTTTCCCAGCCCACTGACTCAAATGTTAATCTCCTTTGGAAACACCCTCACAGACACACCCAGGATCAATACTTTGCATCCTTCAATCCAATCAAGTTGACACTCAGTATTAACCATCAGAGTGGTGCTAAAAGGAAAGCTCATAGTATTAAATGCCTACATCAAAAAGTCTGAAAGAGCACAAATACACAATCTGAGGTCACACCTCACAGAACTGAAGAAACAAAAGCAATCCAAACCCAAACCCAGCAGAAGAAAAGAAATAAAGATCAGAGCAGAACTAAGTGAAATTGAAACAAACAAACAAGACACAAAAGATAAGTGAAACAAAAGCTTGTTATTGGAAAAGATAAATAAAATTGATAGACAGTTAGTGAGATTAACCAAGAAGAGAGAAGATCCAAATAAACTCAATTAGAAATGAAATGAGAGATATTACTACTGATACGACAGAAATACAAAAAAATTATTTAAGGCTTCTGTGAACATCTTTACATGCATAAACTAGAAAACCTAGAGAAGAGGATAAATTCCTGGAAATACAAAGATCTTCTAGATTAAACCAGGAAGTTATAGTAACTCTGAACACACCAATAACAAGCAGCAAGATTAAAATGATAATTTAAAAATTGCCAACAACAACAACAAAAGTCCAGGACCAGACAGATTTACAGCTGCATTCTATCTGGCATTCAAAGAAGAATTGGTACCAATCCTATTGACACTATTCCATTGGATAAAAAGGAAATTATCTCTAAATCATTCCAGGAGGCCAGTATCCCCCTAATACCAAAACCAAGGAAGGACATAAAAAAAGAAAACTACAGACCAATATTCATGATGAACATATATGCAAAAATCTTTAACAAAATGCTAGCTAATTAAATCCAACAGCATATCAAAAAGATAATCCACCATGATCAAGTGAGTTTCATACCAGGGATGCAGGGATGGTTTAACATCTGCAAGTTAACAAATGTCATACACCACATAGAAATAATTAAAAACAAAAATCACATGATCATCTCAATAGATACATAAAAAGCATTCGACAAAATCCAGCATCTCTTTATGATTAAAACCTTCAGCAAAATTGGCAGAGAAGAAACATACCTTAAGGTAATAAAGGCCATCTATGACGAACCCATAGCCAACGTTATACTGAACAGGGAAAAGATGAAAGCATTCCCCCTGAGAACTGGAACAAGACAATGATGCTCACTTTTACCACTTATATTCAAGATAGTACTGGAAGTCCCAGCCAGAGCAATCAGAAAAGAGAAAAAAATCAAGGGCATCCAAATTGGTAAAGAGGAAGTCAAACTGTTCCTGTTTGCTGATGATATGTTTGTATACCTAGAAAACTCTAAAGACTCATCCAAAAAGCTCCTAGAACTGGTAAATAAATTCAGCAAAGTTTCAGGATACAAAATTAATGTACACAAAACAGTAGCTCTCCTATATACCAATAGTGACCAAGCTGAGAATAAAATAAGAACTCAATCCCTTTTACCATAGTTGCAAAAAATAAAATAAAATGAACAACTCAGGAATATACCTAACCATGGAGGTGAAAGACCTCTACAAAGAAAACTACAAAACACTGCTGAAAGAAATCATAGATGACACAAACAAATGGAAATACATCCCATGCTCATGGATGGGTAGAATCAATATTGTGAAAATGACCATACTGCCAAAAGCAATCTACAAATTCAATGCAATTCCCATGAAAATACCACTGTCATTCTTCACGGAACTAGAAAAACAATTCTAAAATTCATATGAAACCAAAAAAGCCCACATAGCAAAAGAAAGACTAAGCAAAAAGAACAAATCTGGAGGCATCTCATTACCCGACTTCAAACTAGACTATAAGGCTATAGTCACCAAAACAGCATGGTACTGGTATAAAAATGGACACATAGACCAATGGAACTGAATACAGAACCCAGAAATATAGCCAAATACTTATAGCCAACTGATCTTCAACAAAGCAAACAAAAACATAAAGTGGGGAAAGGACACCCTATTCAACAAATAATGTCGGGATAATTGGCAAGCCACATGTAGAAGAATGAAACTGGATCCTCATCTCTCACCTTATACAGAAATAATTCAAGATGAATCAAAGACTTAAATCTAAGACCTGAAACCATAAAAATTCTAGAAGAAAACATTGGAAAATCTCTTCTAGACATTGGTTTAGGCAAAGACTTCATGACCAAGAACCCAAAAGCAAATGCAATACAAACAAAGCTAAATAGATGGGAATTAATTAAATGAAAAAGCTTCTGTATAGCAAAAGAAATAACTGGGGGCTGGCAAGATGGCCAAATAAGAACAGCTTTGGTCTGCAGCTCCCAGCGAGATCAACACAGAAGGCAGGTGATTTCTGCATTTCCAACTGAGGTACCCAGCTCATCTCATTGGGACTGGTTAGACAGTGGGTGTAGCCCAAGGAGGGTGAGCCAAAGCAGGGTGGGGCGTCACCTCACTCAGGAAGCACAAGGGGTCGGGGAACTCCCTCCCCTAACCAAGGGAAGCCTTGAAGGACTGTGCCGTGAGGAATGGTGCACTCTGGCCCAGATACTATGCTTTTCCCACAGTCTTCGCAACCAGCAGACCAGGAGATTCCCTCCAGTGCCTACTCCACCAGGGCCCTGGGTTTCAAGCACAAAACTGGGCGGCCATTTGGGCAGACACCAAGCTAGCTGCAGGAGTTTTTTTTTTCATACCCCAGTGGTGCCTAGAACACCAGTGAGACAGAACCATTCACTCCCCTGGAAAGGGGGCTGAAGCTAGGGAGCCAAGTGGTCTAGCTCAGTGGATCCCATCCCATGGAGCCCAGCAAGCTAAGATCCACTGGCTTGAAATTCTCACTGCCAGCACAGCAGTCTGAAGTCGACCTGGGATGCTTCAGATTGGTAGGGGAAGGGGTGTCCACCATTACTGAGGCTTGAGTAAGCTCTTTTCCCCTCACAGTGTAAACAAAGCCACCAGAAAGCTGGAAATGGGCAGAGCCCACTGCAGCTCGGCAAAGCCGCTGTAGCCAGACTGCCTCTCTAGATTCCTCCCTCTGGGCAGGGCATCTCTGAAAGAAAGGCAGCAGCCCCAGTCAGGGCTTATAGATAAAACTCCCATCTCCCTGCGACAGAACACCAGGGGGAAGGGGTGGCTGTGGGTGCAGCTTCAGCAGACTTAGACGTTCCTGCCTACTGGTGCTAAAGAGAGCAGTGGATCTCCCAGCATGGTGCTCAAGCTCTGCTAAGGGACAGACTGCCTCCTCAAGTGGGTCCCTGACCCCCGTGCCTCCTGACTGGGAGACTCCTCCCTGCAGGGGTCGACAGACCCCTCATACAAGAGAGCTCCAGCTGGCATCTGGCAGGTGCCCCTCTGGGACAAAGCTTCCAGAGGAAGGAACAGAAGGCAATCTTTGCTGTTCTGCAGCCTCTGCTGGTGATACCCAGGCAAATAGGTCGGGAGTGGACCTCCAGCCAACTCCAGCAGACCTGCAGCAGAGGGTCCTGACTGTTAGAAGCAAAACTAAGATACAGAAAGGAATAGCATCAACATCAACAAAAAGGATGTCCACACAGAAGGTCACCATCCGAAGGTCACCAACATAAAAGACCAAAAGTAGACAAATCCACAAATATGAGGAAAAACCAGTGCAAAACGTCTGAAAATTCCAAAAACCAGAATGCCTCTTCTCCTCCAAAGTATCACAACTCCTCGCTAGCAAGGGAACAAAACTGGATGGAGAACGAGTTTGACAAACTGACAGAAGTAGGCTTCAGAAAGTGGGTAATAACAAACTCGTCCAAGATAAAGGAGCATGTTCTAACCCAATGCAAAGAAGCTAAGAACCTTGAAAAAAGGTTAGGCAAATTGCTAACTAGAAAAACCAGTATAGAGAAGAACATAAGTGACCTAATGGAGCAGAAAAACACAGCACAAGAACTTCGTGAAGCATACACAAGTATCAATAGCCAAATCAATCAAGTGGAAGAAAGGATATCAGAGGTTGAAGATCAACTTAATGAAATAAACCATGAAGACAAGATTAGAGAAAAAAGAATGAAAAGAAACAAACAAAGCCTCCAAGAAATATAGGACTATGTGAAAAGACCAAACCTACGTTTGACTGGTGTACCTGAAAGTGACAGGGAGAATGGAACCAAGTTGGAAAACACTCTTCAGGATATTATCCAGGAGAACTTCCCCAACCTAGCAAGGCAGGCCAACATTCAAATTCTGGAAATACAGAGAACACCACAAAGATACTCCTCGAGAAGAGCAACCCCAAGACACATAATCATCAGATTCACCAAGGTTGAAATGAAGGAAAAAATGTTAAGGGCAGCCAGAGAGAAAGGTCGGGTTACCCACAAAGGGAAGCCCATCAGACTAATAGCAGATCTCTCTGCAGAAAGCCTACAAGCCAGAAGAGAGTGGGGGCCAATATTCAACATTCTTTAAAAACAGAATTTTCAACCAAGAATTTCATATCCAGACAAGCAAAGCTTCATAAGCGAAGGAAAAATAAAATCCTTTACAGACAAGCAAATGCTGAGAGATTTTGTCACCACCAGGCCTGCCTTTCAAGAGCTCCAGAAAGAAGCACTAAACATGGAAAGAAAAAACCGGTACCAGCAACTGCAAAAACATACCAAATTGTAAAGACCATCGACACTGTGAAGAAACTGCAACAACTAATGAGCAAAATAACTAGCATCATAATGACAGGATCAAATTCACACATAACAATATTAACCTTGAATATAAATGGGCTAAATGTTCCAATTAAAACACACAGACCGGCAAATTGGATAAAGAGTCAAGACCCATCAGTGTGCTGTATTCAGGAGACCCATCTCATGTGCAAAGACACACATAGGCTCAAAATAAAGGGATGGAGGAATATTTACCAAGCAAATGGAAAGAAAAAAAAAGCAGGGGTTGCAATCCTAGTTCCTGATAAAGCAAAATTTAAACCAACAAAGATCAAAAAAGACAAAGAAGGGTATTACATAATGGTCAAGGAATCAATGCAACAAGAAGAGCTAACTATCCTAAATATATATGCACCCAATACAGGAGCAACCAGATTCATAAAGCAAGTTCTTAGAGACCTACAAAGAGACTTAGACTCCCACACAATAATAGTGGGAGACTTTAACACCCCACTGTCAACATTAGATCAACGAGACAGAAAATTAACAAGGATATTCAGGACTTGAACTCAGCTCCGGACCAAGCAGACCGAATAGACATCTACAGAACTCTCCACCCCAAATCAACAGAATATACATTCCTCTCAGCACCACATCACACTTATTCTAAAATTGACCACATAATTGGAAGTAAAACACTCCTCAGCAAATGCAAAAGAATGGAAATCATGACAAACAGTCTCTCAGACCACAGTGCAATCAAATTAGAACTCAGGATTAAGAAACTCACTCAAAACCGCACAACTACATGGAAACTGAACAACTGCTCCTGAATGACTACTGGGTAAACAACGACATTAAGGCAGAAATAAAGTTCTTTGAAACTAATGAGAACAAAGACACAATGTACCGGAATCTCTGGGACATAACTAAAGCAGTGTTTAGAGGGAAATTTATAGCACTAAAATCCCACATCAGAAAGCGGGAAAGATTTAAAATCAACAGCCTAACATCACAATTAAAAGAACTAGAGAAGCAAGAGCAAACAAATTCAAAAGCTAGCAGAAGACAAGAAGCAACTAAGATCAGAGCACAAGTGAAGGAGATAGAGACACGAAAAATCCTTCAAAAAAATCAATAAATCCAGGAGCTGGTTCTTTGAAAAGATGAACAAAATAGATTGACTGCTAGCCAGACTAATAAAGAAGAAAACTGAGAGGAATCAAATAGACACAATAAAAAATGATAAAGGGGATATCACCACTCATCCCACAGAAATACAAACTACCATCAGATAATACTGCAAACACCTCTACACAAATAAACTAGAAAAACTAAAAGAAATGCATAAATTCCTGGACACAGGAAGAAGTCAATCCCTGAATAGAACAATAACAAGTTCTGAAATTGAGGCAGCAATTAACAGTTTACCAACCAAAAAAGCACAGGATCAGACGGATTCACAGCCAAATTCTACCAGAGGTACAAAGAGGAGCTGGTACCATTCCTTCTGAAACTATTCCAAACAATAGAAAAAGAGGGACTCCTCCCTAACTCATTTTATGATGCCAATTTCATCCTGACACCAGAACCTGTCAGAGACACACACACAAAAAGAAAATTTCACGCCAATATCCCTGATAAACATTGTTGTGAAAATCCTCAATAAAATACTGGCAAACTGAATCCAGCAGCACATCAAAAAGCTTATTCACCATGATCAAGTTGGCTTCATCCCTGGGATACAAGGCTGGTTCAACATATGCAAATCAATAAACATTATACAGCATGTAAAGAGAACCAATGACAAAAACCACATTATTGTCTCAATAGATGCATAAAAAGCCTTCGATAAAATTCAATATACCTTCATGCTAAAAACTCTCAATCAACTAGTTATTGATGGAATGTATCTGAAAATAATAAGAGCTATCCATGAAAAACCCATAGCCAATATCATACTGAATGGGCAAAAGCTGGAAATATTCCCTTTGAAAACTGGCACAAGACAAGGATGCCCTCTCTCACCACTCCTATTCAACATAGCATTGGAAGTTCTGGCCAGGGCAATCAGGCAAGAGAAAGAAATAAAGCATATACAAATAGGAAGAGAGGAAGTCAAATTGTATCTGTTTGCAGATGACATGATTGCATATTTAGAAAACCCCATTGTCTCAGCCCAAAAACTCCTTAAGCTGATAAGCAACTTCAGCAAAGTCTCAGGACACAAAATCAATGTGCAAAAATCACAAGCATTCCTATACAACCAAAATAGAGAGCCAAATCATGAGTGAACTCCCATTCACAATTGCTACAAAGAGAATAAAATACCTAGAAATACAACTTACAAGGGATGTGAAGGACCTCTTTGAGGAGAACTACAAACCACTGCTCAAGGAAATAAGAGAGGACACAACAAATGGAAAAACATTCCATGCTCATGGATAGGAATAATCAATATCATGAAAATGGCCATGCTGCCCAAAGTAATTTATAGATTCAATGCTATTCCCATCAAGCTACAATTGCCTTTCTTCACAGAATTGGAATATGTAACAAACCTGCACGTTGTGCACATGTACCCTAAAACTTAAAGTATAATAATAATTTTTAAAAACCTACTTTAAATTTCATATGGAACCAATAAAGAGCCTGTATAGCCAAAACAATCCAAAGCAAAAACAAAAAACAAAAACAAACAAACAAAAAACCAAAGCTGGAGACATCATGCTACCTGACTTCAAACTATACTACAAGGCTACAGTAACCAAAACAGCATGGTACTAGTACCAAAACACATATATAGACCAATGGAACACAACAGAGACCTCAGATATAACACCACACATCTACAACCATCTGATCTTTGACAAACCTGACAAAAACAAGAAATGGGGAAAGATTCCCTATTTAATAAATGGTGCTGGGAAAACTGGCTAGCCATATGCAGAAAACGGAATCTGGACCCCTTCCTTACACCTTATACAAAAATTAACTCAAGATGGATTAAAAACTTAAACATAAGACCTAAAACCATAAAAACCCTAGAAAAAAACCTAGGCAATACCATTCAGGACATAGGCATGGGCAAAGACTTCATGACTAAAACAACAAAAGCAATGGCAACAAAAGCCAAAATTGACAAATGGGATCTAATTAAACTAAAGAGCTTCTGCATGGCAAAAGAAACTGTCATCAGAGTGATCAGGCAACCTACAGAATGGAGAAAATTTTTGCAATCTATCCATCTGACAAGGGGCTAATATCCAGAATCTACAAGGAACTTAAATAAATTTACAAGAAAAAACCAAACAACCCCATCAAAAAGTGGGTGAAGGATATGAGCGTCTCAAAAGAAGACATTTATGTGGCCAACAATCATATGAATAAAAGCTAATCATCACTGATCATTAGAGAAATGCAAATCAAAACCGCAATGAGATACCATCTCACATCAGTTAAAATGGCAATCATTAAAAAGTCAGGAAACAACAGATGCTGGAGAGGATGTGGAGAAATAGGAACACTTTTACACTGTTAGTAGGAATGTCAATTAGTTCAATCATTGTGGAAGACAGTGTGAAAATTCCTCAAGGATCTAGAATCAGAAATACCATTTGACCCAGCAATCCCATTACTGGGTATATACCCAAAGGATTATAAATCATTCTACCATAAAGGCACATGCACACATATGTTTACTGCAGCACTATTTACAAGAGCAAAGACTTGGAATCAACCCAAAGGGCCATCAATGATAGAATGGACAAAGAAAATGTGGCACAGATACACCATGGAATATTATGCAGCCATAAAAGAGAATGAGTTCATGTCCTTTGCAGAGACATGGATAAAGATGGAACCCATCATTCTCAGCAAACTAACACAGGAACAGAAAAGCAAACACCACATGTTCTCACTCATAAGTGGGAGCTGAACAATGAGAACACATGGAACACTGGAGCCAGTTGCGGAGTGGGGGGAAATGAGAGGGAGAGCATTACCTAATGCATGTGGAGCCCAAAACCTAGATGACGGGTTGATGGGTGCAGCAAACCACCATGGCACATGTATACCTATGTAACAAACCTGCACGTTCTGCACATGCATCCAAGAACTGAAAGTATAATAAAAAAGAAAATGTGATATATATATATATATATATATATATATATATATATATATATATATGCACACATACACACACCATGGAATACTACTCAGCCATAAAAAGGCACTAAATAATGGCATTTGCAGCAACCTGGAAGGAATTGGAGACTATTATTCTAAGTGAAGTAACTCAGGAATGGAAAGCCAAACATGGTATGTTCTCACTTATAATTGGGAGCTAAGCTATGAGGACGCAAAGGCATAAGAATGATACAATGGACTTTGAAGACTCAGAGAAAGGGGTGGGGGAGTGAAGATAAAAGACTACACATTGGGTACAGTGTACACTGCTTGGGTGACGGATGCACCAATATCTCTGAAATCACTACTATATATCTTATTCATGTAACCAAACTTCACCTGTTCCCCAAAAACCCATTGAAAAATAAATAATTCTTTTTAAAAAGAAACAAAATCATTGTGTTGTATACATTGAATATATACAATCTTTATTTGCCAACTAAATACTCTAAAATAAAAAAGGAAAAAAGAAAATGAGCAAAGGACATGGACAGACATTGCACTGAAGAGGACATGCAGATGACAAATAAGCAGACAAAATGTTCAATTTTATTAGCCTTTTGGGAAATGCAAATTTAAACAATAAAATGTCACTACACAGCTTTCAAAATAGTTAAGATAATAATAGTGACAACACAAAATGCTGGTAAGAATGCACAGAAATATTGCTGGTTTTAATGTAAAATAGTATGACCACACTGGAAAGCACTTTGGCAATTTCTTCCAAATCTAAACATGCAGCTGCTACGCGACCAAACAACTAGACCCTTTGGCATTTATCTCAGAGAAATGAAAACTTATGTCCATAAAGAAACCTGTAAAAGAGGATTTATACAGCCTTGTTTGTAATAACCCAAAACTAGTGACAACCAAAATGTCCTTCAACAGCTGAATAATTAAACAAACTGTGGCATATCAGTATCATGGAGTAGTACTCAGCAATAAAAAGGATCAAACTGTTGATACACACAACAACTTGGATGAAGTTCCAGGGAATTGTGCTGAGTGGGGAAAAAAAAGACAATCCCAAAAGGTGATATACTGTTTTATTCCATTTACGTAACATTCTTGACATGATAAAATTATCAAAGCAGAAAAGAGATTAATGGTTGAGGGACTGGATGAGACACAAGTGGATGTGGCTTTAAAAGGGCAACACGGATCTGTGTAGTGATGAAAATCTTCTGTATCTGACTGCATCAATGTCAATAATGTCCTGGTTTTCTTATCATACTATAGTTTTACAAGATGTTATCATTAAGGGAAACTTGGTAAAGGGCACACAGCATCTCTCTGTATTATTTCTTAAAACTGCATGTGAATCTTCAACTATCTCAACATAACAACGCCTTAATTTTAAAAAATTTTAGTCATAAGAAACCAAGACACACATACATACAGATAATATATTTAATGTTATAGAAATAAATTCATAATATATTGTGAAATAAAAATAGTTTGCAAAACAATGTATTAAAAGTAATGGCAAAAAGCGCAATTAATTTTGTACCAACTTAATATATGAAATAACCTCTTTTTGATGAATGTATTTATCTATATATGTGAGGAAATAAAGCATAAGAGGCTATACACATAAATGTTAAAGTGGGTGGTATCATGGATGATTTTTATTGATTTTATTTTCACTTAGTGATATTTTGTAATTTATGTAACTAAAATAAAATAAAGTCACTTTTTTAAAAAAGAATGAGATCATGTCCTTTATAGGAACATGAACAGAGCTAGAAGCCATTATCCCTAGCAAATTAATGCAGCAACAGAAAACCAAATACCACACATTCTCACTTACAAGTGGCAGCTAAAAGATGAGAATACATGGACTCAGAAAAAAAAATAGCTAATGGGTACTAGGCTTAATACCTGGGTGATGAAATAATTTGTACAACAAACACCCATGACACAAGTTTACCTAAATAACAAATCTGCACATGTACCCCTGTACTTAAAAGTGAAAACAAAAACAAAACAAAAGATCATTTATCATGACCAAGTGCAATTTATTCCAGTGATGCAAGAATGGTTCAACATACACACATCAATTAATGAGATACATCATATCAACAGAATGAAGAACAAAAACCTCATGATCATTTTAATTGTTGCTGAAAAAGCATTTGATAATATTAAACATCCCTTTATGACAAAAAACCCTCAAAAACATGGGTATAGAGGGAACATACCTCAACAGAATAAAAGCCATATATGACAAACCCATAGCTAGTATTATACTGAATGGACAAAAACTGAAATCCTGTCCTCTAAGATTGGGAACATAACAAGGATGCCCACTTTCACCACAGTTATTCAACATAGTACTGGAAGTCCTAGCCAGAGCAATCAGACAAGATAAAGAAATAAAAAGGCTTCCAAATTGGAAAGGAGGAAGTCAAATTACCTTGTTTGCAGATGATATGATCTTATATTTGGAAAAACCTAAACACTCCAATGAAAACTCTTAAAGTTGATAAATTCAGTAAAGTTGCAGGTTACAAAATCAACGTACAAAAATCAGTGACATTTCTATATGCCAACAGTGAACAATGTGAAAAAAAATCAAGAAAGTAATTCCATTTGCAATAGCTACAAATGAAATAAAGTACATAGTAATTAACAAAAATACTAAAAGATTTCTACCTGAAAACTATAAAACATTGATACAAGAAATTGAAAAAGACATACAAAAATGGAAAGATATTCTATATTTATGAATTGGAAGAATAAATATAGTTAAAATGTCCATAGTACCCAAAGCAATCTATAGATTTAATGCAATCCCTATCAAAATGACAAAGACATATATTCACAGAAATTTTTAAAAATCCTAATATTTATATGGAACCAGGAAAGACCCAGAATAGCCAAAGCTATCTCCTAAGCAATACCTGACTTCAAATTATACTACAGAGCTATAGTAACCAAAATGGCATGGTCCTGGCATAAAAAAAGACACATAGATCAGTGGAAAAGAATAGAGAACCTGGAGATAAGTCTATACATTTACAATGAACTCATTTTCAGGAAAGGTGCCAAGATCATACACTGGGGAAAGGTGCTGGGAAAACTGGATATCCATATGCAAAAGAATGAAACTAGACCCCTATCTCTCACCATATACAAAAAATCAAATACAAATGGATTAAAGGCTTAAATCTAAGACCTGAAACTATGAAACTACTAAAAGAAAACATTAGGGAAACTCTCCAAGACATTGGAGTGGGCAGAGATTTCTTGAATAATATGCCATAAATACAGGCAAGCAAAGCAAAAATGGACGAATGGGATCACATCAAGTTAACAAGCTTCTGCACAGCAAAGGAATCAACAATGTGCAAAGACGACCCACAGAATGGGAGAAAGTATTTGCAAACCACCTATCTGACAAGGGATTAATAACCAGAATATATAAGGAGCTCAAATAACTCTATAGGAAAAAATCTAATACTGTGTTTGACAAATGGGCAAAAGATGTGAATAGACATTCCTCAAAAGAAGATATACAAATGGTGAAGAGCCATATGAAAAGGTGCTCAATGTCATTGATCATCAGAGAAATTCAAATCAAAACTACAATGAGATATCATCTCAGCTCAGTTATTAGGTTGGTGCAAAAGTAAATGCGGTTTTGCCATTACTTTCAATTGCAAAAACCGCAATTACTTTTGCACCAACCTAATAAAATGGCTTTTATCCAAAAGACAGGAAATAACAAACGCTGGCGAGGATATAGAGAAAAGGGAATCCTCAAACACTGTTGATGGGAATGTAAACATTAGTACAACCACTATGGAGAACAGTTTGGAGGTTCCTCAAAAAAATGAAAATAGAGCTACCTTATGGTCCAGCAATCCCACTGCTAGGTATCTACCCCAAAGAAAGGAAATCAGCATATCACAGAGATCTCTGCACTCCCACATTCATTGCAGTACTATTCACAATAGCCAAGATTTGGAAGCAACCTAAATATCCCATCAACAGATGAATGGATACAGAAAATGTGGGCATATACACAGCAGAGTACTATTCAACCATAAAAAAGAATGAGATTCAGTCATTTGCAACAACATGGATGGAACTGGACGTCATATATTACATAAAATAAGCCAGGCACAGAAAGACAAACTTCACGTGTTCTCACTTATTTGTGAGAGCTAAGAACAAAAACATTTGAACTCATAGAGAGAGTAAAGGATGGCTACTAGAGGCTGGGAAGGGTAGTGAGTCTGTGTGTGTGGGGAGGTGAAGAGTGTTAATGGGTACAAAAAATAGCTAGGAAGGATGAATAACACCTAGTATTTGCTAGCACAATAAGGTGACTGCAGTGAAAAATAATTTAATTGTACATTTAAAAATAACTAAAACAGTATAATTGAATTGTTTGTAACCCAAAAGATAAATGCTTGAGGGGATGAATATCCCATTTACCTGATGTGATTATTACATGTTGCATGCCTGTATCAAAATATTCCATGCAACCCATAAATATATATACCTACTATGTACTCACAAAAATTAAAAATTAAAGTTAAAGAACAATTAAAATGGGGAAGAGATTTGAAAACTTTACAAAGGAAGATATACAGATGATAAATAAGGACATGAAAAGATGCCCAATATCATTAGACATGTGGGAAAGGCAAATTAAAACCACAATGAGATACCATGATAAACACATTAGAATAACTGAAATGAAAAAGAATGACCATACCAAGTGTTGACAGGAAAGTGGAGCAAGTGGAACTCTCACATAATGAAGTGAAGTGTAAAATGGTACAACTGCTTTTTAAAGTATTTTGTCAAAGTTAAACATGTACCTATGAAAATAGAGAAGTTCAAAAAGAAGAACAAAAAACACCCCCAAATAAATGATATTATGCAGAGGTTGCAGACATTGCAATGACAAAGGTAAGCGTATGACTATGGGAAGAAGCACCTGAGAGATGATGAGGACTAAGATCCCTGGAGGAGGGAAAGTCAGGGATCTGAGGGGCTAGAGTGTTGGAAGAATCATCTGTGTAGATATTAAAATCACCAAGAATTATGATAGGAAAGACTAGAGAGAGTAGCCTATAGAAGGAAATAAAAGGTACTTCATCTTACGGCTGCTCTGATCTATTATGCGTAGAATTATTAAGGTCCAGAAACACTGGACAAAATTTCAATTTTTTGACAAAATTTTCTTTCCCTGATAGTGGATGTGACAAAGAAAATGATATTGTTGATCTTTATGATGGCAGGGTGTGAAGAGGAATGGGAAGAGGCAACCAACCTTACCAGCTGCATTTGTTTTGTAATAGAAGTCAGACTAAGGATCCAATCAAAACTAGGTTTAGTGAGTGGAAACATGATTAAGGGTGGGAGGCAGGAAGAAGAATGGAGTCTGATAATAGATACAGCAGGAAGGGTGGATCGCCTTTGGCAAAAGGAAAATCAAAACACTGAGGTGTGGGGGAAATGCAGTAAAGTTTTACAGGAAAACTGAAGGGTTTTTTTTTCTGTTATGTTATGCTGATTTAAAGTGCCATCACATACAATTTTAGGATATAAATTCGCTAGCCTGATTGATGAATTACTGATCTCTTAATTATCTTCAGCTGGCAAAGACAGGATGCAGCCATTCACCAAAACAATTTTTTTCTTTGTGTTTGTGATCTAAGTTTTTAAACATGAAAAATAATAATGGCAACAATAGTTAACATTTATAAAGTGTTTACTACATTGCCAACTACTGTGCTTTATACACTTGTTTTATTTAATCCTTACAAATAGGATGATGCTATGAGGTAGGCTCTGTTATTACACTTGTTTTACAGGTGAGGAAACTGAGGCTCAGAGAGGCTGACTTGCTCAAGTACAGTCGGCTAATCAAGAGTTGATGACATACATCCTCTTCTCACTCAGTAAATTCAGGACCAGGACTATATCCTCCAGACACCATACTCTTAAACACTGCCTTCTCTCATTTAATAGTTTTGTTGAATTTTTATATTAATCAGTCTTTATAAGTATTTATAATAGCTATAAGATACTTTGAAATGGTCTGAACACTCAGAGTAGAGTATCATCTCTTCCTTCTTTCCCCCACACATTAAAAAAAGTTTTTGACAAAAGTATTACATTCAGAATTTTGGCCCAAATGTTAAATTCCATAATTTTATGTACAAATATACTAAAACTTAATTTTAGAGTCTTTGGTACAGAATGCAAACATTCCATTTAACAACAAACAACAAATCATTAAGATTATTTCATCCCTACACTTAGAGAAAATAAAATGTGTGTTATGAAATCTTTGTTCTTAGTTATTGGATAGAAACCTTGCTCAAATCATTCAGAGCTAAAAGACAATGTTTTTATTGACTACACAGAACACATAGATATCGTAGTATAAATTCTTAATTGTGACAGGAGAATGCTTAATCTCTTGTAGTAATGCCTTTTAAAAATTACTCATTAGCACTTTTAGTCTTTCTCAACCCCTATTTCCCCTCCCAGTATCTTCCACGAAACTTCTAGAGATCTGTGGAACACAGCTTAAAATAAAACAAAAACCTGGACCAGATGATATTTGAGGTTCTTCCAGAAAATCTGTAATTTGTATCAATGTCATTAGATAAGCTTACATCTAAAGCACTCCACCTGATAAAATTCTGGACTAGTTTACTAAAAAGTTCACACAACTGAAAACAATTGAATAATATTAGACATAGCTATTTTAAAGGAATAGAATTCTAACTCTGCCACTAACTAGCTATGTGACCTTGGACAAAGTTACTTAGCTGCTCTTTGCTTTAATTTCTGTATTCATAAAAGAGGGTTAATAATAAACCACTTAGCACAGTGCCTACCATATAGTAAGTACTCAATAAATTATTGGTTCCTTTGAAAGTTATTATTTAATTCAACATTTTCTCATCCATGTGTGACTTGCTAAAGTTTCCTGTCCAGATTACCACCCAAATATGAAAAGTCTATGAAGATAAACACATAGGTGAAAGCCAACAATTGATTTCAGGAGTCTAATTGAGTTGAATGAACAGTTCAGACAAAGGGAACACTTTAGTTACCCAGTGAAGAGACATTACTTCTGATTTGGAATTGGTAAATGTAAAAAGCCAGTTAGGAAATTACAGCTCATTTATATCCTATCTGAGCAGTTATATGTTTTGCTACAACCCAGAGATAGAAGAAGTCGCTCTTATGCCCGATAGTTTAGCAAACACTTAATTGCATTACCTAGCACTGCAGGAATTCAAGGGTCTTTCTCTTACAATTTTGAAAAGACAGGTTGATGATGTCCTTGGTGTATATATGTGACAAGCTGTTAAATAATCTAACTGGCTGTAAAAGCATTACTTTTGCCAATAGGTATTTAACTTAACATTTGGTAAGTATATCTTATTTTATGTCTTTGTAAGCCATCAGGGAGCTGTATAGTTTTAGAGGCAAGTTACTTAAACTTTAATGCCTTAGTTTACCTATCTAGAAATGATGAGAACAACATTATAATATTGTAATAACTAAAAGTTGTAATGAAGTAGTAATAACTACTACTATCACTACTACTACTGATGATGCTAGTACTATACAAGCACCATTAATAACAACCTATCTCCTAAGTTGTTAGGACTAAATTAGGTAACATATGTAAAGTATTTAGAAAAGAGCCAGGCACAATATGAGTTTGTTATTGTTCTTATTATCCTGAATACTATCCAATAGTCAGTGAAAATAAAGGGAAAAGCTACACAGTTAATGTAAGCGAGGATTTAGTAAGCTGTTTAATTTCTACTGGGAATAACCCATATAAATTTTTCTTTCTTGATGAGCTAATTTGGAAACACATGTTCCTTTCTCTTGATTTAGGGGTTTTCCAAAGTGCTTTTCTGAAAAGTTGACATGTTAAAAAAAAAAAAAAACAACTCCATGGCAGACCAAAAAGAAGAAGCAGAGCATTCTAAAATGTCCCCCTCCTCACATAACAAGCACACAGACTCCTGTTTTTTTTCTCCCAGTGTCCATGTGACCCTGCTGTGATGTTTGTCCATTGTAGAAGTTTAGAAAGTTCTGTCTAGGCTATGTGTGGGAATGGAGTTCTCAGGTCATTCTCGGCCCTCTCCTCCACCCAGTCAGGCCTTCCAAAACCTATCTCATAAAACACAGATTTTGAGACTTGGAAAGCCCTTAAGGATCATCTTGTCATGCTCCTTCATTGTATAGATGGAGAAAAAAAAGTCTGGAGAGAAGGAGGGATTTTTCTAAGGTTATATAGGAAGCCATTAAGAATATAATTTAGTCGCTCACTACAAACCAGTCTAGTGCTTTTCCACCATATCACCTTGCCTTTTTCAGAAGAGATCTGTTTTCCTGTTGTCATCTAAGAACAGTCACACACCCGGGCATTCTTCTAGAACTCAGAGTAGGAAAATAATCACAACATTCTTTCCTATCTCTAGCCCAAATGTGGAGAATTTTTAAAGACATTGGACTTCAGTGTCAAAAACTAATATATTCTACATGCAGTTATTATAACTGGAAAACTTACCTTTACAAAAAGCTCAATCTCAGGGTCCACTTGAGTGCCGGGCCGCAGGCCTGACATCTTTGTCTTTACTGCCAGTTGTCAGCCTCCTGCCTCCTGTAGAGTCCACAATACTTGTAGACTCTTTTCTCAATTTTATCCAAAGACTCAAGTAATGTTGGTGCTTTAAGAAGACCGTCTAGCTTGTAGTGGACTGAGTCAGACCTGGAGCCAGTCTCTTCTCTCAAGAGGTGTGACGCAGAAAATTCTAGATGCTTAAGTGCAGCTCTTGAAATCGTTTTCCTTCTTCCTCGTGATCTAACATTTAAATCAAGGAGGAGCCAAAGGGGTGTGTATAAACTGCCTGGCTAGAAGGGTGGGGGTGTTTCCAGAGAGGCTTCAATGCCATGAGTCAGCACAGGAGAAACACATGCACAGAAACACACACATGCAGTGCTAGTTTCTATATATCAAGCAGACCAGATGTTTTCTAGAGCCTCCCTTTGAGACCTGGGCTCCATGCCCAGAAAAGGGCCTCTTATTGGTGTTCCTGTAACTTGAAAGCACTTCCAGGAAAAGGGCCAGAAATGACTTGGATTTTTATTATTGAAAAGGATGTTTATCCAGTGATACTGTCTAAAAGAGGGTTAAAAAATTGTACTTCATTAAATGTTTCCACCCCCAATCCTACTGCTCACACAGCCAGATTTCTGTTCTGGGTTGCAAATTTCACTTCTCTCTACAACCAGGGAATGTTCACTGGGGTGGTTGAGTCTGGGGGCTTGTTTAGTGTGCCCCACCTAGTTCTTTATTTCTTGGAAGCTTGGACTGGAACAGATCACTTCCTTGTTTTGGCGTCTGTATCAGGAACCATGATTAGTTCTGTATTTCTGCTTGTCAACCCTGGGAACAGCAGTAAAACCAGTCAAACTGAATGTCTCTGTGAGATCACTCTGTGTCTGCAATGTTTCTGACAGCTGTATCTGATGCCTCCAGGGGCTGGGAGGGGGACCCCGGGATTAACAAACCTCTTTGGTGGGAAGAGTCTCTTCCTGCTTGGAGCCAAACTGAACATAGATCCATCAGTTGGGCACCACTGTGATCCCCTTTCTATAACACCAAGCATTCCCCATGCTCATATGGGCTGTACATGCACCTGCCATTGCCCTGTGTAAAGATTTACAGGATAAGAGGCTCTTGAAAAAACCCAGCCTGCTCCATACCTGTAGGTTCTAGGGAAGGAGTGGCTGATATGTAGGTGAGTGTTCTTCTGGATGAGGGAAACACCTCATGATTCCCCAAATGGTTTGAAAAGTGAGAAGAAAATTGTGCTGGACATCTGCTGAGCCAACCTTAATGGTGAGTTTTGTACTGGCTATTTGGCAGGACCTGGTGTCTGCCTTGTTTAGCTATATTTTCACTCTATTAATCATACTCTGTTCATTCACTCCAAAGGCAATCAATGAATGTCAACTCTGTGCCAGGATGCTGATCCATTCACTGAGATTGGCAGCACAGGACAGCCAGTTCGGGAGGACAACAGGAATTCAACTTTAAGCATACTCAGTCTGAGGCCTCCTCACCTTTCCCCACTCCCTATATCTAACTGCTACAAAATCTTGTCACTTCTACATCCTGAATATTTTAAAAAATCCATCCACTTCTCTTTGCCCCATGACTACTCCAAATTTCAAGCCAGCAATATTCTTTTTTAATTGATTTAAAAATTTTTATTTTAAAAGACCAAATGGTTGCATGACCCTCGACTCTCATGGGAAAACCACAACCCACCACCACCACAGCAACAACAACAAACAGCCTAATGACCTCTGTATGATCCCTAATAAATTGCCAAAGTAAGGAGATGAAAGTTCTCTTTTTTTCTTGATGCTCACAGTGTTTAAATATTGTATTTAGGATAATTTACATGCCATAAAATTTGCATATTTAAAGTGATTTTATAAATTTATTGGGTGGTGCAACCATCACTACAATCTAATTTTAGAACATTTGCATCACGTCAGTGACATCTTTCTTACCCATTTGTAATCAATCTTCATTACCACTCCCAGTATTAGGCAACCATTAATCTACTTTCTGTACCTATGGATTTGCCTATTCTAAATATTTCATATAAATGTTGTGTTAATCCATTTTTGCTTTGCTATAAAGAAATACTTGAGGCTGAATAATTTATAAAGAAAAGAGGTTTAATTGGTTCATGATTCTGCAGGCTGTACAGAAAGCATGGTGCCAGCATCTGCTTCTGGTGAGAGCCTCAGGAAGGTAGAGTGGGAGCATGCATCTCACATGATGAAAGTGGGAGGAAGAGAGAAAGTGGTGGGGGGACATGCCACACTCTTTTAAACGACCAACTCTTGCAATGAATTCAGAGGGAGAACTCACTCATTACTATGAGAGTGGTACCAAGCCACCCATGAAGGACCTGCCCCCATGATGAAAACACCTCCCACCAGGCCCTACCAAAACTTGTTTGCTCTTTGCTTTGTTTGCTTATAATAGTCATTCCAGTGGCTGTGAAGCGGTATCTTACGGTGATATTTTTCGATTTTAAAAATGGATTTAGAGGGTACAAGTGCAGATTTCTTACATGCATATATCGCATCGTGGTGGAGTCTGGGCTTTTAGTGTACCCATCACCTGAAGAGGGAACATTGTACCCAAGAGGTAATTTTTCAACCCTTGTCAACTTCCCACCCTTTTGTAGTCTCCAATATCTATTATGCTACTCTATATGTCCATGTGTACCCATTGTTAAGCTCTCACTTACAAGTGAGAATATGTGATATTTGACTTTCTGTTTCTGAATTATTTTACTTAAGATAACGTACTCCAGTTCCACTCATGTTACTGCAAAACACACGACTTCATTATTTTTTTATGGCTGCATAGTATTCCACGTATATGTAAAATGCAGATGGGTAGATACCCAGTAGTGAGATTGCTGGATCAAATGGTATTTCATTTTTTACCATGTTTAGTTCTTTGAGAAATCTATTTTTAGTTCTTTGAGAAATCTCCATACTGTTTTCCATAAATGTGATAATTTACATTCCCACTAACAGTGCATAAGCATTACTTTTTTCTCCACATCCTCACCAACATCTGTTGTTTTTTGATTTTTAAATAATAGCTATTCTGACTGGTGTAAGATAGTATTGTTTGGTTTTAATTTGCATTTCTCTGATAATTAGTGATATTGAGCATCTTTCATATGTTTGTTGGCCACTTGTATGTCTTTCAAAAAACACCCATTCATGCCCTTTGCCTACTTTTTAATGGCGTTACTTGTTTTTTGTTTTTGTTTTTGTCGTTGTTGTTGTTGTTGAGTTGTTGGAGTTTCTTGTAGATTCTGGATATTAGCCTTTGTTAGATACATAATTTGCAAATATTTTTTCTCATTAGGTAGGTTTACTCTGTTGATTGTTTCTTTTGCTGTGTGGAAGGTTTTTAGCTTAACTGAGTCCCGTCTGTTTATTTTTGTTTGTGTTGCATTTGCTTTTGAGGACCTGGTCAAAAATTCTTTGCCTAAGCCAGGCCAATGTCCAGAAGAATTTTTCCTACATTTTCTCACAGGATTTTTACAGTTTCATGTCTAAAGTATAAATCTTTAATCCATCTCGAGTTAATTCATGTATATGGTGAGAGACAGGGGTCCAGTTTCATTCTTCCGCATATGGCTAGCCAGTTTTCCTAGCACCGTATATTGAAGAGGGTGTTCTTTCTCTATTGTTTAATTTTGTCAATATTGCAGAAGATCAGTTGTTAATAGGTACTTTATTTCTGGGTTCACTATTCTGTTCCGTTGGTCTATATGTCTATTTTTATACCAATATCATGACGTTTTGGTTACTATAGCCTTGTAGTATAATTCAAAGTCAGAATGTAATACTTCAAGCTTTGTTCTTTTTGCTTAGGATTGGTTTGGCTATTCAGACTCTTCTTTCGGTTTCATATGAATTTTAAGTTTTTTTAATTATGTGAAAAATTGTGTTGGTAATTTGATAGAGACTGCACTGAATCTGTAAATTGCTTTGAGCAGTGTGGTCATTTTTAATAATATTGGTTCTTTTGATCCATGAGCATGGGATGTGTTTTCATTTATTTGTGTCATACACAATTTTTTCATCAGTGTTTTGTAGTTCCTCTTGTAGAGATCTTTCACCTCCTTGATTAAATGTATTCCTAGGTGTTTTATTTTTTGTGGCTATTGTAAATGGGTTCTTCATTTGGTTCTTAGCTTGAATGATATTGGTGTAGAGAAATGCTACTGTGTTTTGTACATTGATTTTGTATCCTGAAACTTTACTGAAGTTCTTTATCAAGTCTAGGAGTCTTCTGGAAGAGTCTTTTGGAGTTTTATTGTACATTATTTGGGGTTTTCAACATAATGGGGTATATTTTTCTCCTTTATAATATGTATGCCTTTCATTTCTCTCTCTCTCTCCCTCTCTCTCTCTCTCTGTGTGTGTGTGTGTGTGCGCGTGTGCGTGTGTGTGTGCATGTGTTATCGCACTAGCTGGGACTTCCAGGACTAACAGTGAATAGTAGTGGTGAGAAAGGACATCCTTGACTTATTTCTGATTTTAGGGGAAAATTACTCAGTGGTTCACTGTAGGTTTTCCATGGATAGCCTTTATTAGAATAAGGAAATTTCCTTCTATTCCTAACTTGTTGGGAATTTTATCATTAATTAATATTGAATTTTGTTGAATGCCTTTTCTGCATTTATTTATATGATCATTCGATGTTGCGTATTTAGTATGACAATATGATAAAATACATTGATTGATTTTTGAATGTTGAACCAACTTTGAATACCTGGGATAAACTCCACTTGATCTTGATGCATTATCTTTTTTATACATTGCTAGAGTTGATTGGCTAATATCTTAGTAAGAATATTTGTACCTATGTTTATGTGAGATATTGCTATTTTGTTTTTTGCTCGTAATATCTCTGTCTGAGTTTGGTATTAGGATGATGCTATCCTCATAATATGAGTGGGGTCATTTTCTCTCCTTAATTTTCTGAAAGAGACTGTAAAATTTGTATTACATCTTACTTAAATGTTTGATAGAATTCATGAGTGAAATTGTCTGGCCCGGAGTTCTCTTTCTTGAAAAGTTTTAAATTACAGATTCAGTTTCTTTAATGCATGCCAGGCTATTCAGATTATCTACTTTTCTTTGAATTAGTTTGTTTTTTTTTACCATGTGGGTTTAAGAAATTGGTTCATATAAGTTATCAAATATATAGGCATAGATTGATTGTAGTATTCCCCCTCTTATTCTTTTAGTGAGAACATTCAAAATCATCTCTTCTAGCTATTTTGAACTATACAACATATTATCGTCGACTATTGTCACCCTATTGTGCAATAGAACACCAGAACTTAATCCTCCTATCTAACCATAACTGTAACTTTGTACCCAGTGACCAACCTCTTCCCATCTCTCCTTCCCTCCTCGCCTCCCCTGCCTCTGGTAACCACTGTTCTACTCTCTACCTCTATAACATCAACTTTTAAATTTATATTTATCTTATTTTTATTTATTATTTTTGTGGTTACATAGTAGGTGTATATATTTATGGGTTAGATGAGATGTTCTAATATAGGTATGCAGTACATAATCACATCAGGGTAAAAATGGAGTATCCATCTCCTCAAGCATTTATCTTTGTATTACAAACAACCAAATTATACTCTTTTGGTTATTTTACTTTATTTTATGTTTTATGATTATTATACTTTAAGTTTTAGGGTACATGTGCACAACGTGCAGGTTTGTTACATATGTATACATGTGCCATGTTGGTGTGCTGCACCCATTAACTCGTCATTTAGCATTAGGTATATCTCCTAATGCTATCCCTCCCCCCTCCCCCCACCCCACAACAGTCCCCGGTGTGTGATGTTCCCCTTCCTGTGTCCATGTGTTTTCATTGTTCAATTCCCACCTATGAGTGAGAACATGCGGTGTTTGGTTTTTTGTCCTTGCGATAGTTTGCTGAGAATGATGGTTTCCAGTTTCAGCCATGTCCCTACAAAGGACATGAACTCATCCTTTTTTATGGCCGCATAGTATTCCATGGTGTATATGTGCCACATTTTCTTAATCCAGTCTATCGTTGTTGGACATTTAGGTTGGTTCCAAGTCTTTGCTATTGTGAATAGTGCAGCTATAAACATACGTGTGCATGTGTCCTTATAGCAGCATGATTTATAATCCTTTGGGTATATACCCAGTAATGGGATGGCTGGGTCAAATGGTATTTCTAGTTCTAGATCCCTGAGGAATCGCCACACTGACTTCCACAATGGTTGAACTAGTTTACAGTCCCACCAACAGTGTAAAAGTGTTCCTATTTCTCCACATCCTCTCCAGCACCTGTTGTTTCCTGACTTTTTAATGATCGCCATTCTAACTGGTGTGAGACGGTATCTCATTGTGGTTTTGATTTGCATTTCTCTGATGGCCAGTGATGATGAGCATTTTTTCATGTGTTTTTTGGCTGCATAAATGTCTTCTTTTGGGAAGTGTCTGTTCATATCTTTTGCCCACTTTTTGATGGGGTTGTTCGTTTTTTTCTTGTAAATTTGTTTGAGTTCATTGTAGATTCTGGATATTAGCCCTTTGTCAGACAAGTAGGTTGCAAAAATTTTCTCCCATTCTGTAGGTTGCCTGTTCACTCTGATGGTGGTTTCTTTTGCTGTGCAGAAGCTCTTTAGTTTAATTAGATCCCATTTGTCAATTTTGGCTTTTGTTGCCATTGCTTTTGGTGTTTTAGACATGAAGTCCTTGCTCATGCCTATGTCCTGAATGGTATTGCCTAGGTTTTCTTCCAGGATTTTTATGGTTTTAGGTCTAATATTTAAGTCTTTAATCCATCTTGAATTAATTTTTGTATAAGCTGTAAGGAAGGGATCCAGTTTCAGCTTTCTCCATATGGCTAGCCAGTTCTCCCAGCACCATTTATTAAATAGGGAATCCTTTCCCCATTGCTTGTTTTTGTCAGGTTTGTCAAAGATCAGATAGTTGTAGATATGCGGCATTGTTTCTGAGGGCTCTGTTCTGTTCCATTGGTCTATATCTCTGTTTTGGTACCAGTACCATGCTGTTTTGGTTACTGTAGCCTTGTAGTATAGTTTGAAGTCAGGTAGCGTGATGCCTCCAGGTTTGTTCTTTTGGCTTAGGATTGACTTGGCGATGTGGGCTCTTTTTTGGTTCCATATGAACTTTAAAGTAGTTTTTTCCAATTCTGTGAAGAAAGTCATTGGTAGCTTGATGGGGATGGCATTGAGTCTATAAATTACCTTGGGCAGTATGGCCATTTTCACGATATTGATTCTTCCTACCCATGAGCATGGAATGTTCTTCCATTTGTTTGTGTCCTCTTTTATTTCATTGAGCAGTGGTTTGTAGTTCTCCTTGAAGAGGTCCTTCATATCCCTTGTAAGTTGGATTCCTAGGTATTTTATCCTCTTTGAAGCAAATGTGAATGGGAGTTCACTCATGATTTGGCTCTTTTGGTTATTTTAAAAGTATGATTAAATTATTTTTTTACTACAGTCTCCCTGTTGTGCTAGCAAATACTAGGCTTTATTCATTCTTTCTAACTATTTTTTGTACCCACTAACCTTCCCCACTTCCTCCTCACCCTCCCACTAACCTTCCCAGCCTCCCTTCTACTCTCTATCTTCATTTCAATTATTTAATTTTTAGCTCACACAAATAAGTGAGCACATGCAAAGTTTGTCTTTCTGTGCCTGGCTTATTTCACCTAATGTAATGTCCTACAGGCTTATCCATGTTGTCACACATGACAGGATCTCATTATTGGTTATGGCTGAATAGTACTCCATTGTGAATATGCACCACATTTTCTTTATCCATTCATCTGTTGATGGACACTTATGTTGATTCCATATCTTGGCTATTGTGAATAGTGCTGCAATAAACATGGGTGTGTTAGTCAAGGTTCTCCAGAGAGACAGAACCAATAGGATATATGAGAGAGGATTTATGAGGTGTAGTTGGTTCAGATGATTATAGAGATGGAGAAGTCCCACAATAGGCCATCTGCAAGCTGCAGAACCGAAGAAGCTGGTAGCACGATTCACTCCAAGTCTGGAAGCCTCAGAACTAGGGAAGCTGAGAGTACAGACCCCAGTCTGAGGCCAAAGGCCTAAGAGCCCACTGGAGGCTGTGGATGCAAGTCCCAGAGTCCAAAAGTGGAAGAAACTGGAGTCTGATGTCCAAGGACAGGAGGAGGAAAGAAATCTGGCTGCAGAAGGGAGATAGGATGAGCAGAGAGAGAGAATTCCTCCTCTTCTGTCTATTTGTCCCAACCAGGCTCCCAGCTAACAGGACAGTGCACGCCCGCATTGAAAGTGGATCTTACCTGTTGCAGTCCACTGTCTCACACACCAAGCTCCCCTGGAAACACTCTCACCGACACACCCAGGGAACAATGTTTCAACAGCCGTCTTGGCATCCCTCAATCCAGTCAAGCTGACTCGTAAATTGAACCATCACAATGAGAGTGCAGGTATCTCTCCAACATACTGATTTCATTTCCTTTTAAAATACCCAGTAGTGAGTTCTTTGGATCATATGCTAGTTCTATTTTTAATTTTTTGAGGAACCTCAGTACTGTTGTCCATATTGCCTGTACTAGTTTACATTCCCATCAACAATGTATAAGATTTCCCCTTTCTACACATCTTCACCAGCATTTGTTGTTTCTTTAACATAAAGAGTGTAAAATCACTTTATTAGAAAGTTTAACTAATCAGTCACAAATGAACAGCATTTTTGAGCACTAAACAGAGGATTAAAATAATTTCCAAACACTAGAGAAAATTATTGAAAATTCTAATATTTTAGGCTTAAAATATCATTACCCTCATGAAAGCAAAAATCCTATAGATGATATTTTCTAATATATATATATATTCTAAGTACTATGAAATTATAATAGAAATCATCAATTAAAGTGTAACAAGTAATATCTAACCACGGGCAAATTTCTTTTAAGATCACTTTATTATATTTTATGTTATTAAATTAAATTTTGATTTTTTTAATTATTATGGGTAAATAATAGTTGTATATATTTATGGAGTGCATGTGATGTTTTGATACAGGCATACAATATGTAATGATCAAATCAGGATAATTGAGGTATCTATCATTTCAAGCCTTTATTATTTCTTTGTGTTAGGAACACTCCAGTTCTACTCTCTTAGTTATTTTTAAATATACAATAAGTTATTGTTAACTATAGTTGCCTTATTGTGCTGCCAAATACTAGATCTTATTCATTCTCTCTGTGTTTGTACATACTAACCATCCTTACTTTCAGCCTATTTTTTGTCTTTTTAATGATAGCCATTGTAACTGGGGTGAGGTGATATTGTGGTTTTGATTTGCATTTCCCTAATGATTAGTGATGTGGAGCATTTAAAAATATACCCATTTGCCATTTGTCTGCCTTCTTTGGAGAAATGTCTATTCAGAACTTTTGTCCATTTTTAAGGGAATATGTCTTTTTTGGTTATTGAGTTTGAGTTCCTTATATACTCCGGGTATTAATCTCTTGTAGATGCATAGTTTGCAAACATTTTCTCACATTCTGTGAGTTATCTCTTCACTCCGTTGATTGACTGTTTCTTAGAAATTTTCAAATTACGATACATTGTTATTAACTATAGTCATCACATGGAAAAATAGATCACTTGAACTTATTTCTCTGATCTAAAATTATGTATCCTCTGAGCAACATATCCCCAACCACCCAACCACTACTCCACAACCCACCAGCCTCTAGTACCCACCATTCTGCTCTCTATTTCTATGATATCAACTTTTTTTTTACATTACACATATGAGTGAGATCATGCAGTATTGATATTTCTGTGCCTGGCTTATTTTCACTTAATGTTCTCCAGGTTCATCCATGTTGTCACAAATGACAGGACTTTCTTCTTTTTCAAGGATGAATAGTATTCCACTTTTTATGCATACCACATTTTCTCTATATACACTCCCATGTATTCTGCCTAGATTGATTTTATATCTTGGCTATTGTGAATATTTCTGCAAAGAACATGGAAGATATCTCTCGGACATACTGATTTCATTTCCTTTGGGTATATACCCAGTGGTGAGATTGCTGGATGATGTAGTAGTTCTACTTTTAGCTTTTTTTAGAAACCTCCGTATTGTTTTCCATAATGGCTGCACTAATTCACATTCCCACCAACAGTGTGCAAGGGTTCACTTATCTCCACATCCTCATCAACATTGTTATCTTTTGTCTTTTTAATAATAGCCATCCTAAGGCGTATGAGATGATATCCCGTGGTGGTTTTAATTTGAATTTATCTGATTACTAGTGATGTTGAGCACTTTTTCATATACCTCTTGGCCATTTGTATGTCTTCTTTTGAGAAATGTCTATCCAGATCCTTTGCCCATTTTTAAATCAGGTTATTTGTTTTCTTACTATTGAGTTGTTTGAGTTCCTCAAATATTTTAGATATTAACCCCTTATCAGATGTATAGTTTGCAAATACTTTCTCCCATTCTGCAGGTTGTCTCTTCATTCTTTTGTTTCCTTTGCTGTGCAGAAGCTTTTCAGTTTGATGCAATTTCATTTACCTAGTTTTTCTTCCGTTGCTTATACTTTTGGATCATATCCAAAAGGTAATTGTATAGACCAATATCATAGAGTTATACCATGTGTTTTCTTCTAGTAGATTTACGGTGTCAGGTCTTACATGTAAGCGTTTAATCCATTTCTAGTTGATTTTTGTATATGTTGTAAGAAAAGGGTCTAATTTCATTCTTCTGCATGTGGACATCCAGTTTCCCCAGCACCGTTTATTGAATGTATAAGAGTTCTTTTCTCTCCACATACTTGCCAACGTCTGTCATTTTTGGTCTTTGTAATAACAGCCATTCTACAATGGCCATATTCCCATACTGTGGGTTGTTTCTTCACTCTGTTGATTGTTTCCCTTGCCTCACAGAAACTCTTTAGTTTAATCCAGTCTCATTTGTCTATTTCTGGGTTTTGTTTCCTGTGCTTTTGGGGAATAAAATCTTTTCCCAGAGCATTATCCTGGAGAGTCATCCCGAGGTTTTCTTCTAGCATTTTTATAATTTCTATAGCTCCTCCAAGGTCACACACCTGAACTGAGATTGTAATGGTGATCTAACTGAAAGCCTATTTATCTACCTATCTGAAAGCCCACCAGCTTTCACTTACACCACAATACACAAATCCATCAAATGCATCGTCTGCTCAATTATGGAGCTCTCTTGGGAAATACTTGTCTGTCAACTAAGAAGAAGGATAACTTTGTTAAATCTTCCTAGCTTTTCTTGTCAGATAAATGCCTGCTTTATTTGCTTTCCCCTACTCCCACGTCTCTCTTGCTTCATATCAAAGCAGGAAAAAAAGGAAAAACTGCACAATAATATGATGGCATCACTTTGTGCCAAAGTCCAGAAATAGTCTTATTCTAATCCAAAGTATTGCACAACCATTTTGCTTATGTGTAATAGACTTTTCCTGCTACTTTCTCTGTTGGCTTTAGAAAACACCACCATCTAATATAAATAGTGAATACCAAATTCCATGTAAGCTTGGACAAATCACAAGGTCTTATCATTATTTTCCTTATCTATAAAGTAAGACAATAACAGCTGTACTACTTACCTCACGTGGTTATCATGCAGAGGGTCAATCAGATAGTGTATATGGAAACATTTCTAAACTGCAAATCTCAGTTTGAAGTCAAAAGATTGTAAGTGTGATCTGTAAAAATGTTGCTCTCATGAACAAGCGTACACAGGAATTACGATCATTTTTCTGTTCTCTGGTATAAACAATGAGTTAAAGAATTAAGGACACCTGATTTCAAAACCTCTCTGCTACGTATGAACTCTGTGGCAGGTCTCTAAGTTTCAGTTGCCTTAAATGTAAAAGGAGGTTAATAACACCTTTCCTTCTGGGATGATGAAATAAGTAAATTAAATAATATTTTCACAAATGCCTAACCCAGCACTAGAAGTTTCTGGAAATGACAATGGGTGTCAACAGCCTGGTGAAGACTGTGCTTCCTCACTCCATTCTCCCTCCAGGCATGGCTCCTTGAAGCCTGGGAGGATGGACTATTATATTCTTTTTCTTTCTTTCTTTCTTTCTTTCTTTTTTTTTTTTTCTTTGAGACAGAGTCTCGCTCTGTCGCCCAGGCTGGAGTGCAGTGGCGCGATCTTGGCTCACTGCAGCGTCCGCCACCCAGGTTCAAGTGATTCTCCTGCCTCAGTCTCCCAAGTAGCTGGGACTACAGGCGCGTGCCACCGCGCCTGGCTAATTTTTTTGTTGTTTTGTTTTGTTTGTATTTTTAGTAGAGATGGGGTTTCGCCATGTTGGCCAGGCTGGTCTTGAACTCCTGGCCTCAGGTGATCTGACCGCTTTGGCCTCCCAAAGTGCTGGGATTACAGGCGTGAGCCATCGCGCCCGGCCTATTTTTGCATTTGATTCTTGCAGTAGCCCTGTGAGATCAGCTAAGCAGATGTTATTATGCTCATTTTATATGCAACAAAACTAAGAATGTTGGCTCTGATTGTGCCATGTACTATCTAACACTAAGGAATATTGCCTGAGATATCCAAAAATGGCACCATTGGATGTTAATTTATCTTTGGAAAGAATATCTTTGGCAGTATCTAGTAAATCTGAGCATACACATACCTTATGATCCATAAGTTCCATTCTTAAGTTTATTTCAAACAGGAGTGAATATATTTGTTCACCAAAAGACATGTAATAGAATGTTCATAACAGCACTGTTTGTAGTAGTTCCAAACCGGAAATTACTCATATGTCCATCAACAGTAGAATGGATAAACTGTGGTGTGATCACGCACTCAACTTCCATATAGCACCAATAAACTATTGCTAAGCAATGATGAAACTCCTAAACATAATATTAAATGAAAGAAGCCAGACACAAAATGAATACATATTGTGATTGCAATTATATAAAGTTTTATATAAACAGGCAAAACTAATCTTTGGTGATAGAAGTCAGGATGGTAGTTACCCGTGGGTTGGGGGATGGGCGTTACTGGAAAGGGGCATAAGGGAGGGTTCTGGGGTTCTGGTAATGATCTGTTTATTGACCTGGGTGCTAGTGATATGGATGCGATTACATCATGAAAATTCATCAAGCTTACGATTTGTGTACTTTTTCCGTAATGTATAGTATACTTCAGTAAAAAGTTAATTTGCCTTAGGCAAAACAGAAACCCATTATCTTAGGCAAGGTTTTTCAGTGGCTTCCCATGGTACTCAGAATAAAATCCAAAGTCCTTACCATGGCCTGCATGGCAATATATACATGATCTAGCCCCTGACTACCTCCTCCACGTAATTTCTCCCACCATTATTCCCCTTGCTTACTCAGCTCCAGCCACGTGACCTTCTTACTGGTCGGCAAACAGAATAAAACTCCATTCCACTCCAAGGCTGTGTTTTTGCTTTTCCCTTTGCCTGGAATGCTCTCCCCTCAGCCTGTTACATTGTTGGTCTCGTATCATACAGGTAACAGCTCAAATGTCGCTTCTTCAAAAAGTCCTTCACTTAACACTCCATGTGAAATAGATTTCCCAGTCGCTCTTTATTATATAACACTATTATTTTTTCATAGCATTTATAGCTAGCTGAAATTACTTTGTTTATGTATTTATTACTTGTTTATCATCTATCTTCCTCAATAGAAGGTAAACTCTGTCCAAAGACTGAGGTCGTGTCTGCTGTATTCGTCCTTGTATCTTTAATGCCTGACGCACTGCCTAGCATGTAGCTGGTGCGCATATAAATGTTAGGGTTGAACGAATGATTGAAGATCCCTGGGTGAATGGTCCACTAGGCTATAGCTGGGATTCCTCCCACAAAGGGAGACACTTAAGTTGTAAGTCATCCTGTTAAAAGGAAAGCTTTGTTAGTACAACCTCTCTTGTCCACCCCACCTCAGCTTGGTGAGGAGAAAGCTCAGCGCTTTCCCCAGTGCTTCCATGACCTTTGGCCAGTAAAGACTTAAAATATCATATCATAAGATGAGAGAAACAGTTGGAACTTAACTTCTATCCCGTATCCTTAGATTATTCAAAGAAAAACAAAACACGGTCAACAGGCAGTGGAACTCCTCACTCCAATGTGATATTCCTGAGAGAATATTGACTTATCGTCACTTCGTCTCTGGGACAAGTATTGAACATAGGGGAAGCCTTATATAAAATTGTTCAATAAACAAAAGATGTCTTTAACATGTGTTTGAGATCTTTCTTCTCATGATTCCATGTTAGGTACAACAACTATGACCGGGCTGTCATCAATACCGTTCCTTATGATGTCGTCCATCGCTGGTATACAGCACACCGGACTCTAACGATAGAGTTGAGGAGACCTGAGAATGAGTTTTGGGTCAAACTAAAGCCTGGCAGGGTGGGTCCTAATCTCTAAAGATGTCAAGCAAGCTTGTAATACTGAAGCAGTGAAGAACGGGTACTTACTTAATATGTGAGTCACGATGTTGCAAAGGAAAAAGAGAAAAGAGTCCTTGGTTTTGTTTATGGTCCTGCCGCCCACTCACTGAATGCTCTGGAAGCAAGCCTCATCCCATCTCTAAGGCATCAGTGACTCTATTTGTATGATGAAGGGGTTTAACTAGATGACCCCCAAGGGTCCTTCCAGCTTCATGATTCCATAGTTTTTATTTTTGGTATTTCCTCTGGATGAAAAATACCTTCAGCTTAGCATAAAATGTCATGAGATAATTTAACCCTTTGAGAAAGGGTAGAATAAGAATTAAAGAAAAAGAAAAAGAAACAAACCAATTATCTGATTTACTTTGATAAGAGAACAATTACTTGAGAAACAGAAGCTCCTCCAGTGCAGGGCCCATTACCTACTGTTGCCTCTGTAACTTCCATTTAGCCTACTACAGGGCTATACACATCTTAGTTTCCAAAAGTTTGTTTAATTTCAAAAGAAAAATATCTCATTTAATGCAACCAGAAAACAACCTAAAGGTTATCTTTTAAATGATCTCTTCTGACTTAGGGTTCCTTTGGTCTGTCCTTCTTCTGACAGTGTTTTCTCTCTCTTTTTTTTTTTTTTTTTGGCCCATTCACAGGTCCTATTTATAGACAACTGGCGTGTCCTACATGGCAGGGAATGCTTCACTGGCTACCGCCAACTGTGTGGCTGCTATTTAACAAGAGATGATGTATTAAACACTGCTCGCCTCTTGGGGCTTCAGGCTTAAAATTGACAGCATCTGGATTATGAATACACCTGGCACCCTGGCTACCAGAATTTCATATGGGCAGAATAATATTGTGTCAAACTCTACTTCAGATTGTCTCCTTATCCCATCCCACAAAACAGAATCTGTCCGTTTCTCTAGTAAGGGAGACTTGTTGGAGAGGCGGGACTCTGAGTTATCTAATGTCAGACATCTAGTGGGGCAGCTCTCTTCCTCATGTTATAACATGGATCCACTTGTTTGATTTAAACCTTTTAATATAATTTTGGTCAGTCTCCTTCAGAAATATAATCTCCATATTGATAGGAAAGCAATAATTGCCATGAGGTAACGATTTTTTTCCCAAGTAGATCAGTTAGAAAGAAATGCATTCTAGAAATAACAAAAATCCTGATAAAGCAACAATTTGCAAAATGTTTGGTCTTAGGACACCTTAACACTCTTAAAAGTTATTGAAGGCCCCAAGGAGTTCTTGGGTGTGGGTTCTATCTATTGATACTAATTATTTTAGGTATTAAGACTGAGAAATATTTAAAGCTCAAGAAGAACACAGAAGCACACATCCCTCAGCTATGAGAGAGATGACATAACCATATGTCATGTAGCCTCTGGAAAAGTCCTCTGTATCCTCATGAGATAACGAGAGGGGGAAAAAAAGCTACTACTGCCTTTGTAACTTCCACTTAGCCTACTACAGGGCTATGCACATCTTAGTTTCCAAAAGTCTGCTTAATTTCAAAAGAAAAATGCCTAATTGAATGTAACTCATCTTGGTGTTATTATACAAAATAATTTTTAATCTGCAGACCCACGAAAAGGGTCTCAGGGACTCCTCCAGGGGTCTTCAGACCATACTTTGAGAACCCATGGGCTAGCGACTACCTTGAGACAGTCCTTTACCTAGGCCTGTGGATTAAAGGGTTTAGCTGAAACCCTAGATTCTTCTCTGTAGTCTAATAGAACTCCAAACATTGTAAGAATTGCTTGGTAGCATAAGCTCAGGGATAAGGTGGGAATTGAGTTCAAATATAGTGTTTTATCTTCCACACAAATCATCTCTATAGGAGTTAAATTAGGAAGTCACAACAGCGCCTGTTGAACAAACTCATCAGTGTGGTAATCCTATGAGGGATAATTGCAGAAAGGTTTTAGAGACTTGTGAGGTTCCATATGATAATTCTTTACACCTCCCCCCCCAAGAGAAAGTACACAGGGCTATTCTGTAATATTGTTCAGGGAAATCAGCATGATAGATGCTGTGCCTCCAGAGAGTTCTCTGGAGATTACTACCCAAATGTGTATTTTGGCAATTTGGTGGTATTTAGGATGTAATATGTTTTCCTCCATTTCTGCTAATTTTCTCTCTCTCTCTCTCATAACATACTATACATGCTAATTGCCAAGATTTGAATGAGTCAAATTTAGTAGCTTGCTGCTTTTATTTTTTAAATGGCTTCTTTTACGTATTGGCGGGGGCGGGGAGGGGGGCAGGGTATGAGGCTTCTTTTCCCTCAGCTTTCATTGAAAGTGAAGCTGTACAATAACCACATTGACCACTGTAGAATGATGAAAGAGAATATAGGCTAGGATGCACACAAGAGGGGGGAAAAGGCATTATTAGTGAAGATAGGAGTTACAAAGCAAAGCAAAGTCAGTATTCAGATAGAGAATAGAGCCTAATCTGATGTTTGCAGGGAGTTCCTAGATCACATTTGGCAATTTACACATTATTTTATTGACCTATCCAGTGCTCCAAAATGTGTTCCAAAATATTTTGGCATTTTATTTGTACTACATAGGAATCTTTAGGGGAGTCCCTGAAATTTGTTTTCCTCTTAGGTCAAAGGACTGATAATTAACTTTGGTTCTTAAGGAGTATGCCCTTTAGCAATAAGAACAGCAATAACATTTTACCCTGCAGTTTTTTCTCTATACCTACTATTATGCACTCCTAAAATATGTCATCATTAGTCTTCATGAGGATGTTTACCATTTCTGAAGTTTTGCGTAAATTAGCCTTGAAGATTACACTATAACTGAGGTCATCAGCATTGACTTATGGCCAGCAAAGGACATGCTCATGGCCCTGGAGAGATGAGGACACAAAACAAATCAATTTCCCCACTTACTGAAGGACTCCCCTTACCTTCTGTCTCTCCTGAGACCTTGACTCATTAATTATTTTACTCTCCTTTTTGGAAATTTGCAACCGGTCCTTCTCAACAATGTGCTCCCTTTAGTACACTGAAGAAAAAGAGAAGGGGATTATTTGAGTCCTGATCACGATGCATTGAAAACTTCCTATGTGAGATGTTTCTGTTTTTATATCTCTTCCAGGTGTCCCTGAGTATATAAGCATGGGTCTATGTCTACCAAGCTCACTGTAGAGTCACTTTTACCTTTTGCTATGGTGGAATGGGATCTGTAGGGTCAGGAACACAGCACCTAACACAGTGCCTTATGGATAGTAGTTTTATAATACAGATGTGTTGGAAGAATAAATGAATGGGTCCTTTTCAAACAAATTCACCAGAAGTTACCACATTCTCTGTATGTATGTCCTTTTTCGTTTGGCATTTAGCTGACACTGACTTTTGTTTGCTTTCATCTAGAGTGACCAACCATCCTCTTGTGCCCAGAACTACAGGACTTTCCATTTTAAAAGTAGGAGAGTCCCACACAAACCAGGACTGTTGGTCAGTCACCGTACCTTCTTGCTGCTAGATATGTAATTTTCTTTGGTTTTCATCACCGGTTCCCATTTCTTTGAAAGTGTTTGTAGGTCACACACTGTGTAGTCCATGATGAAAAGAACAAAAGATGTATGAATTATGGTGTGTTGTGGTGGTTCCCAAAGTAGGGTCCCCAGACCACCAGCAGTGGCATCATTTGAGAACTCCTTAGAAATGCAAATTTTCAAGGCCCACCCCACGCCTACTAAGTAAGAAACTCTAGGCATGGGTACCAGCAGTTTGTTTTAGCAAGTCCTCTGCAGGATTGTAACACATGACAAAGTTTGAGAACTACTGACAGGAAGAGTCCTGCTGCTGAGTTCTAGGCCCAGTTCTGTCACTGGCTCACTAAATGACTTCAGGCATGTCCCTCTCCTATTTTGAACTTCAGTTTTCTCTTCTGTGAAATGAAAGCCTTGGACTAGGCAGCGTCTAAAGGCTCTGTCACTCCGTAATTGTGTGACTTTGGTAACTTTGTTTGACTTCTCCTTGCTTAAGTTTTCTCATATGGGTATGGTAAGGAAAATACCTACCTCACAGGATTTTCTAACAATTTTGTGATTATTAAGTATGATGACTGATGACTAATATATGACAGCCAGCTCTTACACAGTGCTTTCTATATCCTGGACTGTTGTAAGTGCTTTTAATCCCCGCAACAATCCCATCTCCATTTTACAAATGAAAAATAGAGGTCACACGGCTAATACGTGTCAGAGTTTGGATTAAAACCCAGAAAAATCTGTCCCCAGAGACAATGATTTTAACTAGCATGCCCTTTTGCTCAATAAATGTTAATTCCCTCACCCTTTCCACACACACACAGTCTAGCTGACCATTCATAGACAATAATCCCACTTTCACAGTCCATCCAACAAGATCTTAAAAGAACCATGAGAATCTCTAGGTTTCTTTTGCAAATAGTTTTCAAGCATTTAAAAAAAAAAGGTGGGGGGCGGGGAGGGAGTGGCCAAGATGGCTGACTAGAAGCAGCTAGGGTGAGTGGTTCTCATGGAGGGGAAGGAAAGGGGCGAGTAAATACAGCGCCTTCAACTGAAACATCCAGGTACCCACATTGGGTCTAATCAAGGAAACAACTCGATCCACAGAGAATGAAGAAAAGCAAGGCAGGATGACAGCCCACCCAGGAGCAACATGGAGACAGAGGAACCTCCTCCACCCAGGGAAGTCGTAAGTGAATGTGCGATCCTGGGAAACCACGCTCCTCCCATGGATCCTTGCAACCCTTGGGTCAGGAGATCCCCTGGTGAACCCACTCCACCAGGGCCTTCAGTCTGACACACAGAGATACATGGAGTCTCAGCAGAGTAGCCGCTTGAGCACGTGCAGAGACCCAGCAGCTTTACATACTCCGGCCCTGGGTTTCCCAGCAAAAGTAACTGCAACTCCTGCAAAGCGGGAGATTAGACCCCTGTACATACCCCTAGGAAAGAGGCTGAATCCAGGGGGCCAAGCGGCACGATCTGCGGGCCCCACTTCCACTGCACCTCACAGGATAAGACCCACTGGTTTGGAATTCCAGCCAGCCACCAGCAGCAGTGTTGCACCTACCTGGGACAGAGGTCCCAGGGGGAAGGGCAGGCTGCTCTCTGGGACAGAGCTCCCAGAAGTGGTACCCCAGAACAGCACAGCACAGCTGCTCTTCAGAAGCATGGCCAGACTGCTTCTTTAAGCAGGTGCCCAATCTGTTCCTCCTCACTGGGTGGGACTTTTCAACCAAGGCCTCCAGCAACCCCTACTGGTGTTCTCTGGCTGACAGAGATTTGAATTCTCCCTGGGACAGAGCTCCCGGAGGGAGGGAGGGGCCACCATCTTTGCTGTTTGGGCGACTTAGCTGTTCCGGCCTCCAGGCTTTGGAGAGCCCACACCAACCAGGGGTGGAAGCAGTGCCCCAGCACAGCACAGCTGATCTGTGAAAGCATGGACAGACTGCTTCTTTAAGCAGTTCCCTGATCCCGTTCCTCCTGACTGGGTGAGACCTCCCAACCAGGGTCTCCAGCCTTGTCCTGCAGGCGCATTTGGGCTGGCAACAGGTCTGTACCTCGCTGGGCCGGAGCTCCCAGAGGAAGAGGCAGGCTGACATCTTTGCTGTTTCACAGCCTTCACTGGTGATAGCTCCAGGTACTGGAAAATCCAAGGAGACTAGGAACTGGAGAAGAAGCCCAGCAAAGTACAGCAGCCCTACAGAAACATGGCCAGACTGTTAAAAGAAAAAAAAAATCCAAAGGTCAGCAACCTCAAAGACTGAAGGTAGATAAGCCCACAAAGATGAGAAAGAATCAGTGCAAGAATGCTGAAAACTCAAGAAGCCAGAGTGCCCTCTTTCCTCCAAATGACTGCATCACCTCTCTAGCAAGGGTTCGGAATTGGGCTGAGGCTGAGATGGCTGAAATGACATAAGTAGAATTCAGAATATGGATAGAAATGAACTTCACTGAGTTAAAAGAGTACATTGTAACCCAATGCAAGCAAGCTAAAAATCATGATAAAACATTGCAGGAGCTGACAGACAAAATAGCCCATGTAGAGAAGAATGTAACCAACCTGACGGAACTGAAAAAACACACTACAAGAATTTCATAATGCAATCACAAGTACTAATAGCAGAATAGACAAAGCGGAGGAAAGAATTTCAGAGCTTGAAGACTGGCTTTCTGAAATAAGACTGGCAGACAAGAATAGAGAAAAAAGAATGAAAAGCAATGAACAAAACCTCCGAGAAATATGGGATCACGTAAAGAGAGCGAATCTAAGACTGATTGGTGTCCCTGAAAGAGATGGGGAAAACGGAACCAATTTGGAAAACGCATTTCAGGATATCATCTATGAGAAATTCCCTAACCTAGCTAGAGAGGCCAACATTCAAATTCAGGAAATCCAGAGAACTCCAGGAAGATACTCCACGAAAGGAACATCCCCAACACACATAATCATCAGATTCTCCAAGGTTGAAACGAAAGAAAAAATGTTAAAGGCGGCTAGAGAGAAAGGCCAGGTCACCTACAAAGGGAAGCCCTTCAGACTAACAGTGGATGTCTCAGTGGAAAACCTACAAGCCAGAAGAGATTGGGGGTCAATACTCAACATTCTTAAAGAAACTCCAACCCAGAATTTCATATCTGGCCAAAGTAAGCTTCATAAGCGAAGAAGAAATAAGATTATTTTCAGACAAGCAAATGTTAAGGGAATTTGTTACCACCAGACCTGCCCTACAAGAGCTCCTGAAGGAAGCACTAAATGTAGAAAGGAAAGATGGTTACCAGCCACTCCAAAAACACACTGAAGTACTCAGACCAGTGACACTACAGAGCAAACATGTAAGCAAGTCTGCAAAATAACCAGCTAGCATCATGATGAAAGGATCAAATCCAAACATACCAATACTAACCTTAAATTGTAAATGGGCTAAATGCCCCAGTTAAAAGACACAGAGTAGCAAGCTGGATAAGGAACTAAGATCCAATGGTATGCTGTCTTCAAGAGAACCATCTCACATGCAATGACACACATAGGCTCAAAATAAAAAGATGGATGAAAATCTACCAAGCAAACGGAAAACATAAAAAAGCAGCAGTTGCAATCCTAGTTTCTGACAAAACAGACTTTAAATCAACAAAGATCAAAAAACACAAAGAAGGGCATTACATAATGGTAAATGGTTCAATTCAACAAGAAAATCTAACTATCCTAAATACATATGGACCCAACACAGGAGCACCCAGATTTATAAAGCAAGTTCTTAGAGGCCTTCACAGAGACTTAGACTGCCAGGCAATGATAGTGGGAGACTTTTTAACACCCCACTGACAATATTAGACAGATCATTGAGACAGACAGTTAACAAAGATATTCAGGACCTGAACTCAGCACTGGATCAAATGGACCTGGTGGATATCTACAGAACTCTCCACCCCAAAACAACAGAATATACATTCTTCTGATCACCGCAAGGCACTTACTCTAAAATCGACCACATAATCAGAAGTAAAACACTCCTCGACAAATGCAAAAGAACTGAAATCATGACAAACAGTCTCTTGGGCCACAGAAGAATCAAATTTGAAATCAAGATTAAGAAATTCACTCAAAACCATGCAATTACATGGAAATTGAATAACCTGCTCCTGAATGACTTTTGGGTAAACAATGAAATTTAGGCAGAAATCAAGAAGTTCTATGAAACTAATGAGAACAAAGATACAAAGTACCAGAATCTCTGGGATACAGCAAAGGCAGTGTTAAGAAGGAAATTTATAGCACTAAATGCCCACATCAAAAAGTTAGAAAGATCTCAAGTTAATAACCTAACATCACTACTAAAAGAACTAGAGAAGCGAGAGCAAACAAATCCCAAAACTAGCAGAAGACAAGAAATAACAAAAATCAGAGCTGAACTGAAGGAGACAGAGACATGAAAAACCCTTCAAAAAATGAAAGAATCCAGAAGCTGTTTTTTTTTTCTTTGAAAAAAAGTAATAAAATAGACCGCTAGCTAGACGAATAAAGAAGGAAAGAGAGAAGATTTGAATAAACACAATCAGAAATGATAAGGGGAATATTTATCACTGACCCCACAGAAATACAAACAACCACCAGAGAATATTGTGAACACCTCTGGGCACATAAACTAGGAAGTCTAGAAGAAATGGACAAATTCCTGGACACACACACCTCCCCAAGGCTGAACCAGGAAGAAACTGAATCCCTGAACAGACCAGTAATGAGTTTGGAAATTGAGGCAGTAATAAATAGCCTACCAACCAAAAAAATCCCAGGACCAGATGGATTCACAGCTGAATTCTACCAGATGTACAAAGAGGAACTGGTAGCATTCCTACTGATACTATTTCAAAAAATTGAGAAGGAGGGACTCCTCCCTAACTCATTCTATGAGGCCAGCATCATCCTGAAACCAAAACCTGGCAGAGATACAACAACAAAAGAAAACTTCAGGCCAGTATCCTTCATGAACATCAATGCAAAAATCCTCAACAAAATGCTGGCAAACTGAATCCAGCAGCACATCAAAAAGCTTATCCACCACGATCAAGTTGGCTTCCTCCCTGGGATGCAAGGTTGGTTCAACATATGCAGATCAATAAATGTGACTCATCACATAAACAGAACTAAAGACAAAAACCACATGATTATCTCAATAGATGCAGAAAAGGCTTTTGATAAAATTCAACATCGCTTCATGTTAAAAACTCTCAATAAACTAGGTATTGAAGGACCATGCCTCAAAATAATAAGAGCCATCTGTGACAAACGCACAGCCAACATCATACTGAATGGACAACAGCTGGAAGCATTCCCCTTGAAAACCGGCACAAGACAAGGATGCCCTCTCTCACCACTCCTATTCAACATAGTATTGGAAGTTCTGGCCAGGGCAATCAGGCAAGTGAAAGAAATAAAGGGCATCCAAATTGGAAGGGAGGAAGTCAACCTATCCCTGCTTGCAGATGACATGATCCTATATCTAGAAAACCCCGTTGTCTCAGCCCAAAGGCCTCTTAAGCTGATAAACAACTTCAGCAAAGTCTCAGGGTACAGAATCAATGTGCAAAAATCACTAGCATTCCTATACACCAGCAACAGTAAAGCCGACAGCCAAATCAGCAATGAACTCCCATTCACAATTGCTACAAAAAGAATAAAATACCTAGGAATACAGCTAACTAGGGAGGTGAAAGATCTCTACAAGGAGAACTACAAACCACTGCTCAAAGAAATCGGAGATGACACACAAAAAAATGGAAAAACATTCCAAGCTCATGGATAGGAAGAATCAGTATTAAAATGGGCATACTGCCCAAAGCAATTTATAGATTCAATGCTATTCCCATTAAACTACCATTGACAGTCTTCACAGAACGAGAAAAAAAAAACTATTTTAAAATTCATATGGAACCAAAAAACAAAAAAAGCCCGAATACCGAAGGCAATCCTAAGCAAAAAGGACAAAGCTGGAGGCATCATGCTACCTGACTTCAAACTATGCTACAAGGCTACAGTAACCCAAACAGCATGGTGCTGGTACAAGAACAGACACATAGACAAATGGAACAGAACAGAGAACCGAGAAATGAGACCACACACCTACAACTAACTGATCTTCGACAAACCTGACAAAAACAAGCAATGGGGAAAGGATTCCCGGTTCAATAAATGGTGCTGGGATAACTGGCTAGCCATGTGCAGAAGATGAAAACCGGCTCCCTTGCTTACACTATATACAAAGATTGACTCAAGATGGATTAAAGACTGACATGTAAAACCCCCAACTATGAAAACTCTGAAAGACAACTTAGGCAATGCCATTCAGGGCATAGGCATGGGCAAAGATTTCATGATGAAGACGCCAAAAGCAATTGCAACAAAAGCAAAAAATTGACAAATGGGGTCTAATAAAATTAAAGAGCTGTGCACAGTGAAAGAAACTATCAACAGAGTAAACAGACAACCTACAGAATGGGAGAAAATATTTGCAAACTATGCATCTGACAAAGGTCTAATATCCAGCATCTATAAAGAACTTAAACAAATTTACAGGAAAACAAACAATCCCATAAAAAAGTGGGAAAAGGACATGAACAGACACTTTTCAAGAGGAGACATACATGCAGCCAACAATCATATGAAAAAAAAAGGTCAACATCACTGATCATTAGAGAAATGCAAATCAAAACCACAATGAGATCCCAACTAATATTAGCCAAAATGGCCATTATTAAAAAGTCAAAAAATAACAGATGCTGGCGAGGCTGTGGAGAAAAAGGAATGCTTATACACTGTCTGTGGGATTGTAAACAAGTTCAGCCACTGTGGAAGACAGTGTGGTGATTCCTCAAAGACCTAAAGACAGAAATACCATTCAACCCAGCAATCCCATTACTGGGTCTACACCCAAAGGACTAAAAATCATTCTGTTACAAAGACACATGCATGTGTATGCTCATTGCAGCACTACTCACAATAGCAAAGACATGGAATCAGCCTAAATCCCCAACAGTGACAGACTGGAGAAAGATAATGTGGTACATATACACCATGGAATACTATGCAGCCGTGAAAAAGAATGAGATAATGTCCTTCGCAGGGACATGGATGGAGCTGGAGGCCCTTATCCTTAGCAGACCAACACAGAAAGAGAAAACCAAATACTGCATGTTCTCACTTATAAGTGAGAGTTAAATGATGAGAACATATGGACACATAGAGGGGAACAACACACACTGGGGCCTTTTGGAGGATAGAGGGTGTGAGGAGGGAGAGGATCAAGAAAAACAACTAATGGGTACTAAGCTTAACACCTGGGTGATGAAATAATCTATGCAACAAATCCCCTATGACACAAGTTTACCTATGTAACAAACCTGCACTTGTACCCCTGAACTTAAAAGTTTAAAAAAAAAAAAAAAAGGAGTTAGTGGCTAATAAACTCTAAATAAAGCATTTCAAACTTAAAAGCAAAATCTAGCCAGGTGCCGTGGCTCACGCCTGTAATCCCAGCACTTTTGGAGGCCAAGGCAGGAGGATCGCTTGAGGTCAGGAGTTTGAAACCAGCCTGAGCAGCAAAGCAAGACCCCGTTTCTACAAAAAAATAGAATTAAAAGAAAAGTTAGTTGGGTGGAGTCATGAGTGCCTGCAGTCCCAGCTACTCGGGAAGCTGAGGTGGGAGGATCTCTTGAGCCCAGCAGTTCAAGGCTACTGTGAGCTATGATCACGCCACTGCACTCCAGCCTGGGTAACAGAGCAAGACCATGTCTCAAAAAAAAAAAAAAAAAAAAAATTCATCATTTCTAATTTTGCCTCTTCCAAGAATGGAAGGAAATTAACCTATTCAGTACTGTTTTTTCTCTTGAAAAATACCAGTCAGTTGTTAGGCTCAAAACCCTTTGATAGAACATATCCATATCACTGGCCCCAGGGTGCTCTTGGGCATATTGGAAATCCACTCACTTAGCTCAGCTGTGGATTAGCTCAACTCTTAGTTACGAGACCAGAACATGTCTGCATCCTCACCTCCTTAAGCCTGCAGCTCATCAGAACCAAAGACCCTGGCAGAGTTTGGTGGTAGTTCTTTTTTGTCAGACTTACAGTCAGGGGTTGGTGGGTTTGTGGGTAGCTCCATTCTAGTCCTGGGCTTTAATCTGTGAGTATGGCTTTTGTCTTCCATCTTGCTCAGGGTACTTTGGAACCGCTATACATTGCAGGAGCTTAGCTTCTGGTTACCATGGTTTGCTTCCAGAGCAACAAGCCTAGTACTTCAACATGGAGACAATTATCTTTTGTTTTTGTTTTGTTTTGTTTGTTTTGTCTTGGCCATGCCTTTTTGAGTTTACCTTTTTATATTTTGTCCATCATTGCCATGTGTTTGGAGCAGTGGGCGTTCCATAACATGAACTCACTGTACCATCACGAATGGGAAGTAAGGGGAAACCTTATCCATGTGGATTTTACTCTTCCCTGATTCCCTAAATTGGGTTTGCAAAATACTACTGTGCACTTTCTTGATGATTCGGGCTTATCTTTATGACTGTCTGTTTTTGTGTCAGACTGTAAAGAAGTATAAAAGTCTTTAGCTTGATTAATGCAATCCACGCTTCCTTTCTGGAAAAAAAAGGGGGGGGGCGCGCATTTTTTTACAGTTGCAATAAATCGTCTTAAGCCATGTTGGTGTATATCATATAGATTAGTAGTGGTGTTCTAGCTTACTTTCTGTGTGGGCAGGCAGGCACGGTAATTTATCCCCTGCACGACTAAAGATCACAAGGGCTAATGCTGTGTAAAACTGTGAACTCAGTGAAGGTTTTTCTCTGTTAGCCCCATCTTTCTCCATGGTCTACCCACTGATGGTGGCCACTCCCTCCAATTCAGGTACTCCCTCCAATTCAGGTACTCCCTCTCACCATCTGCTTTCTAACTTCCTCTCTGATGCCTTGACTGAGGCAGTGTCGTGTCACAGGAAGAGCACAAACTTGGAATGATCTGGGCTTGAATTCCATCTCTGACTTTTACTAGCCTGGGAAATTGTGGGAAGTTGCTTTCTTTCCTTGAGCCTGTGTTCCTACATATGCAAAGTGGGGCTAATAAATGCCAGCTAGCTGAAAAATCTATGATGAAGAATGAATCTATACATGTGTATAAAGTGTGAGCAGCACATAAAAAAACACTCAGTACATAGTAGTTGTTTATCATTGTTGACAATATCACTGCTTGAGAGAAGAGGAGGAATCAGGGCTAGGCTGTGTGTTTGACAGGAATCAACATTCTACTTAGGGGGAAGCAGCAAATTTATGACAGGCAGAATTGGAAAAGTATGTGAAAATGTTAGGGGTCAGAGAGAGTAGGCAAGTTGTGAAGCACAGATATATTGGCAAGACATCTGAACTTCTAGGCCGGAGGGTTCCTGGATAGGAAGTTGGCTTGGGGTTTTGGCAGTCCGAAGGCTGAGAGCTGAAAGAACAGAATGGTCAGGGAACAGGTCAGAGAGCCAGATGAGAAAAGCTGAGTCTGGAGAGTTTTAGGGAGAGTGGTGTGGTAATGAAGGTGTGTAGAATCAATGAGACAGGCAGGCAGACACCCATGCTCGTGATGATGCATAGTTAAGGTGGAGCACATACTTCCACATCTAACTTCACCATCTCCCAAAACCCCACTGGAACTGCTACAAATGTGATTTTTGAAAGGATTAGAAGGATAGGAGTGAAGATGAAATAAAAAGGGTTGAAGAACAGGAAAGGAGGCAACAACTAAATTTTGGATGCTGAAGAACAGATGGATGAGTGGCAACTGACTTAGCAGATCCAAGAAGGCCACAAACTAGGAATTCTGAGACCTTAGTGGGAAAAGCAAAAAGCTAACTTGATTTACTCCTCACCCCCAGGAATCTTCAAAGGCTGGACCAAGGTAACTCTGGAAGTGGAGTTACCTCTGGAAGTGAAGGGGGGTGGGTATCAAAATAATGAAGGCTGTTTGAAAACTCTTTTAAGAAGTAGATTCATTGCCAAATCCCCTCCTGCTGTCAATGCCAGTGAGGGGCTGGCCCTTCCCTGCTCTGACAGAAGCCTGGAGTGTTATTCCCTGGAGAGGGTAAAGCAGAGGGTCTCTGGATGGGGAGTTCGCAGACTTAGTTGAGGGCTGGGGTCCTGTACTGAAAACAGGGGTGTTGAGTGGAAGCATGTGTCCTGAAAGCTGTGAACTCCCAGTCTTCTTCCCTGCCCCTGCCCCTAAACTTCTGGCAGCTGGAAGAGTCTTCTGTGAGCCATCTGACCAACCTAAGAGAAAAAGATCTAAGGAGACTCACACTGAAGGCTCCCCAGTAAAGGGCTCACTCAGCTGGGTTACTCCCCGATGAGGTACATATCTTGATACTGTGAGGAAGAAGACACCCATTCAATTGAGGGTACTTATTTTTGGAATAGGAGGAGAGACCTGAGCATTTTAGTTACTGCAAGGAAAGGAGCCAGGCAGAGAAGACGGAGAGATTAGACATTCTTGAGAGAAGAGGTAATTGATGGAGTGAGGCACCTGGGGAGGCAGGATGGGATCGAACCCAGAGCAGGAGTGGAAGTGACAGCCTGAGTCAGAAGAAAGCACCTTCATCTTTCACTGAGATAGGATGAAAAGAAATGAGATCTGGTTATAGACTCAATTTGATCCATTATTATTTTGCAGCCACTATATCCAAGGCGTTGTGTGGGGTAGTGTTCATTCATCCATCCACTCATTCATCCAACATTTTTTGGAGCAACTACTGTGTTCCGGCACTGTGCTGCGTGCTGGAGATACCGAGATAAGTCAGACAAGGTTCCAGTCCTCAAGGAGCTCACAGTCACAGGACGAAAGCAGGCTCACAACATAGGGCAATATGTGCTGTGAAAACTGAGCACAGGGGGCTGTGAGAACACGGAGCAAGGGACACTGTAGAGAAGGGAATGAAGCAGGTATGGAAATGGATATAGAACAAGACATGGACTGCTCTGTGCATTCAAGGGCAGAGAGATCTCATCCAGCAGGGCCCATCTGCAGAGGTTTCATGAAGTTAGGTGGTCTTTGAGTTGAAACCGAGAGGATGCCTAGGGTTTCTTTCAACCTGCAGTGACGTGGGGGTGGGGAACGGGTGCCCACCAAGAGGTGAAAACAGATGCAAAGATCCAGAGGCAGGAAATTGCAAGAGGACATGTTCAGGGTAGAGGGAGAGGCCCTGGTTGAGCACCTGAGAAGCCCCGGTTGAGAGTATGCTGAGGCAAGTGGTAGGAGGTGCAGTTGTGAAGCAGGAATAGGATGAGATGCAAAAAATATCACTGAAGCAACATCACAAATTGCAGCCGGGTTGAACAAATGGATTGTGTAAAAAACACCAGACTGTGAAATGAGAAACCCGATTCTGTTTGAGGCCCAGCTCTGAAACAAACTTGCTCTTGATGTGGTGTGTAGTGACTCAGTTAATGTCTCTGAACATTGGTTTCTTCATCCATCAAGTGGTAGCAGGAACACCTTTCCTGCCTGTCTCATGGGGTTCTCGTGAGGAGCATATAAGTCAGTGTACGAGAAAACACCTTTAAAACAACAACAACAACAACTCTTTAAAGTGCCGGTGCACACACGTGAAGGCTTATTATTGAGGAGACGCTTGTGCTGGGAACACAACCCTAACCCTAACCCTAACCCCTAACCCTAACCAGGGGAGCAAATGTACTGAAATATTCTCCTAAAGGGATCCAACAACATTCCGAAACTAGTTGTTAGGTAACATGGGGAGCGAATCAACTCCTGTTAATTTGGAATGTCTATATGTCAAATTTACATACAATAAAAATAGATTTGTACTATCCTGGCGGTCTACCGATGATAGTACAACAGGAATTATACACACAAAAACATGCAAATGTCCGATTGTTCTTCATTCACTCAACCAACATTCATTGACCATTCTGCTGTGCACTGAGGGCAGGCACGCTGGAGGCCAGACAAATAGAATTTCTGCCCTCAAGATCTCCTTGTACCACGGGAGACACATGTATTAACAGCCAATGTTAACACCAGGTAAGCACAAGGAGTCTGTGGGAGCTCAGAACAAGGGTACCTAAACCAGTCTTTTGCAGCTGAGGTTGTATTAATATGAAGTAGTACCATTGCCCCGATTTTACAGATGAGGAAACTGAGAGTTAGAGAGCAAGTGACAGAGCCAGTACTCTAACCCAGCTGTTTTAATTCTGAATCCAGGGCTTTTTCTGTCTCGCCACAGCTGCCTCTTTTGCTTTGTAAATACTTTAGGTCTAATGCATATGGCAAAAGATAAGTTGTCTTGTGTGTCCCTGCCCATCCTAGACTGCCTGCTCCTTTCCAGAGACAAACAGGAATTTGGGGGTTAGAGCACTTCCGTGTGTCCAAAATGTTATATTTCAGATATAAGTAATAATAATAATAATTAATAATTAATAGTAAAAGTCCTCACCCTATCTATAAGTTCCTTTTGAAAGCTTCTCAAGAGTCCAGGAGTGTGTGTGCACACACGCATGTACGTGTGGGTGTATATGTATGCACGTGTACGTGCACGCATGCAAGTGGGTGCGTGTGCATAGGCGTTTGGAGTAGGGAAGGTTGGGAAGCACTGGCTCCTGCATTTTCAACAAACCTGGATACAGAGAAAATGGAAAATGAGCCCAAACAAAAAGGAACTTGCAGAAGAAGGCAGGTGAAAATAACCAATGAGAGAAAAGAGTTCTCAGGAGACACCAGGAAAGCAGTGTCTGCTGGCCACATCTACTGCTTCACTGGCAGTTCCATTAAAATAAAATATATTCCACTAAAATATATATAGGGAAAGTGGTTTCCTCCATCATGTTCTTCTGGGAATTTTGTGGAAATTTCCTGACGTTGTGTGAGTCATAAAAGGAAAAAGAAATAATTTCCATTTCTGGAAATATTGCAGATTACATAACCCGAAATCCCTCCTTGCTACACAACACCTAAAAAAGCTGGGTAACTAGTGGTCTGTGGTTGCCAAAAATGACATCCTGTGAACATCCGGGAGCCTCAAGCAATCCCAACGCTACGGCAACTGAAAAAAAAAAAAATGAAGGGATTGCACTAAGTAGCTCGTAAGATCCCTTTCATCCATTTCTTTGCACCATATCATTCTTTAGTTCTTGTATTCACTCATTCACTGGAACATTTACTGAGCACTGATTCTATATCAGGTATTGGCTGCGTTGTGTTTTGATGAATACAAAGTTGAAAGGCATGGTCCCTGTATTCAAATAGCTCACCACGTTGTGCAGTGGCTCTTGACCGGAGCTGCACATCTGAATCACTTGAGAAGGTTTGCAACAATGCATATGCCTGCCTTCCTCGCTGCCCTCAAGATTCTAACTTCATCCTGGAGGGAAATGAATAGCCCGGCATTCTTTCTGTGTTGATTTCTGAAACCCAGAGCCTGAAGGGAATTCAAAGTGTTAGACAGCATTCTATAGAAATATGAAAGGGAAAGGATTTCTTCTGGACAGGATAGATCCTCAAGCTCGGGGGAAGGTGCAGAAGAGGCGAGACCTCTGTCATTTCCAAGAGGAGTGGGAACCTGGGCCCTGCTGCCCGACAGCAATGCCAAGGAGAGACGTGGATTGATTTGAGAGGCATTTTGAAGGTAGAGTCCACTGAACTTGGTGTCCAATTAATTGCGAGAGAGGGGTTGAGGGAGAGGAAGTTGTCAAGATGACTCCCAGGTTACTGGTTTGGTCAACTGGGCACACCTTATTCACACAGGGAATATTAGAAGAGGAGAGAGCTTGGAGAGAAGATGTTTTCAGTCTTGGATATATTTGAGTTTGGGGTGCATGTGGAACAGAACATCCAGGCAGGGAAGTCCAAGAGGCAATTGGATACTCTTACCTGAAGCTTAGCAGAGTGTTCAACCTTGTATATCATTTTAAAGTGATTGCATCACTCCCAACCCTCTTAAAAACTTTCTGAGTAAAGCATAATACCAACTTTATACATTTCCTTTCAAAGAGCACACAAAAAAAATCAGTTCTTTGTGCCTCAGGGAAGAGCCACACCCAGTTACCTATATAACCATATTTTGAGTACCACCTCGTGACTTTTCTGCAGCCTTCAGTACCTGCTTTTAAATGGTCACATATAATAAATGCACTAAAAGCAGCCATGTCTCACCACCGTTTGCTTAGGGCAGGATTCCCATCAGCAATGGATCTTCATATTTTTCCACTTCTGAGCCTAGGGAAGAAAAATCCATGAAGGTAACCAGTTCATAAAGTGGCTCTTCTTCCCAAAATTTCTTGTGACATGTGGCTTTGAGCAATTAGGGCTCTTTCAACCCCTAGGCCCTTCCTCACTCATCTTAAGCTGTCATTGAGTGTCTGGCACCCCAAAGCACCAATCTTTCTTTGAGGCTACATATTCATGAAAAGTCTTCCCCCGCCCCCATCACATTCCTCTTCCAGAGAATTTGTGGGAGCTTCTTAGTGCTCTGGGAGTTTTAAAGGGGAAAGCAATTTCCATTTCTGGAAACAGTGCACACTAGATAACCTGAAAACCCTCCTGTTACAAAGCACCTTTTAAAAGGCAGGATAAAATTTAATAAATATTCCTTTTAATGCACATGTGATGAACTTATGGTGGAAGTTGACCCTCAGGTGTCAAAAAACAAAGAGGAACCTAAAGAGCAGATCAATGGGCATTTGAATTTATGTTAGGGTGGTAGGGGAATGGATTCAATAACCACCAGGGAGAGGAGAAAAGCCTTGGTGCCTCACAAGGGCTACACAGTCAGTGAAAGGATGGACTAGGAAAAAAAAGTCTTCCCACCACCATGGTGAGATGACAAGAGAGTTTGTTTCTTCATGGGTTCTGGTGGGAGAAAATAAAATGCTTCCCCTGGTCATTTGTAACTCTAAGGCTATTGTCATGTAGGTCTAGGGTTGGAATTAATACCTCTTATTTAGGTCTTGAAAACCCCAAGCTTACACATTAACATCAAAAAGATAACAGCCAGAGATACACCCCCAGTCAAACCTCATTGAAGTCACACAGATGAAGCCGTTTGAACAAATCCCTAAACTCACAAACAAAATTATAAAACACCTGAGGAAAAAAAAAAACCGCCTGTGATTGAGTATCAGCAAACACAATGATGAGCAGGATTACACTACCAAAAACTTTAGATAATAGAGCCAACCGAGAGTATAAAATAAGTTTGTATAAGATACTTAGAAACAATAAGGAATCCAAACATATGAGAAAGATCAAGATTCTACGGAAAAAGAAGAGGCCGGTTTCTTTCTTTAAGGAACCAAATAGAACTTCCGAAAATGAAAGACATTATTTCCAGTGACAGCAAAAGATCAGAGGATGGGTTTAAAAGCAGATTCATCTGCTTTAGTGAACTGGAAGATAGAAGTAAGGAAATTATTCAGAAGGCAGCAAGGAGAGATAGCAAATGTATAAACGGTTAAGAGATACAGAAAAATGATGCAAAGGTCCAAAAAAACTCTAATAGGAATGACAGAATCAGAGAATAAAGAGAGCAGGGGTAAACCAATAATCAAAAGGATACTGGCTGGAAATTTTCAGATTTGAAAACAGACATAGTTCCTCGTATTCTAAAAGCATGAGCCACAGCAAGAATCAATAAAACTGAATCACAGGGGAACCGGCGCAGGTCAACAAAGAAAAGGGGAAAGATCTTAAAATCAACCAGAAAGAAAAGACACAGTGCTATCAAAGGGATAATAAACTGACAGCAGACTTCTCACCAACTGCAATAAAAATGGAATCATATCACTAATGCATTCGGGGAATGGGGGGAAATGTCATACCCAACTAAACTACAATTCAAGAATGAGTGAAATAAAGATAGTCTTTTTGATATATTTTAAAATATTTATTTATTTATTTGTTGAGACAAGGTCTCACTCTGTCGCCCAGGTTGGGGTACAGTGGTGCGATCATGGCTCACTGCAGCCTCGATCTCATGGGCTCAAGGGATCCTCCTGCCTCAGCCTCCCTAGTAGCTAGGACTACAGGTGTGCACCTCCATGCCTGGCTAATTTTTTTTTTTTCCCCAGTAGCTGGGACTACAGGTGAGCACCACCACTCCCGGCTATTTATTTATTTATTTATTATTTTGTAGAGACAAAGTCTCATTATGTTGCCCAGCCTGGTCTTGAACTCCTGAGCTCAAATGATCCTCCCACCTCGGCCTCCCAAAATGCTGGGATTACAGGTGTGAGCCACTGCACCCAGCCAGTAAAGATATTCTTCAACAAAGGTTGAGAGGGCTGACCACTCACAAACCCTCACTGAAAGAACGACTTAAAGATGTTCTTCCATTAAAAGGAAATTGAACGAAAAGAACAAAGCAAGATGCAACAGAGGAATGGTGAACAAAGAAACTAGTAACCATGGCCATGAGTCCAAAAAAAAAAAAAAAAGACTGCATAAAAACAATATGACTGACCAAATTATAACTAAATACTGGACAGCACTGACTTGTAAGACAAGGTCCTTGCATTGTTTGCGGTGAAATTGGAGACGATTAAGATTTGATAAAATGAAGTGTTTGCGATTAAAAATAAAAAGACCTTGATAATTTCATATCCGTTAGTGTGGATTCAGATCCATTAGAAAGCTTACATTTATCTAAAACTAACTCCAAGTCAGCCGGAATATATCCCAGGAATAAAAAAATAACCCTTCAAAACCAGAGATTTTGTAACTGAACTCCGGTCCAGGCCATTCATCACCTGAAGGCCAAAAACTCAAAGAGAGGAGCTTTGGTGAAAGGAAAGTTAGCTTTATTTGAGAAGCCAGCAACCGGGAGGAGTCAGTGAACTAGACTTCAGTGATCACCTCTCTGAGTTGTGCCTCTGGATTAGGGTTTTTTAAGGGAAAGCAGAGGAAATAATGATCAAAACATTCTTCTAAAACGTGTTCAGTCTCAGGTGGGCAGTTAATCACTGCTTTCTTGGTCAGTGTTTTGTGACCTTCCACAGGCACCGTCAGCCTATTCTTACCAGGCTGGTCAGCCCCTTCCCAGAGCTGCTGGTTGGCGTGTTTTCTTTTATCTCTGTTGAAGGTCCTGTTTTCCTGAGACTATTTTTAGTGAATAATCTACAAACTCAAGCAAAGCAATAATCACATTCAAGCAAGCAAACTTTTATCTTAACTTGGAGTCAGTAACATTACAATTTATTTGTAAAAGATGGCAGAGTGAAGAAAGATAAAAGAATCTCCCTTCCCCGATCCTACTAAATAAATTAAAAAATAATACATAAATAATGGTAAAAAGCAGAATGAGAAGAAGAGAAGACTAAGGAGGAGAAGAAGAGAAGACTAAGGAGGAGAAGCAGGAGAAGGAGGGAGAGAGGGAGGAAAGTGGCTTCCCAGGAATATATATATATATATTTATATGAATATACATACATGCATTACACATGTATGTATATCTACATGTATATTATATAAGTATTTATATAAATACATGTATATTACATATATAGATACAAATATAAATACATGTATATTACATATATATTTATATAAATATACTTACATGTATATTACATATATATTTATATAAATGTACTTACACGTATGTTACATATATATTTACACCAATATACATACATGTATGTTACAAATATATTTATATAAATATACATACACGTATATTACATATATATTTATATAAATATACATACATGTATATTACATATATATTTATATAAATATACATGCATGTATATTACATATATATTTATATAAATATACATGCATGTATATTTACATGTATTTATATAAATATACATGCATGTATATTTACATGTATTTATATAAATATACATGCATGTATATTTACATGTATTTATATAAACATACATACATGAATATTTACATGTATTTATATAAATATATGTCTATCTATTTATATAAATACATGTATATTTACATGTATTTATATAAATATAAATACATGCATATTTATATAAATATAAATACATAAATATACATGTATATTTATATAAATATAAATACATAAATACACATGTATTTATAGTTATATAAATACATAAATATACATGTATTTATATTTATATAAATACAAAAATATACATGTGTTTATATAACTATAAACACATATATATTTATATAACTATAAATACATATATATTTATATAACTATAGATACATATATGTTTATATAACTATAGATACATATATATTTATATAACGATAGATACATATATATTTATATAACGATAGATACATATATATTTATATAACGATAGATACATATATATTTATATAACGATAGATACATATATATTTATATAATGTGTGTCATATATATTTATATAACGATAGATACATATATTTACATAACTATAAATACGTATATATTTATATATATTTATATAACTATAAATACGTATATATTTATATATAAATCTAAATACGTATATATTTATATATAACTATAAATATGTATATATTTATATATAACTATAAATAAGTATATATTTATCTATGTATGTAACTATAAATAAGTATATATTTATATATTTATAAAACTATAAATAAGTACAAATTTATATATTTATATAACTATAAGTAAGTATATATTTATATATTTATATAACTATAAATAAGTATATATTTATATATATTTATATAACTATAAATAAGTATATATTTATATTTATATAACAATAAGTATATATTTATATACATTTATATAACTATAAATACGTATATATATTTATATAACTATAAATACATATATATTTATATGTATTTACATAACTATAAATACATATATATGTATTTCACTATAAATACATATATATGTATATAACTATAAATACATATGTGTATTTATATAACTATAAATACATATGTGTATTTATATAACTATAAATACATATATGTAGTTATATAACTATAAATACATATATGTAGTTATATAACTATAAATACATATATGTAGTTATATAACTATAAATACATATATATGTAACTATAAATACATATAGATGTAACTATAAATACATATATGTAGTTATATAACTATAAATACATATATATGTAACTATAAATACATATATGTGTAGTTATATAACTAAAAATACATATATATGTAGTTATATAACTATAAATACATATATATGTAGTTATATACCTATAAATACATATATATGTATTTATATAAGTATAAATACATTTATATTTATATATACATATTTATATATAAATATACATATATGTATTTATATCTACGTATTTATATATACAAATATATACGTATTTATACATACAAATGTATACGTATGTATATATACGCATTTATATATATAAATATATACAGATTTATATATATAAATATATGCACATTTATATATAAATATATACATATATAATATATGCACATATATACACATATGTATACATACATACGTATATACATATACATACATATATACATATACATATACATACATATATACATATACATACATATATATGCATATATATAAATATATAGGTATTCATATATACATGTATATTATATAGGTGTTTATATATGTATTTATATATGTATTATATATAGTACATATATATGTATTATTGTACATATATATGTACTATATATTTATAGTACATATATATATATGTATAAATTCTTGTGGGGAGGATGGCTGGTTTAGCACACTTCTCATTCTGTCCCCACCCCCTGGAAGCAATACTGAGGAAAAACAATGTGAGCCAGTCAGATCCTGAGAATGGGATGTAAGGCTCTCTAACTTGAGGAGAAATGGACTGAGAGAATAAGCAGAAAAAAGTAAATACCTTTGTGAACAGAAGCCCTCAACTGCCACTCCTAGATTTCACCAGCGGTAGGAAGGCTCCCAATTCTTTCCATTTTCCAAGACACCGTGCTGAGTTGGGCAAACAAAACAAAACCCTCAGAGTAAGACACACCCTTGCATGGATGGACTAGAGCATGATACATGATATTTAGCAAGATCTTAGAAGAAAAGGTAGATTGAAATCAACATCCCACCTGCCCTCAAATTATCACCCTCAGAATGTTAGAGCAAATAGAACGTCTGACAATGTTTTCCATAATTGAAATAAAAATAAATGGTTTAGCAATGATGCTAACAATCTACAGGGATAGAGGGAGAGGGAAAAGGAGGGAAGAGAGGAGAGAGAGAGGGAGGGAGGAAGGAAGGAAGAAAGAAGGAAGAAAGGAGGGAAAAAGAGAAGAGGGGAGGAGGGAAGGAAGAAAAAGAAGAAAAGAAATAAGGAAATAGAAAGAGAAAGAAAGAAGAAGAAAGAAAAAAGAAAGAAGAAAGGAAGAAGAAAGAGAAAGAAAGAAACCATCATAGTATACAAAAGACAGATAACCATCACAGACTGGAAGAATGCATAAAACAAGGAACAGATGCAACTAACCCTAGAGTTCTCTAAGCCATAGTAAAATTTAAAATATGATTTCAACTTAACAAAGTTTCAAAGACCAGATGATTGGCAACCGAATATGATTTTTTTTTTTTTTTAAAAAAGGAGATTACTGAGCTCAGAAAAGAAACCGAGAACTCAAAGAACCACATGGTGGATCAAAGAAGTAAATTAGGAAGAGCAAGATGCAGAAGAGACATGCACACAAATCGAAACAAGGGCATGGAGGAAGGACTTTAGATGGTCACGCTAATGCTGATCCAACATTAAGATAATTTACATGCCTTAAGTAAAGAGCCTAATAAATGGGATAGAAAAATATCCACAGATGCCATATGTGAAAAGTTTCCAGAAATAAAGGAAGAATTGAACCTGCTCCTCAAAACGACAAAGTCTCTACCATCAAAAATTGATGCAGAACAATCAATATTGAGATATATTCTAGTTGTGTTATGGTACTTCAAAAAAAATTAAAGAATTTCTTAAATTCTTTAAATTAAAGACACCTAAGCACGTGCGCGTGCACACGCGCGTGTGCACACACACACACACACATCAATTACTTACAAGGGAACAAATTTGTTCCACTTAAATATAAAAGTAAAATGTAACATCTCCAGAATGTTTCTGCTCCTGGGTGAGATGAAGCATGCACACTCTACTGAATGCAGCTATAAAATGTGGACACAGTGCATGGGCCAGCTATTTGAGGACTCTGAAAAGTAAATGGAAGGAGGCAGACCGGGGAAAGACTACAATTTGAAGCACCACTGAAACAGCAGTGAATTTGACATTTTCCCCCCTTTAGTATCCTTGGCTCAACGTAGCCTGCAAGTTAGAAGTAGACAGTGGTGTGAACAGAGAGAGCTCTGGTTCTGACTTGAGAAGAGGGAAAAGGGAATACTAACCCTCAGCGATAGTTAAGGGAATCCCCAGTTTTTCTTTCTTCTTTTCTTTGTACTTTCATGTTCTAGCCCACAGGCAATCCTGTGGCAGCAGTGGTGGTGACAGAGGCAGTGACAGTGACAGTGGCAGCCGCCAGGGCCTTCAGGTGATTAAAGCTCTGAAGGAAAGTAACCTTCCTCTCTGATTGTAGGTCCCAAAGGGGTGCCCGTGACTTCTTTTTCCCCTCTTTGGTCTTCCTGCCGAATCACACCAGAGGAAGGCAAAGGCACAGGAAGCGTGTGGCAGAGAAGAGTCACTAAAGCGACAGCAACAGCTTCATGGCTACAAGGTTGAAAAGGGGAAGCTGAGGGAAGCAGAAAGTGCTGGGGAGATTGCAGGGAGGGAGGAAGTGCTTGGGAAAGTAAACCCATGAAGCTGTGTATGAGCTTCTGGGCTTACCCCACAAGGTGTGTATGTACAGATGTGATCCTGTACGACATACAAAGGACTTTGAGAACTGCACTGAGTAAGGGATATAGACCTCGCCAGCTCCAAGACTGCTGATCATGCTTAACAGAACCAAATACCATTGCAAAGGCTTTGAAATGGAACTAACAATAAAACCCCCGGTCAGAACATGTGGCCTGAGCCTAAGTGACTGGGGGAAAAATGAGTGGAGACTTGGGGATCTGTGGGAATATGACAAAAGAGCTACCTTTTGTGTCATCATAGTGACAGAAGGAAAGGAGGAAGGGGGTGGGACTGAAAAAGTATTCAAATAAATAATGGCTGGAAGATTCTAAATACGGCAAAAGACACATGCCTGTACATTTAAGAAGCTGAGTGAACCCCAAACAGAATAATCTTAAAGAAACCTACACCAAGAAGCATCACAGTCAAACTTCTGAAAACTAAGGACCTAGGAAAAAAGTCCCAAAAGCAGAGAGAGAGAGAAAGGAAACCTTACCTATACGGGAAAAGGAATTAGAATGGCAATATATTTCTCATTAGAAACCATGGAGGCCAGAGGAAGTGGCATAACACTTCTCAAGTGGCGAAACAAAAGAACCAGAACCCTGTCTACAAAGTGAAATTACCTTCAGGAATGCAGGGGAAATCAAGACATTCGCAGAAGAAGGAAAAGTAAGAGAGATTGTTGCCATCAGACCTACCCTTACCTCTACGCTTAGAGAAGCTTCCTGCATGAGATTCCACTAGGCATGTAAAATGCCTTGGCTGAGCATGACCTGCTCACCAATTCTCTCTAATGTGGACATTTATCATGCTGCCCAGTATTGGGAAGATATGTCTTAGAATTTCTCACGAGCTCCTAGTACAAGTCTGGTCTAGTTTCTGCCTCCAGCCCCTCCACTGAAATTGCTCTTGCCAAGGCCCCCAGCAACACTTGCATTGCTTAACTCAGTGAACAGGTTTTAATGCTTATCATTTTGGAACTCAGCAAGTGTTTCTGAGTTTGTCCCTTCTTCTTCAGTTCCTCTGGCTTCCTTCTGCACCTTTGCTCTCATCTCTTTCTGGCTTGATTATCTTTTAGCGTGCCCCCCCACCCCGCACCAACTTTATCTGTGGAGACACTCCTCTAGTCTTCTTCCAATGATGTTCCTCTTTTGCTTGCCCCTTAAAAGAAGTTGTCCTTGGTCCCCTTATATATTCTATGTGCTCTCCCTGAATGGTCTCAACTACATTCATGGCTTCAAGAACTACCCTGATGAGTCGCAAATCTGTATTTTCAGTATTGACTTCACTCCTGAACTCCTAAGCCAAATCTCCTTCATCTCCATCTGGATATCCCACAGGCATTTCAAATTTCACACGCTCAAGACTGAACTCATCTTCCTACCCATACGCAGACCTCCTCCTTCATCCCATTTGTCCAGGAATGACTCCAAAGTCTGTGGTCACCTCACTCTATCCCTGTGGAGTCATGCTAGAGCTTTTTCACTTCCCCATCGCCACTCCCCTCCCCTGCCAACCAATGCCCCGCTTTTCCAATTGGCTAACTTGTACTCGTTCTTCAAGCTTCATATTGGACACCATTTCTCCAGGAACATTTCCCCAACCCCAAACGTCTGTGTAAAGTACTCCTCTTATGTGTTCCTACAGCACTTTCTTAGTCCATCTGTGTTGCTATAAAGGAATACCTGAGGCTGGGTAATTTATAAAGAAAAGAGGTTTATTTGGCTCATGATTCTGCAGGCTGTACAGGAAACATGGTGCTGGCATCTGCTTGGTTTCTGGTGAGGGTCTCAGGCTGCTTCCACTCATGGCATAAGGTGAAGGGGAGCCGGCAAGTGCAGAGATCACATGATGAGAGAGGAATCAAGGTGGGGTGGGGGGGAGGTGCTACACTCTTTTTTAACAACCAGCTCTTGTGGGAATGAATCAAGTGAGAACTCACTCATTACTGCGAGGCTGGCACCAAGCCATTCATGAAGGATCCACCCCATGACTCAAACACCTTCCATTAGACCCCACCTTCCAACACTGGGTATCAAATTTCCACATGAGATTTGGAGGGGTCAAACAAACCAAACTATAACCAGCACCTTGAACTTCCCCTCTCATAGCACTTATCACAGTATAGTGTTGTCATTGTCTGGCTCCTTGTCTGTATGTTCCGCCAGACTGCATGCAGGGATCTGATCTATATTTCTCGTTGGTGTTGTCTCAATGCTTAACACAGTATACCTGGCACTACCCTTCAATATTTTTTGAAGAATGAGCACATGAATTATCATGTCTCCAGCTAGGTTCGCCAGTATGAGTAATATGTAGTGAGTGTCTACTGTGTGCCATTTTACTACCTAAACTTTTTATGGACTCTGTCCCCTAGTCTTATCTACCAATGCCATTGTCTTAGTTGAGATATCTGTCATTTCTTGACTGGTATAATACAGCAGCTTTCTAATTCCAATCTCAGTCCTCTCTGTTCTATTCTCCACACACAATCCTCTCTGTTCTATTCTCCACACAGCTTCCAGGGTGATATTTCTAGAGGCAAATCAGACCACGTCACTCCCAAGCTGAAAGACCACAGTGGGTTCAGTGTAGCCTACAGGGTATTCTAAAACCTGAGCATGGCATAATAGAACCTCCATGTCTTGGCTCCTGCCTACCTCTTTCCCAGCCACATCAACCACTACTGCTCCACTGGCATCGTACTCTCCAGCCTTAATGAATTGGTTGCAACTCCCCTCCTCCCACCGGTGCCTTGGCTTCTCATCATGCTACAGATTCTTTAACACACACATTGTCCTCCAAGAAGCTTGCCAGATCCACTCCTATTCTTTCAACGAAATGTTTATTGACCACTCTTTATACACTATGACCAAATAGGATTTATCCCACAAATGTAAGGTTGGTTCAACATGTGAAAATCAGTGTATATAATACACCATATTAATGGTTGGTTCAACATGTGAAAATCAATTTATATAATACACCATATTAACAGAATGCATGGCGGAGCGGGGGCGGGGGAGGGGGCTCATGGTCATCTTAATCATGTACAAAAAGGATCATTTGACAAAACGCAGTACCCTTTCATGAAAATAAATTCAACAAACCAGGAACAGAAAGAAACTTCTTCAACCTGATAGAGGGCATCCATGAAAAACCCAGAGATAATATCATACTTAATGGTGAAAGACTGGTTGATTTCCCCCTAAGATCAGGAATGCCACTTGTAACTCAACATTGTACTCAAAGTTCTAGTCAGGGCAATTAGTCAAGAAAAAGAAATAAAAGGCATCCAGATCGGAAAGGAACAAGTAAAACCATCTCTATTCATAGATGCATAGATGGCATGTTCTTATATAGAGGACACTAAAGAGTCCAACAAAAGAAAAAAAAAAAACTGAGACGGTTTGGCTCTGTGTCCCCACCCAAATCTCATGTCGAATTGTAATCCCCACCTGTTGAAGGAAGGGCCTAGTGGGAGGTGATTGAATCATGGGGGCGGACTTCCCCCTTGCTATTCTTCTGATAGAGCGCTCACAAGATCTGATGATTGTTTGAAAATGTGCAGCGCTTCCCCCTTTGCGTGCGTTCTCTCTCTCTTCCTCCTGCTCCAACATGTGAAGAAGGTGCTTGCTTCCCCTTCGCCTTCCGCCATGATTGCACGTTTCCTGAGGCCTGCCCAGAAGCAGAAGCCTTGTACAGCCTGCAGAACCATGAGGCAATTAAACCTCTTTTCTTTAGGAATTACCCATTCTCAGGCAGTTCTTTATAGCAGTGTAGGAACGGACTAATATGCCAACCCTGTCTGAGTATGCTCAGCAAAGCATATTCGGCTCAGCAAAGTTGCAGTATCCAAGATCAATCTGCAACAGTCGGTTGTATTTCTACACCCTAGCAATGAATAACATGAAAATAAGATTAAGGAAATGATTCATTTTACAGTAGCATCGAAACAATAAAATGTCGAGGAATAAATTTAACTAAAGGTGTACAAGATGTATACTCTGAAAATTTCAAGACGTTGCTAAAATAAATTAAAGAAGACCTAAATAAATCGAAAGGCATTTTGTGTTAACGGATTGGGACACTTAATATTGTTAAGATGCCCATAATCTCCAAGGCAATATACAGATTCATCGTGATGCCTGTCAGAATCCAACCTGCCTTCTTTGTAAAAACTGACAAGCTGATCCTAAAATTCATAAGAAAATGTAAGGGGCTCAGATAGCCAAAACAATCTCAGAAAAGAAAAAAGTTGAAGGACTCACACTTCCCAATTTCAAAACGTACTACAAAACCGCAGTAATCCGAAAAGGGTGGTACTGCCATCGTGATCGATACATTAGGTCAATGTTACAGAACTCAGAGTCAGGAATAAACCCATATATTTATGTAAAGTTTATTTTCAGTAAGAGTTCCGGCACCCCTCAATGGGTGGAGGGGAAGAATAATCCCCTCAACAAACTGCGCTGGGACAACTGGATAGCCACATGCAAAAGAAGGCCCCTGGACCCCTACCTCACATCATGTAAAGAATTAATTCAAAATGGATCACAGATCTAAATGTAAGGGCTGAAACTATAAAACTCTAAGAAGAAAACGGAGATGTAACTTTGCACGACCTTGGATTAGGCAACAGCTCCTTCAGTATGACACCAAAGGCAAAGCCACAGATATCTTTTCATTTGGCAAGTTGGACTACATCCAAATGTAAATCTTTTGGGCAACAAAGGGCTCTATCCAGAAAGTGAATGGGAGAAACATTTGCAAGTCACATATCTGATAAGAGTCTATTTTCCAGAATATATGAATAAGTTTTAGAAGCCCACAGCCAAAATACAATCAACCGAATTAAAAAATGGGCAAAGGGCTTGAATAGACATTCCTCCAAAGCAGAGGTACAGAGGGCCAAGAAGCACATGAAAAGATGTCTTAGTCTGTTTTCTGTTGCCATAATTGAATACCCGACACTGAACAATTTATAAAGAAAAGAAATTTATTTCTTACCGTTCTGGGGACTGGGAAGTGACCCGGCATCTGGGGACGGCAGAGGGTATCACACGGCGAGAGGGCAAGAGCGTGTATGTCGTTTCAGGCCTCTCTTCCTATTCTTATAAAGCCACCAGTCGCATCCTGGGGGTCTCACCCCGATGACCTTATCTAATCCTAATTACCGTCTCAGAGGCTGCGCCTCCAATCAACATGTGAATTTGGGGATTAAGTTTCCAAGACACACAATTTGGGGGATGCACTCAAACCACAGCAACATCATTAGCCATTTGGGAAATACGAATGAAAACCACCATGAGATAGCACTTGACACCCAGTAGGATGGCTACTGTAAACAAAACAAAATGAGGCAAACAGAAAACAGGTTTTGATGAGGCTGTGAAGAAATTGGGACTCTCATGCACTACTGTTGGGAATGCGAAAGATTACAGCTGCTGTGGAAATCAGTTTGGTGGTTCCTCAATAAGTTAAACAGAATTACCACACGAGCCAGCAGTTTGACTGCTAGAAATAGACCCAAAAGAACTGAAAAGAGATATTCAAAGAAAAACCTGTAGAGAGATGGTCATGGCAGTGCCACTCACAATAGCCAGAAGGGGGAAATAACCTGTCCATCAACTGACGAGTGGGTAAACAAAATGTGGCCTCCTATTCATACAACAGAATCGTACTCAGTCATTCAAAGGAAGGAAGTAGTGATTCATGCCTCTACATGGATGCACCCTGATGAAACCATTACGCTAAGTGAAAGCAGCCAGACACACACGGCCTCACATTTGGTCGTATAATTCCATCTATAGGAAATCTCCAGAACAGGCTAACCTCTATGGACAGAAAGCAGATGGACTAGGGGTTGCCAGGGACTATCGGGAACGTGTGTATGGGCGGGGGCAGGGGGTGTGTGTGGGAGGGTGTGGGGGCTGGTAGTGGTGGTGTGGAAGGAGGCGTGCGGCAAGTGACTGCTTATAGGTACAGGGGTTTCGGTTTCTTTTCGGGGTGTTGAAAACGTTTTGGAACTAGGTGGTCGTGATGGATGTGCAACATTGTGAAGGCGTGGTACCCGTCCTCCCCTCGCCCACCCCTTTGTCTTTCCCACGGTGTTCCCATCCAGTAGAAAGGGAAAGTTCCCACTGGCAAAGAGAGGGTCACCAGCGCGATTCCCCCTGCCCCGCCCCACCCCACCCCCACGGCCCTCCAGCCACTTCTAGGCCCAGGCCTGCTCCCTCGAGGCCAATGGGAAAGTGATGAGGTCACCTGACGGACGTGTGTCCCTTGTGAGGGGCCGTCACCACATGCGTGCCCGTCGCCGGATGTGCGTGCCCATTGGTCTCGGCTCCCTAGCCAATGAGGGGCTGGGCCCTGGTCGCTAGGATACACAGTACTGGACGCGGTAACTGTCCTCTTGAGAGCCATCTTGCCTAGCTGGGCCAAGCCGAGATAGCACACTCAACGCCCAGCATGCCGAGGAGGAGGAGACGCCGAGGGTCCTCCGGTGCTGGCGGCCGGGGGCGGACCTGCTCTCGCACCGTCCGAGCGGAGCTTTCGTTTTCAGTGAGCCAGGTGGAGCGCAGTCTACGGGAGGGCCACTACGCTCAGCGCCTGAGTCGCACGGCGCCGGTCTACCTCGCTGCGGTTATTGAGTACCTGACGGCCAAGGTCCTGGAGCTGGCGGGCAACGAGGCCCAGAACAGCGGAGAGCGGAACATCACTCCCCTGCTGCTGGACATGGTGGTTCACAACGACAGGCTACTGAGCACCCTTTTCAACACGACCACCATCTCTCAAGTGGCCCCTGGCGAGGACTAGCTTCTGACACCCGGCCCCTGGGACCTGACAGGTCCACTCGTCCACCCACCCGGCCCCAAATCCCCCGGCCTGAACCCCCGGCCTTAAACACCCTCCCCCCACAACCCAGGCCCCAAAGTCTTGGGCCTTCATTAATTCTGTCAATAAAATGTTTCAAGGAAGCCATCTGCCCGCTTCAGTCACTTTGCCTTGGGGTGGGGGTGGGGGGGCGGTGAGATGGGTTGGGGGGTTGTGAGACCTCCACAGCTGGAGGGATGGAGAGGTGGTGGGGGTCTGGGGTTGGGTGGGAGCCAGGGATGGCACAGAGGAGCCGTCTCTCCGGGTGACAGTGCAGGGGAGTGGCCCTGGGTGGGAAGGGGACACCCCCGCTGGTTCTGAGCAAGTCAGGGCCTGCCCGGGAAAGTCCTCAGCATGATGGTGTTCGTTGGGGCGGGTGGGCCTCAAGACCATGACTGCAGTGTTGCGACAGGACGGACTTCTAAGGCAACCGGGGTGGGGACGGAGAGGTGGACCCGGTGCTTGGCAAGGGGCCCTGGACCGGAAGACGGAGGACTGAGTAGTCGGGGCGGGGGGGGGGGGGGGGGACAACAGTCCAGAAATGCGCAGACATGGAATTAGGGTCACGAGTTTCCTTTGGGTCATGTTCAGATGGAGAGGCTGTGGGATGCCTTTAGCAACCTAGACCACTTGCATTGCAGCCGAGCTAGCAGCAGCTGGTGCCCCGCCAGGCCCCGCGTACCTTCCCAGGGTCTTGGATCCGCATCCCCGAGACCCTCGATTTGCATACGCCGCTCACAGCCCGGCCAGGCCCCGCCTCCGATCCCGCTCTTTGCACCTCACCAGGGCAAGGGGCAGGCTCGGGCTGGGGAGCCGGCGCGGGCACGGCGGCAGCCCGCCGAGGGGGACGCAGGGCACGTCGCCCCGCCCCGGCCCGCCCGCCAGCTGCGGCGGCGCGTCGGGAAGTGCTTGGGGCGGCGAGCATGGCGGCAGCGGCTGCAGGCCTGGGCGGCGGCGGCGCCGGCCCGGGACCCGAGGCCGGGGACTTCCTGGCCCGCTACCGGCTGGTATCGAACAAGCTGAAGAAGCGGTTCCTGCGGAAGCCGAACGTGGCGGAGGCCGGCGAGCAGTTCGGACAGCTGGGCCGGGAGCTGCGCGCCCAGGAGTGTCTGCCCTACGCGGCCTGGTGCCAGCTGGCGGTGGCGCGCTGCCAGCAGGCGCTCTTCCACGGGCCCGGGGAGGCGCTGGCCCTCACCGAGGCCGCCCGCCTCTTCCTGCGGCAGGAGCGCGACGCGCGCCAGCGCCTGGTCTGCCCCGCCGCCTACGGGGAGCCGCTGCAGGCCGCCGCCAGCGCCCTGGGCGCCGCGGTGCGTCTGCACCTCGAGCTGGGCCAGCCGGCCGCCGCCGCCGCCCTCTGCCTCGAGCTGGCCGCCGCCCTGCGCGACCTGGGCCAGCCGGCCGCCGCCGCCGGTCACTTCCAGCGCGCCGCCCAGCTCCAGCTGCCCCAGCTGCCCCTGGCCGCGCTGCAGGCGCTTGGCGAGGCCGCCTCCTGCCAGCTGCTGGCGCGCGACTACACCGGCGCCCTGGCGGTCTTCACGCGCATGCAGCGCCTGGCGCGGGAGCACGGCAGCCACCCGGTGCAGTCACTGCCGCCGCCCCCGCCGCCGGCACCCCAGCCCGGGCCCGGGGCGACGCCCGCCCTACCGGCCGCGCTGCTTCCTCCGAACTCCGGCTCGGCGGCGCCCTCTCCCGCCGCCCTGGGCGCCTTCTCGGACGTGCTGGTCCGCTGCGAGGTGTCCCGCGTGCTGCTGCTGCTCCTCCTGCAACCACCGCCCGCCAAGCTGCTGCCGGAGCACGCCCAGACCCTGGAGAAGTACTCCTGGGAGGCTTTTGACAGCCACGGGCAGGAGAGCAGCGGCCAGCTTCCCGAGGAGCTCTTTCTGCTGCTCCAGTCTTTGGTCATGGCTACCCACGAAAAGGACACGGAAGCCATCAAGTCGCTGCAGGTGGAGATGTGGCCACTGTTGACTGCTGAGCAGAACCACCTCCTTCACCTCGTTCTGCAAGAAACCATCTCCCCCTCAGGACAGGGAGTCTGATCCATCCCATTCACCCAGTGACTTCTTTTTGCCCAGGCCGGGACTTTTTGCATCAGTCACGTTAACCAGATGACTTTGCCTGTTACCAAACCTCATGCATCCACGTTTGCGTCTGGGGAGGAATAAAAAGACATCGTTCCCGCTTCTGCGTTTTGTTATTCCTACTGCCGCCATAGGAATTATTTCGTTGGCTGAACGTTACCAGCACCCCGAGAACACATTTTGATAGAATCAGAGTAGAGGACATGGCTGTCTTCTAAAAAGCCACGACATGAAAATGACAATCCCTTTCGTCTCCTTCCTCCGCTGCTTCCACCCAACGCAGCCTCCTGCCTCCGCCTTTGTTTCATAGTGAGGATTTTATTTTGCACGGCGCCCTCCCTCTAAATACCTACCCTAGATGATTTCATCCTGCCCCTCACTTCTTAACATATTCCTGTGTCTTTGTAATGGCCAAATTTCTCCTTCCACTCGTCCGCACGGTACGTCTTCATGGGAGTCATTTTATTCCTTACAGCTTCCTTGTAACCACAGCCCTAAATCCATGATAAAGCTACTCTTGTACTCCTCATGTGTGGTTTTGGTGTCCGTCGTCTATAAAATGTGACTCTCTTACCTACTTGTCAGGAGGCCAGCAGCAGAACCAGATAGCTGTTTGGGCTCCAGGATGTATTCGTTCCTTTGAAATTTGCGCTATGCCTCCTATGTGGGCAACGAACCTGCAGAGATCATCTATGATGTGCTCCGTACTCGGGTGACTGCAATGCAGATACATCCAGTGCAGCGGGTCTGGTGCCGATGCATCGATTTGCATTGGAATTCACGGTTCTGGTTCCATTCGCAGAGGTATATGCAGTCTGGATCACAACAGCTTTTATTTGTAATAGGGATTTTTTTTTTTTTTTTCCCCCCCCGAGATGGAGTCTCACTCTGTCGCCCAGGCAGGAGCGCAGTGGCGTGATCTCGGCTCACTGCAACCTCCGCCTCCTGGGTTCAAGCGATTCTCCTACCTCAACCTCCAGGGTGCCTGGGATTACAGGCGTGCACCACCACGCTGGGCTAATTTTTGTATTTTTAATAGAGATGGGGTCTCACCATGTTGGCCAAGCTGGTCTCCAACTCCTGACCTCAAATGATCCACCCTCCTCGGCCTCCCAAAGTGCTGGGATTACAGGCATGAGCCACCACGCCTGGCCTGTAATAGGGATTTTGCTGCAACTTTTAGTTAAGTAGGTGAAATCAGAGTGCGTGGCCCTTTGGTGTTGTGCGATCACGTGACTGCAAGGCAGCCTCCGTGTTCCCCCAAAGCAGGATGGCGTTCCGTTTGAGAACACTTAAGTTTCCAAGGCTTTCTGCCTCAAATGGAGCATGCCCCCCAACTACGCTGTTTTCTTATTTATTGCGTCTTTTTAATCCTTTTGATGGTGACAACAAGAACTCTTCAGAATATAGCCTCTTTCTCAAACTTTCAACCCTGGGGAAATGCATCCTTTGGGCCGAAGTTGCACACAATCCTGATCTTCGGGGCTGAGATGTAAGGACACAGTTTGGAGTAGGTGTTTTTGTTTTGCGTCTTTTTGCAGGGGAGAGGTGTGGAGGGTTGTCACTGTGAGTTGAGTGCCTCCAAATGGGTGGGACTTGTAGGGTGTTCTTTTCTGCTTCTATTTCTATTTCGACAGTGTGGAAGTAATGGGAAGCACAGGAGAGGCCCATTCCACCATCATTCCTCTTTCTCTCACTTGGCTGCCAGGAAGGGTCCTACGGAGCCCTGAACGCCTAGCCCAAATTATTGTAAAAGCGGTTGAAGGGCTCATGCTCTTTTGCTCTTTGGCTCTTTCCTGGTATGCTCCTCTTAACCCGGGCTGCAGACCTGGCCGGCTGGCTTCTTGTCAGGTTCAGGAGTTACGGAGCATGACTGGTGACCAGTTTGGGATTTGGGCTTCAGGAGAAGCCTCCTTAGGCCTCTGGTCCAAACTCCTTGCGTCAGGGAGGTGAGGGGAAGGATAACCAGACGGTCAGGTAGTGGGTATCTGAGCATAATTCTAGGAAACACTAAAACTCCTCGTTTTCCATTTGCCGTGGGCTCATTCATGTATCTCCCTCAGAAGCTTAAGAGCAGTGATAACTGGGCCGAGGCCAGATTTCAGCAGTTTTGAGAATTCCCTCGTAATGTATCACATCAGTATCAAAAGTCAACACTGATTTCTAGCATGCCAAAAGCAAATACTTTCAGAGGACATGATTAGTTTGCTTTTTAACTTGAAAACAATTCCAAATTCACACTTAAAACAGTGTAAACCGTCGGAAATGGTGGCAGCGAAGCAGTGAACCCTTAAAGGCTGTTGGGGTTCCCCTTCTCCCCATTGTGAGGTACTCCCAAAAGGATAAATGTTGCTTATGAAAGAATATTTTATACGTGAATAGTACAAAGACAAAGACGTTTGAGAACCGCTACGCCGGAGGAAGGTGGTCAAGACTGAAATTAGCGTGTTAGGCAAGATCTGGTTCCTAGGTGCTGAGGATTCTGGTGCCAAGGATTAATGTTAACCGTGCAGGCATCTCTACCACCGTTAGAGGAGACCAGCAGCCCACAGACTCTTTCTGTCAAGGGCGGGATAGAAATGTGTTAGTCTTTACAGACCACAGGTGGTCTCTGTTGCACAGTCTTCTTTGTTTCTTTGTATGTTTGTCTTTGCAATCCTTTCAACGTGTAAAAACTATTCTTAACTCACAGTCCGTACAAAAGCAGGCTATGGGCCAAATTCTGGGGCTATAGTTTGCCCACCCCTGAATTAGAACCCAGGACATAGTAGTTGCTCAATAACTGTTTAATTTTTTTTTATTTCAATAACTTTTGGCTTACAAGTGCTTTTTGGTTAAATGGATGAATTATATAGTGGTAAATTCTGAGATTTTAGTGCACCCATCACCCGAGTAGTGTACATTGTACCCAATATGTAGTTTTCTTATCCCACACCCTCACACTCTTCCCCCTTGTGTGTCTCCAAAGTCCATTATATCACTCTGTATGTCTTTGCATTCTCATAGCTTAGCTCCCACTTACAGGTGAGAACACAGGGTAATTTGGTCTTCCATTCCTGAGTTACTTCACTTAGAATAATGGCCTCCAGCTCCATCCAAGTTGCTGCAAATGACATTATTCTGTTTCTCTTTATGGCTGAGTAGTTCTCCACGGTGTGTACATACCACATTTTCTATATCTACTCATTGGTTGATTGGTGCTTCGGTTCGTTCTATATCTTTGCATTTGTGAATTGTGCTGAAATAAACATATGTGTGCATTTGTGTTTTTCATATAATGACTTCTTCTCCTTTGGGCAGATACCCAGTAGTGGGATTGCTGGATCGCGTGGTAGATCTACTTTTAGTTCTTTAAGGAATCTCCATACTGTTTCCCATAGAGGTTATACATTCCCACCTAGCAGTGTATGCACCGTCCCTTTTCACCACATCCACGCCAACGTCTATTGCTTTTTGACTTTTTAATAATGGCCATTCTTGCAGGAGTAAGGTGGTATCTTATTGTGGTTTTAATGTGCATTTCCCTGATGATTAGTGATGTTGAGTATTTTTTCATATATTTTGTGGCTATTTGTATATCTTTTGACCAATGTTTATTCATGTTATTTGCTATTTGATGGGATTATTTTTATTTTTTTCTTGCTGATTTGTTGCATTCGTTGTAGATTCTATATACTAGTCCTTTGTTGGCTGCATAATTTGCAAATATTTTCTCCCATTCTGTGGGTTATCTGTTTACTCTGATGATTATTTCTTTTGCTGTGCATAGTGTTTTAGTTTAATTAGGTCCCATTTATTTTTTTTTCTGTTTCATTTGCTTTTGGGGTTTTAGTCATGAATTCTTTCTCTAGACCAATATCCAGAGACGTTTTTCAAGGTTATCTTTTAGAATTTGTATGGTTTCAGGTCTTAAATTTAAGTCTTTGTTCCATATTGAGTTGATTTTTGTATAAGGTGAAAAATAGGGATCCAGTTTCATTCTTCTACATGTGGCTAGCCAGTTTTCCTAGCACCATGTATTAAATAGAGTGTCCTTTCTCCAATTTATGTTTTTGTATGCTTTTTTTAGGATTAGTTGGTTGTTAAGTATTTGGCTTTATTTCTGGGTTCTCTATTCTGTCCCATTGTTCTATGTGCCCACTTTTATACCAGTTCCATACTGTTTTAGTAACTATAGCCTTGTATTATAAATTGAAGTCCAGTAATGTCATGCCTCCATATTTTTCTTTTAAATTATGATTGCTCTGGCTATTTGGGCTCTTTTTGGTTCCATATGAATTTTAAGATTGTTTTTTCTAAATCTTTGAAAAACAATGTTAGCATTTTGATGGGAAATGCATTGAATCTGTAGATTCCTTTGGGCAGTATGGTCATTTTCACAATATTGATTCTTCAAATCCATGAGCATAGGATGTGTTTCCATTTGTTTGTGTCATCTATGATTTGTTTCACCAGTGTTTTGTAATTCTCCTGGTAGAGATTTTTCACCTCTTTGGTTAAGTATATTCCTCGGTATTAAATTTTTTGCAGCTGTTGTAAAAGAGATTGCGTTTTTAATTTGATTTTCAGCTTGGTAATTGTTGGTGTATAGTAGTGTTACCAATTTGTGTACATTGACTTTGTAACCTGAGACTTTACTGAACTTGTTTATCAAATCTACGTGTCTTTTGGAGAAGTCTTCTAGGTATATGACCATATCATTAACAAACAGTGATAATTTGACTTTTTCTTTTTAAATTTGGATGGCCTTTATTTCTTTCTCTTGCTTGATTGCTCTGGGTAGGATTTCCAGTACTATGTTGAATAGAAGTGGTGAAAGTGGGCGTCCTTATCTTGTTCCAGTTCTCAGGGGGCATGCTTTCACCTTTTCCTATTCAGTTTGATATTGGCTGTGGGTTTGTCATATATAGCTTTTTTTTTTTAGACAAATCCCTTCTATGCCTATTTTGCTGGGGGGTTTTATCATAAAGCGATGCTGGATTTCATCAAATGCTTTTTGTGCATCTATTGAGATGATCATATGGTTTTTGTTTTTAATCCTGTTTATGTTGTGTATCACATTTATTGACTTGTGTATGTTAAACCTTCCCTGCATCCTTGGGATGAAACCCAGTTGATCATGGTGTATTGTATTTTTGATGTGCTGTTGGATTTGTTTACCTAGTATTTTGTTGAGGATTTTTCCATCTATGTTCATCAGGGATATTGGTCTGTAATTTTCTTTTGTTGTTATGTTCTTTCCTGGTTTTGGTATTAGAATGATACTGGCTTCATAGAATAATTTAGGGAGGATCCCCTTTCTCTATCTTTTGCAATAGGTTCAGTGGGATTGGTACCAGTTCTTCTTTGAATGTCTGGTAAAATTCAGCTGTGAATCTATCTGGACCTGAGCATTTTTGGTTGGCAATATTTTTTTTATTACTGATTCAGTCTTTCTGCTTGTGATTGGTCTGTTCAGGGTTTCTCTGTATTCCTTATTTTGAGACAGAGTTTCACTCTTGTTGCCTAGGCTGGAGTGCAATGGCAGGATCTCAGCTCACTGCAACCTCCACCTCCCAGGTTCAATCAATTCTCCTGCCTCAGCCTCCCAAGTAGCTGGGATTACAGGCACCTGCCACCATGCCTCATTAATTTTTTTGTATTTTTAGTAGAGATGGGGTTTCACCATGTTGGCCAGGCTGGTCTTGAACTCCTGACCTCAGGTGATCTGCCTGCCTCGGCCTCCCAAAGTGCTGGGATTACAGGCATGAGCCACTGCTCCCATCCAGCTTCCAGTTTAATGGAATCGTTGTTGTGTCTCCTGATGGCAGCATTCCTCCCTCTGGGGCTAAGACTTCTAGGCCAGCAGAATGTAATGTTGCGGGAACAGGAAGCAAAAATTTTGCTTCACTAGGGGTGATGGTGAGTGGTGCTACTTCCACTTCCACCCCTTGATTCCTGGACCCGTGAATCCTGGCTATGGGAGAAACAGTACCATATATTGGACGCTGATTGAGAGCATACATGGCCTTCTGGAGAACTTTGCCCCAGCCCTGCAAAGTATTGTCACCTAGTTGATGTTGTAATTGTAACTTCAAAAGGCCATTCCACCATTCTATCAATCCAGCTTCTTCAGGATGATGGGGAACGTGGTAAGACCAGTGAATTCCATGAGCATGAGCCCATTGCTACACTTCTTTAGCTGTAAAGTGAGTGCCTTGGTCAGAGACAATGCTGTGTGGAATACCGTGACGGTGGATAAGGCATTCCGTGAGTCCTCAGATGGTAGTCTTGGCAGAAGCATTGTGTGCCGGATAGGCAAACCCATATCCAGAGTAAGTGTCCATTCCAGTGAGGACAAACCTCTGCCCCTTCCATGATGGAAGAGGTCCAATATAATCAACCTGCCACCAGATAGCTCGCTGATCACCCCAAAGAATGGTGCCATATTGAGGGCTCAGCGCTGGTCTCTGCTGCTGGAAAATTGGGCACTCAGCAGTGGCCGTGGCCAGGTCAGCCTTGATAAGTGGAAGTCCATGTTGCTGAAACCATGTGTAACCTCCATCCCTGGCACCATGGCCACTTTGTTTGTGGGCCCACTGGGCGATGACGGGTGGCTGGGGAAAGAGGCTGAGGGGCGTCCACAGAACGGGTCATCCTATCCACTTGATTATTAAAATCCTCCTTTGCTGAGGTTACCCATTGGTGAGCACTCACATTGGATGCAAATATCTTCATAGCTTTTGACCACTCAGAGAGGTCCATCCATATGCCGCCTCCCCAAATTTCTTTGTCACCAATTTTCCAATTATGCTTCTTCCAAGACCCTGACCATCCAGCCAAACCATTGGCTACAGTCCATGAATCGGTATATAATCGTACTTCAGGCCACTTCTCCTTTCATGAAAAGTGCACAACCAGGTATACTGCTCAAAGTTATGCCCACTGGGAAGATTTCCCTTCACCACTGTCCTTCAGGGATGTCCTAGAAAGGGGCTGTAGTGCTATAGCTGTCCACTTTTGGGTGGTGCCAGCATATTGTGCAGAACCATCTGTGAACCAAGGCCTAGTCTTCTCTTCCTCTATCAACTGCTCATAGGGAACTCCCCATGAGGCCATAGGTGCAAGGTTGGGGGAGAGAAGGCAGGGTGGCAGGAGTAGAGACCGTGGACATTTGAACCATTTCCTTATGTAACTTACTTGTGCCTTCAGGACTTGCTTGAGCCCGATTGCATATATACCACTTCCATTTGATGATGGAATGCTGCTGTGCATGACCCACTTCATGGCTAGATGGGTCAGAAAGCACCCAGTTCATGACAGGCAGTTCAGGCGGTATGGTGACTTGGTGACCCATAGTCAAACATTCAGTTTCCACCAAAGCCCAGTAACAGGCCAAGAGCTGTCTCAAAAGGAGAGTAGTTATCTGCAGAAGATGACAGGGCCTTGCTCCAAAATCCTAGCGGCCTCTGCTGTGATTCACCTATGGGGGCCTGCCAAAGGCTTCAGACAGCAACCCTATCTGCCACTGACACCTCAAGCACCATTGGATCTGCTGGGTCATATGGTCCAAGTGACAAAGCATCTTGCACAGCAGCCTGGACCTGTTGCAGAGCCTTCTCCTGTTCTGGACCCCACTAAAAACTGGCAGCCTTTTGGGTCACTCGATAAATGGGCCAGAGTAACACACTTGAATGAGGAATGTGTTGCCTCCAAAATCCAAATAGGCCCACTGTTAGATCTGACATACAGCAATTACAGGACTCTTCAAAGATACAGGTGCTGCACTCACAAATCTATTTCTCAAGGCATTGGTCAAGGTTATATCTTTTGGACCCTCCAAGCTGGGATGAGTAGGTCTAAATTAACTAATTCACTCCACTATCCCAATCTCCCTAAGCCTTTGGATCCCTTCCTCTACATTAAACCAAGGGAGAGCAGGCATTTCAGCTCGCTCAAGTGGGCTATCTTTTAATCCATATTTCAGGTAACCAAGCAAATAAACTATTAGAACCTTATTTAACTACCCGAGCTGCAACATTAAATGCAGAGTCCCTACTTAGTGCGCCCAAATCAATAAATCCAGCCTGATCCAACTCTATGTTCCTTCCACCATTATCCCACACCCTTAATATCCATTCCCATGCCTGTTCTCCAGATTTCTGTTCATATAAATTAGAAAAGTCAAGCAGTTCTTTTTGAGTGTAGTGTTCCTCCTCATGGGTCACACTCTCAACCTCACCTCTAGAGGCCCACTGTGACTTTAGTCTAGTTATAGGTCTAGAAGCAAACAGGGGTATTAGGGTTGGCTCCTAAGGAGAATCAACATTATCTTGCCTGGCAACTGCCTCAGGGGAGGCCATCACTGTTGCCTCAGGCAGCACAGGGTTTATCTCTTCAGGCGAAGGTGGAAAGGCTGATGGCAGCATGGGTTAGGGAGAGGATGTTGCCACTACTGGGGATGGGGAAGCTGTTTCTTCTGGCAAAAAAGGTTCATCAGAGTTTACATACTCTGTGTCCCCAGCTTCATCAGGGTCCTCCCACATGTCCCCATTCCAAGTTGCAGGGTCCCATTCTTTTCCAATCAATGCCCTCACTTTAACAGTAGATGCCTGGTGAGGCTGTGCATGCACCTTTGGTTGCAGGTCAGCCACTCACGTGATAAGAGCCTGTGTCTGTTTTTCCACAATTTCAGCTCTTTCTCTACAAGAGATAACACTCTCACTCAGGGCAATCTCAGCAGATTTGAGGCTCAGTATCTGTTTCTGAAGCCAGGAGATAAAATCCATGAGTTCATTTTCTTTCATCACGTTGTCCGCTGAACTTAGGAGCAACCAACCGGCTTCATTATATTCCTTGGTCCCCCATATAAGGTCAAAGATATGATGTATAGAGTCACTAAATTCCTTGCCTCTCACAAACGGTGAATCAGGAGTGTTAAATGCATTTATTTTGCATAACTCTCTAAACAGTCTATGACAAGGACTATCAGTGTTCTCCATACTATTAGAAGTAGATTCCTTAGCATTTTTGAGTCTAATCGTATTAAGCAGCCAACTCCAGAAACCCCAAAACCAATGAAAGAACTCCATCCTTAATATTCTCTTCCTCTAGAACCACTCCTGGTACCAAAATCTGTCAGGGTTCTCTAGAGGGACAGAACTAATTATATATACAATTAGTTTATTAAGTATTAACTCACACAATCACAGTGTCCCACAATAGGCTGTCTGCAAGCGGAGGAGCAAGGAGAGCCAGTCTCAGTCCCGAAACTGAAGAACTTGGAGTCCAATGTTCGAGGGCAGGAAGCATCCAGCATGGGAGAAAGCTGTAGGCTGGGAGGCTAGGCCATTCTCATTTTTTTTTTCACATTTTTCTGCCTGCTTTATATTCTAGCCATGCTGGCAGCTGATAGATGGTGCCCACCCAGATTAAGGGTGGGTCTGCCTTTCCCAGACCACTGACTCAAATGTTAATCTCCTTTGGCAACACCCACACAGACACACCCAGGATCAATACTTTGCATCCTTCAATCCAATCAAGTGGACAATCAGTATTAACCATCACATAGGCTAACTAAAAAATGAGAGAATACTCAAATAAATGAAATCAGAAATGAAAGAGGAGACATTACAACTAATCACACAGAAATACAAAGGATCATAAGAGACTATTAGAAACAATTATATTTCAACAAATTGGATAATCTAGAAAAAAATGGATAAATTCTTAGAAACATATAACCAACCAAGATTGAATCATGAAGAAGTTGGAAATCTGAATGTACCAATAATGAATTAAGAAATTGAGTCACTAATCACTAGTCTCCCATCAAAGAAAACCCCAGGACCAGATAGCTTCACCCTGAATTCTACCAAACATTTAAAGATTAGCTAATAGCAATTTTTCTCAAACTCTTCCAAAAAAATCAAAGAGGAAGGAATATGTTCAAACCCATTTTCTAAGGCCAGCATCACCCTGATACCAAAACCTATCAGAGACACAACAAAAAAACAAAACTTCAGGTGACACAACAAAAAAACAGAACTTTGGTGAACATCGATGCAAAAATCCTCAACAAAATACTTTAAACCAAATCCAGCAACACATCAAGAAGTTAATCCATCAAGTAGGCTTTATCCTTGGGATGCAAGGTTAATTCAACATATACAAATCAACAAATGTGATTCATCACATAAACAGAACTAAAGACAAAAACCACATGATTATCTCAATAGATGCAGAAAAGGCTTTTCATAAAATTCAACACCCTTTATGTTAAAAAGAAACAATAAACTAGGTATTGAAGGAAAATATCTCAAAATAATATCCATCTATGACAAACCCACAGCCAACATTATACTGAATGGGCAAAAGCTGAAAACATTCCCCTTGAGAAACTGGCAGAAGACAAGGATGCCCTCTCTCACCACTCCTATTCACATAGTATTGAAAGTCCTGGCCAGAGCAATCAGGCAGGAGAAAGAAAGAAAGAAATAAAATTGGAAGAGAGGAAGTCAAACTATCCCTGTTGGTAGACGACATGGTTCTATATCTAGAAAACCTCATAGTCTCAGCCCCAAAGCTCCTTCAGGTGATAACTTCAGCAAAGTATCAGGATTCAAAATCAAAGTACAAAAATCCCTAGCATTCCTATATACTAACAGCAGCCAAGCCAAGAGCAAAATCAGGAATACAAACCCATTCACAGTTGCCACAAAAAGAATAAAATACCTAGGGATACAGCTAACTAGGGAGGTGAAAAGAGTTCTACAATGAGAATTACAAAACACTGCTCAAAGAAATCAGAGATGACACAAACAAAACATTGAAAAACATTCCATGCTCATAGATAAGAGGAATCAATATCATTAAAATGGCCATACTGCTCAAAACAATTTATAAATTCAATGCTATTCTTATCAAACTACCAATGACATTCTCCACAGAACTAGAAAAAACTGTTTTAAAATTCACATGGAATAAAAAAGGAGCCCAAATAGCCAAGGCAATCCTAAGCAAAAATAACAAAGCTAGAGGCATCAGGTGACCTGACTTCAAACTATACTGTAGGGCTACAGTAACCAAAACAGCATGGTACTGGTACAAAAACAGACACATAGACAAATGGAACAGAATAGAGAGCCCAGAAATAAGGTCACACACCTACAATCATCTGATCTTTGACAAACCTGACAAAAACAAGCAATGGGGAAAGGATTTCCTATTCAATAAATGGTGTTAAGATAACTGGCTAACCATATGCAAAAGATTGAAACTGAACCCCTTCCTTGCATCATACACAAAAAATAACTCAAGATGGATTAAAGACATAAATGTAAAACCCCAAACTATGAAAACCCTGGAAGACAACCTAGGCAATATCATCCTGGACGTAGGAACTGGCAAGATTTCATGATGAAGACAGCCAAAGCAATGGTGAAAAAAAAGCAGAAAATTGACAAATGGGATCTAATTAAACTAAAGAGCTTCTGCACAGCAAAAGAAACTATCAACAGAGTAAACAGACAACTTAAAGAATGGGAGAAAATATTTGTAAACTATGCATCTGACAAAGGTCTAATATCCAACATCTATAAGGAACTTAAGCAGATTTACAAGAAAAAAAAGGCCATAATAAAGAGGGCAAAGGACATGAATGGACACTTTTCAAAAGATGATATATGCAGGGAGCCGAAGGCCCCGTGGGACGTGACCAACTCAGCATTCCACTGGAGGCTATATGATCAAACAGCAAACTGTTTATGATGAATGCAGGATGTGGGCAAACTCACGACTGCTCCCGCTGCCAGAAGGTTTGCTGAGGGCAATCGCTTCCTGGCACGAGCTCCTTGAGGTTATCTACTGGGACATCTAGAGAATGCAGTCTTGCAAGCCTACTCTGGACTGAGCAGCTGACTCCTTCCTTCCATCCCCCCTTCTCACTATCTCTTTTGCCTAATAAATACAGAGGGCTATGTAAAGCTCAGGGCCCTTGTCCACTAGAGGCAAGGTGCCCCCTGACCCCTTCTTCCAAAAATACTCTTTTGTTTTTGTCTTTTATTCCTGCATTTGCCCTCTTTGTTCAGTCCCCCTAGTTCTGTGCAGGTTACAGACATACATGCAGCCAACAAGCATATTTTAAAAAGCTCAATATCACTGATCATTAGAGAAATGCAAATCAAAACCATAATGAGATATAATACCATCTCACCCCAGTAAGAATGGCTATAATTTAAAAGTCAAAAAATACCAGATGCTGGTGAGGTTGCAGAGAAAAGGGAACCCTTATACACTATTGGTGAGAGTGTAAATTACTTCAACCATTGTGGAAAACAGTGTGGCGATTCTTCAAAGGGCTAAAAACAAAACTACCATTCAACCCAGCAATCCTAGTACTGGGTATATACCCAAAGGAATATAAATCACTCTACCCTAAAGACACAGGCATGTGTATATTCATTTCAGCACTATTCACAATAGCAAAGACAGGAAATCAATCTAAATGCCCATCAATGGCAGATTGGATAAAAAAAATGTGGTACTTATCCACCATGGAATACTATGCAGTCATAAAAAAGAACGAGAGCATGTCCTTTGCAGGAACATGGATAGAGTTGGAGGCCATTATCCTTAGTAAACTAATGCAGAAACACAAAACAAAATACTGCTTATTCTCATGTATGAGAGCAAAATGATGGAAAGGCATGGACACAAAGAGGGGAACAACAGACACTGGGACCCACTTGAAAGTGGAGGGTGGGAGGAGGGAGAGCATCAGAAAAAATAACTACTAGGTACTAGGCTTAGTATCTGAGTTACAAAATAATCTGTACAACAAACCTCTGTGACATGAGTTTGCCTACATAGCAAACAGGCACATGTATCTCTGAACCTAAAATAAGTTATTTAAAAACAGAAAAGAAGACTGCAGGACAATATAACTGATGAACATAGGTGCAAAAATCCTAAACAAAATACTACCAAACCATATTTACCGGTACATTAAAAGGATTTTTCACCATGATCAAGTGGGATTTATTCCTGGGATGTAAGGTTGGTTCAATATATGCAAATCAATAAATGTGATTCACCACATTAATAGAATAAAGGACAAAAAGCACAGGATCATGTCAATAAATGCAGCAAAATCATTTCATAAAATTCAACATTTTTTATGATTAAAAACTCTCCACAAATAAAATGAATGTTTCTCAACACAATAAAGGCCAGCCATGTATAAGAAGCCCACAGCTAAAATTATACTAAATGGCAAAAAGTTAAAGGCTCTTTCTCTAAGATCAGGAACAAGACAAGAATGCTTATTCTCACCACTTCTGTTCAACATTGTACTGGAAGTCCTAGCCATAGCAATTAGACAAGAGAAAGAAATAAAAGTCATGAAAATACAAAAGGATAAAGTGAAACTGTCCGTGTTTGTTAATTTCTTCTTCTTCTTCTTCTTCTTCTTCTTCTTCTTCTTCTTCTTATTATTATTATTATTATTATTATTATTTTGAGATGGAGTCTCACTCTGTCACCCAGGCTGGAGTGCAGTGGTGCAATCTCACCTCACTGCAACCTCCACCTCCCAGGTTCAAGCGATTCTCCTGCCTCAGCCTCCAGAGTAGCTGGTACTACAGGCATGTGTCACCACGCCCAGCTAATTCCTTTTTTGTATTTTTAGTAGAGACAGGGTTTCACCATGTTGACCAGGATGGTCTGTATCTCTTGACCTCATGATCCGCCCACCTTGGCCTCCCAGTGTGCTGGGATTACAGGCATAAGCCACCGCGCCCAGCCTACATAATATTATATATAGAAAACCCTGCAGACTGTGCCAGAAAACTATTAGAATTGATAAGGAAGTTCAATGAAGTTCCTGATACAAAATCAACTTACAAAATTCAGTAGCATTTCTATACACTAAAAACAAACTATCTGAAAAAGAAATTAAGAAAACAATCTCATTTACAATAGCAAAAAGTAATACATGAGTAAATTTAACCAAGGAAGTTAAATATCTGTATACCAAAAATGATAAAATATTTATGAAAGAAATTAAAGATGACATAAGTGGAAAGATATCCTGTGTTCACGGAGTGAAATAATTACTACTGTTAAAATCTCCATACTACCCAAAATGACTTACAGATTCAATGCAATCCTTATCAAAATTCCAAGTCATTCTTCATAGAAATAGAAAAAGAAACTAAAATTTTTATGGAACCAAAAATGACACCTAACGGCTAAAGCAATCTTTACCAAAAAGAATAAAGCTAGAGGCATCCCACTATCAAATTTCAAAATACATTACAAATCTATAGTAATCAAAGCAGCATGGTACTGGCACAAAAACAGACACATCAACCAATAGAATAGAATACAGAGCCCAGAAATAAACTCACACAAGTATGGTCAATTGATTTTTGACAAAGGTGCCAAGAACACACATTGGAGAAAGGACAGTCCCTTCAGTAAATGGTGTTGGGAAATCTAGACATCAGAAGAATATTAAAAATATATTTTTATATTTATAATGGTGTTGGGAAATCTAGATATCAGAAGAATATTAAAAATATATAAGGAACTCAAACTACTTGGTAACAAGGAAACAAATAACCCTATTAAAAATGGGCAAAGTACCTGAACAGACATTTCTCAAAAGAAAGCATACAAATGGCCAATAGATACATGAAAACATGCTCAACATCTATAATCATCAGCAAAAATTCAAGTTAAAACCACTATGCGATATCACCTCACACCTGTTATTTTGGCTATTTTCAAAGAGACGAAAGATAATAAATGTTGGTGAGGATGTAGAGAAAAGGGAACACTTATACATTCTTGGTAGTATTATAAATTAGTACACCTATTTTGGAAAACAATATGGAGATTCCTTGAAAAATTCAAAATAGAACTACCATATGATCCAGCAATCCCACTAGTGGATATATAGCCAAAGGAAATAATACTGAAGAGATGTCTGCACTCCCATGTTCATTGCAGCACTATCACAATAGCCAAGATATGAAATAAACCTGTTTCCATCAACAGATGTAATGGATTTTTAAAATGTGGTGTGTGTATACATACACACACACACACACACACGCACACACACACATATAGCTATATACACACACATGCACACAATGTAATATTATTCAACCTTAACAGAAATTTTTGCCATTTGCAACAACACAGATAAACTTAGAGGACATTATGCTAAGTGAAATAAACCAGGCACAGAGAGACAAATATTACATTATCTGACTTATATGTGCAATCTAAAAAAGTCAAATTTATAGAAGTAAAGAGTAGAATGGTAGTTGCCAGGGGCTGGAGTAGGGGAGTGGACAGGGAAAGGGGAGACATTGTTCAACAGGTACAAAGTTTCAGTTACATAGAAGAAATAAGTTCTGGTGATCTATTGCACAGCACAGTAACTATAGTTGATAATAATGTATTGTATATTTTGAAATAGCTACAAGGGAGGATTTTAAATGTTCTCACCACTAAAAATGCTGATTATTATGAATTTATCATTCTACATTGTATACATGCATAAAATATGTTGTACCCCATAAATATATATAATTATTATTTGTCAATTAAAAACAGACTACCTACTGAACTGTGCACTTTAGTTATTTTTGTTATATAAATTTACTTCAATTAAGAATTAAAATTAAAAATTTTTAAATGAAGGAGAAATTTTAAAAGTGAATCAAATAATTTGGTACCCAATATATCCTTTCATGGTGTAAAAATGAAAAGTGGCCCAGGGAAAAGAAATTAAGGCTGCAGGTCTTCCACAGATGTCTGTAAGATTTGAGGTACCTAAAATTAAGTAGAGAGAAAGAGAATGTGTTTTAACAATAATTGTGGGCGTAGCTGTTCGTACATGAATCTGACCAGAGCAAAATAGCTAAAACTTTGGAATAAATTGAGGGAGACATACTGTCAAAATAAAAATAAGTCTGGACTAATAGAAAATATGATGGTTGTAGACTTAAAATAATCCTTTGGCCTCTAACCTTTTATGGGTGAGAAACAGGCCCAGCAGCACCTAAAATTGGAATATTTCATATAGTACCAAAGAGGATAATAGAAAAGGAAAGATTTTCTGTAGGAGAGTTCCAAGAGTCATAAATAACAATAGGCTGGGAGAGATACTCTCAAGGAACAGAACAAGAGCCTAATTAAGGAATATTTCCCACCTTCAGTCATTTTCAGTTCACATGTCTCTGTATCAAAAGGAGTCCCATCTGGACTTGATGACATTACCACATAACACCTAGAAATCTTAGACTTTTGAGCTCTAAACAATGACTGATTAGTAATTTTTGACTTATTGATCCTTTGACACGGGCAATTGTATTGTGTATGTTTAATATTTGGTGACTAGAGGACAGCTCACAGTAAATGCTTTCAGTCTTTATCAAATATTCCAGCTTTTCAACACAAGGTGCTACTTTCCATAGAAGAATTATACATCTCTTTTTTATTAAACCCAGGAGTGGTCATGTGACCTGCCTATGAATGAAATGCTTAACAAATATTTACTGTGCACCTAAGATTGCTAGGTGCTTTACTTCTGGTGACACAACTATAAAGATAAATAAAGTCCTTGCATTGAGAAAGCATATGATCTTCCCAATAGAGAGATGTATGAAACCGAGCCTTCTTGCCCTGCTCACTAAGACTCACAGCAGTATTTGTATAAGAAACACAAACATGTTTTGAAAAAAGGTTTGAGAAGTAAATCTTTAATGAAGTCCTACAGAAGCCTAGGAATAGTTGTAGTGTGAAGGAATTATACTGAAGAAGGGAAAAGGAATTTTTTTAAAAAAATGCTGCTTTGGTCTACAAATACCCTTTCAACTTTAGGAAATGAAAGTAAAGAATATTACCTTTTTAGAAACATATTTAGGTATTGAACTATGCTTCTTAGACATGACACTGCTCACAGCCTAAAGCACATCAGCTTTACAAGTGTTAAAACACAGAAAAATATTTCTTTTAAGTCCATTTAGATGTCTCTCATTCTAAAGCTCCACTCATTACCACAGCTGCTGTCTCAAATAGCTCTATGCTTTATCTTAGAAGGTAATCGTGATGAAAATATTTAAGTTTTTGTTCCTGCACAGTCAAAATAAGAATACAAAATGCAAATGTGTGTGTAAAATGGGAATTTTCCTGTCACAGAACTGCTATTGAGGACAATAGGACCAAGTAACTCTACATTAAAGAGAGGTATTTGAGGCCGGGCGCAGTGGCTCACGCCTGTAATCTCAGCACTTTGGGAGGCTGAGACGGGCGGATCACGAGGTCAGGAGATCGAGACCATCCTGGCTAACACGGTGAAACCCCGTCTGTACAAAAAATGCAAAAAATTAGCCGGGCGTGATGGTGGGCGCCTGTAATCCCAGCTACTCAGGAGGCTGAGGCACGAGAATCGCTGGAACCCGGGAGGCGGAGCTTGCAGTGAGCCGAGATCCCGCCACTGCACTCCAGCCTGGGCGACAGAGCGAGACTCCGTCTCAAACAAACAATAAAAGGTATTTGACCAACCATCTGGGAAGGACTTACTAAGAGCTGACTCCAAAACAGTTTTGTGACTTCTAGCCTACCATCATCCACCTTTAGGCTGTACAAAAGAATGTGAGAGTGCTTGAGGAAAGAGGCTAGTAGCACAATTTTTTAAAGGGTCTTCTATCAAGTGATGGGGTGTGGAATGCTGTTTCCCCTCTCTGGTTAAGTTATCTCCACAACTCTCTCCCTTTTCAAATGAGGAAAATTTTAACCTCATAAAGCATGGATGTGTTTGCCAAGAGGAAAGATTTACTTCTCACTCCCAGCCCTACACCACTCTTACAGGATCTTTGCTGAGAAGGAAAAATGTATAGGCCTTTCCTGTGCTATTACTGAAGTAAAACATGTAAGAAAGTTCTTGGGTGAAATTTATCTGTATCTCCTGAAGTTTGAAGGGCACCGATATTGGTAACTGACTTTTCCTAGTAAATTCCAAACATAAGAAGCCAGCTGGTGCTGTTTGGAATAACAAAGTACAGAGATGAAGCTGGTAAGAAGAAGCTTTCACTGTCCAAGTTTTGGTGGAAAAATATGGCCTATTACTTCCCTTGGGTGAGATCAGACATCAAAGAAGGTAGCTGGGTACATCTTGAGAGGATCCTTTCCTAGAGATCTTTCTGTTGAAGTGAGGTGAACCCCAGAAAAAAGAGGCTATGTGGGTTCTACTGTAAGTTCATAAAGGGTAGGAAAAAGAGTGCATTGTTACACCAAAGAGCAGTGCAGTATTGAAGGTCTCAAAAGAATGCACAAATGCACTCCAAATGAAAACAGCCAACGTTTTGCCATCTAGAGGGCATCCAGTGCCATCTGGAAGGCACTAATTCCAGATTACAGTGGCACTATTCAATTAAAACCATTTTGCCTCCTTACTTTTCTCTTCTACTCCAATGTATCCCCAATTCTCAAAGGATCTAGAAGCAGTATAATGATTTGGAGGATAGAAATTCTCAGGAACAGTATATAAAATGGCATTGTTTTGTATATTTACATAAATAGATTAAAATATGAGTATAGGACAAGATATAATGAAAATGACCATGTAAATTTGAAAAACCAAAGAGAATTCTAGAAATAAAAATATACCAATTTTAATTAAAACTCATCTGATCAGTTTGATGGCAGATCAGATACAGCTGAAATTAGAAAACTAAGATAGACCAAAAGACATTACTTGAAACTCAGCACAGAGACAAAAAATAAATACAAGAGATGGAGAACATGAAGGATAGAGCATAATGGTTTACTATATAATCGGAGGTGTAGAAGGAGGAAAGAGAAAAAACAGAGCAGAGGGAATATATGGTTATAAAGGCAGATATTTCCCAGAACTGACAGAAGACCAGTCCACAGATTCAGAAATTTCAATGAATCTCAATCAGGATGAATAAAAAGAAATTTACACTTAGACACTGCATTTAGAAAACAAATTTACAAGAAAAAAACAAACAACCCCATCAAAAAGTGGGCAAAGGACGTGAACAGACACTTCTCAAAAGAAGACATTTATGCAGCCAAAAAACACATGAAAAAATGCTCACCATCATTGGCCATCAGAGAAATGCAAATCAAAACCACAATGAGATACCATCTCACACCAGTTAGAATGGCAATCATTAAAAAGTCAGGAAACAACAGGTGCTGGAGAGGATGTGGAGAAATAGGAACACTTTTACACTGTTGGTGGGACTGTAAACTAGTTCAACCCTTGTGGAAGTCAGTGTGGCGATTCCTCAGGGATCTAGAACTAGAAATACCATTTGACCCAGCCATCCCATTACTGGGTATATACCCAAAGGACTATAAACCATGCTGCTATAAAGACACATGCACACGTATGTTTATTGTGGCACTATTCACAATAGCAAAGACTTGGAACCAACCCAGATGTCCAACAATGATAGACTGGATTAAGAAAATGTGGCACATATACACCATGGAATACTATGCAGCCATAAAAAATGATGAGTTCATGTCCTTTGTAGGGACATGGATGAAATTGGAAATCATCATTCTCAGTAAACTATCACAAGAACAAAAAACCAAACACTGCATATTCTCACTCATAGGTGGGAATTGAACAATGAGAACACATGGACACAGGAAGGGGAACATCACACTCTGGGGACTGTTGTGGGGTGGGGGAGGGAGGGATAGCTTTAGGAGATATACCTAATGCTAAATGACAAGTTAATGGGTGCAGCACACCAGCATGGCACATGTATACATATGTAACTAACCTGCACATTGTGCATATGTACCCTAAAACTTAAAGTATAATAATAATGAAAAAAAAAAGAAATCAAGGGAATATTTTACACTGCTGGTGGGAATGTAAACTAGTGCAACCATCATGGAAAACTATGGAGATTCCTTAAAGAACTAAAAGTAGAACTACCATTTGATCCAGCAATCCCTGGGTAGATTCCTACCCAGAGGAAAAGAAGTAATTATACAAAAAAGATACTTGCACATGCATGTTTATAGCAGCACAATTCACAATTGCAAGAGTATGGAACCAGCCCAAATGCCCATCAATCAACCAGTGGATAAAGAAATTGTGGTATATATACCACGGAATACTATTCAGCCATAAAAAGAAATGAAATAATGGCATTCACAGAAACCTGGATGGAATTGGAGACCACTATTCTAAGTGAAGTAACTCAGGAATGGAAAACCAAACATCGTATGTTATCACTCATAAGTGGAAGCTAAGCTATGAGGATGCAAAGGCATAAGAATGATACAATGGACTTTGGGGACTTGGGGGAAAGGGTGGGAGAGGGGTGAGGGATAAAAGACTACAAATTGGGTAAAATGTACACTGCTTGGGTAATGGGTGCACCAAAATCTCACAAATTACCACTAAAGAACTTATTCATGTAACCAAACATCACTTGTTCCCCCAAAACCTATGGGAATAAAAATTTAAATAAAAAAGTAATCAAAGACAATCAAAGTAGCTTAATAAATGGAGAGAAAGGAAAGATCTTCGTTAAAAAGGAATTCCAACTGATAAATGTAGAAGGAATGATGAAATTGGAAAATCACTATTTTGCAACCGAAATAGGAATAAATGATTGAGGCAAGAATCATTAATGGTGAGTTAAAGTTTATTGAGGAGTAAGACATTCGTATACAATTATCTCTTGGTATACATGGGTGATTGGTTCCAGGACCTCCATGTATACCCAAATCCATGCATACTCAAATCCATGCATGCTCAAGTATCACAGTCTGCACATATATGAAAAGTTGGCCCTCCATAAATGTGAGTTTTGCATCCCCCAAATACTGTATTTTTGATCTGGCTTTGACTGAAAACATCTATGTATAAGTGGACCCATGCAGTTCAAACCCTCATTGTTCAAGGGTCAACCGTAGTCTTAGAGTGTCTTCCTACAAGACACATGTTACTTACAAAAGAAAAATTTGTTGCTTTACAGTGGGAAAAGCTGGAACACACCACCTTAACCAAGTTATCCAAGGTAACATCATCAGTAATGGGACAGATAAATATCAGGCTCACCTACTACAATACACTGAGTACACAATGTTACTTCTGTGTTATTTCTTCCAGTAGTGCATAACATGCACCTAATCATAAGAAAACATCAGAAAAACCTGAACTGAGGGACATTCTACAAAATGACTGGTCTGTTCTTCAAAGTTGTCGAGGTCATAAGGAAAAGGAAAGATTGGGGAACCATTCCAGATTGAAAGAGACTAAAAAAATCATGAAAACTAAATGCAACATACAATCATGTATTAAATCCTGGATAAGAAAAATTATGAGGAGTCTTATTGAAACAATTGAAAAAAAATTGAAAAAGATCTGCGCATTAAGTGATAGTTTTATATCAGTATTAACTCCCAAATTTCAAGGGTTGTACTATAATAATGAATGAAAGATTGCTTGTATTTTTAGACACACACTGAGCTACTTAAAGGTATTGAATATCATATCTATGACGTATTATCAATGCGTTCAGAAAAATGCTATTATATATATATTAGTAATATAAAGAGAGATAGATGGTTATATGATATAATAATAAAGCAAATGTGGTAAAACAAAGTTTTTAATGGGGAATGTGGGTGAATTCTTTGTATTATTCTTGAAAGTTTTCTGTATGTTTGAAATTATTTCAAAATATGAAGTTTAAAAGCATTATGGGAACCTAGTTTTCTCAACTTCGGGAGGCCAAGGCAAGCAAATCACTTGAGGCCAGGAGTTCAACACCAGCCCAGCCAACATGGTGACACCCCGTCTCTACTAAAAAACACAAAAAGTAGTTGGGTGTGATGGTGTGCGCCTGTAGTCCCAGCTACTCGGGAGACTGAGGCAGGAGAATCACTTGAACCCAGGAGGCAGAGGCTGCAGTGAGCCAAGATTGCACCACTGCACTCCAGCCTGGGTGACAGAGCAAGACTCTATCTCAAAAAAAAAAAAAAATAGAAGAAAAGGAGAAGATACCAATTCTGAATGTGGAAAGCAATAGAATGGATAAAGATATAACAGGCAAATGCAAACTATGAAAATTTGATGTAACTATATTACACTGAACACAATAAACATTAGGGTAAGGGAATGTACTAAATATTAAAAAAAGGTCACTGCATAAGAATAAAAGGGTCAACACAGCAGGATGATATTTATAAACCTTAGTCAAGTAAAAACGTAGCCTCAACATTTATGAATCAAAAATTTACAGGAATAAAAGAGAAATGTAAAAACTGAACATTATTACCTTCTTCAGTAACTGATAGAAGAAGCAATCATAAATTCAATAAATGTATGAATATTGGTTTAATACAATTAGTACTTTTGATCTAATGGTGACAAACAGAATACTACACCCACCTCCCAGACAAGGACTTCAAAATAGCTGTCTTGAGAAAGTTCAACGAACTTCAAGATAATGCAGAGAAGGAATTCAAAACTCTACTGGAGAAATTTAACAAAGAGATTGAAATAATTTTAACAAATCAAGCAGAAATTCTAGAGCTGAAAAATTCAACTAACAAATTTTAAAAAATGCACCAGGGTCTCTTTGCAGCAGAGTCAAACAAGCAGAAGAAAAAAAATAGTGAGCTCAAAGACAGGCTATATGAAAATACATGGTCAGGGGCAAAAAAAGAATAAAAACAATGAAGCCTGCCTACAAGATCTAGAAAATAGCCTCAAAATAGCAAGTCTAAGAATTATTGACCTTAAACAGAATATAGAGAAATAGATGGGGGTGTAAAGTTTATTCAAAGATATAATAACAGAGAACTTTTGAAACCTAGAGAAACATATAAATATCCAGGTATAAGAAAGTCAAAGAACACCAGGTAGACTCAGCCCAAATAAGACTACCTCAAGTTATATAATAATCAAAATCTCAAAGGTCAAGGAAAAAGTAAGGATCCCAAAGGTAGCAAGAAAAAAAGAAGCAAATAACATATAAGAGAGCTTCAATACATATCTGGCAGACTTCTCAGCAAAAACCATACAAGCCAGGAGGAAATAGGATAACGTATTCAAAGTGCTGAAGGAAAAAAAAAAACTTCTAACCTGGAATATTATATCTAGCAAAACTATCCTACAAACATGACGAAGAAATAAAAATTTTTCTGCCAAACAAAAGCTGAGGTATTTTGACTTTATATCGTAGCCATTCTGACTGGTGTAAGATGGAATCTCATTGTAGTTTTGATTTGTATTTCTCTAATCATTAGTGATAATGAGCATTTTTTTCATATGCTTGTCAGCCACATGTCAGCCATATGTCTTCTTTTGAGAAATGTCTGTTCATGTTCTTTGCCCATTTTTAATGAGGTTATTTGTTTTTTACTTGATGATTTGTTTAAGTTCATTATGGATTCTGGATATAAGACCTTTGTCAGATGTACAGTTTGAGAATATTTTCTCCCATTTTGTAGTTTGTCTGTGTATTCTGTTGATAGTTTCTTTTGCTGTACACAAGCTCTTTAGTTTAATTAGGTCCCACTTGTCAATTTTTGTTTTTGTTGCAAATACTTTTGGGGACTTAGTCATAAATTGTTTGCCAAGGCCAATGTTCAGAATGATGTTTCCTAGCTTTTCTTCTAGGGTTTTTGTTGTTTTGGGTCTTACATTTAAGTCTTTAATCCATCTTGAGTTGAATTTTGTATATGGTGACAGGAAGGGGTCCAGTTTCAATCTTCTGTATATGGATAGCCTGTTATCCTGCACCATTTATTAAATAAGGACTCCTTTTCCCATTTTCATTGTTGAGTTTGTCAAAGATCAAGTTGTTGTAGGTGTGTGACCTTATTTCTAAGTTCTCTATCCTGTTTCATTGGTCTATGTGTCTGTTTTTGTGCCAGTACCATGCTGTTTTGGTTACTGTAGCCTTGTAGTATAGTTTCAGGTCAGGTAGTGTGATGCCTCCAGCTTTGTTCTTTTTGCTTAGGGTTACTTTGGTGATTCATGCTCTTTTTTGGTTGCATATGAATTTTAGAATAGTTTTTTCCTAATTCTGTGAAAAATGATGTTGGCCATTTGCTAGGAATAGCATTGAATCTATAAATTTCTTTGGTCAGTATGGCCATTTTAACAATATTAATTATTTCAATTCATAAGCATGGGGTGTTTTACCATTATGTTTGTGTCATCTCTGATTTATCTCAGCAGTGTTTTATAGTTCTCCTTGTAGAGATATTTCACCTCACTGTTTAGATGTTGATATGGTTTGACTGTGTCTGCATTTAGATGTTCATATGGTTTGACTGTGTCTGCACCCAAATCTCATCTTAAATTGTAGCTCCCAAAATTCCTATGTGTTATGAGAGGGACCCAGTGGGAGATAACTGAATCATGGGGGCAGTTTCTCCCATACTGTTCTGCTGGTAGTGAATAAGTCTCATGAGATCTGATGGCTTTATAAAGAAAAACTCCTTTCACATGGTTCTCATTCTCTCTTTGCCTGCTGCCATGTAAGATGTGACTTTCACCTTCCACCATGATTGTAAGGCCTCCCCAGCCACATGTAACTGTGAGTCCATGAAACCTCTTTTCCTTTATAAGTTGCCCAGTCTTGGATATGTCTTTATCAGCGGAGTGAAAATGGACTACTACAGTAATTTGGTACTGGTAGAGTGGGGTGCTGCTGTAAAGATACCTGAAAATGTAAAAGCAACTCTGGAACTGGGTAACAGGCAGAGGTTGGAAAAGTTTGGAGGGCTCAGAAGAAGACAGGAAAATGTGGGAAAGTTTGGAACTTCCTAGAGACTTGTTGAATGGCTTTCACCAAAATGCTGATAATTACATGAATAATGAAATCCAGGCTGAGGTGGTCTCAGATGGAGATGAGGAAATTTTTGGGAACTGGAGTAAAGGTGACTCTTGCTATATTTTAGCAAACAGACTGGTAGCATTTTGCCCCTGCCCTAGAGATCTGCGGAACTTTGAACTTGAGGTAGATGATTTAGGATATCTGGTGGAAGAAATTTCTAAGCAGCAAAGTATTCAAGAGGCAACTTGGGTGCTGTTAAAAACTTTCAGTTTTATAAGGGAAGCAGAGCATAAAAGTTCAGAAAATTTGCAGCCTAACAATGTGATGGAAAAATAAAAACACACTTCCTGGGGAGAAATTCAAGCCAGCTGCAGAAATTTGCATCAGTAATGAAAAGCCAAATGTTAATCACCCAGACAGTTGGGAAAATGTCTCCAGGGCACATTTGAGGTCTTCATGGCAGCCCTTCTCATCATGGGCTCAGAAGCCTAGGAGGAAAAAATGTTTTCATGGGCTGGGCCCAGGGCCCCTCTGCTGTATGCAGTCTATGAACTTGGTGTCCTGCATCCCAGCTGCTCTAGCTGTGGCTAAAAGGGGCCAAGATACAGCTTAGGCTGTGGCTTTAGAAGGTGCAAGCCCCAAGCCTTGGCAGCTTCCATGTGGTGTTGAGCCTGTGAGTGCACAGAAGTCAATAATTGAGGTTTGGGAACCTCCACCTATATTTTAGAGAATGTATGTAAATGCCTGGATGTGCAGGCACAAGTTTGCTGCAGGGGTGGGACATTCATGGAGAATCTCTGCTACAGCAGTGTGGAAGGAAAATGTCAGGTGGGAGCTCCCACAAAGAGTCCCCACTGGAGCACTGTCTAGTAGAGCTGTGAGAATATGGCCACCATCCTCCAGCACCCAGAATGGTAGATCTACCAACAGCTTGTACCATGCACCTGGAAAAGCCGCAGACAGTCAACACCAGCCTGTTAAAGCAGCCAGGAGGGGAGCTATACACTGCAAAGCCACAGGGGCAGAACTATCCAAGTCCATGGGAACCCACCTCTTGCATCAGTGTGACCTGGATGTGAGACATGGAGTCAAAGGAGATCATTTTGGAGCTTTAAGATTTGACTGTCCCACTGGATTTTGGACTTGCAAGGGGCCTGTAGCCTCTTCATTTTGGCCAATTTCTCCCATTGGGAATAGATGTACTTACAGAATTCCTGTACACCCATTGTATCTAAAAAGTACCTAAATTGCTTTGATTTTACAGGCTCATAGGTGGAAGTGACTTGCCTTGCTCAGATGAGACTTTGGACTGTGGACTTTTGAGTCAATGCTGAAATGAGTTAAGACTTTAGGGGGACTGTTGGGAAGGCATGATTGGTTTTGAAATGTGAGGACATGGGATTTGGGAGGGGACGGGGCAGAATGATATGATTTGGCTGTGTCCCACCCAAATCTCATCTTGAATTGCAGGCTCCCATAATTCCCATGTGTTGCGGGAGGGACCTGGTGGGAGATAATTGAATCATGGGGGTGGTTTCCCCCATATTGTTCTCATGATAGTGATTAAGTCTCATGAGATCTGATGGCTTTATAAAGGAAAACCCCTTTCACTTGGTGCTCATTCTCTTTTTGCCTGCTGGCATCTAAGATGTGCCTTTCACCTTCCACCATGATTGTGAGGCCTTCCCAGCCACATGGAACTGTGAGTCCATTAAACCTCTTTTCCTTTATAAATTACTCAGTCTTGGGTATGTCTTTATCAGCAGTGTAAAAACGGACTAATACAGATGCATTCCTCCATATTTTATTTTTGGTGTGACTATTGTAAATGGGATTGCATTCTTAATTTGGTTCTGAGCTTGGGTGTTATTGGTGTATAGAAATATTACTGATTTTGGGCCGGGCGCGGTGGCTCATGCCTGTAATCCCAGCACTTTGGGAGGCCGAGGTGGGTGGATCACGAGGTCAGGAGATTGAGACCGTCCTGGCTAACACAGTGAAACCCCATCTCTATTAAAAATACAAAAAAAAAAAAAATTAGCCAGGCATGGTGGTGGGCGCCTGCGGTCCCAGCTACTCGGGAGGCTGAGGCAGGAGAATGGCATGAACCCGGGAGGTGGAGCTTGCAGTAAGCCAAGATTGCGCCACTGCACTCCAGCCTGGGTGACAGAGCCAGACTCCATCTAAAAAAAGTAGATGATGGAAACTACCTTTGAGAAAGCTCATGTCTCTTAGTTTTTTGATCTTTTCTTTTGCTTTTCTAGTTTCTACTACTAAAAAAATCAAAGATAACAAGGGTTGGCAAGAATATAGAGAAAAGTGAACCCTTGTACATTTGTGGTGACAATGTAACCAATACAGCCATTATGGGCAATTGCATGGAGTTTCCTCAAAAAATTACAAATAGAACTACCATATGATCTAACAGTAGCAATCCCACTTCTGGATATAAGTTCTCTTATGTTTACTACTTGTACAGTGTCATTTGTCTGTTTCCAATTTTTTTTTAAAGTATGGTAAAAGCATGAAAATAGACACATGGACCAATGAAAAAAATGGAAAGCCCAAAAATAAACCCATGCATATATGGTCAACTAATCTTTGACAAAATCTCTAAGAACACATATTGGAGAAAAGATAGTCTTTTCAATAAATGGTATTGGAAACACTAGATATCCACTTGCAAAAGGTGAAGTTGGATCCCTATTGTATTACCTACAAAAAATCAATTCAAAGATCTGAAACTCCTAGAAGAAAACACGGAGGAAAGCTCTATAACATTGGTCTCAGCAATTATTTTTTGGATTTGGTGCCAAAAACATAGACAACAAAGGCAAAAATAAATGACTGGTACTATATTAAACTAAAAAGTTTCTGCAAAGCAAACAATCAAATGAAAAGGCCACATATGGAATGGGAGAAAATATTTGTAAGCCACATGTCCAATAAGGGGGTAATATCCAAATATATAAGGAACTCATACAACTCAACAGCAAATAAGTAAATAAATAATAATAACAAATAACCTGATTAAACAATGGGCAAAGGGCCTGAATGGATGTGTTTCCATAGAAGACCTGCAAATTGCCAATAGGTATATGAAAAGATGCTCAATATCACTAATTATCAGGAAAATGCAAATCCAAACTAGAATGACATATCACCTCATACCTGTTAGAATGGCTATTATCAAAAAGCCAAAAGATAACCAATGTTGGTGAGGATCTGGAGAAAAGGGAACACTTGTACACTTTGGGGGGAATGTAAGTTGGTACAGCCACTATGGAAAACAGTATGAAGATGCCTCAAAAACTCAAAAATAGAACTACCATATATGATCCAGCAATCCCACTCCTGAGTGTATATCCAAAGGAAATAAAAATCAATATTTCAAAGAGATATCTGCACTGCCATGTTCATTTCATTATTACTCACAATAGCCTAGATATGGAAACAACGTAAGTGTCCATCAACTGATAAATGGATAAAAAATGAAGTATTATTCAGCCATAAAAAGAAGGAAGTCCTACCATTGGCAACAACATGGATGAACCTGGAGGAAATCATGCGAAGTGAAATAAGCCAGATATAAAAAGACAAATACTGCATGATCTCACTGATATGTGGAATCTAAAATATCAAACTCATAGAAACAGAGAGACGGGTCCGTTACCAGGTGGTGGGTGTGGTGGAAATAGGGAGACGTTGGTTAAGGGGTACAATTCATAAGATGAATAATTTGGAGATCTAAAGTGAGACATGGTGACTATAGTTAATATTGTATACTTGAAATTTGCTAAGAAAATAGACCTTAAATATTTTCATCATTCATGTAAAAGTAATGATGAATGTTCGTTAGTTTGATTGCGGTAATCATTTCACAATGTATACATAGATCAAAACATTACATTGTATACCTTAAATATATACAATATTTATCTGTCAATTATACCTCAATAAAGCTGTAAAAAAGGAAAAGTATTTATGATAATAATGCCCATCAAACAGTGAATTCCAATAAAGAGATACAATTTTTTGAATCACCAAGTAGAAAATTAGGAGTTAAACAGTAGAATAACAACTGAAAGATCAATAGAAGGACTCAACAGGTTTGAGCTTCCAGAAGAAAGAGTCACTGAACTTGAAGCAGATTTGAAAAATACTATGTGATCTGAAGAATAAAGAGAGGAAAGAATGAAGATAAATTAACAGTTTCTGAAAAATGTGGCACACCAATAATAGCACCAATGGACATATAATGGGCATAACAGAAGATAGAAGAGAAAAATTGAGGCAGAAAAATTTATTCATATAAATAATGGCTGAAATATCCCCAAACTGGATTTTTAAAACCGTTAATATATGCATACAAAAAGCTCAATATATTACTGAAAGACATCCCCCTAAGATCAGGAACAAGACAAAGAGTCTGCTCCAGCCACTTCTATTCAACATTGTCTTGAAAGTTCTGCTGTGGTAATTAGGAAAGAAAAAGAAATAAAAAGCATCCAGATTGGAAAGGAAGATGTAAAACTCTCTCTATGCACAGATGACATTATTTTCTATATGGAAAATTCTAATGAATACACACACACACACACACACAAACTATTAAAGTTACTAAATGAGCTCAACAAGATTGCCGAATACAAGGTCAATGTAAAAAAATTGATTGTATTTCTATACCCTAGCAGTGACACCATGAAAATAAAATTAAGAAAAAATTCAATTACAATAGAATAATAATATAATACTTAGAAATTGATTTATCAAAAGAGGTACAAGAACGCCAAAAAGAAGTATAGTATACTCTGAAAACTACAAAAGATATTTTTGAAAGAAATTAAAGACCTAAACAAATAGAGAGACATTCCAGTCATGGATTGTAACACTTAGTATTTTTTAGATGGCAATAATCCTCAAATTGATCTACAGATTTCATACAATATTTTCAAAATCCTAGTTTGCTTTTTTTGCATAAATTAAAAAGCTGATCCTAAAATTCATGTGTAAATGCAAGGGACCACATTTAACCAAAACAATCTTGAAAAAGAAGAACTAAGTTGGAGGATTCATAGTTTCTGATTTCAAAAAATGCCACAAAGCAACAGTAATCAAGGCACTGCAGTACTGGCATAAAGATAAATGTATAGATCAATGGAATAGAATCAAGATTTAGGAAATAAGCCCACAGGTAATAAATAGTCTGACACCATTTTGGTTTGACTACTGACAGCTCTTAAGCCTTACTTTCCCTCTTCCCTTTCTGCCTCATATCTGGGGAGGCTGATAGGAAAGCTGGGGTACTGCCTCCTTTAATGCTGGCAGGAAGTCCAAATCATGTACGGGAACCCTCACCTAGGCCACACATCCTAACTGCCAGAAAAAATGGAAGTTATTCTCCTTACTCTGCTCTTTCAAGCCATCTTCAGGCCTGCTTTGAAGCCACTTTGATCTTCCCAAGAAGACTTTATCGTGTGTAATAAACTTTTCATACCCTCTTGGTGTATGTGTGGCGTCATTAGTCTCAACATACAAACCAAATTTTGAGTGGGGATCCATCCTGCATATTAACATGGCCACAAAACACCTTACATTTATGTTCAATTAATTTTTGACAAGGGTGTTGAAATCATTCAATAGAGAAGGAATAATATTTTCAACAAATCATGCAGAAACAGTTAGATATTCACACAAAAAATAAAGCTGAACCCCCTACTTCACAACATACACAAAAATTAACTCAGAATAGGCCATAGAACTAATTGTAACAACTAAAATTATAATCCTCTAAAAGTTATAGTAAATTTTTGTGACCTTGGATTAGGCAATAGTTTCTTAGATATAACACCAAAGTATAAGCAATAACAAAAAATTAGATTAATTGAATTTCATCAAAATTTAAAACTTTTGTGCATCAAAAGACACTATCAAGAAAATAAAAAGACAACCCACAGAATGAGATAAAATATTTTCAAATCACATATCGAATAAGGGTCTTTTCCATAATTTATAAAGAGCTCTTAGAACTCAATAATAAAAAGACAATCCAATTGAAAAAATGGGCAAAGTATTTGAATACACATTTCTCCAAATAGACATGAATGACCAATAAGCACATGAAAAGATTGTCAACATCATTAGTCATCAGAGAGATTCAAATCAAACCATAATGAGATACTACTTCACACCCACAAGGATGGCCATAAGAAAAAGAAAATGGAAATAACAAGTGTTGGTAAGGATGTGGAGAAATTACAATCCTCATATATTGCTGGTGTGAATGTAAATAGTATGGCCATTGTGGAAAATAGTTTGATCATTCTTCAAAAAGTTAAAGTTAAACATAGAATTACTATATGACCTATCAATTGTACTCCTAATATATACTCAAAAGAATTGAAATCAAGTGTTAAAAGAAAAACCACACAACTTTTACAGAAATTGTTCATAGCAACACCATTCATACTAACCAAAAAGCTGAAACAATATCCATCATCTGATGAATGGATAAATAAAATGTTTGCATACCCATACAATGGAATATTATTCAGCAATATAAAGGGATTAAGTATTGACACGTTATGATAGAGATAAACCTTGAAAACATGCTAAATGAAAGAGGTTGTTCACAAAAGACCACACACTGTTTAATTCCATTTATATGAAATATATAAACCAGGTAAATCCATAGAGATACAAATAGATCAGTGGTTGTCAAGGGCTGTAGGTAGGGGAGAATGTCAAGTGACTGCCAATATGTACAGCATTTTGTGGGGAGGTGATAAACATGTTATAAAATGTGATTATGGTAATGACTGCACAAATTATTGAATTTTTATTTCAAAATTGGTGAATTTTATGGTACATAAATTATACCTCCAAAATATGCAAAAAATGAAATACAAGAAAAATTTGTTGGAGAAAATTTGCTATTTGAGATTGAGTAAAGAATATTAATGAAGAATGTTAAATGAATTCCCCTAGATTCTCTGCTACTATAATATTAACACTATAATTTAACTCTATAATTTAAATATCTAAATATAATGAAACAACTGACATCCAGAGATTATGTTCCATTGCTGGATGAGTACTCATCTGAAAGTTCTTCACTGCCAGAAGGTCTAGGCAACCTTTCCAGTAGACTTAGATGATAATGTATACCATTTTGAATTCTAAATTCCATTGAATTATCTATGTAGTCGATAGTTTTTCTGGAGGCATTGTCCTTGCATATAAAACTAGAGATTAAATTCACATAATTGTGTCAGAATTGAATAAATATTTTATATGAAAGTGTTCTGCAGGAGGTCAGTTTGGGCCCAAGTTTTTAAAGAAGGCAAGGAATAGAGAGAAAAGAATGTATTATTTAAATTAAATAGGGCTATTTAGCTATTCAATTTCCAATTATTCACCTTTAAGCAATCCTATTATGCTGAAGGTCTTCTGATGCTTACCATGTATATAATCAGATTGTGTAAAACACTCCACTGAGCCATGGTCTGTTTGTTGCAGCAGCTTTATAGGCACTGAAATGAAAACAGTCAAGAGTAGAAAAATTATCATGGGAACTGCAGTTATTCTTCACATGTCTGAGATGGTGAGAAAGCTGATATTTGGCAGATATTTATTTAAAGATCAACATATTGTGAGAGCCTGAATTAAAATAGTGTTAAAACCAAATTTAAAAATTACAGCATTATCACACCTATTTATTACATTCTGAGTATTGGGTAGGGTAATGGTCTAGGCATTATTCCAGGGAAGTGGAAGAAATAAACTAATGAAATTGCAAGGCTCAGAAGTTAGGACTGTACACTAAGTGCTAGGGACTCAAAATGGAAAATCATGAAAAGATTTGGGATTGAAGCAATTTCAAAATAAGGATTTGACAAATACCAAAATGGGTCTGGCCATTGTTTCAATTGGATGAAATGGCTCCTTCCTCTCAGTTTAGAAAAGTATTGACATATTTTAAGTCATAAAAATCCATCAAAACTTTTCTGTGATCTCACATCCCCCAGAGCTATGTCTCTCTTCCTCTTTGTAATAAAGAATAGTTCACATTTGTTTTCTTTGCTTGCTCACCTTCTACTTTCTCCTCAATCCATTGCAATCTGACTCTAAATTCTACCATACCACTGACTAAAGTCACAGGCCGCAGTTTTCAGCTTACTTTGCCCCTTAACACTACTAGGTACAGTTGATCACAGATGACTGCACAACTCTGTGCATATACTGAAAATTATTGAATTTTTATTTTAAAATTGGTGTTTTATGGTACAAAAATATACAAAAATGAAATACAATAAAAATTGTTGGAGAAAGTTTGCCATTTGAGATTGAGTAAAGAAGATTAATGAAGGTTAAATGAATTACCCTAGACTCTCTGCTATTATAATATTAACTCCATAATTTAAATACCTAATTGTCTTCTTTCTCTATGCTATCACACCACATTCTTCTCATTTTCTTCCTACTTTACTTGTCTCTCCTTTGTCCCCTTTGAAAGTTTCTTTTTCTCTGCAAGTCCCTCAAGTGATAATATTCCTTAGGATTTTGTCCTATTCCCTCTTCTTTTCCAACTACACACAACAGTTATCACCATCTTTTTTTTTTTTTTTTTTTTTTTTTTTTTTTGAGACGGAGTCTGGCTCTGTCGCCCAGGCTGGAGTGCGGTGGCGCGATCTCGGCTCACTGCAAGCTCCGCCTCCCGGGTTCACGCCATTCTCCTGCCTCAGCCTCCCGAGTAGCTGGGACTACAGGCGCCCGCCACCGCGCCCGGCTAATTTTTTGTATTTTTAGTAGAGACGGGGTTTCACCGTGTGTTAGCCGGGATGGTCTCAATCTCCTGACCTCATGATCCGCCCGCTTCGGCCTCCCAAAGTGCTGGGATTACAGGCATGAGCCACCGCGCCCAGCCCAGTTATCACCATCTTATATCAACCTATTGTTTGTGGATTTCCCCCATTCTATGAATATTAGTGGGATAAATATAATCTACTTTTTAGGGCAAATGTTAGCATATTTTAAGATATATTAAGGGTAGATTTGACATCAAAAGCACGGGTAACAAAAGCAAAAATAAACAAATGAGACTATATCCAAAATGCTTCTGCACAGCAAAGGAAAAAAATCAACAAAATTAAGAGGCAACCTACAGAATGGGAGAAAATATTTGTGAACTGTGTATCTGATAAGGGGCTAATATCCAAAATATGTAAGGAACTCACATAACTCAATAACAGAAACCCCACAAAAAACTAATAACCCAATTAAACAATGGGCAAAGGACTTCAAAAGACATTTTTCCAAATAAGATGTAAAATAGCCAAGAGGTATATGAAAAATGCACAAAATCAGTAATCAGAAAAACTCAAATTAAAACCACAATGAGATCACTTCACACTCATTACGATGGCTATTATCAAGAGACAAGTGTTGGTGAGGATGCAGAGAAAAGGGAGTCCTTGTACATTGCTGATGGGAATATAAATTGATACAGTCTCTGTGGAAAACAGTAAGGAGTTTCCTCAAAATATTAAAAACAGAACTACCATATGATTCAGGAATCTCACTGCTGGGTATACATCCAAAGAAAATAAAACTAGAATCTCAAAAAGATATCTGCATTCCCATGTTCCTTGCACCATTTTTCACAATAGCCAAAATAAGGAAACCACCTTAAAGTTGACACAAGTTTATGGGTCTTTGTGACAACATGGATGAACCTAGAGGGCACTAGGCTAAATGAGTAATCCAGGCACAGAAAGAGAAATACCATATGATCTCATATGTGGAATCTAGAAAGGATGAACTTATAGAAGCAGAGAATAGAATAGTGTTTGCTGGGGACTGGAGAGTGGGGGAAATGGTGAGATGCCACATATGAGATCATATGGTATTTCTCTTTCAGTTACAGGATGAATAAGTTCTGATGATCTAATGTACAGCATGGTAGCTGCAGTTAATATTTGAAATTTGGTAAGAGAGCAGATTATAAGTGTCCTTACACACTTAAATGCACTTAACACACGCACACACAACATGGTAACTATGATGATGACAGACATGTTAATAAATTTGATTGTGGTAATTATTGCACAAAGTATACATATATCAAATCTGTACACCTTGGATATATACGATTTTGTTTGTCAATTATACCTCAGTAATGCTGGAAAAAATGTAAGGGATAGCTATGTTGGGTTAGGTGGGACTTCAACATTTTAAGTCAGTGAAGAAGGGTGTATTTTGAAATTGAGACATCACAGCTTAGATTATTTTGGATATTGCCAACTGTTTTGGCTGCCCAAAATATTAATCCCTTTCTATGAATGCAAAATTACCCCACCTCATGGGTTTTGGTGGGAAGCAAAATATACCTCCTACTACAAGGGATGAAAATTCTAGATGCTAACTTGCCTAATCTCCATTACAGCTAGGGAGTGGCCACATAACCTAAGCTCCCTCAATCAGATGTGTCTGTGTCAGACTGAGTTGGAAACTAAAGATATAATAAGAAGATTTCTCTTTCTGGTGGCAGTGGTATAATCATTTTTCTAATCAGATTTTCTTTTTTTTTTTTTTTTTGAGACAGAGTCTCACTCTGTCGCCAGGCTGGAGTGCAGAGGTGCGATCTCGGCTCAACTGCAACCTCCGACTCCCTAGTTCAAGCAATTCTCCTGCCTCAGCCTCCTGAGTAGCTGGCATTACAGGCACACATCGCCATGCCCAGCTAATTTTTGTATCTAATCAGAGAATTCTAAGGTGTGATTTGAGGCATTTTTCTTAGGTATAGCTGAGCCAGGTTCTACATTCCCTTAAACAACTTCTATGAGATCTCTACTGTCCTTTTAATAAACTCCCTTTCTGTTCAGTCAGCTAGGATTGGCCTCTACTGCTTGCACCTAACAACCCCAATTGATACAGCTCCTAATATTTACCTCTGGCCCTGCCCTCACTCTGAGATATACGTAAGATCATATCTCACATATCTCACAGGTTCCATACAGGATATCTCACAGTGGTTTGGCTCTATACCTGATATCTCACAGTTATGGAGCCAAACCACTTACTAGCTGTGTAATCTTGAGCACGTTACTTCTTTCTGAACCTTTGCTCTTGTATAAAATGAGAATTATATTAATACCTACCTCACAGGAATATTGTAATGGTCAAGTGAGAAACTTAGGTGTCAAAAATTGTAAACTGAATAATGCAATACAGTATTGTAAAATATAATTTATACTATTATAGTTTATTCTACATTAAATGGTAGTGGTACCTTGCTTTTCTTACCAAATGTGTGGGAGGCTTGTAACTGTTTCTTTACTCCTGGGAAACAAGGTTTCCCCAAAGTAGCTGTATCTGCAAACAATGTAGAGTTTTATTTCTTTTGACGTTGCCTCTATAGTCCTTGTAGAGCACCAGGAGCGAAGCACTCTGTTGGTAATGATTTGAAGAAACAAAAATAATTTGAGGGTTGGGAACTTGAAAGGGAGGTAAAATAGATAGCAGAACAAGAATTGATATTTCTGTAATGCAGGCTTGAGAGAGACAAAAAAGAAACTGATGCAAAATACTTTGAGGTCTCAAGGAAATAGAACTAAAAAGAGGATCTTACAGTAAAAACAGTCTATTCAGGCTGCCATCACTGAAGCAAATGAATCAGGATATTGTTAACGTTTTTGTCACTTTGCTTGAGATGCATCATGGAAGAAATATGTACTGGATTGGCCTGACTTGGCTAGCACACCTGTTCTTTGCCTAGGAGAGGGCCTGGTTCCTTTAGACCATATCCAAAAGAGATAATTCTCTACAAAGAAATTGAGGGTATAGGGATGACAGAAAAATAGATGCTGACAGCAACAACAAATGCACATGATTGTGAAATGGAAAAAGTAATCTTGTTTTTTTCTACCATGTCATACTGCCAGGCTTTAGTACCATGCCAGGTTGAGAATTGTTTTTTGGTGCAGAGAGACTGGCATCATAATTTATTTTCCTTAGAAAGCAATGCCACAGCACCTCCAAGGTTACGGGCAAATATCAAATAATGATGAGTGTTGGGTTTTTGTCTTCTGAAATGAGTAAAACAAGTTCTCGTAGTTTTTTGTACTTGAAAAAGTACAGTACAATTTTTATTTATGAATGTTTTAAAAATTGCCAATTTTCTCCAAGTTCCTAATAGCTCAATTTTTTTACTGCTCTAAATATAGAGTTTACAATGTGTTGTTTTAGATTTTTGGTAACCATACATATTTAGCAATTAAAGATATTAGTGCTACCAAGCGACTTTGAAAAATACTGATTACTAAAATAAAAAAGAAATATTTTGAGTTTTAGTGCTTAATTCCTTCTGTTGGTTATAGAAGAAGTAATTGAAATGTAGTTGAAGGAGCTAGATTGGAGGTATCTGCTATGCTCTATCACTAGGACAGAATTTCTCAACCTCAGGGGCCATTTGGGGCCAAATAACTCTTAGTTACAGGGTGTTGTTCTGTGCATTGTAGGATGTTTAGAGTCATTTCTGGACTCTACCTACTAGATGCCTATAGCATTCCCTACCCCTCAGTTGTGACAGTCACATATATCTCCAGACATAGCCAACGATTTGGGGAGGGTGTATAAAATCACTGCTGGTTCAGAACTACTAGACTAGAGGTAAAGCTACAAAATCCTGTGCATTGAGAAAATCATTTATGAAGATTTCCTCTTTATACTGAGGTTGAGGCAAATCAATAAGGGTTATTCAAAACTTTGTGGCCTAAGCATTCAAGAGATTTGTATCCTACAGATCATGAATATACCAGAAGCAGGAACTAATACAATGCAATAACAATTACAGGGCAGCATTGCCAAAAATGAGAAGGATTTAGGCCACAGACAGAAATTACATCACTGAGAATTCCATACAGACCCGTATATGATAGCTAATGCTGAAGCACACTCCAGCAATAATGCTGTGATATAGTGTTGCATTATTAACTGAAAATAAGTGAGTATAACTGGGTTTTCCAATGGAATTCTTAAGAATGTTAATTTTTTCTGTGGAACACACTTTAGGATGAGCTGGACTGGGAAGAAGCTACTGAGTTTGCACACTTGAGAACCAAGCAGTATTTTCTACCACACTGTCTTGGGAAACAGCCCAGAAATACATATCAGGTGTAGCTTTCAAAAACAACATTTCTTTGGCCATGAACTAGCTGAGCAAGATTATATTCTTACTCATAATATAATTTTAACTAGTTAAGAATGTGTATATCATTATACACCAAGACAAAGCTAGTCTCATTACATTGCCCATATATTGAATATCATGGTGATCTGGACAATATCAGTCTGTTATTTAAAGCTCAGTAAACCACTAACATTAAACAAATAATTTGAAAAACTTTATTGCAGGTCTTGCATGTCTCCCATTTCCAACATACTTGTGACTGGTCCATTTTTATTCATTACATCACATTTCTGTTTTCCTCTAAGAATTTGCCATAACTTGCAGAGAAAATTGCCAGGACAGATCTATTTCTGCGCTGAAGCCTCATCATGCCATTCTCACACATTTTCTTGATTTGGTAGTTCTCTAGGAAACAAGGCTGATACTTTAGCTTCCCTTTCAAATTCAATACTATATTCCAACATGTATATTTTTAAGCTGTCTGGAAGCATTGAAAGTTTAAATTTCCTTAAAATGAGGATAAATCTATCATAGAGTCAGTTGAACTTCCAGAAATCAATTTTCAGAAGGATTACAATCCAAAAAATTACAAAATGAGATATTACAGTGAAAGTGGCTCTTACTTTTGGGTAGATTTCAGATCTTTCTCTAATTATAAAATACAAAATACTGGAGGAGCCAAGATGGCCGAACAGGAACAGCTCCGGTCTACAGCTCCCAGCGTGAGTGACGCAGAAGACGGGTGATTTCTGCATTTCCATTTGAGGTACCGGGTTCATCTCACTAGGGAGTGCCAGACAGTGGGCGCAGGACAGTGGGTGCAGCGCACCATGCGCCAGCCGAAGCAGGGCGAGGCATTGCCTCACTCGGGAAGCGCAAGGGATCAGGGAGTTCCCTTTCCTGGTCAAGGAAAGGGGTGACAGACGGCACTTGGAAAATCGGGCCACTCCCACCCAAATACTGCGCTTTTCTGACGGGCTTAAAAAATGGCGCACCAGGAGATTATATCCCGCACATGGCTCGGAGGGTCCTATGCCCACGGAGTCTCGCTGATTGCTAGCATAGCAGTCTGAGATCAAACTGCAAGGTGGCAGCGAGGCTGGGGGAGGGGCGCCCGCCATTGCCCAGGCTTGCTTAGGTAAACAAAGCAGCCGGGAAGCTCGAACTCGGTGGAGCCCACCACAGCTCAAGGAGGCCTGCCTCCCTCTGTAGGCTCCACCTCTAGGGGCAGGGCACAGACACACAAAAAGACAGCAGTAACCTCTGCAGACTTAAATGTCCCTGTCTGACAGCTTTGAAGAGAGCAGTGGTTCTCCCAGAACGCAGCTGGAGATCTGAGAACGGGCAGACTGCCTCCTCAAGTGGGTCCCTGACCCCTGACCCCCGAGCAGCCTAACTGGGAGGCATCCCCCAGTAGGGGCAGACTGACACCTCACACGGCCGGGTACTCCTCTGAGACAAAACTTCCAGAGGAACGATCAGATAGCAGCATTCGCGGTTCACGAAAATCCGCTGTTCTGCAGACACCGCTGCTGATACCCAGGCAAACAGGGTCTGGAGTGGACCTCTAACAAACTCCAACAGACCTGCAGCTGAGGGTCCTGTCTGTTAGAAGGAAAACTAACAAACAGAAAGGACATCCACACCAAAAACGCATCTGTACATCACCATCATCAAAGACCAAAAGTAGATAAAACCACAAAGATGGGGAAAAAACAGAGCAGAAAAACTGGAAACTCTAAAAGGCAGAGCGCCTCTCCTCCTCCAAAGGAACGCAGTTCCTCACCAGCAACGGAACAAAGCTGGACGGAGAATGACTTTGACGAGTTGAGAGAAGAAGGCTTCAGATGATCAAACTACTCCGAGCTACAGGAGGAAATTCAAACCAAAGGCAAAGAAGGTAAAAACTTTGAAAAAAATTTAGATGAATGTATAACTAGAATACCCAATACAGAGAAGTGCTTAAAGGAGCTGACGGAGCTGAAAGCCAAGGCTCAAGAACTACATGAAGAATGCAGAAGCCTCAGGAGCCGATGCGATCACCTGGAAGAAAGGGTATCAGTGATGGAAGATGAAATGAATGAAATGAAGTGAGAAGGGAAGTTTAGAGAAAAAAGAATAAAAAGAAATGAACAGAGCCTCCAAGAAATATGGGACTATGTGAAAAGACCAAATCTACATCGTATTGGTATACCTGAAAGTGATGCGGAGAATGGAACCAAGTTGGAAAACACTCTGCAGGATATTATCCAGGAGAACTTCCCCAATCTAGCAAGGCAGGCCAACATTCAGATTCAGGAAACACAGAGAATGTCACAAAGATACTCCTCGAGAAGAGCAACTCCAAGACACATAATTGTCAGATTCACCAAAGTTGAAATGAAGGAAAAAATGTTAAGGGCAGCCAGAGAGAAAGGTCGGGTTACCCACAAAGGGAAGCCCATCAGACTAACAGCGGATCTCTCGGCAGAAACTCTATAAGCCAGAAGAGAGTGGGGGCCAATATTCAACATTCTTAAAGGAAAGAATTTTCAACCCGGAATTTCATATCCAGCCAAACCAAGCTTCATGAGTGAAGGAGAAATAAAATCCTTTACAGACAAGCAAATGCTGAGAGATTTTATCACCACCAGGCCTGTCCTAAAAGAGCTCCTGAAGGAAGCACTAAACATGGTAAGGAACAACCGATACCAGCTACCGCAAAATCATGCCAAATTGTAAAGACCATCGAGACTAGGAAGAAACTGCATCAACTAACGAGCAAAATAACCAGCTAACATCATAATGACAGGATCAAATTCACACATAACAATATTAACTTTAAATGTAAATGGACTAAATGCTCCAATTAAAAGACACAGACTGGCAAATTGGAAAAAGAGTCAAGACCCATCAGTGTGCTGTATTCAGGAAACCCATCTCACGTGCAGAGACACACAAAGGCTCAAAATAAAAGGTTGGAGGAAGATCTACCAAGCAAATGGGAAACAAAAAAAGGCAGGGGTTGCAATCCTAGTCTCTGATAAAACAGACTTTAAACCAACAAAGATCAAAAGAGACAAAGAAGGCCATTACATAATGGTAAAGGGGTCAATTCAACAAGAAGAGCTAACTATCCTAAATATATATGCACCCAATACAGGAGCACCCAGATTCATAAAGCAAGTCCTGAGTGACCTACAAAGAGACTTAGACTCCCACACAATAATAATGGGAGACTTTAACACCCCACTGTCAACATTAGACAGATCAATGAGACAGAAAGTTAACAAGGATATCCAGGAATTGAACTCGGCTCTGCACCAAGCGGACCTAATAGACATCTACAGAACTCTCCACCCCAAATCAACAGAATATACATTTTTTTCAGCACCACACCACACCTATTCCAAAATTGACCACATAGTTGGAAGTAAAGCTCTCCTCAGCAAATGTAAAACAACAGAAATTGTAACAAACTGTCTCTCAGACCACAGTGCAATCAAACTAGAACTCAGGATTAAGAAACTCACTCAAAACCGCTCAACTACATGGAAACTGAACAACCTGCTCCTGAATGACTACTGGGTACATAACAAAATGAAGGCAGAAATAAAGATGTTCTTTGAAACCAATGAGAACAAAGACACAACATACCAGAATCTCTGGGACACATTCAAAGCAGTGTGTAGAGGGGAATTTATAGGACTAAATGCCCACAAGAGAAAGCAGGAAAGATCCAAAATTGACACCCTAACATCACAATTAAAAGAACTAGAAAAGCAAGAGCAAACACATTCAAAAGCTAGCAGAAGGCAAGAAATAACTAAAATCAGAGCAGAACTCAAGGAAATAGAGACACAAAAAACCCTTCAAAAAATTAATGAATCCAGGAGGTGGTTTTTTGAAAGGGTCAACAAAATTGATAGACCGCTAGCAAGACTAATAAAGAAGAAAAGAGAGAAGAATCAAATAGACGCAATAAAAAATGATAAAGGGGATATCACCATCGATCCCACAGAAATACAAACTACCATGAGAGAATACTATAAATACCTCTACACAAATAAACTAGAAAATCTAGAAGAAATGGATAAATTCCTCGACACATACACCCTCCCAAGACTAAACCAGGAAGAAGTTGAATCTCTGAATAGACCAATAACGGGCTCTGAAATTGTGGCAATAATCAATAGCTTACCAACCAAAAAGAGTCCAGGACCAGATGGATTCACAGCCGAATTCTACCAGAGGTACAAGGAGGAATTGGTACCATTCCTTCTGAAACTATTCCAATCAATAGAAAAAGACGGAGTCCTCCCTAACTCATTTTATGAGGCCAGCATCATCCTGATACCAAAGCCGGGCAGAGACACAACCAAAAAAGGGAATTTTAGACCAGTATCCTTGATGAACATTGATGCAAAAATCCTCAATAAAATACTGGCAAACTGAATCCAGCAGCACATCAAAAAGCTTATCCACCATGATCAAGTGGGCTTCATCCCTGGGATGCAAGGCTGGTTCAATATACACAAATAAATAAATGTAATCCAGCATATAAACAGAACCAAAGACAAAAACCACATGATTATCTCAATAGATGCAGAAAAGGCCTTTGACAAAATTCAACAACCCTTCATGCTAAAAACTCTCAATAAATTAGGTATTGATGGGACGTATCTCAAAATAATAAGAGCTATCTATGACAAACCCACAGCCAATATCATACTAAATGGGCAAAAGCTGGAAGCATTCCCTTTGAAAACTGGCACAAGACAGGGATGCCCTCTCTCACCACTCCTATTCAACATAGTGTTGGAAGTTCTGGCCAGGGAAATTAGGCAGGAGAAGGAAATAAAGGGTATTCGATTAGGAAAAGAGGAAGTCAAATTGTCCCTGTGTGCAGACGACATGATTGTAGATCTAGAAAACCCCATTGTCTCAGCCCCAAATGTCCTTAAGCTGATAAGCAACTTCTGCAAAGTCTCAGGATACAAATCAATGTACAAAAATCACAAGCATTCTTATACACCAATAACAGACAGAGAGCCAAATCATGAGTGAACTCCCATTCACAACTGCTTCAAAGAGAATAAAATAGCTAGGAATCCAACTTACAAGAGACGTGAAGTACCTCTTCAAGGAGAACTACAAACCACTGCTCAATGAAATAAAAGAGGATACAAAGAAATGGAAGAACATTCCATGCTCATGGGTAGGAAGAATCAATATCGTGAAAATGGCCATACTGCCCAAGGTAATTTATAGATTCAATGCCATCCCCATCAAGCTAACAATGACTTTCTTCACAGAATTGGAAAAAACTACTTTAAAGTTCATATGGAACCAAAAAAGAGCCCACATCACCAAGTCAATCCTAAGCCAAAAGAACAAACCTGGAGGCATCACGCTACCTGACTTCAAACTATACTACAAGGCTACAGTAACAAAAACAGCATGGTACTGGTACCAAAACAGAGATATAGATCAATGGAACAGAACACAGCCCTCAGAAATAACGCCGCATATCTACAACTATCTGATCTTTGACAAACCTGACAAAAACAAGCAATGGGGAAAGGATTCCCTATTTAATAAATGGTGCTGGGAAAACTGGCTAGCCATATGTAGAAAGCTGAAACTGGATCCCTTCCTTACACCTTATACAAAAATTAATTCAAGATGGATTAAAGACTTAAACGTTAGACCTAAAACCATAAAAACCCTAGAAGAAAACCTAGGCATTACCATTCAGGACATAGGCATGGGCAAGGACTTCATGTCTAAAACACCAAAAGCAATGGCAACAAAAGCCAAAATTGACAAATGGGATCTAATTCAACTAAAGAGCTTCTGCACAGCAAAAGAAACTAACATCAGAGTGAACAGGCAACCTACAGATGGGAGAAAATTTTTGCAATCTACTCATCTGACAAAGGGCTAATATCCAGAATCTACAAAGAACTCAAACAAATTTACAAGAAAAAAAACAAACAACCCCATCAAAAAGTGGGTGAAGGATATGAACAGACACTTCTCAAAAGAAGACATTTATGCAGCCAACAGACACATGAAAAAATGCTCTTCATCACTGGTCATCAGAGAAATGCAAATCAAAACCACAATGAGATACCGTCTCACACCAGTTAGAATGGCAATCATTAAAAAGTCAGGAAACAACAGGTGCTGGAGAGGATGTGGAGAAATAGGAACACTTTTACACTGTTGGTGGGACTGTAAACTAGTTCAACCCTTGTGGAAGTCAGTGTGGCGATTCCTCAGGGATCTAGAACTAGAAATACCATTTGACCCAGCCATCCCATTACTGGGTATACACCCAAAGGACTATAAATCATGCTGCTATCAAGACACATGCACACGTATGTTTATTGTGGCACTATTCACAATAGCAAAGACTTGGAACCAACCCAAATGTCCAATAATGCTAGACTGGATTAAGAAAATGTGGCACATATACACCATGGAATACTATGCAGCCATAAAAAATGATGAGTTCACGTCCTTTGTAGGGGCATGGATGAAATTGGAAATCATCATTCTCAGTAAACTATCGCAAGGACAAAAAACCAAACACCGCATGTTCTCACTCATAGATGGGAATTGAACAATAAGAACACATGGATACAGGAAGGGGAACATCACACTCTGGGGACTGTTGTGGGGTGGGGGAGGGGGGAGGGATAGCATTAGGAGATATACCTAATGCTAAATGACGAGTTAATGGGTGCAGCACACCAACATGGCACATGTATACATATGTAACTAACCTGCACACTGTACCCTAAAACTTAAAGTATAATAATAATAATAAATAAATAAATAAATAAATAAATAATAAAAAGTAAAAAAAAATACAAAATACCTCTGTAACCAAGAGGTATTTTGTGTCTGTGGGTTATACAGCTTAAGGTATTATGCATTGATTTAAAAATTAATAAACATGAAAACACAGATATAGCACTTAGAAATGAGTCCAAAACTATGCAGGACTACAATCCTTTTTGATAAATCCCCTCTTAATTGTAAATACCTCTGTGAAACTTGCCTGGTCTACACTTATAAGACACAAGAAGCTACTTATATGTCTCAGGACATGGGTCTGGTCCAAATACTCAACTATTCACAGATATCAGATACCAGTTTTGGTCCTGGCACTCATCCATGAGTTTCTTATGAAGAGAAGAGAAGAGAAGAGAAGAGGAGATTACGAAATAAAAATGTGATGTACACCTTAATGTGTTATCATTTCCATCAATGAATTTTACAACTTTTCAATAAAATGTTTCTTTTTACTCTGATATCTAGAAGTTCTATTCAATGAACACTGAAAAGATATAGACAGATTCATGATAGCTAGATAGATACATTAGACATGAAAAATTAAAACCGTGAATTATAGCTCTGTCATTTACTTGCTCTATGACTATTAAAAAATTATATCCACAAAATTTTATTTCTTTATGTTTCATGGAGATAGTAATTCCCAGCACAAGTTAAGCAAAAAACTATGTTCAAATTCAATTACTACAGAAATCAAAGCTTTTACTATATGGACAAGCTGAGTACTCTGGCTCTGGAAATGATTAGGAATAACACACAGGCCAATAATATTTGTGGCTCATTAAAATGGGAGAGGGCACACTGAATGGCAAGAAGAAAATCAAGAGACATGGAACCATGGAAGCCAAGGGAATTGAGTGTTTAAAAAAAGGTAGACTGGTAGGCTGTGTCAAATAATCCTAAGGAGTTAGATCAGATAAAGACATCAAAGTGTCCATCAGATTTAACAACATGGACATCATTAATGACCTCAGTGAAGCTGGTGGTGTCAGAAATAAGACTGAGTGAATTTCTATTGAGAAAGTAAAGATGGAGAGTGTGTTTTTTTAAACAGAATAAGACAAAATAAAGGCCAGTCAGAAAGCTATATATTTAGTTTCTATTACAGACTGATCTACCAGCTTTCCAACTGGTAGATCCCTTAGTCCAGCTCCCATCTAGGTCATTAATGGCCTCTGTCACTTACTAGCTATGGAGCTATAGAAGAATCAGTTCACCCACCTGATTCTGTTTCCTCATCCTTAAAATGGTTTAAAAAATAGTAACTACTTCATAGAGTTATTATGTAGATTAATGGCTAGAATGCTTATGCTGTGCCAAGCAACATACCTGGCACATAGTAGCTGTTTAATAAACATCAGCTAGTATTATAAGAAAGGAAAGAAATTGGCCAAATTAAGATCATGTAACTAAGATCAAAATTCTCCTGATCCAAATGGTGTAGGAAAACCATCTAGGACTAATTTCTTTATTTTTTATTTTATTTACCTTGTCCTGGTAGTTACATATCCAATCTGTTCCTTTCTCAGATAAAATCAGTGTGTTTTACTTTTGAATGTAGAGTTATCGATAACCTTACTCTCTGAGAAGTTGCATCTTACCTGTCTAGTTGTGACTGACACACAGTTGGCATTTTCACTGGTCCTACCAATTGGAGTTGGGCAAAAGTTTTCCTTGGAGACTTTATGACCATAAAAAGTGGAAGTGATTTCTGCCTTCATTTCGTTATGTACCTAGTAGTCATTCAGGAGCAGGTTGTTCAGTTTCCATGTAGTTGAGCGGTTTTGAGTGAGTTTCTTAATCCTGAATTCTAGTTTGATTGCACTGTGGTCTGAGAGACAGTTTGTTATAATTTCTGTTCTTTTATATTTGCTGAGGAGTGCTTTACTTCCAACTATGTGGTCAATTTTGGAATAAGTGTGATGTGGTGCTGAGAAGAAAGTATATTCTGTTGATTTGGGGTGGAGAGTTCTGTAGATGTCTATTAGGTCCGCTTGGTGCAGAGCTGAGTTCAATTCCTGGATATCCTTGTTAACTTTCTGCCTTGTTGATCTGTCTAATGTTGACAGTGGGGTGTTAAAGTCTCCCATTATTATTGTGTGGGAGTCTAAGTCTCTTTGTAGGTCTCTAAGGACTTGTTTTATGAATCTGGGTGCTCCTGTATTGGGTGCATATATATTTAGGATAGTTAGCTCTTCTTGTTGAATTGATCCCTTTACCATTATGTAATGGCCTTCTTTGTCTCTTTTGATCTTTGTTGATTTAAAGTCTGTTTTATCAGAGACTAGGATTGCAACCCCTGCCTTTCTTCATTTTTCTTTGAAACCAATGAGAACAAAGACACAACATACGAGAATCTCTGGGACACATTTAAAGCAGTGCATAGAAGGAAATTTATAGCACTAAATGCCCATAAGAGAAAGCAGGAAAGATCCAAAATTGACACCCTAACATCACAATTAAAAGAACCAGAGAAGCAAGAGCAAACATTCAAAAGCTAGCAGAAGGCAAGAAATAACTAAGATCAGAGCACAACTGAAGGAGATAGAGACACAAAAACGCTTCAAAAAATCAATGAATCCAGGAGCTGGTTTTTCAAAAAGATCAACAAAACTGAGAGACTGCTAGCAAAACTAATAAAGAAGAAAAGAGAGAAGAATCAAATAGACGCAATAAAAAACGATAAAGGGGATATCACCACCATTCCCACAGAAATACAAACTACCATCAGAGAATACTATAAATACCTCTACACAAATAAACTAGAAAATCTAGAAGAAATGGATAAATTCCTGGATACACATACCCTCCCAAGACTAAACCAGGAAGAAGTTGAATCTCTGAATAGACCAATAACAGGCTCTGAAATTGAGGCAATAATTAATAGCTTACAACCAAAAAAAGTCCAGGACCAGACGGATTCACAGCCAAATTCTGCCAGAGGTACAAGGAGGAGCTGGAACCATTCCTTCTGAAACTATTCCAATCAATAGAGAAAGAGGGAATCCTCCCTAACTCACTTTATGAAGCCAGCATCATACTGATACCAAAGCCTGGCAGAGACACAACAAAAAAAGAGAATTTTAGACCAATATCCCTGAAGAACATTGATGCAAAAATCCTCAATAAAATACTGGCAAACCGAATCCAGCAGCACATCAAAAAGCTTATCCACCATGATCAAGTGGGCTTCATCCCTCGGATGCAAGGCTGGTTCAACACACGCAAATCAATAAACATAATCCAGCATATAAACAGAACCAAAGACAAAAACCACATGATTATCTCAATAGATGCAGAAAAGGTCTTTGACAAAATTCAACAGCCTTCATGCTAAAAACTCTCAATAAATTAGGTATTGATGGGATGGATCTCAAAATAATAAGAGCTATCTATGACAAACCCACAACCAATATCATACTGAATGGGCAAAAACTGGAAGCATTCCCTTCGAAAACTGGCACAAGACAGGGATGCCCTCTCTCACCACTCCTATTCAACATAGTGTTGGAAGTTCTGGCCAGGGCAATCAGGCAGGAGGAAGAAATAAAGGGTATTCAATTAGGAAAAGAGGAAGTCAAATTGTCCCTGTTTGCAGATGACATGATTGTATATTTAGAAAACCCCATCATCACAGCCCAAAATCTCCTTAAGCTGATAAGCAACTTCTGCAAAGCCTCAGGATACAAAATCAATGTGCAAAAATCACAAGCATTCTTATACACCAATAACAGACAGAGAGCCAAATCATGAGTGAGCTCCCATTCATAATTGCTTCAAAGAGAATAAAATAGCTAGGAATCCAACTTACAAGGGATGTGAAGGACCTCTTCAAGGAGAACTACAAACCACTGCTCAAGGAAATAAAAGAGGACACAAACAAATGGAAGAACATTCCATGCTCATGGATAGAAGAATCAATATCATGAAAATGGCCATACTCCCCAAGGTAATTTATAGATTCAATGCCATCCCCATCAAGCTAACAATGACTTTCTTCACAGAATTGGAAAAAACTACTTTAAAGTTCATATGGAACCAAAAAAGAGCCCATATCGCGAAGTTAATCCTAAGCCAAAAGAATAAACCTGGAGGCATCACGCTACCTGACTTCAAACTATACTACAAGGCTACAGTAACCAAAACAGCATGGTACTGGTACCAAAACAGAGATATAGACCAAGGGAACAGAACACAGCCCTCAGAAATAATACCACACATCTATAACCATCTGATCTTTGACAAACCTGACAAAAACAAGAAATGAGGAAAGGATTCCCTATTTAATAAATGGTGCTGGGAAAATTGGCTAGCCATATGGAGAAAGCCGAAACTGGATCCCTTCCTTACACCTTATACAAAAATTAATTCAAGATGGATTAAAGATTTAAATGTTAGACCTAAAACCATAAAAACCCTAGAAGAAAACCTAGGCAATACCATTCAGGACATAGGCATGGCGAAGGACTTCTTGACTAAAACACCAAAAGCAATGGCAACAAAAGCCAAAATTGACAAATGGGATCTAATTCAACTAAAGAGCTTCTGCACAGCAAAAGAAACTACCATCAGAGTGAACAGGCAACCTACAGATGGGAGAAAATTTTTGCAATCTACTCATCTGACAAAGGGCTAATATCCAGAATCTACAAAGAACTCAAACAAATTTACAAGAAAAAAAACAAACAACCCCATCAAAAAGTGGGTGAAGGATATGAACAGACACTTCTCAAAAGAAGACATTTATGCAGCCAACAGACACATGAAAAAATGCTCATCATCACTGGTCATCAGAGAAATGCAAATCAAAATCACAATGAGATACCGTCTCACACCAGTTAGAATGGCGATCATTAAAAAGTCAGGAAACAACAGGTGCTGGAGAGGGTGTGGAGAAATAGGAACACTTTTACACTGTTGGTGGGACTGTAAACTAGTTCAACCATTGTGGAAGTCAGTGTGGCGATTCCTCAGGGATCCAGAACTAGAAATACCATTTGACCCAGCCATCCCTTTACTGGGTATATACCCAAAGGATTATAAATCATGCTGCTATAAAGACATATGCACACGTATGTTCATTGCAGCACTATTCACAATAGCAAAGACTTGGAACCAACCCAAATGTCCAACAACGATAGACTGGATTAAGAAAATGTGCCACATATACACCATGGAATACTATGCAGCCATAAAAAAGGATGAGTTCATGTCCTTTGTAGGGACGTGGATGAAGCTGGAAACCATCATTCTGAGCAAACTATCACAAGGACAAAAAACCAAGTACCGTAGGTTCTCACTCATAGGTGGGAATTGAACAATGAGAACACTTGGACACAGGAAGGTGAACATCACACACTGGGGCCTGTCACGTGGCGGGGGTAGGGGGGAGGGATAGCATTAGGAGATATACGTAATGTAAATGAAGAGTTAATGGGTGCAGCACACCAACATGGCACATGTATACATATGTAACAAACCTGCACGTTGTGCACATGTACCCTAGAACTTAAAGTATAATAATCATAAAAAAAAGCGGAAGGGATAATAATAGATGCCTTTTGTGGGTACATGATTCCCAGTTGCTCTCCATAGCATTCATGAGCTATATGTTTCTTCAGGACCTTCTTTAGTTAGGCTGGGGGAATGTTGGAGGTAGATAATGGAGAAGAATACTGTATAACTCCCAAAGTACTCCTAGACTCTTATAAAGGACCTCAAATTTCAACCCTGCTAAATCCCCATACAGTGCCTAAGTATCTTTTATAGATTCCCAGTAATCAGTCATCTAGAATCTTCCTAAACACTTTTAATAATAGGGTATATTTGTTATGTGGCTGTTGAATAGTTATATTGGTTAAATGTGTTTCCTCATGTTGAATGAATTCCTGGTCTCCCTTTTGCAACTTCTGCCTATTAATTCTACTTCCATCACTAGGAGTTATTAAAAAAACTAGGTCTGAGTCCTCTTTTTCATAATACTCTATTAGATATTTAAGGACAGTGACTTTCTTGCACTACAAAACAAATTTTCTCAACCTAAGTTGAGAAACTTCCTAATTTCCAAACTTCTCACCATACTTTAAAATCGCATATGAACCATGTCTAGCTTGACAATAAATTTCTTAAAGTATTAGAAACAACACCAGATAGAGTCTGAATGAAATAGAGAACAATGTGATTTCTAGAAGTCACCTTTTACTTCTAGTTTGAAAACAAGCACACTATACTATTATTGCCTATCTTATGAGACTGTGTCAGACACTTTATTGACTACCCAGTATTTATTTCTATCTTTCTTTACTAATAGGAGGCTTAATTTTGTTTGTGGTAATAATGTACTCAGCCCCAGTTGAGACACTTGCTTTTTCAGGCTCTTTTTAAGCTAGAGCAGCCGTGTGACACAGATACCTACCTTTTGCATGCCATGATATCGCAAAGGTTACTATAAATCCTTATCTTTTGCTTCTGCCTCTCCTCTTCCCTCCAAGTGAATCTACTAATATTCCTCTTTCTTCCTGAACTTCTACTAGCAAAATCCATTCTACCCAAATTTCTCATCCAATTCTGACAGAGGAAGTATATAGGCAGCCTACTATTCTAAGCTTATTGCAAGGCTTATCTCGTTTAATCCTCAAAAATACCCTATGAGCTCAGTAAAATTATTATCCACATTTTTCAAAAGAAAAGCAATGAGGATCAGAAAGGTGAAGATACTAGAGAGTAAGTAGTAAAGCTAGTATTTAAACATAGTTCAACATGTTTTTAACCCCTGCCCTGAGGTCCTCTTACTAAGAGTCCTTTGTCAGAGGGGCCAAGATGGCTAATTAGAAGCAGCTGTGGCCCGCCGCACTCAGAGGAATGAAAGAGGCAAGTGAATACAGCACCTTCAACTGAAATATCCAGGTTCTTGCACTGGGACTGATTAGGACAGCTCGACCCACGGAGCATGAAGATAAGCAGGGTGGGGAAATGGCTCACTCAGGAGCGACACTCAGCCAAGGGAACGCCCAAACCCAGCCAAGGGAAGCAGTGAGTGATTGTGCAACCCCTGGAAACCACGCTCTTCCCATGTATCTTTGTAATTTGCTGATCAGGAGATCCCCTTGTGAGCCCACCAGGGCCTTGGGGCTGACACACAGAGTTGTCTGGAGTCTTGGCAGAGCAGATGCTCAGGCACACAAAGAGACCCAGTAGCATTACATACTCCAGCCCCGGGATCCCCAACATAGATGTCTGCAACTCATGCAGGGCAAGAGAGCTGCACATACCCCTAGGAAGGGGGTGGAACCCAGGGAGCCAAGCAGCATTGTTCTGTGGGCCACACTTTCATGGCACCTCACAAGATAAGACCCACTGGCTTGGAATTCCAGCCAGCTACCAGCAACAAGGTGGAGCCTGCCTAAGGCTGGACAGAGCCCCCTGTGGGCAGGGGGAGGGGTGGGCACCATCTCTGCTCTTTGGTCAACTCAGCTGTTCCAGCCTGCAGGCTTTGGAGAATCCAAATGGTCCAGACAGGAAGGGTCCCTCCGTTGCCATATTGTGGCCAAACTGCTTCTTTAAGTGGGCCCAATCCATTCCTCCTCACTGGGCAGAACCTCCCAGCTGGGACTTCTGGCCATGCCTGCTTGCACATATTATGGACAGAGCTCTGAACTATCTCTAGGATGGAGTGCCCTGAGGAGGGGAGGGCTGCCACCTGGGTTGGTTGGACGACTCAGCCGTTCCAGCCTGCAAGCTTTGGAAAGTCCAAGCCAATGGGGACAGAGGTGGTTCCCCACCATGACACAGCTGTTTTGTTGAGGTGTGGCCAGACTGCTTCTTTAAGTGGGACCCCAATCCACTCCTCCTCATGGGGCAGATCCTCCCAGCAGGGTCCTCCAAGCCAGGGCCTCTGGCCACCCCCACCCATGTTCTATAGGGCCAACAGAGCTCTAATTTCTCCCTGAGACAGAGTGCCTGAGGGGCAAGGCAGGTCACCACCTGAGACATTCGGGCTTCTTAGCCAGTCCAGCTTCTGGGCCGTGGAAAGCCCAAACCAGACGGGGGCTGAAAGGATCCCCAACACAGCACAGCTGCTCTGCCACAAAGCAGCCAGACTGCTCCTTTAACTGGGTCCCTGATCCTGTTCCTCCTGACTGAGTGAGAACCTCCAAATGAGGTCTCTAGCCACCTCCTACAGACCTGTTGGAGCCAGCAATAAATCAGTAGCCCTCTGGGATGGAGCTTCCAGAGAAAGGGGCAGACTGCCATCTTTGCTGTTTTGCAGTCTTCACTGGTGACACCTCCAGGTGTGGGAATAACTGAGGCAAGTAGGGTCTGGAGTGAACCCCCAGCAAATAGCAGCAGCCCTACAGAAGACTGGCTAGACCATTAAAAGAAAAGCAAACAGAAAACAACAACAACAACAAAAAAAGTCCCCCACAAAGTCCCCATCCAAAGGTCAGCAACCTCAAAGATTGAAGGTAGTAAGCCCCCAAAGATGAGAAAGAATCAATACAAAAATGCAGAAAACTCAAAAAGTCAGAGTGCCCCTTTTCCTCCAAATGACTGCAGTGCCTCTCCAGCAAGGGCTCAGAACTGGACTGAGGCTGGGATGGCTGAAATGACAGAAGTAAGCTTCAGAAGGTGGGTAATAATGAACTTTGCTGAGCTAAAGGAGCATGTTGTAACCCAATGCAAAGAGATAAGAATTAAGATAAAACAATACAGGAGCTGATAGCCAAATTAGTCAGCATAGAGAGGAACATAACTGACCTATTAGAACTGAAAAACACACTACAAGAACTTCACAATGCAATCACAAGTATTAATAGCAGAATAGACCAAGCAGATTATTCTCAGAGCTTGAAGACTATTTTTTTCTGAAATAAGGCAGGGAGACAAGAATAGAGAAAAAAGAATGAAAAGGAATAAACAAAACCTTTGAGAAATGGGATTATGTAAAGAGACCAAACCTTTGACTGATTGGGGTACCTGAAAGAGATGAGGAGAATAGAACCAAGTTGGAAAACATACTTCAGGATATCATCCAGGAAAAATTCCCCAACCTAGCAAGACAGGCCAACATTCAAATTCAGAAAATGCAGAGAACCCCATTAAGATACTTCATGAGAAGATCATCCCCACGACAATAATCATCAGATTCTTCAAGGTTGCAATGCAAGAAAAAATGTTAAGGGCAGCTAGAGAGAAAATCCAGGTCACCTACAAAGGGAAGCCCTTCAGACTAACAGCAGACTTCTCAGTGGAAAGCCCATAAGCCAGGAGATTAGGGGACAATATTCAACATTCTTAAAGAAAGAATTTCCATCCCAGAATTTCCTATCCAGCCAAACTAAGCTTCATAAGCAAAGAAATAAGATCTTTTTTGGACAAGCAAATGCTGAGGGAATTTGTTACCACCAGATCTGCCTTACAAGAGCTCCAGAAGGAAGTACTAAATATGGAAAGGAAAGACCATTACCAGTCACTCCAAAACCACATTGAAGTACACAGACCAGTGACACTATAAAGCAACCATGTAAACAAGTCTACAAAATAACTAGCTAACATCATAATGACAGGATAAAATCCACACATAACAATACTAACCTTAAATGTAAATGGGCTAAATGTCCCAATTAAATGATACAGAATGGCAAGCTGGTTAAAGAACCAAGACCCACTGGTATGCGGTCTTCAAGAGAACCATCTCACATGCAATAACACACATAGGCTCAAAATAAAGGGATGGAGGAAAATTTACCAAGCAAATGGAAAATAGAAAAAGGCAGTGGTTGCAATTCTACTTTCTGACAAAACAGACTTTAAACCAACAAAAATCAAAAAAGAAAAAGAAGGGCATTACATAATGGTAAAAGGTTCAATTCAACAAGAAGAGCTAACTATCCTAAATATATATGCACCCCATATAGGAGCACTGAGATTCATAAAGCAAGTTCTTAGAGACATTCAAAGAGACTTAGACTCCCACACAATAATAGTAGGAGACTGTAACATCCCACTGACAATACTAGACAGATCATTGAAACAGAAAATTAACAAAGTATTCAGGACCTTAACTCAGCTCTGGATCAAGTGGACTTGATAGATATTTATAGAACTCTCCACCCAAAAACAACAGAAAATACATTCTTCCCATCACCACATGTCACTTACTCTAAAATCGACCACATAAAGTAAAACACTCCTCAGCAAATGCAAAAGAACTGAAATCATAGCAGTCTGGTATCTCCCCTCTCACCCATGCTTCCTCTCTTGTCATGTGATCTCTTGCACCAATTGGCTCCCCTTCCCCTTCCACAATGAATGGAAGCAGCCTCAGGCCCCCCGCAGAAGCAGTTGTTGGCAACTTGCTTCTTGTACAGCTTGCAGAACCATGAACCAAAGAAACATCTTTCTTTGTAAATTACCAAGCCTCAAGTATTCCTTTATAGTAACACTAAATGGACTAAGACAAGTAACAATAAGATGGAAGAGCTAAAAAACACAATGGACTTTCAACAGGGCCATACTAACAAGATATAAAACACAGCCTAAACAAGTTACAGGTGATTAAACAGTAAGTGAACAGATTACTAGAACAAAAGTCAACATTAATAGAGGAAGATAATAGAATGCAGATTCTCTACGATATTATACACCATGTTCAGAAAAGAAAATGTGACACAAAAAAAGCAATCACTAGGAATCAACCAAAAGATGCTCCAGATGTTAAATTTAAAAGAAAACAATGATAAAGTAGTTAGTATAAATAGTTTAAATAAAAAAGGAGAGATGATATCAGGAAGACAGCAAGCTAGGCGGTGCTAACCTTCATCCTCTCACAAAAACAACAATTTAACAACTATTCATGGATGAAAATAGCTCTGGGACAGTTCTGGGCTACAACTAAAAAGGAACAGTAGCCGAGTGGAGCACAAAAATCAAGGATGGCTGCATAGAAAAAGGTAGGAAATATTTTACCTCTGGCTGGAAAAGCTTAGTTCCAAGAGGAATCTCCTTGGCTATGAGTTCCCACTGCAGAGAATAAGAAGAACAGGAGGACCCCAGCAATCTTTGCCATTGAGGACCCCAGAAGCCCTTGTGACCATCACGGACCCCTAAACAGCCTTCTGCTGGAGAGGACCCCTGCAGTCTTTGCAAATGTAAAACTCAGTTGATGGAGCCTCCTGGATCTCAAGTTACTGTGGCTCCCAAAGCCAGAGAAACCAAATCCCCCTCACCTGGATGATGCAACTGTGGGCCCCTCAAAGCCAGTGCCACTGCGCTCCCCCAGCCAGTTGCCAAAAAGTGCATGTGCCCCAGACCTAGTGCTACTGCCCACTTGACCCAGATGGTGCCCTCATACTCGTTCACAGGTGAAGGCTTTTCCCTATAGTAACCAGTCCATAAAGTCTGGAAGAAGTGACCTTTTTTAATGCACAGACACTGGGTTGGGCAGGGTCTTCAAGACGGCTGATTAGAGGTATCTCCTACTCACCTTGTCCACTAAGAAGAACCAAAATAGCAGGTAGATAACTACACCTCAAGTAGATCATCCAAGAGAGGACACTGGAATTCAATAGTGAAATGACAGGAAACAAAGCAAGGAAAGGGAGGGAAGTGAGGCAGCCTGCTTGGCCAGGATTGGCTGGGAGCTGAGACAGACTCCCCAATGCATGGAAAACGTGAGAGACCATCAGCAGTCCACATTCCCATTATGAACTCCTGAAATCCTAGTTTGAGAGAGCCCCTTAACCCTCCTTGGCCCTGAGACTAACATGGTGAGCTCTCTGGAAATCACAAGAAGGAACTGCACCAGAGAGAGGACTCACTCTGGGTACCACAAGCTCCCACGTCCTTGGCAACAGTGACACAGTACCATCTTTAGAGCACAGTCCACACCGGACTATGTGGTGCCCTGCATCCAGCACCAAGGTAGTAGCCATAGGCAGCAGGCAGCAATCCTTTCCCCTCACCTCCTGCAAAGGGGTGGCCATGTATTTTAACATGCCCCAAGGACAAATTCCACTGCCTGCTATTGCAGTGGCTGCAGACTGCTGTGAGCTGATGCATTAGTGTGTACTCACGCTGCTATGAAGAAATACCTCAGACTGGGTAATTTATAAAGAAATGAGAACTAATTGACTCACAGTTCCACAGGCTTGGGGAGGCCTCAGGAAACTTACAACTAGGGTAGAAGGGGAGGCAAACACATCCTTCTTCACAGGGTGGCAGCAAGGAGAAGAATGAGAGCTGAGTGAAGCAGGGAAGCCCTTTATAAAACCATCAGATATCAAGAGAACTTACTCACTATAACGAGAACAGGATGGGGGAAACCACACCCATGATTCCATTATCTCCCCCTGGTCCCTCCCATGACACATGGGGATTATGGGAACTACAATTCAAGATGAGATTTGGGTGGCTACACAGCCAAACCATATCACTGTACCCCTGGCCCCTCCCAAAATTCAAGTCTTCACATTTCAAAATGTAATCATGCTTTCCCAACAGTCCCCCAAAGTCTTAACTTATTCCAGCATTAACCCAAAAGTCCAAGTCCAAAGTCTCATCTGAGACAAGAATGTCCCTTCTACCTGAGCCTGTAAAATCAAAAGCAAGTTAGTTACTTCCTAGATACAATGGGGATACAGGCATTGGGTAAATATATCCAATCCAAATGGGTTAAATTGGCCAAAATGAAGAGGCTACAGTCCCCATGAAAGCATGAAATCCAATGGGGCAGTCTGTCTTGAAGCTCCAAAATGATCTCCTTTGACTCCATGTGTCACATCCAGGTCACACTGATGCAAGAGGTGAGCTCCCACAACCTTGAGCAGCTCCACCCCTGTGGCTTTGCAGGGTACAGCCCCCTTCCTGGCTGCTTTCATGGCTGGCGTTGAGTATTTGCAGCTTCTTCAGGCGCATGGTGCAAGCTTTCAGTGGATCTACCATTCTGTGGTCTGGATGATGGTAGCCTTCTTCTCACAGCTCCATTAGGCAGTGCCCCAGTGGGGACTCTGTATGGGGGCTCACACCCCACATTTCCCTTCTGCACTGCTTTAGCAGAGGTTCTCCATAAGGGCTCTGCCCCTGCAGCAGACCTCTACCTGAACACCACAACTTGAGGCTGCATAGAGCAGGAAGGCCCTGGACCTGGCCCAGGAAACCATTTTTTCCTCCTAGGCCACTGGGCCTGTGATGGGAGAGATGATTTAGGGTATCTGGTGAAAGAAATTTTTAAGTGGCAAAGCATTGAAGAGGAAGCAGAGCATAAATATTTGAAAAATTTGCAGCCTAGTGATTCAATAGAAAAGAAAATCCCATTTTCTGCAGAGAAATTCTCAGCATCCCACTCTACCAGTACCAATTTACTGTATTAGTCCATTCTCACACTGCTATGAAGAAATACCTGAGACTGGGTAATTTATAAAGAAAAGAGGCTTAACTGACTTACTGTTCTGCTGGTTAGGGAGGCCTCAGGAAAATTACAATCATGGTGGAAGGAGAAGCAAACACGTCCTTCTTCACATGGCAGCAGGAAGGAGAAGAAGAATGACAGCCAAGTGAAGGGGGAAGCCCATTGTAAAACCATCAGATCTCATGAGAACTTACTATCATGAGAACAGGATGCGGGTAACAGGCCCCATGATTCAATGATCTCCACCTGGTCCCTCCCGTAATGCATGGGGTTTGTGAGAAATACAAATCATGATGAGATTTGGGTGGGGACACAGACAAACCATATCAGATGATGTGTAGGCAAAGCCAACTACCTATGGCTGCTCCCAGGGAAAGCAATTCCACCTTCTTAAGTAACTTAGTAACAGCACAGCCATTGCCGCCTTCACCTGAGCATTCTGTTGATGACCTATGGCTCACTTCACCCCTACATAACACAGTCAGCATCTTCATGAAGCATGATGGGGGTGGTGTGAAACCACAGCTCAGCCAGGCTCCACCTCATGCCCAAGATCCAAGCATATCAGTCAGAGGCCCAGGGATTGACCAGCCCAGTTCACCACCAGTAGCACCTGAGCACTCCTCCCAGGGTCTGACATCAGGCCCACTCAACCTGCTGTTACCACCAAAGCTGGTGCCCACCCCCATGCATCACCTTCCAGTCTGGGCACTGGCCTCCCCAACCCATCACAGCCACTGCCAACACCAGCATGAGCCTAACATAGCTACTGGATAGCCCTACCATAGCTACTGCCATCACCCACATCATGCAGGCTGTCCAGGGCCTTAAGGACTGACCCACATGCTCAGCCCATCAATGTCATTCCTGGCACCTGAACAAGCCACCTGGAGGCTTAAGAGTCAGCCTTAGAGGACCCATTAACACTGGCACCAATGTGTGCCAACCTAAAACCCAGGGACAGATTTGCCCATCCCACCATTGATGACATTGGGACCCAAAAACTGGCCTACCTGGCATCCCAGTCACCAGCAAAATTTCACCCCAGCCTCCAGTAGTAGCCACAACCTAAGCCACTGAGGAAATCAGTTATCACTGATGCTGTTTACAGCCAAGCAAGTCATGCAAAGACTACACTACTCCCCATACTCCAAAGTTAAAGCACTCTCCTATGATAGCAATGTTTTTAATTGGAAAAAGTGACTGTTACATCAGATGTATGGATATCAGCGTAAGGACAAAAGAAACATTAAAAAGAAATATGACACCTACAAAGGGACACAATAATTCTCCAGCAACAGATCCCAATTAAAAAAAGCATAAGGCCAGGCACGGTGGCTCATGCCTGCAATCCAAGCACTTTGGGATGCCAAGGCAGGTGGATCACTTGAGGTCAGGAGTTCATGAACAGCCTGGCCAACATGGCGAAACCACATCTCTACTAAAAATAAAAAAAAAATAGCTGTGTATGGTGACACATGCATATAATCCCAGGTACTCAGGAGGCTGAGGCAGGAGAATCACTTGAACCTGGGAGGCGAAGGTTGCAGTGAGCTGAGTTTGCACCACTGCACTCCAGCCTGGGTGACAGGGTGAGACTCCATCTCAAAAAAAAAGAAAAAAGAAAAAAGAAAGCATGAAACCCCCCAAAATTCAAAATTTCAATACTAAAAATTCTTAGTGATATATAAGAGAATTCCAGAAAACAATAGGAAGAAATAAGAAAAACAATTCAGGATACAAATGAGAAATTTACCAAATAGATAGATATAATAAAAACAAACCAAACAGAAATCCTGGAGTAAAGAATTCATTGTGAGAAATACACACTGGATTCAAAAGTTACAACAATAGACTGTATCAAGCAGATGAAAATCTCAGAACTTGATGACAAGTTTTTTTGAAATAACCCAGTCAGACAAGAGTATAGAAAAAACAATAAAAAAGAATAAGCAAATCCTTCATGACATAAGGGACACCATAGGTGACAAATCTTTGAATTATCACAGTTCCAATAGACAAAGAGAGAATGAAAGGGTAAGAAAACCTATTAAACAAAATAATAGATACAAATTTCCCAAGTAAAGAGATGTAAACATCCAGATGCAGGAAGCCGAGAGACTGCCAAACAGATACAATGCAAAAAGCTCTTCTCCACAGTGCACTGTAGTTAAACTGTCAAAAGTCAAAGACAAAGAGAGAATTCTAAAATTAGCAAGAGAAAAGCATCTAGTCACTTATAAAGGAATCCCCATTAGACTAACAGCAGATTTCTCAGCAGAAACCTTATAAACAGGAGAGAATTGGATGATATATTCAAAGTGCAGAAAGAAAAAAATTGTCAGCTAAGGACATTAAACCTAACAAAGTTATCCTTTATAAATAAAGCAGAAATAAACTATTTTCCAGAAAAACAATAGCTGAGAGAATTTATCACCGCTAGAATGGCTCTACAAAAAATACTTAAGGGAGTCCTACACATGGAAGCAAAAGCATGATATCTACTATCATGAAAACATATGAAAGTATAAAACCCATTAATAGAGCAAACCTACAAATAAAGAAGAGAATGGAATAAAATATTATCACTATAGAAAACCACCAAACCACAATGATAAACAATAAGAGAGAAAGAAAGGAATGAAGAATATTAAAAACAACCAGAAAACAATGAACAATATGACAAGAACAAAACCTCACATATCCATAATAACCTTAAATGTGAATGGATTAAATTCTCCACTTAAAATGCATAGAATGGTTAAACGAATAAAAACATGGCCCAAGTATATGTTGCCTACAAGAAATGCACTTTGCCTGTAAAGACATATATAGACTGAAAGTATAGGGATAGAAAAATATATTTCACACAAACAGAAAGTAAAAATAAGCAGGAGTAGTTAGAAAAAACAGACTTTAAGTCAAAATAGTAAAAAAAAAAAACAATATTATTATATCATGATAAAGAGATCAATCCATGGAGAGTATGTAACAATTATAAATATACATGTACCCGATATTGGAGAACTCAGATTCTTGAAGCAAATATTACTAGATCTAAAGAGAATGGCTCAATATAATAATAGTGAGGGATTTCAACACCCTACTCTTAGACAGATCATCTAAAGCACTGGATTTATTTATTTATTTATTTTGAGGCTGGGTTATAAGACTGGCAAATTTTTGTATTTTTGGTAGAGACAGGGTTTTACCATGTTGCCCAGGCTGGCACTGAGCTCCTGGGCTCAAGTGATCCACCTGCCTTGGCCTCCCAAAGTGCTGGGATTACAGGTGTGAGCCACCATGCCTGGCTGAAACATTGGATTTAAATCAGGCTTTAAACCAAATGGATCTAACAGACATTTACAAAATATGTCATCCAATAGTTGTAGAATACACATTCTTCTCAAAAGCACATGGAACATTCTATAGAATAGGCAATATGTTAGGACACAAAACAAGTCTTAAACTTTAAAATACCGAAGTCATATCAAGCATCTTGTCAGATCACAGTGGAAAAAATTAGAAATCAATACAAAACAGCTTTGGAAACCACACGAATACATGGAAATTAAACAACATGCTTCAGAAAGACCATTGGGTCAATGAAGAAGTTAAGATGGGAATTAAAAATCATTGAAACAAATGAAAATAAAAATACAACATACCAAAACCTATGGGATACAGCAAAAGCAGTGATAAGAGGGAAGTTTACAGCAATAAATGCCTATATCAAAAAAGTAGAAAGATTTAAAATATTAAATCTTTAAAATTTTAAATAAACTTTTAAAGTTAAAAAAATCTAACAATGTACCTTAAGGAACTAGAAAAGCAGCAACAAACCAAATCCAAAATTAGCAGAAGGAAAGAAATAATAAAGATCAGAGCAGAACTACACAAAATAGAGGAAAAAAATACAGTGCATCAATGGAACAAACAGTAAGTTTTTTGAAAAGATAAACAAAATTGATAAATTGCAAGCGAGACTAACCAAGAAAAGAAGGGAGAACACAAACATTAACAAAATTAGAAATGGAAAAGAAGACATTACAAGTGATACTACAAAAATGCAAGGGGTCATCAGGGATTATTACGAAAACTATATACTAACAACAAGAAAACCTAGAGGAACTGGATAAATTTCTGGAAGCATACAACCTAACAAGATTGAATCAGGAAGAAATAGAAAACCTAGATGGAAAAATAATGAGTAGTGAGATTGAATTAATAATTAAATGTCTCCCAACAAAGAAAAGTCCAGGACTGGATTCACTGCTAAATTCTACCAAACATATAAAGAAGAACTAATGCCAACACTTCTCAAACTATTCCAAAAAGTTCAAGGTATAAGAATACTTCCTGACTCATCCTATGAGACCAGCATTACTCTAATAACAAAATCAGAAAATGACACAATAAATTTAGAAAAGTACAGGTCAATATTCCTAATGAACATAGACACAGAAATTCTCCACAAGATACTAGGAAACCAAATCCAACAGCACATCAAAAAATGAATACACCATGATTAAGTATAATTTATACCAGGGATGCAAGGATGTTTCAACATATGCAAATCATTGAATGTCATGAATCACATCAAAAGAATAAGAAACAAAAAGCATATGGTCATCTCAATAGATGCAGAAAAAGCATTTGATAAAATTCAATATCATTTCATGATTAAAAACTCGACAAACTAGGCATAGAAGGAACCTTTATTATTTCAAAATAATAAAGGCCATATATGACAAACCCACAGCTAGAATCATACTGAATGGGGAAAATTTGAAAGCCTTCCCTCAAAGAATTGGAACAAGACAAGGATGCCTATGTTTACCACTTTCATTCAACATAGTACTGGAAGTCCTGGGCATAAGAATCAGGCATAGCAATCAGGCAAGAGAAAGTAATAAAAAGAATCCAAATCAGAAAAGATAAAGTCAAATTATTTGTCTTTGTAGACAACATAAACTTACATTTAGAAAAATGAAAATACTATACCAAGAAGCTCTTAGAACTGATAAACAACTTTAGTAAAGTTGCAGGGTATAAAAACATAGAAAAATCAAGAGCTTTTATATACACCAATAATGAAATATCCATAAAAGACATCAAGAGAGCATTCCTATTTATAATGGTCACAAAAACAAACAAACAAACAAAACCTCAGAACAAATATAACCAAAGAGGCAAAAGATCTCTACAATGAAAACTACAAAGCGTTCGTGAAAAAAACTGAAGAGGACACAAACAAATGGAAAATCATCACATGTTCGTGGATCAGAGGAATTAATATCATGAAAATGACCATACTTCTCAAAGCAACCTACAAATTAAATGCATTTCCTATCAAAATACCAATGTCATTTTTCACAGAATTAGAAAAAAAATCCTAAAATTTATATTGAACAAAGTGTCTGACTAGCCAAAGCAATTCTGAGCATAAAAAAACAAAGCTGGAAAAATCACACTACCCAGTTTCAAAATACAAGGCTATATTAACCAAAACAGCATGGTACTAGTATAAAAATAGACATATACCTCAAAGGAACAGAATAGAGGACCCAGAAATAAATCCACAGATTTACAGCCAATCAATCATTACAAAGTCTTCAAGAATTTTCATTGGGAAAAGAGGATACCCTCTTAAACAAACGGTGTTGGAAAACTGGATAACAATAATTTTTGATTATTGTGAAACTAGAGCCCTATCTCTCACTATGTACAAAAACTAATTCAAGATAGATTAAAGACAAACGTAAGACCTGAAACTATAAAACGACTACAAGAAAACCTAGGGAAAACTCCTCAGCACCTTGGTTTAGGCAAAGATTTCATGACTAAGTCCTCAAAAGCACAGGCAACACAATCAAAAATAGACAAATGGGACTATATTCAACTAAAAAGCTTCTGCACACAAAAGAAAGAAATCAATCGGGTGAAGAAACAACCTATGGAATAAGAGGAAATATTTGCAAGCTACTCATCTGACAGGGGATTAATATCCAGAATATACAAGGAACTCAATCAACTCAACAGTAAAAAAGACAATAATCCCATCAAGATGTGGGCAAAGAACATGAATACATATTTATCAAGAGGAGACATACAAATGGTCAAGAGCTATATGAACAAATGATCAACATCACTAATCCTCAGGGAAATGCAAATCAAAACCACAATGAGATATTATCTTACCACAGTTAGAATGGCTATTATTAAAAAGACAAAAATAACAATTGTTGGCAAGGATGTAGTGAAACGGGAACTCTTTTACAGTGTTGATGGGAATGTAAGTTAGTAATCCCCTATGGAAAACAGTATAATGATTTATCAAAAAACTAAAAATAGAACTACCATACAATCCAACAATCCCACTAGTGGGTATTTATCTAAAAGAAAATAAATCAATATATCAAAAAGATGCATGCACTCCAATGTTTATTGCCACACTATTCACAATAGCAAAGATATGGAATCAACCTACATGTCCATTAATGCACAAATGGATTAAGAGGATGTGGTCTTTATATATATGACCATAAAAAAGAATTAAACCATGTTATTTGCAGCAACACGGATGGAACTGAAGTACATTATGTTAAGCAAAATAAGCCAGGCACAGAATGACAAATTTCACATGTTCTCACTCATACATGGGATCTAAACAAGTAGATCACAGAGGTAGAAAGTGAAATGATGGATACCGGAGACTGGGAATTGTGTATGGGTTGGTGAAAGAAAGGTTGGCTAATGGGTACAATAATACAACTAGATAGAATATGTTCTAACGTTTGATAGCAGAGTAGGGTGATTATAGTTAACAACAATGCATTGTATTTTTAAAAATAGCTAGAAGACTTGAAATGTACCCATATATAAATGATAAATATTAGGGTGATGGATATTCTATATACCCTGTGTATTAGGGTTCTCTAGAGGGAAAGAACTAATAGGATAGATGTATATATAAAGGGGATTTTATTAAGGAGTATTGACTCACACAATCACAAGGTGAGGTCCCACAATAGGCCATCTGCAGGCTGAGGAGAGAGGAAGCCAGTCTGAATCCCAAAGCCTCAAAAGTAAGGAAGCCAACAGTGCAGCCTTCAGTCTGTTGTTGAAGGTCCAAGAGTCCCAAAGCTGAAGAACTTGGAGTCTAATGTTTGAGGGCAGGAAGCATTTAGCATGGGAGAAAAATGTAGGTGGGGAGACCAAGCCAGTCTAGTCTTTTCATGCTCTTCTGCCTGCTTTTATTCTGGCCACACTGGCAGCTCATTAGATTGTGCCCACCCAGATTGAGGGTGAGTCTGCCTTTCCGAGTCCAATGATTCAAATGTTAATCTCCTTTGACAACACCCTCATAGACACACCCAGGAACAATACTTTGCATTCTTCAATCCAATCAAGTTGACAATATTAACCATCACACCCTGACTTTATCATTACATATTGTACACATGTAATAAATTTCACATATATCCCATAAATATGTACAAATACAATGTATCAAAAATTTAAATAAAAATAAAAATAAAAGTACAGATTCCAGTGCTAAGCTACATGAAATGTGAAAAATCAGGGAAACATGACACCATCAAAGCAACACAACAAATTTCCAGTAACCCACCCAAAATAAATGAAGACCTACGAAATGCCTGATGACGAATTCAAAATAATAAATCTAAAGGAGCTCAGCAAGCTACAAGAGAACACAGACAGACTACTCAACAACATCAGGAAAACAATACATGAACAAAAAAGTTCCAAAAATATTAGAAATTATTAAAAAAGATCCAAACAGAAGTTCTGGATCTGAAGAATACAGTGGCAAAACTAAAAAATGCAATAGACCACTTCAACAGCATATTCAATCGGAGAGAAATAATTAGCCAACTCAAAAACACATCTTTTGAAATTATACAGTAAGAAGAGAAAAAAATGAAAATGAGAAAAGCCTACAGGATTTATGGAACACTATCATGACATACACATTATGATATTCCCCAGAACAGAAGTGAGAGGGAAAGGAGAGAAAAGCATATTTAAAGAAATAATGACTCAAAACTTCTCAAATCTGGGGAAGAAAATAGATACCTAGATTCAAGAAGCCCAAATAACGTCACATAAGTGGAACATAAACAGGTCTACACTAAGGCATTATAATTAATTTGTCAAAAGTCAAAGCCAAAGAGATAATTTTGAATTAGCAAGAGAAAAGTGACTCATCACATATAAAGGAACTTCAATGAGACTTTTAGTGGATTTCTCAGCAGAAGTCTTGTAGGCCAGGAGAGAGTGGGATGATACATTCAAAGTATTGAAATTAAAAAAAAAAACCTGCCAACAAGATAACTATACCTGGAAAAACTATCCTTTAAAAATGAAAGAGAGATAAAGTCTTTCCCAGACAAACAAAAACTGAAGGAGATAATCACCATTACATATGCCTTATAAGAAACACTTAAGGGAGTTCTTCAAATTGAAATGAAAACATGCTGGGCATGCACTCATGCCTACAATCCCAGCACTTTGGGAGCCAAGGCAGGCATATTGCTTGAGCTCAGGACTTCAAGACCAGCCAAGGCAACATGGCAAAACTCTGTCTCAACAAAAAAATAAAAAATTAGCCAGGCATTGTGACATGTGCCTGTAGTACCAGCTACTTGGGAGGCTGAGGTAGGAGGAGCACCTGAGCTCAAGGAGGTCAAGGCTGAAATGAGCTGTGATCACACCACTGCACTCCAGCCTGGATGACAGAGTGAGACCCTGTCTCAAAAAGTAATAATAAAATAAAATAAAAACATGCTAAACAGCAACATAAAAGCACATGAAAGCATAAATCTTCCTAGTAAGTGTAAATATATAGACAAATACAGAATAATGGAACATTGTAATGATGGTGAGTAATTACTATTACCCTAATATAAAAGTTAAAAAACAAAAATATTAAGAATAACTATCACCACAAAAATTTGTTAATGACTGTTCTATATAAAAGGAAGTACACTCTGACTACAAGAACACAATGTGAGGGAAGGACATAAAAGTATAAAGTTTTTGTATGGGATCAAAGTAAAGTTGTTATCAACTTAAAGTAGATAGTTATAACTACAAGATATTTTATGCAAGCCTTGTAGTAACCACAAATAAAAAACCTATAATAGACGCACAAAAGATGAAAAGAATCAAAGCAAATGACTATAAAAAACCATCAAATAAAGAACACATGAGAGGACTAGAGGAACAAAACAACAGCAAAATGGAGAGAAAACAATGAGCAACATGGCAATAATATATTGATATGGTTTGGCTGTGTTCCTACACAAATCACATCTTGAAATGTAGCTTCTATAATCCCCACGTGTTATGGGAGGGACCCAGTGAGAAGTAATTGAACCATGGAGGCAAGTTTTTCCCATGCTGTTCTCATGACAGTGAATAAGTCTCAGGGATGGTTTTATAAAGGGCAGTTCCCCTGCACATGATCTCTTGCCTACCACCATGTAAGATGTGCCTTTGCTATTCCTTCACCTTTGCCATGATTGTGAGGCCTCCCCAGGCATGTGAAACTGTGAGTCCATTAAACCTATTTTTCTGTATAAATTACGCAGTCTCAGGTATGCTGTTATAGCAGTGTAAGAATGGACTAATATAGTAAATTGGTACCCGTAGAGTGGGGTACTGCTATTAAGATACCCAAAAATGTGGAAGCAACTTTGGAACTGGGTAACAGGCAGAGATTGGAACACTTTGGATGGCTCAGAAAAAGACAGGAAGATGTGGGAAAGTTTGGAGCTCCCTAGAGATTTGTTGAATAGTTTTGACCAAAAAGTCCAGGCTGAGGTGGTCTCAGATGGAGATGAGGAACTTATTGAGAACAGGAGCAAAGGTGATTCTTGCTATGCTTTAGCAAAGAGACTGGTGGCATTTTACCCCTGCCCTAGAGATCTGTGGAACTTTGAACTTGAGAGGGATGATTTAGGGTATCTGGTGGAAGAAATTTCTAAGCAGCAAAGTGTTCAAGATGTGACTTGGGTGCTCTTAAAAGAATTCAGTTTTACTGATTCACAAAGATATGATTTGGGATTAAAACTTATGTTTAAAAGGGAAGCAGAGCAGAAAAGTTCAGAAAATTTGCAGCCTTACAATGGGAAAGAACAGAAAAACCCATTTTCTGAGGAGAAATTCAAGCCAGCTGCAGAAATTTGCATAAGTAATGAAGAGCCAAATGTTAATTGCCAAGACAATGGGGAAAATGTCTCCAGAGCATGCCAGCAGTCTTCACAGCAGCCCCTCCCATCACAAGCTGGGAGACCTAGGAGAAAAAAACTGGTTTTACGGGCCTTGCTGCTTTGTCCAGTTTCAGGACTTGGTGTCCTGCGTCCCAGCCATGGCTAAAAAGGACCATCATACAGCTCAGGCCATTGCTTCAGAGAGTGCAAGCCACAAGCCTTGGCAGCTTCCACATGGTGTTGGGCCTGCTGGTGCTCAGAAGTCAAGAACTGAGGTTTGGGAACCTCTGCCTAGATTTCAGAGGATGCATGGAAACACCTGGATATCCAGGTAGAAGCCTGCTGTAGGGGCAGAGCCCTCATAGAGAACCTCTGCTAGGGCAGTGCAAAAGGGAAATGTGGAGTGGGAGCTGTCACACAGAGTCCCCACTGGGGCACTGCCTAGTGGAGCTGTGAGAAGAGGGCCACCATCATCCAGCCCCCAGAATGGCAGATCCACCAACAGCTTGCACTGTGCACCTGGAAAAGCCTCACACACTCAACTCCAGACCATAAAAGCATCCAGGAGGTGGTGGGGGCTGTACCCTGCAAAGCCACAGGGGTGGAGCTGCCCAAGACCATGGGAACTCACCTCTTGCATCAGTGTGAACTGGATGTGAGACATGGAGTCAAAGAAGATCATTTTGGAGCTTTCAGACTTGACTGCCCCACTGGATTTCAGACTTGCATGGGCCCTGTAGCCCTTTTGTTTTGGTCAATTTCTCCCATTTGGAACAGGTGTATCTATCCAATGACTGTACCCCCATTGTATCTAGGAAGTAACTAACTTGCTTTTGATTTTACAGGCTCATAGGCAAAAGGGACTTGCCTTGCCTCAGGTGAGACTTTGGACTGTGGACTTTTTAGTTAATGCTGGAATGAATTAAGACTTTGAGGGACTGTTGGGGAGGCAGGATTGGTTTCGAAATGTGAAGACGTGCGATTTGTGAGGGACCAGGGGTGGAATGACATGGTTTGGCTGTGTTCCTACCTAAATCTCATCATGAATTGTAGCTCCCATAATCCCCAAGTTTCCTGGGAGGGACCCAGTGGGAGGTAATTGAATCACAAGGGTGGGTTTTTCCCATGCTATTCTCATAATAGTGAATAAGTCTCATGAAATCCAATGGTTTTATAAAGGGCAGTTTCCCTGCAATGCTCTCTTGCCTGCTGCCATGAAAGATGTGCCTTTGCTCCTCCCCAGCCGTGTGAAACTGTGAGTCTGTTAAACCTCTTTTTCTTTATAAATTACCCAGTCTCAGGTATTTCTTCATATCAGTATAAAAATGGACAAATACATATGTTTTCACTTATCAATAATTATTTTAAATATATATCAATTGAACTTTCCAGTTCAAAAGACATAAAATGGCTGAATGAAACCAAGTGTTGAGCCATAAATCATAAATCTCAATACATTTCCAAGGACTGAAAACTTATATATTCCCTGACCACATGAAGTTAAATTGGAAATTAAATAATACACTTTTAAGAACTAAGTGGATCTAAGAAATCACATTATACATCATACAATATTGTGAAATATTATTATAAAAAAGCAACACATCAAAATTTATAGACTGCAACTAAAACAGTTCCTAAAGGAAAATTTATAGCTTTAAATGCTTACATTAGTAAAGGAGAAAGGTTCAAACTCAAACACATTTGTAACTTCCTTAAGCAACTAGAAAAACGAGAGAAAAATAAACCCAAAGGAAGTGGAAGGAAAGAAAGAATAACAACCAGAGCAGAAATCAATGAAATACAAAACAGATTAAAAACACAAGAAATTTTAAAAGTCAATAGCGTCATTGAAATGAATACTCTGACAAGTCAGCAACAAAATGAATCAAAAAAAACAAAAAGGAGTGAGGAAACACAAATTCTCAATATGCCCAGGAATGAATGAGAGGATATATCGACAGACTCTAGAGATGCTGGTAGTATAACAAGGAAATATTAAGATCAACTTCAGTCAAAAAATGCAAAAAAATAAATAGACAAATACAAGTTACTAAAAGTGACTGAAGAAATTTAAAATGGAAATTGTCCTATAGATATTAAAGAAATTAAAATCAGAACAAAAAACCTTCTTTTGTGAAGAAAACTTCAGACCCATATAGTATTACTGGTGAATTCTATCAAACACATAAAAAGCAATAGACGTTGGCGTGGATGTGGTGAAAAGGGACGGTGCATACACTGCTAGGTGGGAATGTATAACCTCTATGGGAAACAGTATGGAGATTCCTTAAAGAACTAAAAGTAGATCTACCACGCGATCCAGCAATCCCACTACTGGGTATCTGCCCAAAGGAGAAGAAGTCATTATATGAAAAACACAAATGCACACATATGTTTATTTCAGCACAATTCACAAATGCAAAGATATAGAACGAACCGAAGCACCAATCAACCAATGAGTAGATATAGAAAATGTGGTATGTACACACCGTGGAGAACTACTCAGCCATAAAGAGAAACAGAATAATGTCATTTGCAGCAACTTGGATGGAGCTGGAGGCCATTATTCTAAGTGAAGTAACTCAGGAATGGAAGACCAAATTACCCTGTGTTCTCACCTGTAAGTGGGAGCTAAGCTATGAGAATGCAAAGACATACAGAGTGATATAATGGACTTTGGAGACACACAAGGGGGAAGAGTGTGAGGGTGTGGGATAAGAAAACTACATATTGGGTACAATGTACACTACTCGGGTGATGGGTGCACTAAAATCTCAGAATTTACCACTATATAATTCATCCATTTAACCAAAAAGCACTTGTAAGCCAAAAGTTATTGAAATAAAAAAAAATTAAACAGTTATTGAGCAACTACTATGTCCTGGGTTCTAATTCAGGGGTGGGCAAACTATAGCCCCAGAATTTGGCCCATAGCCTGCTTTTGTACGGACTGTGAGTTAAGAATAGTTTTTACACGTTGAAAGGATTGCAAAGACAAACATACAAAGAAACAAAGAAGACTGTGCAACAGAGACCACCTGTGGTCTGTAAAGACTAACACATTTCTATCCCGCCCTTGACAGAAAGAGTCTGTGGGCTGCTGGTCTCCTCTAACGGTGGTAGAGATGCCTGCACGGTTAACATTAATCCTTGGCACCAGAATCCTCAGCACCTAGGAACCAGATCTTGCCTAACACGCTAATTTCAGTCTTGACCACCTTCCTCCGGCGTAGCGGTTCTCAAACGTCTTTGTCTTTGTACTATTCACGTATAAAATATTCTTTCATAAGCAACATTTATCCTTTTGGGAGTACCTCACAATGGGGAGAAGGGGAACCCCAACAGCCTTTAAGGGTTCACTGCTTCGCTGCCACCATTTCCGACGGTTTACACTGTTTTAAGTGTGAATTTGGAATTGTTTTCAAGTTAAAAAGCAAACTAATCATGTCCTCTGAAAGTATTTGCTTTTGGCATGCTAGAAATCAGTGTTGACTTTTGATACTGATGTGATACATTACGAGGGAATTCTCAAAACTGCTGAAATCTGGCCTCGGCCCAGTTATCACTGCTCTTAAGCTTCTGAGGGAGATACATGAATGAGCCCACGGCAAATGGAAAACGAGGAGTTTTAGTGTTTCCTAGAATTATGCTCAGATACCCACTACCTGACCGTCTGGTTATCCTTCCCCTCACCTCCCTGACGCAAGGAGTTTGGACCAGAGGCCTAAGGAGGCTTCTCCTGAAGCCCAAATCCCAAACTGGTCACCAGTCATGCTCCGTAACTCCTGAACCTGACAAGAAGCCAGCCGGCCAGGTCTGCAGCCCGGGTTAAGAGGAGCATACCAGGAAAGAGCCAAAGAGCAAAAGAGCATGAGCCCTTCAACCGCTTTTACAATAATTTGGGCTAGGCGTTCAGGGCTCCGTAGGACCCTTCCTGGCAGCCAAGTGAGAGAAAGAGGAATGATGGTGGAATGGGCCTCTCCTGTGCTTCCCATTACTTCCACACTGTCGAAATAGAAATAGAAGCAGAAAAGAACACCCTACAAGTCCCACCCATTTGGAGGCACTCAACTCACAGTGACAACCCTCCACACCTCTCCCCTGCAAAAAGACGCAAAACAAAAACACCTACTCCAAACTGTGTCCTTACATCTCAGCCCCGAAGATCAGGATTGTGTGCAACTTCGGCCCAAAGGATGCATTTCCCCAGGGTTGAAAGTTTGAGAAAGAGGCTATATTCTGAAGAGTTCTTGTTGTCACCATCAAAAGGATTAAAAAGACGCAATAAATAAGAAAACAGCGTAGTTGGGGGGCATGCTCCATTTGAGGCAGAAAGCCTTGGAAACTTAAGTGTTCTCAAACGGAACGCCATCCTGCTTTGGGGGAACACGGAGGCTGCCTTGCAGTCACGTGATCGCGCAACACCAAAGGGCCACGCACTCTGATTTCACCTACTTAACTAAAAGTTGCAGCAAAATCCCTATTACAGGCCAGGCGTGGTGGCTCATGCCTGTAATCCCAGCACTTTGGGAGGCCGAGGAGGGTGGATCATTTGAGGTCAGGAGTTGGAGACCAGCTTGGCCAACATGGTGAGACCCCATCTCTATTAAAAATACAAAAATTAGCCCAGCGTGGTGGTGCACGCCTGTAATCCCAGGCACCCTGGAGGTTGAGGTAGGAGAATCGCTTGAACCCAGGAGGCGGAGGTTGCAGTGAGCCGAGATCACGCCACTGCGCTCCTGCCTGGGCGACAGAGTGAGACTCCATCTCGGGGGGGGAAAAAAAAAAAAAAAAAAAAATCCCTATTACAAATAAAAGCTGTTGTGATCCAGACTGCATATACCTCTGCGAATGGAACCAGAACCGTGAATTCCAATGCAAATCGATGCATCGGCACCAGACCCGCTGCACTGGATGTATCTGCATTGCAGTCACCCGAGTACGGAGCACATCATAGATGATCTCTGCAGGTTCGTTGCCCACATAGGAGGCATAGCGCAAATTTCAAAGGAACGAATACATCCTGGAGCCCAAACAGCTATCTGGTTCTGCTGCTGGCCTCCTGACAAGTAGGTAAGAGAGTCACATTTTATAGACGACGGACACCAAAACCACACATGAGGAGTACAAGAGTAGCTTTATCATGGATTTAGGGCTGTGGTTACAAGGAAGCTGTAAGGAATAAAATGACTCCCATGAAGACGTACCGTGCGGACGAGTGGAAGGAGAAATTTGGCCATTACAAAGACACAGGAATATGTTAAGAAGTGAGGGGCAGGATGAAATCATCTAGGGTAGGTATTTAGAGGGAGGGCGCCGTGCAAAATAAAATCCTCACTATGAAACAAAGGCGGAGGCAGGAGGCTGCGTTGGGTGGAAGCAGCGGAGGAAGGAGACGAAAGGGATTGTCATTTTCATGTCGTGGCTTTTTAGAAGACAGCCATGTCCTCTACTCTGATTCTATCAAAATGTGTTCTCGGGGTGCTGGTAACGTTCAGCCAACGAAATAATTCCTATGGCGGCAGTAGGAATAACAAAACGCAGAAGCGGGAACGATGTCTTTTTATTCCTCCCCAGACGCAAACGTGGATGCATGAGGTTTGGTAACAGGCAAAGTCATCTGGTTAACGTGACTGATGCAAAAAGTCCCGGCCTGGGCAAAAAGAAGTCACTGGGTGAATGGGATGGATCAGACTCCCTGTCCTGAGGGGGAGATGGTTTCTTGCAGAACGAGGTGAAGGAGGTGGTTCTGCTCAGCAGTCAACAGTGGCCACATCTCCACCTGCAGCGACTTGATGGCTTCCGTGTCCTTTTCGTGGGTAGCCATGACCAAAGACTGGAGCAGCAGAAAGAGCTCCTCGGGAAGCTGGCCGCTGCTCTCCTGCCCGTGGCTGTCAAAAGCCTCCCAGGAGTACTTCTCCAGGGTCTGGGCGTGCTCCGGCAGCAGCTTGGCGGGCGGTGGTTGCAGGAGGAGCAGCAGCAGCACGCGGGACACCTCGCAGCGGACCAGCACGTCCGAGAAGGCGCCCAGGGCGGCGGGAGAGGGCGCCGCCGAGCCGGAGTTCGGAGGAAGCAGCGCGGCCGGTAGGGCGGGCGTCGCCCCGGGCCCGGGCTGGGGTGCCGGCGGCGGGGGCGGCGGCAGTGACTGCACCGGGTGGCTGCCGTGCTCCCGCGCCAGGCGCTGCATGCGCGTGAAGACCGCCAGGGCGCCGGTGTAGTCGCGCGCCAGCAGCTGGCAGGAGGCGGCCTCGCCAAGCGCCTGCAGCGCGGCCAGGGGCAGCTGGGGCAGCTGGAGCTGGGCGGCGCGCTGGAAGTGACCGGCGGCGGCGGCCGGCTGGCCCAGGTCGCGCAGGGCGGCGGCCAGCTCGAGGCAGAGGGCGGCGGCGGCGGCCGGCTGGCCCAGCTCGAGGTGCAGACGCACCGCGGCGCCCAGGGCGCTGGCGGCGGCCTGCAGCGGCTCCCCGTAGGCGGCGGGGCAGACCAGGCGCTGGCGCGCGTCGCGCTCCTGCCGCAGGAAGAGGCGGGCGGCCTCGGTGAGGGCCAGCGCCTCCCCGGGCCCGTGGAAGAGCGCCTGCTGGCAGCGCGCCACCGCCAGCTGGCACCAGGCCGCGTAGGGCAGACACTCCTGGGCGCGCAGCTCCCGGCCCAGCTGTCCGAACTGCTCGCCGGCCTCCGCCACGTTCGGCTTCCGCAGGAACCGCTTCTTCAGCTTGTTCGATACCAGCCGGTAGCGGGCCAGGAAGTCCCCGGCCTCGGGTCCCGGGCCGGCGCCGCCGCCGCCCAGGCCTGCAGCCGCTGCCGCCATGCTCGCCGCCCCAAGCACTTCCCGACGCGCCGCCGCAGCTGGCGGGCGGGCCGGGGCGGGGCGACGTGCCCTGCGTCCCCCTCGGCGGGCTGCCGCCGTGCCCGCGCCGGCTCCCCAGCCCGAGCCTGCCCCTTGCCCTGGTGAGGTGCAAAGAGCGGGATCGGAGGCGGGGCCTGGCCGGGCTGTGAGCGGCGTATGCAAATCGAGGGTCTCGGGGATGCGGATCCAAGACCCTGGGAAGGTACGCGGGGCCTGGCGGGGCACCAGCTGCTGCTAGCTCGGCTGCAATGCAAGTGGTCTAGGTTGCTAAAGGCATCCCACAGCCTCTCCATCTGAACATGACCCAAAGGAAACTCGTGACCCTAATTCCATGTCTGCGCATTTCTGGACTGTTGTCCCCCCCCCCCCCCCCGCCCCGACTACTCAGTCCTCCGTCTTCCGGTCCAGGGCCCCTTGCCAAGCACCGGGTCCACCTCTCCGTCCCCACCCCGGTTGCCTTAGAAGTCCGTCCTGTCGCAACACTGCAGTCATGGTCTTGAGGCCCACCCGCCCCAACGAACACCATCATGCTGAGGACTTTCCCGGGCAGGCCCTGACTTGCTCAGAACCAGCGGGGGTGTCCCCTTCCCACCCAGGGCCACTCCCCTGCACTGTCACCCGGAGAGACGGCTCCTCTGTGCCATCCCTGGCTCCCACCCAACCCCAGACCCCCACCACCTCTCCATCCCTCCAGCTGTGGAGGTCTCACAACCCCCCAACCCATCTCACCGCCCCCCCACCCCCACCCCAAGGCAAAGTGACTGAAGCGGGCAGATGGCTTCCTTGAAACATTTTATTGACAGAATTAATGAAGGCCCAAGACTTTGGGGCCTGGGTTGTGGGGGGAGGGTGTTTAAGGCCGGGGGTTCAGGCCGGGGGATTTGGGGCCGGGTGGGTGGACGAGTGGACCTGTCAGGTCCCAGGGGCCGGGTGTCAGAAGCTAGTCCTCGCCAGGGGCCACTTGAGAGATGGTGGTCGTGTTGAAAAGGGTGCTCAGTAGCCTGTCGTTGTGAACCACCATGTCCAGCAGCAGGGGAGTGATGTTCCGCTCTCCGCTGTTCTGGGCCTCGTTGCCCGCCAGCTCCAGGACCTTGGCCGTCAGGTACTCAATAACCGCAGCGAGGTAGACCGGCGCCGTGCGACTCAGGCGCTGAGCGTAGTGGCCCTCCCGTAGACTGCGCTCCACCTGGCTCACTGAAAACGAAAGCTCCGCTCGGACGGTGCGAGAGCAGGTCCGCCCCCGGCCGCCAGCACCGGAGGACCCTCGGCGTCTCCTCCTCCTCGGCATGCTGGGCGTTGAGTGTGCTATCTCGGCTTGGCCCAGCTAGGCAAGATGGCTCTCAAGAGGACAGTTACCGCGTCCAGTACTGTGTATCCTAGCGACCAGGGCCCAGCCCCTCATTGGCTAGGGAGCCGAGACCAATGGGCACGCACATCCGGCGACGGGCACGCATGTGGTGACGGCCCCTCACAAGGGACACACGTCCGTCAGGTGACCTCATCACTTTCCCATTGGCCTCGAGGGAGCAGGCCTGGGCCTAGAAGTGGCTGGAGGGCCGTGGGGGTGGGGTGGGGCGGGGCAGGGGGAATCGCGCTGGTGACCCTCTCTTTGCCAGTGGGAACTTTCCCTTTCTACTGGATGGGAACACCGTGGGAAAGACAAAGGGGTGGGCGAGGGGAGGACGGGTACCACGCCTTCACAATGTTGCACATCCATCACGACCACCTAGTTCCAAAACGTTTTCAACACCCCGAAAAGAAACCGAAACCCCTGTACCTATAAGCAGTCACTTGCCGCACGCCTCCTTCCACACCACCACTACCAGCCCCCACACCCTCCCACACACACCCCCTGCCCCCGCCCATACACACGTTCCCGATAGTCCCTGGCAACCCCTAGTCCATCTGCTTTCTGTCCATAGAGGTTAGCCTGTTCTGGAGATTTCCTATAGATGGAATTATACGACCAAATGTGAGGCCGTGTGTGTCTGGCTGCTTTCACTTAGCGTAATGGTTTCATCAGGGTGCATCCATGTAGAGGCATGAATCACTACTTCCTTCCTTTGAATGACTGAGTACGATTCTGTTGTATGAATAGGAGGCCACATTTTGTTTACCCACTCGTCAGTTGATGGACAGGTTATTTCCCCCTTCTGGCTATTGTGAGTGGCACTGCCATGACCATCTCTCTACAGGTTTTTCTTTGAATATCTCTTTTCAGTTCTTTTGGGTCTATTTCTAGCAGTCAAACTGCTGGCTCGTGTGGTAATTCTGTTTAACTTATTGAGGAACCACCAAACTGATTTCCACAGCAGCTGTAATCTTTCGCATTCCCAACAGTAGTGCATGAGAGTCCCAATTTCTTCACAGCCTCATCAAAACCTGTTTTCTGTTTGCCTCATTTTGTTTTGTTTACAGTAGCCATCCTACTGGGTGTCAAGTGCTATCTCATGGTGGTTTTCATTCGTATTTCCCAAATGGCTAATGATGTTGCTGTGGTTTGAGTGCATCCCCCAAATTGTGTGTCTTGGAAACTTAATCCCCAAATTCACATGTTGATTGGAGGCGCAGCCTCTGAGACGGTAATTAGGATTAGATAAGGTCATCGGGGTGAGACCCCCAGGATGCGACTGGTGGCTTTATAAGAATAGGAAGAGAGGCCTGAAACGACATACACGCTCTTGCCCTCTCGCCGTGTGATACCCTCTGCCGTCCCCAGATGCCGGGTCACTTCCCAGTCCCCAGAACGGTAAGAAATAAATTTCTTTTCTTTATAAATTGTTCAGTGTCGGGTATTCAATTATGGCAACAGAAAACAGACTAAGACATCTTTTCATGTGCTTCTTGGCCCTCTGTACCTCTGCTTTGGAGGAATGTCTATTCAAGCCCTTTGCCCATTTTTTAATTCGGTTGATTGTATTTTGGCTGTGGGCTTCTAAAACTTATTCATATATTCTGGAAAATAGACTCTTATCAGATATGTGACTTGCAAATGTTTCTCCCATTCACTTTCTGGATAGAGCCCTTTGTTGCCCAAAAGATTTACATTTGGATGTAGTCCAACTTGCCAAATGAAAAGATATCTGTGGCTTTGCCTTTGGTGTCATACTGAAGGAGCTGTTGCCTAATCCAAGGTCGTGCAAAGTTACATCTCCGTTTTCTTCTTAGAGTTTTATAGTTTCAGCCCTTACATTTAGATCTGTGATCCATTTTGAATTAATTCTTTACATGATGTGAGGTAGGGGTCCAGGGGCCTTCTTTTGCATGTGGCTATCCAGTTGTCCCAGCGCAGTTTGTTGAGGGGATTATTCTTCCCCTCCACCCATTGAGGGGTGCCGGAACTCTTACTGAAAATAAACTTTACATAAATATATGGGTTTATTCCTGACTCTGAGTTCTGTAACATTGACCTAATGTATCGATCACGATGGCAGTACCACCCTTTTCGGATTACTGCGGTTTTGTAGTACGTTTTGAAATTGGGAAGTGTGAGTCCTTCAACTTTTTTCTTTTCTGAGATTGTTTTGGCTATCTGAGCCCCTTACATTTTCTTATGAATTTTAGGATCAGCTTGTCAGTTTTTACAAAGAAGGCAGGTTGGATTCTGACAGGCATCACGATGAATCTGTATATTGCCTTGGAGATTATGGGCATCTTAACAATATTAAGTGTCCCAATCCGTTAACACAAAATGCCTTTCGATTTATTTAGGTCTTCTTTAATTTATTTTAGCAACGTCTTGAAATTTTCAGAGTATACATCTTGTACACCTTTAGTTAAATTTATTCCTCGACATTTTATTGTTTCGATGCTACTGTAAAATGAATCATTTCCTTAATCTTATTTTCATGTTATTCATTGCTAGGGTGTAGAAATACAACCGACTGTTGCAGATTGATCTTGGATACTGCAACTTTGCTGAGCCGAATATGCTTTGCTGAGCATACTCAGACAGGGTTGGCATATTAGTCCGTTCCTACACTGCTATAAAGAACTGCCTGAGAATGGGTAATTCCTAAAGAAAAGAGGTTTAATTGCCTCATGGTTCTGCAGGCTGTACAAGGCTTCTGCTTCTGGGCAGGCCTCAGGAAACGTGCAATCATGGCGGAAGGCGAAGGGGAAGCAAGCACCTTCTTCACATGTTGGAGCAGGAGGAAGAGAGAGAGAACGCACGCAAAGGGGGAAGCGCTGCACATTTTCAAACAATCATCAGATCTTGTGAGCGCTCTATCAGAAGAATAGCAAGGGGGAAGTCCGCCCCCATGATTCAATCACCTCCCACTAGGCCCTTCCTTCAACAGGTGGGGATTACAATTCGACATGAGATTTGGGTGGGGACACAGAGCCAAACCGTCTCAGTTTTTTTTTTTTCTTTTGTTGGACTCTTTAGTGTCCTCTATATAAGAACATGCCATCTATGCATCTATGAATAGAGATGGTTTTACTTGTTCCTTTCCGATCTGGATGCCTTTTATTTCTTTTTCTTGACTAATTGCCCTGACTAGAACTTTGAGTACAATGTTGAGTTACAAGTGGCATTCCTGATCTTAGGGGGAAATCAACCAGTCTTTCACCATTAAGTATGATATTATCTCTGGGTTTTTCATGGATGCCCTCTATCAGGTTGAAGAAGTTTCTTTCTGTTCCTGGTTTGTTGAATTTATTTTCATGAAAGGGTACTGCGTTTTGTCAAATGATCCTTTTTGTACATGATTAAGATGACCATGAGCCCCCTCCCCCGCCCCCGCTCCGCCATGCATTCTGTTAATATGGTGTATTATATAAATTGATTTTCACATGTTGAACCAACCATTAATATGGTGTATTATATACACTGATTTTCACATGTTGAACCAACCTTACATTTGTGGGATAAATCCTATTTGGTCATAGTGTATAAAGAGTGGTCAATAAACATTTCGTTGAAAGAATAGGAGTGGATCTGGCAAGCTTCTTGGAGGACAATGTGTGTGTTAAAGAATCTGTAGCATGATGAGAAGCCAAGGCACCGGTGGGAGGAGGGGAGTTGCAACCAATTCATTAAGGCTGGAGAGTACGATGCCAGTGGAGCAGTAGTGGTTGATGTGGCTGGGAAAGAGGTAGGCAGGAGCCAAGACATGGAGGTTCTATTATGCCATGCTCAGGTTTTAGAATACCCTGTAGGCTACACTGAACCCACTGTGGTCTTTCAGCTTGGGAGTGACGTGGTCTGATTTGCCTCTAGAAATATCACCCTGGAAGCTGTGTGGAGAATAGAACAGAGAGGATTGTGTGTGGAGAATAGAACAGAGAGGACTGAGATTGGAATTAGAAAGCTGCTGTATTATACCAGTCAAGAAATGACAGATATCTCAACTAAGACAATGGCATTGGTAGATAAGACTAGGGGACAGAGTCCATAAAAAGTTTAGGTAGTAAAATGGCACACAGTAGACACTCACTACATATTACTCATACTGGCGAACCTAGCTGGAGACATGATAATTCATGTGCTCATTCTTCAAAAAATATTGAAGGGTAGTGCCAGGTATACTGTGTTAAGCATTGAGACAACACCAACGAGAAATATAGATCAGATCCCTGCATGCAGTCTGGCGGAACATACAGACAAGGAGCCAGACAATGACAACACTATACTGTGATAAGTGCTATGAGAGGGGAAGTTCAAGGTGCTGGTTATAGTTTGGTTTGTTTGACCCCTCCAAATCTCATGTGGAAATTTGATACCCAGTGTTGGAAGGTGGGGTCTAATGGAAGGTGTTTGAGTCATGGGGTGGATCCTTCATGAATGGCTTGGTGCCAGCCTCGCAGTAATGAGTGAGTTCTCACTTGATTCATTCCCACAAGAGCTGGTTGTTAAAAAAGAGTGTAGCACCTCCCCCCCACCCCACCTTGATTCCTCTCTCATCATGTGATCTCTGCACTTGCCGGCTCCCCTTCACCTTATGCCATGAGTGGAAGCAGCCTGAGACCCTCACCAGAAACCAAGCAGATGCCAGCACCATGTTTCCTGTACAGCCTGCAGAATCATGAGCCAAATAAACCTCTTTTCTTTATAAATTACCCAGCCTCAGGTATTCCTTTATAGCAACACAGATGGACTAAGAAAGTGCTGTAGGAACACATAAGAGGAGTACTTTACACAGACGTTTGGGGTTGGGGAAATGTTCCTGGAGAAATGGTGTCCAATATGAAGCTTGAAGAACGAGTACAAGTTAGCCAATTGGAAAAGCGGGGCATTGGTTGGCAGGGGAGGGGAGTGGCGATGGGGAAGTGAAAAAGCTCTAGCATGACTCCACAGGGATAGAGTGAGGTGACCACAGACTTTGGAGTCATTCCTGGACAAATGGGATGAAGGAGGAGGTCTGCGTATGGGTAGGAAGATGAGTTCAGTCTTGAGCGTGTGAAATTTGAAATGCCTGTGGGATATCCAGATGGAGATGAAGGAGATTTGGCTTAGGAGTTCAGGAGTGAAGTCAATACTGAAAATACAGATTTGCGACTCATCAGGGTAGTTCTTGAAGCCATGAATGTAGTTGAGACCATTCAGGGAGAGCACATAGAATATATAAGGGGACCAAGGACAACTTCTTTTAAGGGGCAAGCAAAAGAGGAACATCATTGGAAGAAGACTAGAGGAGTGTCTCCACAGATAAAGTTGGTGCGGGGTGGGGGGGCACGCTAAAAGATAATCAAGCCAGAAAGAGATGAGAGCAAAGGTGCAGAAGGAAGCCAGAGGAACTGAAGAAGAAGGGACAAACTCAGAAACACTTGCTGAGTTCCAAAATGATAAGCATTAAAACCTGTTCACTGAGTTAAGCAATGCAAGTGTTGCTGGGGGCCTTGGCAAGAGCAATTTCAGTGGAGGGGCTGGAGGCAGAAACTAGACCAGACTTGTACTAGGAGCTCGTGAGAAATTCTAAGACATATCTTCCCAATACTGGGCAGCATGATAAATGTCCACATTAGAGAGAATTGGTGAGCAGGTCATGCTCAGCCAAGGCATTTTACATGCCTAGTGGAATCTCATGCAGGAAGCTTCTCTAAGCGTAGAGGTAAGGGTAGGTCTGATGGCAACAATCTCTCTTACTTTTCCTTCTTCTGCGAATGTCTTGATTTCCCCTGCATTCCTGAAGGTAATTTCACTTTGTAGACAGGGTTCTGGTTCTTTTGTTTCGCCACTTGAGAAGTGTTATGCCACTTCCTCTGGCCTCCATGGTTTCTAATGAGAAATATATTGCCATTCTAATTCCTTTTCCCGTATAGGTAAGGTTTCCTTTCTCTCTCTCTCTGCTTTTGGGACTTTTTTCCTAGGTCCTTAGTTTTCAGAAGTTTGACTGTGATGCTTCTTGGTGTAGGTTTCTTTAAGATTATTCTGTTTGGGGTTCACTCAGCTTCTTAAATGTACAGGCATGTGTCTTTTGCCGTATTTAGAATCTTCCAGCCATTATTTATTTGAATACTTTTTCAGTCCCACCCCCTTCCTCCTTTCCTTCTGTCACTATGATGACACAAAAGGTAGCTCTTTTGTCATATTCCCACAGATCCCCAAGTCTCCACTCATTTTTCCCCCAGTCACTTAGGCTCAGGCCACATGTTCTGACCGGGGGTTTTATTGTTAGTTCCATTTCAAAGCCTTTGCAATGGTATTTGGTTCTGTTAAGCATGATCAGCAGTCTTGGAGCTGGCGAGGTCTATATCCCTTACTCAGTGCAGTTCTCAAAGTCCTTTGTATGTCGTACAGGATCACATCTGTACATACACACCTTGTGGGGTAAGCCCAGAAGCTCATACACAGCTTCATGGGTTTACTTTCCCAAGCACTTCCTCCCTCCCTGCAATCTCCCCAGCACTTTCTGCTTCCCTCAGCTTCCCCTTTTCAACCTTGTAGCCATGAAGCTGTTGCTGTCGCTTTAGTGACTCTTCTCTGCCACACGCTTCCTGTGCCTTTGCCTTCCTCTGGTGTGATTCGGCAGGAAGACCAAAGAGGGGAAAAAGAAGTCACGGGCACCCCTTTGGGACCTACAATCAGAGAGGAAGGTTACTTTCCTTCAGAGCTTTAATCACCTGAAGGCCCTGGCGGCTGCCACTGTCACTGTCACTGCCTCTGTCACCACCACTGCTGCCACAGGATTGCCTGTGGGCTAGAACATGAAAGTACAAAGAAAAGAAGAAAGAAAAACTGGGGATTCCCTTAACTATCGCTGAGGGTTAGTATTCCCTTTTCCCTCTTCTCAAGTCAGAACCAGAGCTCTCTCTGTTCACACCACTGTCTACTTCTAACTTGCAGGCTACGTTGAGCCAAGGATACTAAAGGGGGGAAAATGTCAAATTCACTGCTGTTTCAGTGGTGCTTCAAATTGTAGTCTTTCCCCGGTCTGCCTCCTTCCATTTACTTTTCAGAGTCCTCAAATAGCTGGCCCATGCACTGTGTCCACATTTTATAGCTGCATTCAGTAGAGTGTGCATGCTTCATCTCACCCAGGAGCAGAAACATTCTGGAGATGTTACATTTTACTTTTACATTTAAGTGGAACAAATTTGTTCCCTTGTAAGTAATTGATGTGTGTGTGTGTGTGTGTGCACGCGCGCGTGTGCACGCGCACGTGCTTAGGTGTCTTTAATTTAAAGAATTTAAGAAATTCTTTAATTTTTTTTGAAGTACCATAACACAACTAGAATATATCTCAATATTGATTGTTCTGCATCAATTTTTGATGGTAGAGACTTTGTCGTTTTGAGGAGCAGGTTCAATTCTTCCTTTATTTCTGGAAACTTTTCACATATGGCATCTGTGGATATTTTTCTATCCCATTTATTAGGCTCTTTACTTAAGGCATGTAAATTATCTTAATGTTGGATCAGCATTAGCGTGACCATCTAAAGTCCTTCCTCCATGCCCTTGTTTCGATTTGTGTGCATGTCTCTTCTGCATCTTGCTCTTCCTAATTTACTTCTTTGATCCACCATGTGGTTCTTTGAGTTCTCGGTTTCTTTTCTGAGCTCAGTAATCTCCTTTTTTAAAAAAAAAAAAAAATCATATTCGGTTGCCAATCATCTGGTCTTTGAAACTTTGTTAAGTTGAAATCATATTTTAAATTTTACTATGGCTTAGAGAACTCTAGGGTTAGTTGCATCTGTTCCTTGTTTTATGCATTCTTCCAGTCTGTGATGGTTATCTGTCTTTTGTATACTATGATGGTTTCTTTCTTTCTCTTTCTTCTTCCTTTCTTCTTTCTTTTTTCTTTCTTCTTCTTTCTTTCTCTTTCTATTTCCTTATTTCTTTTCTTCTTTTTCTTCCTTCCCTCCTCCCCTCTTCTCTTTTTCCCTCCTTTCTTCCTTCTTTCTTCCTTCCTTCCTCCCTCCCTCTCTCTCTCCTCTCTTCCCTCCTTTTCCCTCTCCCTCTATCCCTGTAGATTGTTAGCATCATTGCTAAACCATTTATTTTTATTTCAATTATGGAAAACATTGTCAGACGTTCTATTTGCTCTAACATTCTGAGGGTGATAATTTGAGGGCAGGTGGGATGTTGATTTCAATCTACCTTTTCTTCTAAGATCTTGCTAAATATCATGTATCATGCTCTAGTCCATCCATGCAAGGGTGTGTCTTACTCTGAGGGTTTTGTTTTGTTTGCCCAACTCAGCACGGTGTCTTGGAAAATGGAAAGAATTGGGAGCCTTCCTACCGCTGGTGAAATCTAGGAGTGGCAGTTGAGGGCTTCTGTTCACAAAGGTATTTACTTTTTTCTGCTTATTCTCTCAGTCCATTTCTCCTCAAGTTAGAGAGCCTTACATCCCATTCTCAGGATCTGACTGGCTCACATTGTTTTTCCTCAGTATTGCTTCCAGGGGGTGGGGACAGAATGAGAAGTGTGCTAAACCAGCCATCCTCCCCACAAGAATTTATACATATATATATATGTACTATAAATATATAGTACATATATATGTACAATAATACATATATATGTACTATATATAATACATATATAAATACATATATAAACACCTATATAATATACATGTATATATGAATACCTATATATTTATATATATGCATATATATGTATGTATATGTATATATGTATGTATATGTATATGTATATATGTATGTATATGTATATACGTATGTATGTATACATATGTGTATATATGTGCATATATTATATATGTATATATTTATATATAAATGTGCATATATTTATATATATAAATCTGTATATATTTATATATATAAATGCGTATATATACATACGTATACATTTGTATGTATAAATACGTATATATTTGTATATATAAATACGTAGATATAAATACATATATGTATATTTATATATAAATATGTATATATAAATATAAATGTATTTATACTTATATAAATACATATATATGTATTTATAGGTATATAACTACATATATATGTATTTATAGTTATATAACTACATATATATGTATTTTTAGTTATATAACTACACATATATGTATTTATAGTTACATATATATGTATTTATAGTTATATAACTACATATATGTATTTATAGTTACATCTATATGTATTTATAGTTACATATATATGTATTTATAGTTATATAACTACATATATGTATTTATAGTTATATAACTACATATATGTATTTATAGTTATATAACTACATATATGTATTTATAGTTATATAAATACACATATGTATTTATAGTTATATAAATACACATATGTATTTATAGTTATATACATATATATGTATTTATAGTGAAATACATATATATGTATTTATAGTTATGTAAATACATATAAATATATATGTATTTATAGTTATATAAATATATATACGTATTTATAGTTATATAAATGTATATAAATATATACTTATTGTTATATAAATATAAATATATACTTATTTATAGTTATATAAATATATATAAATATATACTTATTTATAGTTATATAAATATATAAATATATACTTACTTATAGTTATATAAATATATAAATTTGTACTTATTTATAGTTTTATAAATATATAAATATATACTTATTTATAGTTACATACATAGATAAATATATACTTATTTATAGTTATATATAAATATATACATATTTATAGTTATATATAAATATATACGTATTTAGATTTATATATAAATATATACGTATTTATAGTTATATAAATATATATAAATATATACGTATTTATAGTTATATAAATATATACGTATTTATATTATATAAATATATATAAATATGTTCATATTTGTAGTTATATAAATATATATAAATATATACGTATTTATAGTTATATAAATATATATAAATTTATACGTATTTATAGTTATATAAATATATACGTATTTATAGTTATATAAATATATACGTATTTATAGTTATATAAATATATACGTATTTATAGTTATATAAATACATACGTATTTATAGTTATATAAATACATATGTATTTATAGTTATATAAATATATATGAATATATATGTATTTATAGTTATATAAATATATATGAATATATATGTATTTATAGTTATATAAATATATATGAATATATATGTATTTATAGTTATATAAATATGTATATGTATTGATAGTTATATCAATATATATGTATTTATAGTTATATAAATATATATAAATATGTATGTATTTATGGTTATATAAATATATGTAAATATGTATGTATTTATAGTTATATAAATATATATAAATATGTATGTATGTATAGTTATATAAATATATATAAATATATATGTAAAATATATGTATCTATCGTTATATAAATATATATGTATCTATCATTATATAAATATATATGTATCTATCGTTATATAAATATATATGTATCTATCGTTATATAAATATATATGTATCTATCGTTATATAAATATATATGTATCTATAGTTATATAAACATATATGTATCTATAGTTATATAAATATATATGTATTTATAGTTATATAAATATATATGTGTTTATAGTTATATAAACACATGTATATTTTTGTATTTATATAAATATAAATACATGTATATTTATGTATTTATATAACTATAAATACATGTGTATTTATGTATTTATATTTATATAAATATACATGTATATTTATGTATTTATATTTATATAAATATGCATGTATTTATATTTATATAAATACATGTAAATATACATGTATTTATATAAATAGATAGACATATATTTATATAAATACATGTAAATATTCATGTATGTATGTTTATATAAATACATGTAAATATACATGCATGTATATTTATATAAATACATGTAAATATACATGCATGTATATTTATATAAATACATGTAAATATACATGCATGTATATTTATATAAATATATATGTAATATACATGCATGTATATTTATATAAATATATATGTAATATACATGTATGTATATTTATATAAATATATATGTAATATACGTGTATGTATATTTATATAAATATATTTGTAACATACATGTATGTATATTGGTGTAAATATATATGTAACATACGTGTAAGTACATTTATATAAATATATATGTAATATACATGTAAGTATATTTATATAAATATATATGTAATATACATGTATTTATATTTGTATCTATATATGTAATATACATGTATTTATATAAATACTTATATAATATACATGTAGATATACATACATGTGTAATGCATGTATGTATATTCATATAAATATATATATATATATTCCTGGGAAGCCACTTTCCTCCCTCTCTCCCTCCTTCTCCTGCTTCTCCTCCTTAGTCTTCTCTTCTTCTCCTCCTTAGTCTTCTCTTCTTCTCATTCTGCTTTTTACCATTATTTATGTATTATTTTTTAATTTATTTAGTAGGATCGGGGAAGGGAGATTCTTTTATCTTTCTTCACTCTGCCATCTTTTACAAATAAATTGTAATGTTACTGACTCCAAGTTAAGATAAAAGTTTGCTTGCTTGAATGTGATTATTGCTTTGCTTGAGTTTGTAGATTATTCACTAAAAATAGTCTCAGGAAAACAGGACCTTCAACAGAGATAAAAGAAAACACGCCAACCAGCAGCTCTGGGAAGGGGCTGACCAGCCTGGTAAGAATAGGCTGACGGTGCCTGTGGAAGGTCACAAAACACTGACCAAGAAAGCAGTGATTAACTGCCCACCTGAGACTGAACACGTTTTAGAAGAATGTTTTGATCATTATTTCCTCTGCTTTCCCTTAAAAAACCCTAATCCAGAGGCACAACTCAGAGAGGTGATCACTGAAGTCTAGTTCACTGACTCCTCCCGGTTGCTGGCTTCTCAAATAAAGCTAACTTTCCTTTCACCAAAGCTCCTCTCTTTGAGTTTTTGGCCTTCAGGTGATGAATGGCCTGGACCGGAGTTCAGTTACAAAATCTCTGGTTTTGAAGGGTTATTTTTTTATTCCTGGGATATATTCCGGCTGACTTGGAGTTAGTTTTAGATAAATGTAAGCTTTCTAATGGATCTGAATCCACACTAACGGATATGAAATTATCAAGGTCTTTTTATTTTTAATCGCAAACACTTCATTTTATCAAATCTTAATCGTCTCCAATTTCACCGCAAACAATGCAAGGACCTTGTCTTACAAGTCAGTGCTGTCCAGTATTTAGTTATAATTTGGTCAGTCATATTGTTTTTATGCAGTCTTTTTTTTTTTTTTTTTGGACTCATGGCCATGGTTACTAGTTTCTTTGTTCACCATTCCTCTGTTGCATCTTGCTTTGTTCTTTTCGTTCAATTTCCTTTTAATGGAAGAACATCTTTAAGTCGTTCTTTCAGTGAGGGTTTGTGAGTGGTCAGCCCTCTCAACCTTTGTTGAAGAATATCTTTACTGGCTGGGTGCAGTGGCTCACACCTGTAATCCCAGCATTTTGGGAGGCCGAGGTGGGAGGATCATTTGAGCTCAGGAGTTCAAGACCAGGCTGGGCAACATAATGAGACTTTGTCTCTACAAAATAATAAATAAATAAATAAATAGCCGGGAGTGGTGGTGCTCACCTGTAGTCCCAGCTACTGGGGAAAAAAAAAAAATTAGCCAGGCATGGAGGTGCACACCTGTAGTCCTAGCTACTAGGGAGGCTGAGGCAGGAGGATCCCTTGAGCCCATGAGATCGAGGCTGCAGTGAGCCATGATCGCACCACTGTACCCCAACCTGGGCGACAGAGTGAGACCTTGTCTCAACAAATAAATAAATAAATATTTTAAAATATATCAAAAAGACTATCTTTATTTCACTCATTCTTGAATTGTAGTTTAGTTGGGTATGACATTTCCCCCCATTCCCCGAATGCATTAGTGATATGATTCCATTTTTATTGCAGTTGGTGAGAAGTCTGCTGTCAGTTTATTATCCCTTTGATAGCACTGTGTCTTTTCTTTCTGGTTGATTTTAAGATCTTTCCCCTTTTCTTTGTTGACCTGCGCCGGTTCCCCTGTGATTCAGTTTTATTGATTCTTGCTGTGGCTCATGCTTTTAGAATACGAGGAACTATGTCTGTTTTCAAATCTGAAAATTTCCAGCCAGTATCCTTTTGATTATTGGTTTACCCCTGCTCTCTTTATTCTCTGATTCTGTCATTCCTATTAGAGTTTTTTTGGACCTTTGCATCATTTTTCTGTATCTCTTAACCGTTTATACATTTGCTATCTCTCCTTGCTGCCTTCTGAATAATTTCCTTACTTCTATCTTCCAGTTCACTAAAGCAGATGAATCTGCTTTTAAACCCATCCTCTGATCTTTTGCTGTCACTGGAAATAATGTCTTTCATTTTCGGAAGTTCTATTTGGTTCCTTAAAGAAAGAAACCGGCCTCTTCTTTTTCCGTAGAATCTTGATCTTTCTCATATGTTTGGATTCCTTATTGTTTCTAAGTATCTTATACAAACTTATTTTATACTCTCGGTTGGCTCTATTATCTAAAGTTTTTGGTAGTGTAATCCTGCTCATCATTGTGTTTGCTGATACTCAATCACAGGCGGTTTTTTTTTTTCCTCAGGTGTTTTATAATTTTGTTTGTGAGTTTAGGGATTTGTTCAAACGGCTTCATCTGTGTGACTTCAATGAGGTTTGACTGGGGGTGTATCTCTGGCTGTTATCTTTTTGATGTTAATGTGTAAGCTTGGGGTTTTCAAGACCTAAATAAGAGGTATTAATTCCAACCCTAGACCTACATGACAATAGCCTTAGAGTTACAAATGACCAGGGGAAGCATTTTATTTTCTCCCACCAGAACCCATGAAGAAACAAACTCTCTTGTCATCTCACCATGGTGGTGGGAAGACTTTTTTTTCCTAGTCCATCCTTTCACTGACTGTGTAGCCCTTGTGAGGCACCAAGGCTTTTCTCCTCTCCCTGGTGGTTATTGAATCCATTCCCCTACCACCCTAACATAAATTCAAATGCCCATTGATCTGCTCTTTAGGTTCCTCTTTGTTTTTTGACACCTGAGGGTCAACTTCCACCATAAGTTCATCACATGTGCATTAAAAGGAATATTTATTAAATTTTATCCTGCCTTTTAAAAGGTGCTTTGTAACAGGAGGGTTTTCAGGTTATCTAGTGTGCACTGTTTCCAGAAATGGAAATTGCTTTCCCCTTTAAAACTCCCAGAGCACTAAGAAGCTCCCACAAATTCTCTGGAAGAGGAATGTGATGGGGGCGGGGGAAGACTTTTCATGAATATGTAGCCTCAAAGAAAGATTGGTGCTTTGGGGTGCCAGACACTCAATGACAGCTTAAGATGAGTGAGGAAGGGCCTAGGGGTTGAAAGAGCCCTAATTGCTCAAAGCCACATGTCACAAGAAATTTTGGGAAGAAGAGCCACTTTATGAACTGGTTACCTTCATGGATTTTTCTTCCCTAGGCTCAGAAGTGGAAAAATATGAAGATCCATTGCTGATGGGAATCCTGCCCTAAGCAAACGGTGGTGAGACATGGCTGCTTTTAGTGCATTTATTATATGTGACCATTTAAAAGCAGGTACTGAAGGCTGCAGAAAAGTCACGAGGTGGTACTCAAAATATGGTTATATAGGTAACTGGGTGTGGCTCTTCCCTGAGGCACAAAGAACTGATTTTTTTTGTGTGCTCTTTGAAAGGAAATGTATAAAGTTGGTATTATGCTTTACTCAGAAAGTTTTTAAGAGGGTTGGGAGTGATGCAATCACTTTAAAATGATATACAAGGTTGAACACTCTGCTAAGCTTCAGGTAAGAGTATCCAATTGCCTCTTGGACTTCCCTGCCTGGATGTTCTGTTCCACATGCACCCCAAACTCAAATATATCCAAGACTGAAAACATCTTCTCTCCAAGCTCTCTCCTCTTCTAATATTCCCTGTGTGAATAAGGTGTGCCCAGTTGACCAAACCAGTAACCTGGGAGTCATCTTGACAACTTCCTCTCCCTCAACCCCTCTCTCGCAATTAATTGGACACCAAGTTCAGTGGACTCTACCTTCAAAATGCCTCTCAAATCAATCCACGTCTCTCCTTGGCATTGCTGTCGGGCAGCAGGGCCCAGGTTCCCACTCCTCTTGGAAATGACAGAGGTCTCGCCTCTTCTGCACCTTCCCCCGAGCTTGAGGATCTATCCTGTCCAGAAGAAATCCTTTCCCTTTCATATTTCTATAGAATGCTGTCTAACACTTTGAATTCCCTTCAGGCTCTGGGTTTCAGAAATCAACACAGAAAGAATGCCGGGCTATTCATTTCCCTCCAGGATGAAGTTAGAATCTTGAGGGCAGCGAGGAAGGCAGGCATATGCATTGTTGCAAACCTTCTCAAGTGATTCAGATGTGCAGCTCCGGTCAAGAGCCACTGCACAACGTGGTGAGCTATTTGAATACAGGGACCATGCCTTTCAACTTTGTATTCATCAAAACACAACGCAGCCAATACCTGATATAGAATCAGTGCTCAGTAAATGTTCCAGTGAATGAGTGAATACAAGAACTAAAGAATGATATGGTGCAAAGAAATGGATGAAAGGGATCTTACGAGCTACTTAGTGCAATCCCTTCATTTTTTTTTTTTTCAGTTGCCGTAGCGTTGGGATTGCTTGAGGCTCCCGGATGTTCACAGGATGTCATTTTTGGCAACCACAGACCACTAGTTACCCAGCTTTTTTAGGTGTTGTGTAGCAAGGAGGGATTTCGGGTTATGTAATCTGCAATATTTCCAGAAATGGAAATTATTTCTTTTTCCTTTTATGACTCACACAACGTCAGGAAATTTCCACAAAATTCCCAGAAGAACATGATGGAGGAAACCACTTTCCCTATATATATTTTAGTGGAATATATTTTATTTTAATGGAACTGCCAGTGAAGCAGTAGATGTGGCCAGCAGACACTGCTTTCCTGGTGTCTCCTGAGAACTCTTTTCTCTCATTGGTTATTTTCACCTGCCTTCTTCTGCAAGTTCCTTTTTGTTTGGGCTCATTTTCCATTTTCTCTGTATCCAGGTTTGTTGAAAATGCAGGAGCCAGTGCTTCCCAACCTTCCCTACTCCAAACGCCTATGCACACGCACCCACTTGCATGCGTGCACGTACACGTGCATACATATACACCCACACGTACATGCGTGTGTGCACACACACTCCTGGACTCTTGAGAAGCTTTCAAAAGGAACTTATAGATAGGGTGAGGACTTTTACTATTAATTATTAATTATTATTATTATTACTTATATCTGAAATATAACATTTTGGACACACGGAAGTGCTCTAACCCCCAAATTCCTGTTTGTCTCTGGAAAGGAGCAGGCAGTCTAGGATGGGCAGGGACACACAAGACAACTTATCTTTTGCCATATGCATTAGACCTAAAGTATTTACAAAGCAAAAGAGGCAGCTGTGGCGAGACAGAAAAAGCCCTGGATTCAGAATTAAAACAGCTGGGTTAGAGTACTGGCTCTGTCACTTGCTCTCTAACTCTCAGTTTCCTCATCTGTAAAATCGGGGCAATGGTACTACTTCATATTAATACAACCTCAGCTGCAAAAGACTGGTTTAGGTACCCTTGTTCTGAGCTCCCACAGACTCCTTGTGCTTACCTGGTGTTAACATTGGCTGTTAATACATGTGTCTCCCGTGGTACAAGGAGATCTTGAGGGCAGAAATTCTATTTGTCTGGCCTCCAGCGTGCCTGCCCTCAGTGCACAGCAGAATGGTCAATGAATGTTGGTTGAGTGAATGAAGAACAATCGGACATTTGCATGTTTTTGTGTGTATAATTCCTGTTGTACTATCATCGGTAGACCGCCAGGATAGTACAAATCTATTTTTATTGTATGTAAATTTGACATATAGACATTCCAAATTAACAGGAGTTGATTCGCTCCCCATGTTACCTAACAACTAGTTTCGGAATGTTGTTGGATCCCTTTAGGAGAATATTTCAGTACATTTGCTCCCCTGGTTAGGGTTAGGGGTTAGGGTTAGGGTTAGGGTTGTGTTCCCAGCACAAGCGTCTCCTCAATAATAAGCCTTCACGTGTGTGCACCGGCACTTTAAAGAGTTGTTGTTGTTGTTGTTTTAAAGGTGTTTTCTCGTACACTGACTTATATGCTCCTCACGAGAACCCCATGAGACAGGCAGGAAAGGTGTTCCTGCTACCACTTGATGGATGAAGAAACCAATGTTCAGAGACATTAACTGAGTCACTACACACCACATCAAGAGCAAGTTTGTTTCAGAGCTGGGCCTCAAACAGAATCGGGTTTCTCATTTCACAGTCTGGTGTTTTTTACACAATCCATTTGTTCAACCCGGCTGCAATTTGTGATGTTGCTTCAGTGATATTTTTTGCATCTCATCCTATTCCTGCTTCACAACTGCACCTCCTACCACTTGCCTCAGCATACTCTCAACCGGGGCTTCTCAGGTGCTCAACCAGGGCCTCTCCCTCTACCCTGAACATGTCCTCTTGCAATTTCCTGCCTCTGGATCTTTGCATCTGTTTTCACCTCTTGGTGGGCACCCGTTCCCCACCCCCACGTCACTGCAGGTTGAAAGAAACCCTAGGCATCCTCTCGGTTTCAACTCAAAGACCACCTAACTTCATGAAACCTCTGCAGATGGGCCCTGCTGGATGAGATCTCTCTGCCCTTGAATGCACAGAGCAGTCCATGTCTTGTTCTATATCCATTTCCATACCTGCTTCATTCCCTTCTCTACAGTGTCCCTTGCTCCGTGTTCTCACAGCCCCCTGTGCTCAGTTTTCACAGCACATATTGCCCTATGTTGTGAGCCTGCTTTCGTCCTGTGACTGTGAGCTCCTTGAGGACTGGAACCTTGTCTGACTTATCTCGGTATCTCCAGCACGCAGCACAGTGCCGGAACACAGTAGTTGCTCCAAAAAATGTTGGATGAATGAGTGGATGGATGAATGAACACTACCCCACACAACGCCTTGGATATAGTGGCTGCAAAATAATAATGGATCAAATTGAGTCTATAACCAGATCTCATTTCTTTTCATCCTATCTCAGTGAAAGATGAAGGTGCTTTCTTCTGACTCAGGCTGTCACTTCCACTCCTGCTCTGGGTTCGATCCCATCCTGCCTCCCCAGGTGCCTCACTCCATCAATTACCTCTTCTCTCAAGAATGTCTAATCTCTCCGTCTTCTCTGCCTGGCTCCTTTCCTTGCAGTAACTAAAATGCTCAGGTCTCTCCTCCTATTCCAAAAATAAGTACCCTCAATTGAATGGGTGTCTTCTTCCTCACAGTATCAAGATATGTACCTCATCGGGGAGTAACCCAGCTGAGTGAGCCCTTTACTGGGGAGCCTTCAGTGTGAGTCTCCTTAGATCTTTTTCTCTTAGGTTGGTCAGATGGCTCACAGAAGACTCTTCCAGCTGCCAGAAGTTTAGGGGCAGGGGCAGGGAAGAAGACTGGGAGTTCACAGCTTTCAGGACACATGCTTCCACTCAACACCCCTGTTTTCAGTACAGGACCCCAGCCCTCAACTAAGTCTGCGAACTCCCCATCCAGAGACCCTCTGCTTTACCCTCTCCAGGGAATAACACTCCAGGCTTCTGTCAGAGCAGGGAAGGGCCAGCCCCTCACTGGCATTGACAGCAGGAGGGGATTTGGCAATGAATCTACTTCTTAAAAGAGTTTTCAAACAGCCTTCATTATTTTGATACCCACCCCCCTTCACTTCCAGAGGTAACTCCACTTCCAGAGTTACCTTGGTCCAGCCTTTGAAGATTCCTGGGGGTGAGGAGTAAATCAAGTTAGCTTTTTGCTTTTCCCACTAAGGTCTCAGAATTCCTAGTTTGTGGCCTTCTTGGATCTGCTAAGTCAGTTGCCACTCATCCATCTGTTCTTCAGCATCCAAAATTTAGTTGTTGCCTCCTTTCCTGTTCTTCAACCCTTTTTATTTCATCTTCACTCCTATCCTTCTAATCCTTTCAAAAATCACATTTGTAGCAGTTCCAGTGGGGTTTTGGGAGATGGTGAAGTTAGATGTGGAAGTATGTGCTCCACCTTAACTATGCATCATCACGAGCATGGGTGTCTGCCTGCCTGTCTCATTGATTCTACACACCTTCATTACCACACCACTCTCCCTAAAACTCTCCAGACTCAGCTTTTCTCATCTGGCTCTCTGACCTGTTCCCTGACCATTCTGTTCTTTCAGCTCTCAGCCTTCGGACTGCCAAAACCCCAAGCCAACTTCCTATCCAGGAACCCTCCGGCCTAGAAGTTCAGATGTCTTGCCAATATATCTGTGCTTCACAACTTGCCTACTCTCTCTGACCCCTAACATTTTCACATACTTTTCCAATTCTGCCTGTCATAAATTTGCTGCTTCCCCCTAAGTAGAATGTTGATTCCTGTCAAACACACAGCCTAGCCCTGATTCCTCCTCTTCTCTCAAGCAGTGATATTGTCAACAATGATAAACAACTACTATGTACTGAGTGTTTTTTTATGTGCTGCTCACACTTTATACACATGTATAGATTCATTCTTCATCATAGATTTTTCAGCTAGCTGGCATTTATTAGCCCCACTTTGCATATGTAGGAACACAGGCTCAAGGAAAGAAAGCAACTTCCCACAATTTCCCAGGCTAGTAAAAGTCAGAGATGGAATTCAAGCCCAGATCATTCCAAGTTTGTGCTCTTCCTGTGACACGACACTGCCTCAGTCAAGGCATCAGAGAGGAAGTTAGAAAGCAGATGGTGAGAGGGAGTACCTGAATTGGAGGGAGTACCTGAATTGGAGGGAGTGGCCACCATCAGTGGGTAGACCATGGAGAAAGATGGGGCTAACAGAGAAAAACCTTCACTGAGTTCACAGTTTTACACAGCATTAGCCCTTGTGATCTTTAGTCGTGCAGGGGATAAATTACCGTGCCTGCCTGCCCACACAGAAAGTAAGCTAGAACACCACTACTAATCTATATGATATACACCAACATGGCTTAAGACGATTTATTGCAACTGTAAAAAAATGCGCGCCCCCCCCCTTTTTTTTCCAGAAAGGAAGCGTGGATTGCATTAATCAAGCTAAAGACTTTTATACTTCTTTACAGTCTGACACAAAAACAGACAGTCATAAAGATAAGCCCGAATCATCAAGAAAGTGCACAGTAGTATTTTGCAAACCCAATTTAGGGAATCAGGGAAGAGTAAAATCCACATGGATAAGGTTTCCCCTTACTTCCCATTCGTGATGGTACAGTGAGTTCATGTTATGGAACGCCCACTGCTCCAAACACATGGCAATGATGGACAAAATATAAAAAGGTAAACTCAAAAAGGCATGGCCAAGACAAAACAAACAAAACAAAACAAAAACAAAAGATAATTGTCTCCATGTTGAAGTACTAGGCTTGTTGCTCTGGAAGCAAACCATGGTAACCAGAAGCTAAGCTCCTGCAATGTATAGCGGTTCCAAAGTACCCTGAGCAAGATGGAAGACAAAAGCCATACTCACAGATTAAAGCCCAGGACTAGAATGGAGCTACCCACAAACCCACCAACCCCTGACTGTAAGTCTGACAAAAAAGAACTACCACCAAACTCTGCCAGGGTCTTTGGTTCTGATGAGCTGCAGGCTTAAGGAGGTGAGGATGCAGACATGTTCTGGTCTCGTAACTAAGAGTTGAGCTAATCCACAGCTGAGCTAAGTGAGTGGATTTCCAATATGCCCAAGAGCACCCTGGGGCCAGTGATATGGATATGTTCTATCAAAGGGTTTTGAGCCTAACAACTGACTGGTATTTTTCAAGAGAAAAAACAGTACTGAATAGGTTAATTTCCTTCCATTCTTGGAAGAGGCAAAATTAGAAATGATGAATTTTTTTTTTTTTTTTTTTTTTGAGACATGGTCTTGCTCTGTTACCCAGGCTGGAGTGCAGTGGCGTGATCATAGCTCACAGTAGCCTTGAACTGCTGGGCTCAAGAGATCCTCCCACCTCAGCTTCCCGAGTAGCTGGGACTGCAGGCACTCATGACTCCACCCAACTAACTTTTCTTTTAATTCTATTTTTTTGTAGAAACGGGGTCTTGCTTTGCTGCTCAGGCTGGTTTCAAACTCCTGACCTCAAGCGATCCTCCTGCCTTGGCCTCCAAAAGTGCTGGGATTACAGGCGTGAGCCACGGCACCTGGCTAGATTTTGCTTTTAAGTTTGAAATGCTTTATTTAGAGTTTATTAGCCACTAACTCCTTTTTTTTTTTTTTTTAAACTTTTAAGTTCAGGGGTACAAGTGCAGGTTTGTTACATAGGTAAACTTGTGTCATAGGGGATTTGTTGCATAGATTATTTCATCACCCAGGTGTTAAGCTTAGTACCCATTAGTTGTTTTTCTTGATCCTCTCCCTCCTCACACCCTCTATCCTCCAAAAGGCCCCAGTGTGTGTTGTTCCCCTCTATGTGTCCATATGTTCTCATCATTTAACTCTCACTTATAAGTGAGAACATGCAGTATTTGGTTTTCTCTTTCTGTGTTGGTCTGCTAAGGATAAGGGCCTCCAGCTCCATCCATGTCCCTGCGAAGGACATTATCTCATTCTTTTTCACGGCTGCATAGTATTCCATGGTGTATATGTACCACATTATCTTTCTCCAGTCTGTCACTGTTGGGGATTTAGGCTGATTCCATGTCTTTGCTATTGTGAGTAGTGCTGCAATGAGCATACACATGCATGTGTCTTTGTAACAGAATGATTTTTAGTCCTTTGGGTGTAGACCCAGTAATGGGATTGCTGGGTTGAATGGTATTTCTGTCTTTAGGTCTTTGAGGAATCACCACACTGTCTTCCACAGTGGCTGAACTTGTTTACAATCCCACAGACAGTGTATAAGCATTCCTTTTTCTCCACAGCCTCGCCAGCATCTGTTATTTTTTGACTTTTTAATAATGGCCATTTTGGCTAATATTAGTTGGGATCTCATTGTGGTTTTGATTTGCATTTCTCTAATGATCAGTGATGTTGACCTTTTTTTTTCATATGATTGTTGGCTGCATGTATGTCTCCTCTTGAAAAGTGTCTGTTCATGTCCTTTTCCCACTTTTTTATGGGATTGTTTGTTTTCCTGTAAATTTGTTTAAGTTCTTTATAGATGCTGGATATTAGACCTTTGTCAGATGCATAGTTTGCAAATATTTTCTCCCATTCTGTAGGTTGTCTGTTTACTCTGTTGATAGTTTCTTTCACTGTGCACAGCTCTTTAATTTTATTAGACCCCATTTGTCAATTTTTTGCTTTTGTTGCAATTGCTTTTGGCGTCTTCATCATGAAATCTTTGCCCATGCCTATGCCCTGAATGGCATTGCCTAAGTTGTCTTTCAGAGTTTTCATAGTTGGGGGTTTTACATGTCAGTCTTTAATCCATCTTGAGTCAATCTTTGTATATAGTGTAAGCAAGGGAGCCGGTTTTCATCTTCTGCACATGGCTAGCCAGTTATCCCAGCACCATTTATTGAACCGGGAATCCTTTCCCCATTGCTTGTTTTTGTCAGGTTTGTCGAAGATCAGTTAGTTGTAGGTGTGTGGTCTCATTTCTCGGTTCTCTGTTCTGTTCCATTTGTCTATGTGTCTGTTCTTGTACCAGCACCATGCTGTTTGGGTTACTGTAGCCTTGTAGCATAGTTTGAAGTCAGGTAGCATGATGCCTCCAGCTTTGTCCTTTTTGCTTAGGATTGCCTTCGGTATTCGGGCTTTTTTTGTTTTTTGGTTCCATATGAATTTTAAAATAGTTTTTTTTTTCTCGTTCTGTGAAGACTGTCAATGGTAGTTTAATGGGAATAGCATTGAATCTATAAATTGCTTTGGGCAGTATGCCCATTTTAATACTGATTCTTCCTATCCATGAGCTTGGAATGTTTTTCCATTTTTTTGTGTGTCATCTCCGATTTCTTTGAGCAGTGGTTTGTAGTTCTCCTTGTAGAGATCTTTCACCTCCCTAGTTAGCTGTATTCCTAGGTATTTTATTCTTTTTGTAGCAATTGTGAATGGGAGTTCATTGCTGATTTGGCTGTCGGCTTTACTGTTGCTGGTGTATAGGAATGCTAGTGATTTTTGCACATTGATTCTGTACCCTGAGACTTTGCTGAAGTTGTTTATCAGCTTAAGAGGCCTTTGGGCTGAGACAACGGGGTTTTCTAGATATAGGATCATGTCATCTGCAAGCAGGGATAGGTTGACTTCCTCCCTTCCAATTTGGATGCCCTTTATTTCTTTCACTTGCCTGATTGCCCTGGCCAGAACTTCCAATACTATGTTGAATAGGAGTGGTGAGAGAGGGCATCCTTGTCTTGTGCCGGTTTTCAAGGGGAATGCTTCCAGCTGTTGTCCATTCAGTATGATGTTGGCTGTGCGTTTGTCACAGATGGCTCTTATTATTTTGAGGCATGGTCCTTCAATACCTAGTTTATTGAGAGTTTTTAACATGAAGCGATGTTGAATTTTATCAAAAGCCTTTTCTGCATCTATTGAGATAATCATGTGGTTTTTGTCTTTAGTTCTGTTTATGTGATGAGTCACATTTATTGATCTGCATATGTTGAACCAACCTTGCATCCCAGGGAGGAAGCCAACTTGATCGTGGTGGATAAGCTTTTTGATGTGCTGCTGGATTCAGTTTGCCAGCATTTTGTTGAGGATTTTTGCATTGATGTTCATGAAGGATACTGGCCTGAAGTTTTCTTTTGTTGTTGTATCTCTGCCAGGTTTTGGTTTCAGGATGATGCTGGCCTCATAGAATGAGTTAGGGAGGAGTCCCTCCTTCTCAATTTTTTGAAATAGTATCAGTAGGAATGCTACCAGTTCCTCTTTGTACATCTGGTAGAATTCAGCTGTGAATCCATCTGGTCCTGGGATTTTTTTGGTTGGTAGGCTATTTATTACTGCCTCAATTTCCAAACTCATTACTGGTCTGTTCAGGGATTCAGTTTCTTCCTGGTTCAGCCTTGGGGAGGTGTGTGTGTCCAGGAATTTGTCCATTTCTTCTAGACTTCCTAGTTTATGTGCCCAGAGGTGTTCACAATATTCTCTGGTGGTTGTTTGTATTTCTGTGGGGTCAGTGATAAATATTCCCCTTATCATTTCTGATTGTGTTTATTCAAATCTTCTCTCTTTCCTTCTTTATTCGTCTAGCTAGCGGTCTATTTTATTACTTTTTTTCAAAGAAAAAAAAAACAGCTTCTGGATTCTTTCATTTTTTGAAGGGTTTTTCATGTCTCTGTCTCCTTCAGTTCAGCTCTGATTTTTGTTATTTCTTGTCTTCTGCTAGTTTTGGGATTTGTTTGCTCTCGCTTCTCTAGTTCTTTTAGTAGTGATGTTAGGTTATTAACTTGAGATCTTTCTAACTTTTTGATGTGGGCATTTAGTGCTATAAATTTCCTTCTTAACACTGCCTTTGCTGTATCCCAGAGATTCTGGTACTTTGTATCTTTGTTCTCATTAGTTTCATAGAACTTCTTGATTTCTGCCTAAATTTCATTGTTTACCCAAAAGTCATTCAGGAGCAGGTTATTCAATTTCCATGTAATTGCATGGTTTTGAGTGAATTTCTTAATCTTGATTTCAAATTTGATTCTTCTGTGGCCCAAGAGACTGTTTGTCATGATTTCAGTTCTTTTGCATTTGTCGAGGAGTGTTTTACTTCTGATTATGTGGTCGATTTTAGAGTAAGTGCCTTGCGGTGATCAGAAGAATGTATATTCTGTTGTTTTGGGGTGGAGAGTTCTGTAGATATCCACCAGGTCCATTTGATCCAGTGCTGAGTTCAGGTCCTGAATATCTTTGTTAACTGTCTGTCTCAATGATCTGTCTAATATTGTCAGTGGGGTGTTAAAAAGTCTCCCACTATCATTGCCTGGCAGTCTAAGTCTCTGTGAAGGCCTCTAAGAACTTGCTTTATAAATCTGGGTGCTCCTGTGTTGGGTCCATATGTATTTAGGATAGTTAGATTTTCTTGTTGAATTGAACCATTTACCATTATGTAATGCCCTTCTTTGTGTTTTTTGATCTTTGTTGATTTAAAGTCTGTTTTGTCAGAAACTAGGATTGCAACTGCTGCTTTTTTATGTTTTCCGTTTGCTTGGTAGATTTTCATCCATCTTTTTATTTTGAGCCTATGTGTGTCATTGCATGTGAGATGGTTCTCTTGAAGACAGCATACCATTGGATCTTAGTTCCTTATCCAGCTTGCTACTCTGTGTCTTTTAACTGGGGCATTTAGCCCATTTACAATTTAAGGTTAGTATTGGTATGTTTGGATTTGATCCTTTCATCATGATGCTAGCTGGTTATTTTGCAGACTTGCTTACATGTTTGCTCTGTAGTGTCACTGGTCTGAGTACTTCAGTGTGTTTTTGGAGTGGCTGGTAACCATCTTTCCTTTCTACATTTAGTGCTTCCTTCAGGAGCTCTTGTAGGGCAGGTCTGGTGGTAACAAATTCCCTTAACATTTGCTTGTCTGAAAATAATCTTATTTCTTCTTCGCTTATGAAGCTTACTTTGGCCAGATATGAAATTCTGGGTTGGAGTTTCTTTAAGAATGTTGAGTATTGACCCCCAATCTCTTCTGGCTTGTAGGTTTTCCACTGAGACATCCACTGTTAGTCTGAAGGGCTTCCCTTTGTAGGTGACCTGGCCTTTCTCTCTAGCCGCCTTTAACATTTTTTCTTTCGTTTCAACCTTGGAGAATCTGATGATTATGTGTGTTGGGGATGTTCCTTTCGTGGAGTATCTTCCTGGAGTTCTCTGGATTTCCTGAATTTGAATGTTGGCCTCTCTAGCTAGGTTAGGGAATTTCTCATAGATGATATCCTGAAATGCGTTTTCCAAATTGGTTCCGTTTTCCCCATCTCTTTCAGGGACACCAATCAGTCTTAGATTCGCTCTCTTTACGTGATCCCATATTTCTCGGAGGTTTTGTTCATTGCTTTTCATTCTTTTTTCTCTATTCTTGTCTGCCAGTCTTATTTCAGAAAGCCAGTCTTCAAGCTCTGAAATTCTTTCCTCCGCTTTGTCTATTCTGCTATTAGTACTTGTGATTGCATTATGAAATTCTTGTAGTGTGTTTTTTCAGTTCCGTCAGGTTGGTTACATTCTTCTCTACATGGGCTATTTTGTCTGTCAGCTCCTGCAATGTTTTATCATGATTTTTAGCTTGCTTGCATTGGGTTACAATGTACTCTTTTAACTCAGTGAAGTTCATTTCTATCCATATTCTGAATTCTACTTATGTCATTTCAGCCATCTCAGCCTCAGCCCAATTCCGAACCCTTGCTAGAGAGGTGATGCAGTCATTTGGAGGAAAGAGGGCACTCTGGCTTCTTGAGTTTTCAGCATTCTTGCACTGATTCTTTCTCATCTTTGTGGGCTTATCTACCTTCAGTCTTTGAGGTTGCTGACCTTTGGATTTTTTTTTTCTTTTAACAGTCTGGCCATGTTTCTGTAGGGCTGCTGTACTTTGCTGGGCTTCTTCTCCAGTTCCTAGTCTCCTTGGATTTTCCAGTACCTGGAGCTATCACCAGTGAAGGCTGTGAAACAGCAAAGATGTCAGCCTGCCTCTTCCTCTGGGAGCTCCGGCCCAGCGAGGTACAGACCTGTTGCCAGCCCAAATGCGCCTGCAGGACAAGGCTGGAGACCCTGGTTGGGAGGTCTCACCCAGTCAGGAGGAACGGGATCAGGGAACTGCTTAAAGAAGCAGTCTGTCCATGCTTTCACAGATCAGCTGTGCTGTGCTGGGGCACTGCTTCCACCCCTGGTTGGTGTGGGCTCTCCAAAGCCTGGAGGCCGGAACAGCTAAGTCGCCCAAACAGCAAAGATGGTGGCCCCTCCCTCCCTCCGGGAGCTCTGTCCCAGGGAGAATTCAAATCTCTGTCAGCCAGAGAACACCAGTAGGGGTTGCTGGAGGCCTTGGTTGAAAAGTCCCACCCAGTGAGGAGGAACAGATTGGGCACCTGCTTAAAGAAGCAGTCTGGCCATGCTTCTGAAGAGCAGCTGTGCTGTGCTGTTCTGGGGTACCACTTCTGGGAGCTCTGTCCCAGAGAGCAGCCTGCCCTTCCCCCTGGGACCTCTGTCCCAGGTAGGTGCAACACTGCTGCTGGTGGCTGGCTGGAATTCCAAACCAGTGGGTCTTATCCTGTGAGGTGCAGTGGAAGTGGGGCCCGCAGATCGTGCCGCTTGGCCCCCTGGATTCAGCCTCTTTCCTAGGGGTATGTACAGGGGTCTAATCTCCCGCTTTGCAGGAGTTGCAGTTACTTTTGCTGGGAAACCCAGGGCCGGAGTATGTAAAGCTGCTGGGTCTCTGCACGTGCTCAAGCGGCTACTCTGCTGAGACTCCATGTATCTCTGTGTGTCAGACTGAAGGCCCTGGTGGAGTGGGTTCACCAGGGGATCTCCTGACCCAAGGGTTGCAAGGATCCATGGGAGGAGCGTGGTTTCCCAGGATCGCACATTCACTTACGACTTCCCTGGGTGGAGGAGGTTCCTCTGTCTCCATGTTGCTCCTGGGTGGGCTGTCATCCTGCCTTGCTTTTCTTCATTCTCTGTGGATCGAGTTGTTTCCTTGATTAGACCCAATGTGGGTACCTGGATGTTTCAGTTGAAGGCGCTGTATTTACTCGCCCCTTTCCTTCCCCTCCATGAGAACCACTCACCCTAGCTGCTTCTAGTCAGCCATCTTGGCCACTCCCTCCCCGCCCCCCACCTTTTTTTTTTAAATGCTTGAAAACTATTTGCAAAAGAAACCTAGAGATTCTCATGGTTCTTTTAAGATCTTGTTGGATGGACTGTGAAAGTGGGATTATTGTCTATGAATGGTCAGCTAGACTGTGTGTGTGTGGAAAGGGTGAGGGAATTAACATTTATTGAGCAAAAGGGCATGCTAGTTAAAATCATTGTCTCTGGGGACAGATTTTTCTGGGTTTTAATCCAAACTCTGACACGTATTAGCCGTGTGACCTCTATTTTTCATTTGTAAAATGGAGATGGGATTGTTGCGGGGATTAAAAGCACTTACAACAGTCCAGGATATAGAAAGCACTGTGTAAGAGCTGGCTGTCATATATTAGTCATCAGTCATCATACTTAATAATCACAAAATTGTTAGAAAATCCTGTGAGGTAGGTATTTTCCTTACCATACCCATATGAGAAAACTTAAGCAAGGAGAAGTCAAACAAAGTTACCAAAGTCACACAATTACGGAGTGACAGAGCCTTTAGACGCTGCCTAGTCCAAGGCTTTCATTTCACAGAAGAGAAAACTGAAGTTCAAAATAGGAGAGGGACATGCCTGAAGTCATTTAGTGAGCCAGTGACAGAACTGGGCCTAGAACTCAGCAGCAGGACTCTTCCTGTCAGTAGTTCTCAAACTTTGTCATGTGTTACAATCCTGCAGAGGACTTGCTAAAACAAACTGCTGGTACCCATGCCTAGAGTTTCTTACTTAGTAGGCGTGGGGTGGGCCTTGAAAATTTGCATTTCTAAGGAGTTCTCAAATGATGCCACTGCTGGTGGTCTGGGGACCCTACTTTGGGAACCACCACAACACACCATAATTCATACATCTTTTGTTCTTTTCATCATGGACTACACAGTGTGTGACCTACAAACACTTTCAAAGAAATGGGAACCGGTGATGAAAACCAAAGAAAATTACATATCTAGCAGCAAGAAGGTACGGTGACTGACCAACAGTCCTGGTTTGTGTGGGACTCTCCTACTTTTAAAATGGAAAGTCCTGTAGTTCTGGGCACAAGAGGATGGTTGGTCACTCTAGATGAAAGCAAACAAAAGTCAGTGTCAGCTAAATGCCAAACGAAAAAGGACATACATACAGAGAATGTGGTAACTTCTGGTGAATTTGTTTGAAAAGGACCCATTCATTTATTCTTCCAACACATCTGTATTATAAAACTACTATCCATAAGGCACTGTGTTAGGTGCTGTGTTCCTGACCCTACAGATCCCATTCCACCATAGCAAAAGGTAAAAGTGACTCTACAGTGAGCTTGGTAGACATAGACCCATGCTTATATACTCAGGGACACCTGGAAGAGATATAAAAACAGAAACATCTCACATAGGAAGTTTTCAATGCATCGTGATCAGGACTCAAATAATCCCCTTCTCTTTTTCTTCAGTGTACTAAAGGGAGCACATTGTTGAGAAGGACCGGTTGCAAATTTCCAAAAAGGAGAGTAAAATAATTAATGAGTCAAGGTCTCAGGAGAGACAGAAGGTAAGGGGAGTCCTTCAGTAAGTGGGGAAATTGATTTGTTTTGTGTCCTCATCTCTCCAGGGCCATGAGCATGTCCTTTGCTGGCCATAAGTCAATGCTGATGACCTCAGTTATAGTGTAATCTTCAAGGCTAATTTACGCAAAACTTCAGAAATGGTAAACATCCTCATGAAGACTAATGATGACATATTTTAGGAGTGCATAATAGTAGGTATAGAGAAAAAACTGCAGGGTAAAATGTTATTGCTGTTCTTATTGCTAAAGGGCATACTCCTTAAGAACCAAAGTTAATTATCAGTCCTTTGACCTAAGAGGAAAACAAATTTCAGGGACTCCCCTAAAGATTCCTATGTAGTACAAATAAAATGCCAAAATATTTTGGAACACATTTTGGAGCACTGGATAGGTCAATAAAATAATGTGTAAATTGCCAAATGTGATCTAGGAACTCCCTGCAAACATCAGATTAGGCTCTATTCTCTATCTGAATACTGACTTTGCTTTGCTTTGTAACTCCTATCTTCACTAATAATGCCTTTTCCCCCCTCTTGTGTGCATCCTAGCCTATATTCTCTTTCATCATTCTACAGTGGTCAATGTGGTTATTGTACAGCTTCACTTTCAATGAAAGCTGAGGGAAAAGAAGCCTCATACCCTGCCCCCCACCCGCCCCCGCCAATACGTAAAAGAAGCCATTTAAAAAATAAAAGCAGCAAGCTACTAAATTTGACTCATTCAAATCTTGGCAATTAGCATGTATAGTATGTTATGAGAGAGAGAGAGAGAAAATTAGCAGAAATGGAGGAAAACATATTACATCCTAAATACCACCAAATTGCCAAAATACACATTTGGGTAGTAATCTCCAGAGAACTCTCTGGAGGCACAGCATCTATCATGCTGATTTCCCTGAACAATATTACAGAATAGCCCTGTGTACTTTCTCTTGGGGGGGGAGGTGTAAAGAATTATCATATGGAACCTCACAAGTCTCTAAAACCTTTCTGCAATTATCCCTCATAGGATTACCACACTGATGAGTTTGTTCAACAGGCGCTGTTGTGACTTCCTAATTTAACTCCTATAGAGATGATTTGTGTGGAAGATAAAACACTATATTTGAACTCAATTCCCACCTTATCCCTGAGCTTATGCTACCAAGCAATTCTTACAATGTTTGGAGTTCTATTAGACTACAGAGAAGAATCTAGGGTTTCAGCTAAACCCTTTAATCCACAGGCCTAGGTAAAGGACTGTCTCAAGGTAGTCGCTAGCCCATGGGTTCTCAAAGTATGGTCTGAAGACCCCTGGAGGAGTCCCTGAGACCCTTTTCGTGGGTCTGCAGATTAAAAATTATTTTGTATAATAACACCAAGATGAGTTACATTCAATTAGGCATTTTTCTTTTGAAATTAAGCAGACTTTTGGAAACTAAGATGTGCATAGCCCTGTAGTAGGCTAAGTGGAAGTTACAAAGGCAGTAGTAGCTTTTTTTCCCCCTCTCGTTATCTCATGAGGATACAGAGGACTTTTCCAGAGGCTACATGACATATGGTTATGTCATCTCTCTCATAGCTGAGGGATGTGTGCTTCTGTGTTCTTCTTGAGCTTTAAATATTTCTCAGTCTTAATACCTAAAATAATTAGTATCAATAGATAGAACCCACACCCAAGAACTCCTTGGGGCCTTCAATAACTTTTAAGAGTGTTAAGGTGTCCTAAGACCAAACATTTTGCAAATTGTTGCTTTATCAGGATTTTTGTTATTTCTAGAATGCATTTCTTTCTAACTGATCTACTTGGGAAAAAAATCGTTACCTCATGGCAATTATTGCTTTCCTATCAATATGGAGATTATATTTCTGAAGGAGACTGACCAAAATTATATTAAAAGGTTTAAATCAAACAAGTGGATCCATGTTATAACATGAGGAAGAGAGCTGCCCCACTAGATGTCTGACATTAGATAACTCAGAGTCCCGCCTCTCCAACAAGTCTCCCTTACTAGAGAAACGGACAGATTCTGTTTTGTGGGATGGGATAAGGAGACAATCTGAAGTAGAGTTTGACACAATATTATTCTGCCCATATGAAATTCTGGTAGCCAGGGTGCCAGGTGTATTCATAATCCAGATGCTGTCAATTTTAAGCCTGAAGCCCCAAGAGGCGAGCAGTGTTTAATACATCATCTCTTGTTAAATAGCAGCCACACAGTTGGCGGTAGCCAGTGAAGCATTCCCTGCCATGTAGGACACGCCAGTTGTCTATAAATAGGACCTGTGAATGGGCCAAAAAAAAAAAAAAAAGAGAGAGAAAACACTGTCAGAAGAAGGACAGACCAAAGGAACCCTAAGTCAGAAGAGATCATTTAAAAGATAACCTTTAGGTTGTTTTCTGGTTGCATTAAATGAGATATTTTTCTTTTGAAATTAAACAAACTTTTGGAAACTAAGATGTGTATAGCCCTGTAGTAGGCTAAATGGAAGTTACAGAGGCAACAGTAGGTAATGGGCCCTGCACTGGAGGAGCTTCTGTTTCTCAAGTAATTGTTCTCTTATCAAAGTAAATCAGATAATTGGTTTGTTTCTTTTTCTTTTTCTTTAATTCTTATTCTACCCTTTCTCAAAGGGTTAAATTATCTCATGACATTTTATGCTAAGCTGAAGGTATTTTTCATCCAGAGGAAATACCAAAAATAAAAACTATGGAATCATGAAGCTGGAAGGACCCTTGGGGGTCATCTAGTTAAACCCCTTCATCATACAAATAGAGTCACTGATGCCTTAGAGATGGGATGAGGCTTGCTTCCAGAGCATTCAGTGAGTGGGCGGCAGGACCATAAACAAAACCAAGGACTCTTTTCTCTTTTTCCTTTGCAACATCGTGACTCACATATTAAGTAAGTACCCGTTCTTCACTGCTTCAGTATTACAAGCTTGCTTGACATCTTTAGAGATTAGGACCCACCCTGCCAGGCTTTAGTTTGACCCAAAACTCATTCTCAGGTCTCCTCAACTCTATCGTTAGAGTCCGGTGTGCTGTATACCAGCGATGGACGACATCATAAGGAACGGTATTGATGACAGCCCGGTCATAGTTGTTGTACCTAACATGGAATCATGAGAAGAAAGATCTCAAACACATGTTAAAGACATCTTTTGTTTATTGAACAATTTTATATAAGGCTTCCCCTATGTTCAATACTTGTCCCAGAGACGAAGTGACGATAAGTCAATATTCTCTCAGGAATATCACATTGGAGTGAGGAGTTCCACTGCCTGTTGACCGTGTTTTGTTTTTCTTTGAATAATCTAAGGATACGGGATAGAAGTTAAGTTCCAACTGTTTCTCTCATCTTATGATATGATATTTTAAGTCTTTACTGGCCAAAGGTCATGGAAGCACTGGGGAAAGCGCTGAGCTTTCTCCTCACCAAGCTGAGGTGGGGTGGACAAGAGAGGTTGTACTAACAAAGCTTTCCTTTTAACAGGATGACTTACAACTTAAGTGTCTCCCTTTGTGGGAGGAATCCCAGCTATAGCCTAGTGGACCATTCACCCAGGGATCTTCAATCATTCGTTCAACCCTAACATTTATATGCGCACCAGCTACATGCTAGGCAGTGCGTCAGGCATTAAAGATACAAGGACGAATACAGCAGACACGACCTCAGTCTTTGGACAGAGTTTACCTTCTATTGAGGAAGATAGATGATAAACAAGTAATAAATACATAAACAAAGTAATTTCAGCTAGCTATAAATGCTATGAAAAAATAATAGTGTTATATAATAAAGAGCGACTGGGAAATCTATTTCACATGGAGTGTTAAGTGAAGGACTTTTTGAAGAAGCGACATTTGAGCTGTTACCTGTATGATACGAGACCAACAATGTAACAAGCTGAGGGGAGAGCATTCCAGGCAAAGGGAAAAGCAAAAACACAGCCTTGGAGTGGAATGGAGTTTTATTCTGTTTGCCGACCAGTAAGAAGGTCACGTGGCTGGAGCTGAGTAAGCAAGGGGAATAATGGTGGGAGAAATTACGTGGAGGAGGTAGTCAGGGGCTAGATCATGTATATATTGCCATGCAGGCCATGGTAAGGACTTTGGATTTTATTCTGAGTACCATGGGAAGCCACTGAAAAACCTTGCCTAAGATAATGGGTTTCTGTTTTGCCTAAGGCAAATTAACTTTTTACTGAAGTATACTATACATTACGGAAAAAGTACACAAATCGTAAGCTTGATGAATTTTCATGATGTAATCGCATCCATATCACTAGCACCCAGGTCAATAAACAGATCATTACCAGAACCCCAGAACCCTCCCTTATGCCCCTTTCCAGTAACGCCCATCCCCCAACCCACGGGTAACTACCATCCTGACTTCTATCACCAAAGATTAGTTTTGCCTGTTTATATAAAACTTTATATAATTGCAATCACAATATGTATTCATTTTGTGTCTGGCTTCTTTCATTTAATATTATGTTTAGGAGTTTCATCATTGCTTAGCAATAGTTTATTGGTGCTATATGGAAGTTGAGTGCGTGATCACACCACAGTTTATCCATTCTACTGTTGATGGACATATGAGTAATTTCCGGTTTGGAACTACTACAAACAGTGCTGTTATGAACATTCTATTACATGTCTTTTGGTGAACAAATATATTCACTCCTATTTGAAATAAACTTAAGAATGGAACTTATGGATCATAAGGTATGTGTATGCTCAGATTTACTAGATACTGCCAAAGATATTCTTTCCAAAGATAAATTAACATCCAATGGTGCCATTTTTGGATATCTCAGGCAATATTCCTTAGTGTTAGATAGTACATGGCACAATCAGAGCCAACATTCTTAGTTTTGTTGCATATAAAATGAGCATAATAACATCTGCTTAGCTGATCTCACAGGGCTACTGCAAGAATCAAATGCAAAAATAGGCCGGGCGCGATGGCTCACGCCTGTAATCCCAGCACTTTGGGAGGCCAAAGCGGTCAGATCACCTGAGGCCAGGAGTTCAAGACCAGCCTGGCCAACATGGCGAAACCCCATCTCTACTAAAAATACAAACAAAACAAAACAACAAAAAAATTAGCCAGGCGCGGTGGCACGCGCCTGTAGTCCCAGCTACTTGGGAGACTGAGGCAGGAGAATCACTTGAACCTGGGTGGCGGACGCTGCAGTGAGCCAAGATCGCGCCACTGCACTCCAGCCTGGGCGACAGAGCGAGACTCTGTCTCAAAGAAAAAAAAAAAAAGAAAGAAAGAAAGAAAGAAAAAGAATATAATAGTCCATCCTCCCAGGCTTCAAGGAGCCATGCCTGGAGGGAGAATGGAGTGAGGAAGCACAGTCTTCACCAGGCTGTTGACACCCATTGTCATTTCCAGAAACTTCTAGTGCTGGGTTAGGCATTTGTGAAAATATTATTTAATTTACTTATTTCATCATCCCAGAAGGAAAGGTGTTATTAACCTCCTTTTACATTTAAGGCAACTGAAACTTAGAGACCTGCCACAGAGTTCATACGTAGCAGAGAGGTTTTGAAATCAGGTGTCCTTAATTCTTTAACTCATTGTTTATACCAGAGAACAGAAAAATGATCGTAATTCCTGTGTACGCTTGTTCATGAGAGCAACATTTTTACAGATCACACTTACAATCTTTTGACTTCAAACTGAGATTTGCAGTTTAGAAATGTTTCCATATACACTATCTGATTGACCCTCTGCATGATAACCACGTGAGGTAAGTAGTACAGCTGTTATTGTCTTACTTTATAGATAAGGAAAATAATGATAAGACCTTGTGATTTGTCCAAGCTTACATGGAATTTGGTATTCACTATTTATATTAGATGGTGGTGTTTTCTAAAGCCAACAGAGAAAGTAGCAGGAAAAGTCTATTACACATAAGCAAAATGGTTGTGCAATACTTTGGATTAGAATAAGACTATTTCTGGACTTTGGCACAAAGTGATGCCATCATATTATTGTGCAGTTTTTCCTTTTTTTCCTGCTTTGATATGAAGCAAGAGAGACGTGGGAGTAGGGGAAAGCAAATAAAGCAGGCATTTATCTGACAAGAAAAGCTAGGAAGATTTAACAAAGTTATCCTTCTTCTTAGTTGACAGACAAGTATTTCCCAAGAGAGCTCCATAATTGAGCAGACGATGCATTTGATGGATTTGTGTATTGTGGTGTAAGTGAAAGCTGGTGGGCTTTCAGATAGGTAGATAAATAGGCTTTCAGTTAGATCACCATTACAATCTCAGTTCAGGTGTGTGACCTTGGAGGAGCTATAGAAATTATAAAAATGCTAGAAGAAAACCTCGGGATGACTCTCCAGGATAATGCTCTGGGAAAAGATTTTATTCCCCAAAAGCACAGGAAACAAAACCCAGAAATAGACAAATGAGACTGGATTAAACTAAAGAGTTTCTGTGAGGCAAGGGAAACAATCAACAGAGTGAAGAAACAACCCACAGTATGGGAATATGGCCATTGTAGAATGGCTGTTATTACAAAGACCAAAAATGACAGACGTTGGCAAGTATGTGGAGAGAAAAGAACTCTTATACATTCAATAAACGGTGCTGGGGAAACTGGATGTCCACATGCAGAAGAATGAAATTAGACCCTTTTCTTACAACATATACAAAAATCAACTAGAAATGGATTAAACGCTTACATGTAAGACCTGACACCGTAAATCTACTAGAAGAAAACACATGGTATAACTCTATGATATTGGTCTATACAATTACCTTTTGGATATGATCCAAAAGTATAAGCAACGGAAGAAAAACTAGGTAAATGAAATTGCATCAAACTGAAAAGCTTCTGCACAGCAAAGGAAACAAAAGAATGAAGAGACAACCTGCAGAATGGGAGAAAGTATTTGCAAACTATACATCTGATAAGGGGTTAATATCTAAAATATTTGAGGAACTCAAACAACTCAATAGTAAGAAAACAAATAACCTGATTTAAAAATGGGCAAAGGATCTGGATAGACATTTCTCAAAAGAAGACATACAAATGGCCAAGAGGTATATGAAAAAGTGCTCAACATCACTAGTAATCAGATAAATTCAAATTAAAACCACCACGGGATATCATCTCATACGCCTTAGGATGGCTATTATTAAAAAGACAAAAGATAACAATGTTGATGAGGATGTGGAGATAAGTGAACCCTTGCACACTGTTGGTGGGAATGTGAATTAGTGCAGCCATTATGGAAAACAATACGGAGGTTTCTAAAAAAAGCTAAAAGTAGAACTACTACATCATCCAGCAATCTCACCACTGGGTATATACCCAAAGGAAATGAAATCAGTATGTCCGAGAGATATCTTCCATGTTCTTTGCAGAAATATTCACAATAGCCAAGATATAAAATCAATCTAGGCAGAATACATGGGAGTGTATATAGAGAAAATGTGGTATGCATAAAAAGTGGAATACTATTCATCCTTGAAAAAGAAGAAAGTCCTGTCATTTGTGACAACATGGATGAACCTGGAGAACATTAAGTGAAAATAAGCCAGGCACAGAAATATCAATACTGCATGATCTCACTCATATGTGTAATGTAAAAAAAAAGTTGATATCATAGAAATAGAGAGCAGAATGGTGGGTACTAGAGGCTGGTGGGTTGTGGAGTAGTGGTTGGGTGGTTGGGGATATGTTGCTCAGAGGATACATAATTTTAGATCAGAGAAATAAGTTCAAGTGATCTATTTTTCCATGTGATGACTATAGTTAATAACAATGTATCGTAATTTGAAAATTTCTAAGAAACAGTCAATCAACGGAGTGAAGAGATAACTCACAGAATGTGAGAAAATGTTTGCAAACTATGCATCTACAAGAGATTAATACCCGGAGTATATAAGGAACTCAAACTCAATAACCAAAAAAGACATATTCCCTTAAAAATGGACAAAAGTTCTGAATAGACATTTCTCCAAAGAAGGCAGACAAATGGCAAATGGGTATATTTTTAAATGCTCCACATCACTAATCATTAGGGAAATGCAAATCAAAACCACAATATCACCTCACCCCAGTTACAATGGCTATCATTAAAAAGACAAAAAATAGGCTGAAAGTAAGGATGGTTAGTATGTACAAACACAGAGAGAATGAATAAGATCTAGTATTTGGCAGCACAATAAGGCAACTATAGTTAACAATAACTTATTGTATATTTAAAAATAACTAAGAGAGTAGAACTGGAGTGTTCCTAACACAAAGAAATAATAAAGGCTTGAAATGATAGATACCTCAATTATCCTGATTTGATCATTACATATTGTATGCCTGTATCAAAACATCACATGCACTCCATAAATATATACAACTATTATTTACCCATAATAATTAAAAAAATCAAAATTTAATTTAATAACATAAAATATAATAAAGTGATCTTAAAAGAAATTTGCCCGTGGTTAGATATTACTTGTTACACTTTAATTGATGATTTCTATTATAATTTCATAGTACTTAGAATATATATATATATTAGAAAATATCATCTATAGGATTTTTGCTTTCATGAGGGTAATGATATTTTAAGCCTAAAATATTAGAATTTTCAATAATTTTCTCTAGTGTTTGGAAATTATTTTAATCCTCTGTTTAGTGCTCAAAAATGCTGTTCATTTGTGACTGATTAGTTAAACTTTCTAATAAAGTGATTTTACACTCTTTATGTTAAAGAAACAACAAATGCTGGTGAAGATGTGTAGAAAGGGGAAATCTTATACATTGTTGATGGGAATGTAAACTAGTACAGGCAATATGGACAACAGTACTGAGGTTCCTCAAAAAATTAAAAATAGAACTAGCATATGATCCAAAGAACTCACTACTGGGTATTTTAAAAGGAAATGAAATCAGTATGTTGGAGAGATACCTGCACTCTCATTGTGATGGTTCAATTTACGAGTCAGCTTGACTGGATTGAGGGATGCCAAGACGGCTGTTGAAACATTGTTCCCTGGGTGTGTCGGTGAGAGTGTTTCCAGGGGAGCTTGGTGTGTGAGACAGTGGACTGCAACAGGTAAGATCCACTTTCAATGCGGGCGTGCACTGTCCTGTTAGCTGGGAGCCTGGTTGGGACAAATAGACAGAAGAGGAGGAATTCTCTCTCTCTGCTCATCCTATCTCCCTTCTGCAGCCAGATTTCTTTCCTCCTCCTGTCCTTGGACATCAGACTCCAGTTTCTTCCACTTTTGGACTCTGGGACTTGCATCCACAGCCTCCAGTGGGCTCTTAGGCCTTTGGCCTCAGACTGGGGTCTGTACTCTCAGCTTCCCTAGTTCTGAGGCTTCCAGACTTGGAGTGAATCGTGCTACCAGCTTCTTCGGTTCTGCAGCTTGCAGATGGCCTATTGTGGGACTTCTCCATCTCTATAATCATCTGAACCAACTACACCTCATAAATCCTCTCTCATATATCCTATTGGTTCTGTCTCTCTGGAGAACCTTGACTAACACACCCATGTTTATTGCAGCACTATTCACAATAGCCAAGATATGGAATCAACATAAGTGTCCATCAACAGATGAATGGATAAAGAAAATGTGGTGCATATTCACAATGGAGTACTATTCAGCCATAACCAATAATGAGATCCTGTCATGTGTGACAACATGGATAAGCCTGTAGGACATTACATTAGGTGAAATAAGCCAGGCACAGAAAGACAAACTTTGCATGTGCTCACTTATTTGTGTGAGCTAAAAATTAAATAATTGAAATGAAGATAGAGAGTAGAAGGGAGGCTGGGAAGGTTAGTGGGAGGGTGAGGAGGAAGTGGGGAAAGTTAGTGGGTACAAAAAATAGTTAGAAAGAATGAATAAAGCCTAGTATTTGCTAGCACAACAGGGAGACTGTAGTAAAAAAATAATTTAATCATACTTTTAAAATAACCAAAAGAGCCAAATCATGAGTGAACTCCCATTCACATTTGCTTCAAAGAGGATAAAATACCTAGGAATCCAACTTACAAGGGATATGAAGGACCTCTTCAAGGAGAACTACAAACCACTGCTCAATGAAATAAAAGAGGACACAAACAAATGGAAGAACATTCCATGCTCATGGGTAGGAAGAATCAATATCGTGAAAATGGCCATACTGCCCAAGGTAATTTATAGACTCAATGCCATCCCCATCAAGCTACCAATGACTTTCTTCACAGAATTGGAAAAAACTACTTTAAAGTTCATATGGAACCATAAAAGAGCCCACATCGCCAAGTCAATCCTAAGCCAAAAGAACAAACCTGGAGGCATCACGCTACCTGACTTCAAACTATACTACAAGGCTACAGTAACCAAAACAGCATGGTACTGGTACCAAAACAGAGATATAGACCAATGGAACAGAACAGAGCCCTCAGAAACAATGCCGCATATCTACAACTATCTGATCTTTGACAAACCTGACAAAAACAAGCAATGGGGAAAGGATTCCCTATTTAATAAATGGTGCTGGGAGAACTGGCTAGCCATATGGAGAAAGCTGAAACTGGATCCCTTCCTTACAGCTTATACAAAAATTAATTCAAGATGGATTAAAGACTTAAATATTAGACCTAAAACCATAAAAATCCTGGAAGAAAACCTAGGCAATACCATTCAGGACATAGGCATGAGCAAGGACTTCATGTCTAAAACACCAAAAGCAATGGCAACAAAAGCCAAAATTGACAAATGGGATCTAATTAAACTAAAGAGCTTCTGCACAGCAAAAGAAACTACCATCAGAGTGAACAGGCAACCTACAGAATGGGAGAAAATTTTTGCAACCTACTTGTCTGACAAAGGGCTAATATCCAGAATCTACAATGAACTCAAACAAATTTACAAGAAAAAAACGAACAACCCCATCAAAAAGTGGGCGAAAGATATGAACAGACACTTCCCAAAAGAAGACATTTATGCAGCCAAAAAACACATGAAAAAATGCTCATCATCACTGGCCATCAGAGAAATGCAAATCAAAACCACAATGAGATACCGTCTCACACCAGTTAGAATGGCGATCATTAAAAAGTCAGGAAACAACAGGTGCTGGAGAGGATGTGGAGAAATAGGAACACTTTTACACTGTTGGTGGGACTGTAAACTAGTTCAACCATTGTGGAAGTCAGTGTGGCGATTCCTCAGGGATCTAGAACTAGAAATACCATTTGACCCAGCCATCCCATTACTGGGTATATACCCAAAGGATTATAAATCATGCTGCTATAAGGACACATGCACACGTATGTTTATAGCTGCACTATTCACAATAGCAAAGACTTGGAACCAACCTAAATGTCCAACAACGATAGACTGGATTAAGAAAATGTGGCACATATACACCATGGAATACTATGCGGCCATAAAAAAGGATGAGTTCATGTCCTTTGTAGGGACATGGCTGAAACTGGAAACCATCATTCTCAGCAAACTATCGCAAGGACAAAAAACCAAACACCGCATGTTCTCACTCATAGGTGGGAATTGAACAATGAAAACACATGGACACAGGAAGGGGAACATCACACACCGGGGACTGTTGTGGGGTGGGGGGAGGGGGGAGGGATAGCATTAGGAGATATACCTAATGCTAAATGACGAGTTAATGGGTGCAGCACACCAACATGGCACATGTATACATATGTAACAAACCTGCACGTTGTGCACATGTACCCTAAAACTTAAAGTATAATAATCATAAAACATAAAATAAAGTAAAATAACCAAAAGAGTATAATTTGGTTGTTTGTAATACAAAGATAAATGCTTGAGGAGATGGATACTCCATTTTTACCCTGATGTGATTATGTACTGCATACCTATATTAGAACATCTCATCTAACCCATAAATATATACACCTACTATGTAACCACAAAAATAATAAATAAAAATAAGATAAATATAAATTTAAAAGTTGATGTTATAGAGGTAGAGAGTAGAACAGTGGTTACCAGAGGCAGGGGAGGCGAGGAGGGAAGGAGAGATGGGAAGAGGTTGGTCACTGGGTACAAAGTTACAGTTATGGTTAGATAGGAGGATTAAGTTCTGGTGTTCTATTGCACAATAGGGTGACAATAGTCGACGATAATATGTTGTATAGTTCAAAATAGCTAGAAGAGATGATTTTGAATGTTCTCACTAAAAGAATAAGAGGGGGAATACTACAATCAATCTATGCCTATATATTTGATAACTTATATGAACCAATTTCTTAAACCCACATGGTAAAAAAAAACAAACTAATTCAAAGAAAAGTAGATAATCTGAATAGCCTGGCATGCATTAAAGAAACTGAATCTGTAATTTAAAACTTTTCAAGAAAGAGAACTCCGGGCCAGACAATTTCACTCATGAATTCTATCAAACATTTAAGTAAGATGTAATACAAATTTTACAGTCTCTTTCAGAAAATTAAGGAGAGAAAATGACCCCACTCATATTATGAGGATAGCATCATCCTAATACCAAACTCAGACAGAGATATTACGAGCAAAAAACAAAATAGCAATATCTCACATAAACATAGGTACAAATATTCTTACTAAGATATTAGCCAATCAACTCTAGCAATGTATAAAAAAGATAATGCATCAAGATCAAGTGGAGTTTATCCCAGGTATTCAAAGTTGGTTCAACATTCAAAAATCAATCAATGTATTTTATCATATTGTCATACTAAATACGCAACATCGAATGATCATATAAATAAATGCAGAAAAGGCATTCAACAAAATTCAATATTAATTAATGATAAAATTCCCAACAAGTTAGGAATAGAAGGAAATTTCCTTATTCTAATAAAGGCTATCCATGGAAAACCTACAGTGAACCACTGAGTAATTTTCCCCTAAAATCAGAAATAAGTCAAGGATGTCCTTTCTCACCACTACTATTCACTGTTAGTCCTGGAAGTCCCAGCTAGTGCGATAACACATGCACACACACACGCACACGCGCACACACACACACACACAGAGAGAGAGAGAGAGGGAGAGAGAGAGAGAAATGAAAGGCATACATATTATAAAGGAGAAAAATATACCCCATTATGTTGAAAACCCCAAATAATGTACAATAAAACTCCAAAAGACTCTTCCAGAAGACTCCTAGACTTGATAAAGAACTTCAGTAAAGTTTCAGGATACAAAATCAATGTACAAAACACAGTAGCATTTCTCTACACCAATATCATTCAAGCTAAGAACCAAATGAAGAACCCATTTACAATAGCCACAAAAAATAAAACACCTAGGAATACATTTAATCAAGGAGGTGAAAGATCTCTACAAGAGGAACTACAAAACACTGATGAAAAAATTGTGTATGACACAAATAAATGAAAACACATCCCATGCTCATGGATCAAAAGAACCAATATTATTAAAAATGACCACACTGCTCAAAGCAATTTACAGATTCAGTGCAGTCTCTATCAAATTACCAACACAATTTTTCACATAATTAAAAAAACTTAAAATTCATATGAAACCGAAAGAAGAGTCTGAATAGCCAAACCAATCCTAAGCAAAAAGAACAAAGCTTGAAGTATTACATTCTGACTTTGAATTATACTACAAGGCTATAGTAACCAAAACGTCATGATATTGGTATAAAAATAGACATATAGACCAACGGAACAGAATAGTGAACCCAGAAATAAAGTACCTATTAACAACTGATCTTCTGCAATATTGACAAAATTAAACAATAGAGAAAGAACACCCTCTTCAATATACGGTGCTAGGAAAACTGGCTAGCCATATGCGGAAGAATGAAACTGGACCCCTGTCTCTCACCATATACATGAATTAACTCGAGATGGATTAAAGATTTATACTTTAGACATGAAACTGTAAAAATCCTGTGAGAAAATGTAGGAAAAATTCTTCTGGACATTGGCCTGGCTTAGGCAAAGAATTTTTGACCAGGTCCTCAAAAGCAAATGCAACACAAACAAAAATAAACAGACGGGACTCAGTTAAGCTAAAAACCTTCCACACAGCAAAAGAAACAATCAACAGAGTAAACCTACCTAATGAGAAAAAATATTTGCAAATTATGTATCTAACAAAGGCTAATATCCAGAATCTACAAGAAACTCCAACAACTCAACAACAACAACAACGACAAAAACAAAAACAAAAAACAAGTAACGCCATTAAAAAGTAGGCAAAGGGCATGAATGGGTGTTTTTTGAAAGACATACAAGTGGCCAACAAACATATGAAAGATGCTCAATATCACTAATTATCAGAGAAATGCAAATTAAAACCAAACAATACTATCTTACACCAGTCAGAATAGCTATTATTTAAAAATCAAAAAACAACAGATGTTGGTGAGGATGTGGAGAAAAAAGTAATGCTTATGCACTGTTAGTGGGAATGTAAATTATCACATTTATGGAAAACAGTATGGAGATTTCTCAAAGAACTAAAAATAGATTTCTCAAAGAACTAAACATGGTAAAAAATGAAATACCATTTGATCCAGCAATCTCACTACTGGGTATCTACCCATCTGCATTTTACATATACGTGGAATACTATGCAGCCATAAAAAAATAATGAAGTCGTGTGTTTTGCAGTAACATGAGTGGAACTGGAGTACGTTATCTTAAGTAAAATAATTCAGAAACAGAAAGTCAAATATCACATATTCTCACTTGTAAGTGAGAGCTTAACAATGGGTACACATGGACATATAGAGTAGCATAATAGATATTGGAGACTACAAAAGGGTGGGAAGTTGACAAGGGTTGAAAAATTACCTCTTGGGTACAATGTTCCCTCTTCAGGTGATGGGTACACTAAAAGCCCAGACTCCACCACGATGCGATATATGCATGTAAGAAATCTGCACTTGTACCCTCTAAATCCATTTTTAAAATCGAAAAATATCACCGTAAGATACCGCTTCACAGCCACTGGAATGACTATTATAAGCAAACAAAGCAAAGAGCAAACAAGTTTTGGTAGGGCCTGGTGGGAGGTGTTTTCATCATGGGGGCAGGTCCTTCATGGGTGGCTTGGTACCACTCTCATAGTAATGAGTGAGTTCTCCCTCTGAATTCATTGCAAGAGTTGGTCGTTTAAAAGAGTGTGGCATGTCCTTGGAACAGCTACAATTCATACATTGTTGATGACAGTGTAAAATGGTACAAGTACTTTGGTAAAACTTGTTGCAGTTATTTATGAAACTAAGCATTCACCTACTCTATGACCCAGCAGTTCCACTCCTAGGTATTTACCTTAGTGAAATGAAAATGAAAACATATTAAAAAAAACACTTTTACATGAATGTTCACAGCAACTTTATTCATAATAACCTGAAACTGGAAAGAGTCCAGATGTGTATTCATAAAAGAAGAGATAAACAGAACAGGCAAAAATCTAATCTATAGTGGTAAAAGAAAATCAAACTGTGGGTTCCTCTGAGATGTATGTGCAGAAGTATGAGAGTACTTCCTGTAGTGATAGTAATATTTTATATCTTGATAAGGGTTTGGGTTAAATAGGTATATGCATTGGTCAAAACTCAGTGAGTGTATATTTAATATTTTAAACATCATTGCATATACATTGTAACTTTAAAAAGCTGTAAGCAAATATTGAACTCTACTTAATGATATAAATGTTGAAGTATTAGGGAGATATGTACTGATATCTGCAATGTATTATACTTTAAAATTCACTGAAAATAAGATTAACTGATGAATGAATAGATGGGAAGATAGGTGATAAAGCAAGTATAGAAATATCTTAATGGTAGAATCTAGATGTAAGTCTATGGCTTTTCTGTGTTAAATGTTTTCAACTTTTCTATATGTTTAGAAATGTTCATAATAAAATGTTGGGAAAATAGAGTTACTACTCATTGTTTTAGGCACTTAGATATATGAGAGATAACAGAGGGAGAGTTTCCCAGAGGAACTTATCCAAGGGAAGTAAATTAATATTTACACAGTTCCTCCTACAAGCCAGGGGTAAAGGTAAGGATAACAATTTATTTTTAACTTCACAACAAGTGGGCACAGAAGGTATTATTATTGTAACTGGAAACTCATGACTAGCAGGTTAAGTAACTTGTCCAAGGCCAAAAATCAATAAATGGCAGACAGGATTTCACACTGAACTCCTTCTGATTACAAAGCCTGTACTCTTTGTAGTATGTCAAGTTTTGCAGCTATCTTCACCCTGCCTCTTCACCCCATATCTCCTTCCCTGCTTTTTTGTTTTTCCCTAGTACTTATCACAATTTGATATATTATATATTTGCTTATTTATTTTTAATTACTCTGTCGTCACTATAATGAGAATTCCAAGATGGCCAGGAATTTTTGTCTATTGTGCCTACAGTTTCATCTGCAGTGTCAAGAACAGAGCATGACTCTTGGTAGATGCTCATGAAATATTTGCTGAGTAAACTGAATTAATGCACAGTAACAGTTTGCTTGGAATAAGCAGAAGCAGGAGCGGTAATCCATCTGCAAAAATGCATAGTAAAAAGCTTGGCTGCAAGATGCAAAATAATGGGCTCCAGAAACCCAAAGCAGTTTGGAATAGCTAGGGAAGAATGTATGGAAAACATGAATTACATGCTAGAAGAGTAAGAAGGGATCAGATCATACAGAACCTTAAAAGCCATAAGGAAGGACTCTAGTCTTTCTCTGAAAGACACTGGGGAGGTTTAGAAGGATCTTAACATGGGAGCAGAAGATAAGACTCAGCATGAAAAATTAATGGAAGAGGGCTCACAATGGAAGCAAGGACATCAGTTACAACTTTAGCCATGGGAAAGAAAAGTGTTCTCACTGCAAGAAGAGGCATTGTAGATAGAAAGCAGGGGATAGTTTGAGAAAAATATAGGAGATTGAGTTGATAAGACTGGTTGTGTAATATAAGGGAGAGGGAAAAATTAAATATGATGTTTGGTTTATGGCTTGGGAAACTTAGTGGATGGTGGTACCATTCAATGAAAATGGGAAAACAAGTGGAGAAGTAGGTTTAAAATGAGTAGAAGTGATGAGTTCACGTTTGAATATGATATGTTTTATATTCTACAAAATATCTAAGTTGTGATATCAGTAGTCAATTGAATACACAGGTCAAGAGCTTTGCATAAATCTGGGCTGGATACATAAATGTTGTTGGGTAACCTAGCTGTTTGGTCACTGAGGATAATTTAATAACTCTTTTTCATTTAATAATGTTTTCATTTAAAAAATACTACCTCTAATATTTGACCCCACCCCTAAAATAAACCTAGTATTCTTTGGTTGGTGGCTATTTACTATTCCATGGGAATTATAAGAAGAATACAAACTGTTTGATAATAAAAAGCTATAGAATAGCAAGATTAAAATGTAGCAGATATAAGAATCTTAGGGATTTTTGTTACATTAGAAGGCTAATCTTTGGCAAATATATTACAGTTGGGGATAGTTCTTTGATACTCACCTGATCAAATACAGCTCTTTATTCCATGGGTAGATATTTAAGACTGGCCCAATCCCAATCATGTGGTTGTGACATTCTCCAACATCTTCAATATATTCATGCTTCAATGGCACTTTACTGAGGAGTTCAAATTCCTCAGGTGCCTTTTGAAGTACCTGTTCTGCTGCATAGAATCCATCTACTAGCAGTGTCCTGCCACCAGTTCCTTCATGTTTAAGACAATGAAACACTTGAATGCTAAAGAGAGAAAAGAAAATTCTTCTGTTCAGTGGAAGAGAGAACATATCAAAATTCTAGAAATTATATATAAAATGATTACTGAAACTACTTGTCATTTTCTTTTCATTTCCTAATTGGAAATCTCATTTCTTAATTGTTTTTCTCTCATAGGCAGTTGTACTTTTTTGTGTTTTGAAATATTAATGCCACTAGAGGTTTCTTCTAAACATATCTAACATATATTGAAGCTTATATGTGCTGGGCCCTGGGAATACAGGCATGAATAATATATAACCTATATTTTCAAGAAGCTCATAGTCTAGTAAGAAGAACTAAAGCAAATAAATACCAAATAAAATATGATAGGTACTATAATAAAGTTGCATACAAGATATAGTGGGGTCATAAACAAAGGAATGATCTGTTCTAGCGGGGTGTTGTATAAAGAAATGTTTTGGAGAAGAATGAAAATTGTTTTGACTAATCTTAAAGAATGAGCAAGAATTGGAGTAGAAGGAGATTGAGATGAGGAGAAGGCATTCTAGGCGGAGAGAAAGCATGACCAAAGATACCAATGTAAAACAACAAGGAGTAAGAAGTTCCTATTGGCATAGCACAGAGAACCACAAAATGATTTTAAACTGTGAAACTCTACGGCCATATCAATATTTTAAAGAGTCCATTATGTTGATAGTGTGGAACATGGACTGGTGAGAAGCAACGTGACAAAAAACTTGGAAACCAACTTGAACAACTGAAATAGTAAAGAAAAATATTGAGAGCTTGAACTCAGAAAGGGGCGTTATAGAGAAGAAGACACACCTGAGAGATACCGAGATAGAAGTAGCAGAATTTGATAACTGAAGGATAGGCAAGAATCTAGAATAACTCCAGGTTTCTCACTTGGGCACCTGAAAAATGATAATGCTATTTACTAAGACCGAGATTACAGACAGATATGCTGTTGAATGATAATGAGGAAGTATGAGAGGTTGAGGAAGGAGTTCAGTTTAGAGGCATGTTAGAACAGCTAATCATATACAGTTTCTGAATATGTTAACAGGGAAAGGTAAGGTGACTATTAATTGACTGGAAAACTAAGGTAGAATTTTCAAACTTATGAGGGAAAATAAAATTAATAGTAATTTAATCAAATATGCAAAACTAAGAAAAAGTAAAAAGCAAATTAAAATAAGAAATAAACAAAAATATGGAGTAAAATCAAGGACAATCTAATATAATATAAATACAATTAAAAAGAGAAAGGTAAGCCTGGCCATATTGAAATTTCTGTGAAACTTCTAGGTCAGGGTTATTTAGTTACCAGTTAAAGATGTTTAAGGAAGAGAGGTGGATTTTGTTACAAGTGATAGCTAAAGCCAAGAGCATGGAAGAGGTCGTTTGGAGAGATCATTTCAAGTAAGAAAAGAGGGATAAGGAGAAAACCTTGAGGAAGAATAATATTTAGGAAATAGACAAAAGAAGCCAGCAAAGGAGGCTGAGGAAAAATGGTCAGATATATAGGAAGAAAACTAGGAAAGAAGGAATATTTAAGAAATTTAGTAGTGGTTAATGGTATGTCTCAGGGATCAAGTAAGATGACAGTACACACTGGATATGACAATTAGTTGCTGGTGACGTTAGAGAGAGTAACTTTAATTGCGGTGAGGGGTGGGTTGGGAAAACTAGATGCCTATGGGTTTGAGGAGTAAATGGGAAGTGAGAATGAAAATATATTGAATGTAGCTATTATTCTTTTAATAATCTTAGCCATGAAGTGGAAGAAAAAAACATGGCTGTAGCTAAACGGAGATAGAGTCCAAGGAAGTACAAAAATAGAGAATTAAGATATGGGAGGCTGATAAGAAGGAGTCAATAGGTATGGAAAGGCTGAAGATAGAGGAGAGAGAAATCCCCAAGGAAGCTGGAAAGGATGAGATCCAGAGCAAAGATAGCTTTAGAGAGAGTAAAGCATATAACAATGAAGATAGTGATTAAAATGAATAAAATGATGAAAATTATAGCTAATATTTATTGAACACTTAGTTTGTGTCAGGCAGTATGATCATATAATTTAATTCCTTAGCAATGCTAATGGATAGGTTAGTTTGTGTCAGGCAATATGATCATATAATTTAATTCCTTAGCAATGCTAATGGATAGGTTTTATATTACTAGTCCCATTTTACAGATGAGGAAACTGAAGTACAGAGAAATTAAGTTACTTGTCCAAGATCACAAATCTAATACATGTTGAGGCTGGAATGCAAATCTGGGTCTGGTTGATGCCATAGCCTGAACTCTTAAGTGCTATTACCATACTGCTAATTTACTTGGTCCTTGCCATTGATTACAAACAATTAAACTAAAGCCACAAACAGTTGTTTATCTCTGGTGTTGGTCATAAAGGGAAGAGCTAGTCAGTATTTGAACCTCAACCCCTGTACAGCTGCTTCTTATCTCATTTCCTCTTTTTTCCTTCTGTATCCACTAGAATGAGGATGCAGGGTTGTTGATCTCTCCATATATTGATAACATTTATCAGGATATCTAAAAGCTGCTTTGTTCTTCCTTCCCTGAATCAAACATTCTTAAGTTATAAACCCTTAAAGGAAATCAGTGTAACCATGAGCAATTGCATATTATCATCCTCTCATATAGTCTCCATAAATCTATGTGCACTCATTTTACTCATATCTTTGTGTCTCAGGCTCACCATCTAAATGCAGAAGCAAGATCAAGAACACGGAATAACCACAGAGGTGCCTCTACTGAAGAGCAAATGGTAGGAAAATTGAGTATAGTATGTATCATCTTTGGTTCAAAAGCATCTTATTCCGTGTGAAGAAGTTATTCTTCCATCATTCCTCCTCTCCAACTTCTTGTAAATCAGATTCAAATTCTTCTTAATGCCATACTCAAAGCAGCTGTGTTTGCATGACGACCCTTTTGCAATATGTTAATAACTAAATGCAAGAAATCTGTACAAATTCCAAAACTAATGGTTAGGCAATACTTTTTTGGGGGATAATTTATAATTACTTTGAAAAATGTAAAATTACATTTTAATAATTAACAAAATTAGGACTCCATTTATATAGTAAGATGAGTTTTCTTTTTATTTTATTTTATTTTATTTTATTTTATTATACTTTAAGTTTTAGGGTACATGTGCACAATGTGCAGGTTTGTTACATATGTATACATGTGCCATGCTGGTGTGCTGCACCCACTAACTCATCATCTAGCATTAGGTATATCTCCCGATGCTATCCCTCCCCCCTCCCCCCACCCCACAACAGTCCCCAGAGTGTGATGTTCCCCTTCCTGTGTCCATGTGTTCTCATTGTTCAATTCCCACCTATGAGTGAGAACATGCGGTGTTTGGTTTGTTGTTCTTGTGATAGTTTGCTGAGAATGATGGTTTCCAGCTCCATCCATGTCCCTACAAAGGACATGAACTCATCATTTTTTATGGCTGCATAGTATTCCATGGTGTATATGTGCCACATTTTCTTTATCCAGTCTATCGTTGTTGGACATTTGGGTTGGTTCCAAGTCTTTGCTATTGTGAATAGTGCCACAGTAAACATACGTGTGCATGTGTCTTTATAGCAGCATGATTTATAATCCTTTGGGTATATACCCAGTAATGGGATGGCTGGGTCAAATGGTATTTCTAGTTCTAGATCCCTGAGGAATCGCCACACTGACTTCCACAATGGTTGAACTAGTTTACAGTCCCACCAACAGTGTAAAAGTGTTCCTATTTCTTCACATCCTCTCCAGCACCTGTTGTTTCCTGACTTTTTAATGATTGCCATTCTAACTGGTGTGAGATGGTATCTCATTGTGGTTTTGATTTGCATTTCTCTGATGGCCAGTAATGATGAGCATTTTCTCATGTGTTTTTTGGCTGCATAAATGTCTTCTTTTGAGAACTTAAAAATATTTTATTCCTAGGAGTCTGATATAGTTTGGATATTTATCCCCACCAAAATCTCATGTTGAATTGTAATCTCCAGTGCTGGAGGTAGGGCCTGGTGGAAGTGTTTAGCTCATGGAGGTGGATAACTGATGGCTTGGTGCTGTCTTCAGATAGTGAGTGAGTTCCTGTGACAGCTAGCTGTTTAAAAGTGTGTGGCACCTCCTCCCTGACTCTCTCTCACTTGCTCCTGTTTTTGCCATGTGAACTGTTTGCTCCCCGCTCACCTTCCACCATGATTGGAAGCTCCCTGAGGCCTCCCCAGAAGAAGATGCTGCTATGCTTTCTGTATAGCCTGCAGAACCATGAGACAATTAAATCTCTCTTTTTTTTTTTTATAAATTACCCAGTCTCAGGTATTTATTTATAGCAATGCAAGAATGGCCTAATACAGAATCTAAAAACTGAGTTAAGGTATTTCAAAATGATCATGTTTCTAGGGGAAGAGAAAGTCATACAAATCTGCAGGAGCAGATATGATCTTGGTTCGAACAGAATGGAAAATAATTAAGAAACCACTCAAGACTATCACATATAAAGACTTTACACTGTAAAAGTCTAATCCACCTACCCACAGGGCTCTTGAAAATAGGTAGTGTCAGTGTGCCGATCCAGAGCTAGCTTGGTGTACGCAGTGTCACCTCTGGAGAAGTCTGAAGTGAAATACCACATCCTCCCATAAATGGTTTCTCTGTTAGTTGAAATAAAGAAAGACCTGTTAGCTATTTGAAATGTTCATTCTTGTCTTTCAAAACTCCTTCCAATACCTTCTTTAGTTACTCACAAATAACAGTAGATTTTTTTGGTTCCAGAATTTAATCCATAAGGTGAAAATGACAGTTGAACATGCTAGTCTTGACAATTCTGTCACTTATTAACATTCTAGAAAGTTGGGGAGAAAACTGTGGAAGTATAATATTGTATTATGAAAGCTTGGAGAATCATCCCACTCTGATTATGTGCCCAGTTTTCATAGCCTTCATAAATTCAAGGTTCTTTTCTATGCTCACCTTTCTTTCACAGAAAAAGATATAGCTGCTTCTGGAAGTGATTTTTTTATTTTATTTTATTAATTATTATTATACTTTAAGTTTTAGGGTACATGTGCACAATGTGCAGGTTTGTTACATATGTATACATGTGCCATGCTGGTGCGCTGCACCCACTAACTCATCATCTAGCATTAGGTATATCTCCCAATGCTATCCCTCCCCCCTTCCCCCCACCCCACAACAGTCCCCAGAGTGTGATGTTCCCCTTCCTGTGTCCATGTGTTCTCATTGTTCAATTCCCACCTATGAGTGAGAATATGCGGTGTTTGGTTTTTTGTCCTTGCGATAGTTTACTGAGAATGAGGATTTCCAATTTCATCCATGTCCCTACAAAGGACATGAACTCATCATTTTTTATGGCTGCATAGTATTCCATGGTGTATATGTGCCACATTTTCTTAATCCAGTCTATCATTGTTGGACATTTGGGTTGGTTCCAAGTCTAACTTTATTTACTATTTTTATAGCTGTTGTCTTTTATTAGTACCATTTTTTCAATAATGGTGGTCATTTCCTAATATTTTGGATAATCCAATTTGCAAGGATGACTGAAGAGTTCTCATATTATTTATAAGACACAGAAGTGATTAATGTAGATCCTCACTCATCTTTTGGACATGGAGGAATAAAGAAAAGAGAAAAGGATAGTTTGTGTTAGCAAGTATTTAGTGAGACTTGCTGTACCATTGTTGTTGTGTCTCTCCTTGAAGTATACATCATATATTTTGATTTTGTAATTATTTTCCTGTTCGGCTCAAATCTGACTAAAGGTCACTTTAATTCTTTAGCTTTCAAAGTTCATCTTATTTTCTGAACCCTTGAAGTTCAAATAGGAAATGCTCTTCCTTTTGAACTATCATCCCTAAAACTGTCTCAATTTATCACTTACCAGCACAGTTTCTTTCACTTGAAAGTTCTCAAACTGTGATTCAAACTGAATGGCTCACAGATGCTGTTGATTATGCTCTACCAGCACAGGGAAGAAGACCCAGCATACTATCTACTACAAAATGAGCTATATCTGGATCTTATTAAGTAAAAGGAAAGTACTAATTATAATAAAGTAGGTTGACATCACACTTAATACTATAGAAGATCAATCTATATACCACCCAAAAGTGCGTAATGGTAATGAAAAAAACAATGTATTTAGGATTAGGAAACCTGGGCTATTTGAATTCAAGTTCTATTGTTTACTAGTAGAGCACTCCTGGGCAAGACACTTGGTATATTTGAGTGTCAGTGCCTCAGCAGTAAAACGGGGACAAAACACACACTGATCAGGGTTCCTATAATAATTAAAAGAAAATAATGGGTGGGAATGTGCTGGCTGAATGCTATATAGCCTTTTAAGGCAGTGTTATTAACAATCAGTCTCTGAATCAAGCCACAGGAATCACAGAAGGTCAAATTGAACAGATGGGAAAATAGAGGACAGTGGGGGTCGAGGGGGTGTGTGTGTGTGTGTGTGTGTGTAATGGACATGCCTATGGTCACACAACTACTTGATGGTAGAACTCAGACTACTATCCAGTTCTCCTTACAGTCAGTGTTTTTTTCCAGTGTACAATAATACCTGTCACTTGGGATCACTGGGCTAGAAACATATTACCAATGACTCTGCAGTCATCATTATATTTTACACATAAGTGTATTTAGAGATTAGAAATCCAGACCTCAAATAAAGTACTGCAAGTGAGAGTCCCTTATTCATGCTACAAAATATTCTGGATTGAAAACGAGGGTGACCATACCTGTTACATTTATTTATTGGTGTTCATGCTCTGGAAATTAATTATAATACTGTGGATTTTAGGAAACAAATGAATTACCTGATTAAGCTGATCCTTTCTGCCAACTTCTCTGTGTGCTCTTGAGTGGGAGGGACATTTTCTACGAATGCAATTCCATAGAGCAGAAAGTTTTGCAGAAACTTCTTCAGTCCCTCGTTGGTTTCTAAGAAGCTCTGGCAATCTACCGATGGAACTTGGGCTTGCTGGTAGATTTCAGCATTCCATAGTATTCTAGGCTGGATGACTTTTTGTTTCTGCCCTTCATAGCTGTTTTTCACCAGCCAATTCAAATCATATTTAGTCACATGACCATCTGGCCCTTTTAAGGGGAAAAATAAAAGGCACTATAATAATTACAAATAATGTCAATATTTGTAATTGGTTACAACTAGTTAAGAATCTTTTTCCTAGCAATCAGTTATCCAGTACTGTATTGTTTATGAAACCAAATTAAAATGAATGCCTAGAATGTTTCTGAGAAAGAAATATGTGTGGTTTGAGTGGTATGCATGAATAAATGAATGAACAAATAAATCTTCCCAGAGGCTAAATAAGTTTACAGAATTATAGTTATATAGTAAAAGATCTTCTGGAAAATTCATCAAGTCATCAAAGAATGATAATCCAAGTAGGCTTTTACAAGCCTACTTGGCACTCTCTCCCCTTGCCCCCATCCCTGTCTTCCATCTATATAGGAACTCAGAATGTTTGAGCTAGAAGGGGCTAATCTTTATTTTACAGATGGAGAAAAAGTCAGTGACTCACTCAAGATCACACAACTAAGTACTATAGGTGGAACTAGAACCCCACCTTCTTGCTGCTACAAGTTCAGTACTATTCAATGCTGCCTTCCTCTTCTACATGATGTAGGACATTGCTGTCTAATTATATGACATCAACACAATACAATAAAATTACTTTGTAAGTGGCTTCACCTGCTGTGCACACCCCACCCAAAAAAAGTTGAAAACCAACCCTGAAATGCTTTAGAAAATCTTCAGGATAAGCAAAGGAAGCAGCAGAAGGAGTGAAAGACTATGTTGACAACTTGTCTCTCCTTTTTACTTCTCTCTCTTTTCCTCCCTCCCCTTGGTAAAAAAGTATCACACTTTGGATAATTTGGAAAGCATAAAAAAGTATGAGGAAATTAAAAGTCACCATGTTTATCATTCTATCACCCAGATGAAACTATGATTGACAGCCTGGCATCATTCCTTCCAGTTTTTCTGTACATTCTCTTATTTTATGTAATTTATGTATATAAATATAGTTTATGTAATTTATATATATAAAATTTGGGACTCTGCCATTGTCACTTAACATTTTAACAATTTTTAAAATTAAATTTTATCATTTTAAAAATTCAACCTTCATTAAAATTAATTTTTAAAGCTTACAAAATATACATTACCAAGATTTACCTAACCCATCTGTTATTCTGGGTATGTACATTTATTTTTAAAAAATTTCCTATTATTTATTAGTGATCATCTTTAACCATATTTCTATAATTTAGAAATAGAATGTATATTACATTTCTTAAAAGTTCGTATCTTTGTATTTAGAAATTTCAAAGATATAAACTTTTAAGAGTTCTGATATACATAATCAAATTACTTTTTAGAAAGTCTACTTATCTTCATTCCCTCCAACAGTACATATGTGTCCATCAAAATGGAGTATTCTTATTTTTAAAATATATTTTTTTCTAATTTGGTAACTAAAGTGGAACTGCTATCTTGTAATAATTTTAACTTATTTGCTTACTAAGGCTAATAAGAATACTTTCTATATTTGTTAGACATCTATGTTTCTTTAATGCAGGGACTACCAAACTATGGTTGATGAGTCAAATCTGGTGCTTGGTTTTGTAATGCCTGTTTCAGAACACATGCTGTCCATGTTGTTACATATTGTCTATAGCTCCATTCACTCATATAGCCCACAAAGTTTGAAAATATTTACCATCTGGCTCTTTATAGAAAATGTTTGCTGACTCCTGCTTTAATGATTTGTCTGTTCAGTCCTTTCTCACATTTTTCTATTGGAACAATTGTACTTTTCTTCTTTTTTTTTTTTTTTTATTATACTCTAAGTTTTAGGGTACATGTGCACATTGTGCAGGTTAGTTACCTATGTATACATGTGCCATGCTGGTGCGCTGCACCCACTAATGTGTCATCTAGCATTAGGTATATCTCCCAATGCTATCCCTCCCCCCTCCCCCGACCCCACCACAGTCCCCAGAGTGTGATATTCCCCTTCCTGTGTCCATGTGATCTCATTGTTCAATTCCCACCTATGAGTGAGAATATGCGGTGTTTGGTTTTTTGTTCTTGCGATAGTTTACTGAGAATGATGGTTTCCAATTTCATCCATGTCCCTACAAAGGATATGAACTCATCATTTTTTATGGCTGCATAGTATTCCATGGTGTATATGTGCCACATTTTCTTAATCCAGTCTATCATTGTTGGACATTTGGGTTGGTTCCAAGTCTTTGCTATTGTGAATAGTGCCGCAATAAACATACGTGTGCATGTGTCTTTATAGCAGCATGATTTATAGCCCTTTGGGTATATACCCAGTAATGGGATGGCTGGGTCAAATGGTATTTCTAGTTCTAGATCCCTGAGGAATCGCCACACTGACTTCCACAATGGTTGAACTAGTTTACAGTCCCACCAACAGTGTAAAAGTGTTCCTATTTCTCCACATCCTCTCCAGCACCTGTTGTTTCCTGACTTTTTAATGATTGCCATTCTAACTGGTGTGAGATGATATCTCATAGTGGTTTTGATTTGCATTTCTCTGATGGCCAGTGATGATGAGCATTTCTTCATGTGTTTTTTGGCTGCATAAATGTCTTCTTTTGAGAAGTGTCTGTTCATGTCCTTTGCCCACTTTTTGATGGGGTTGTTTGTTTTTTTCTTGTAAATTTGTTGGAGTTCATTGTAGATTCTGGATATTAGCCCTTTGTCAGATGAGTAGGTTGCGAAAATTTTCTCCCATGTTGTAGGTTGCCTGTTCACTCTGATGGTAGTTTCTTTTGCTGTGCAGAAGCTCTTTAGTTGAATTAGATCCCATTTGTCAATTTTGGCTTTGGTTGCCATTGCTTTTGGTGTTTTGGACATGAAGTCCTTGCCCATGCCTATGTCCTGAATGGTAATGCCTAGGTTTTCTTCTAGGGTTTTTATGGTTTTAGGTCTAACATTTAAATCTTTAATCCATCTTGAATTGATTTTTGTATAAGGTGTAAGGAAGGGATCCAGTTTCAGCTTTCTACATATGGCTAGCCAGTTTTCCCAGCACCATTTATTAAATAGGGAATCCTTTCCCCATTGCTTGTTTTTCTCAGGTTTGTCAAAGATCAGATAGTTGTAGATATGCGGCATTATTTCTGAGGGCTCTGTTCTGTTCCATTGATCTATATCTCTGTTTTGGTACCAGTACCATGCTGTTTTGGTTACTGTAGCCTTGTAGTATAGTTTGAAGTCAGGTAGTGTGATGCCTCCAGCTTTGTTCTTTTGGCTTAGGATTGACTTGGCAATGCGGGCTCTTTTTTGGTTCCATATGAACTTTAAAGTAGTTTTTTCCAATTCTGTGAAGAAAGTCATTGGTAGCTTGATGGGGATGGCATTGAATCTGTAAATTACCTTGGGCAGTATGGCCATTTTCACGATATTGATTCTTCCTACCCATGAGCATGGAATGTTCTTCCATTTGTTTGTGTCCTCTTTTATTTCCTTGAGCGGTGGTTTGTAGTTCTCCTTGAAGAGGTCCTTCACATCCCTTGTAAGTTGGATTCCTAGGTATTTTATTCTCTTTGAAGCAATTGTGAATGGGAGTTCACCCATGATTTGGCTCTCTGTTTGTCTGTTGTTGGTGTATAAGAATGCTTGTGATTTTTGTACATTGATTTTGTATCCTGAGACTTTGCTGAAGTTGCTTATCAGCTTAAGGAGATTTTGGGCTGAGACGATGGGGTTTTCTAGATAAACAATCATGTCGTCTGCAAACAGGGACAATTTGACTTCCTCTTTTCCTAATTGAATACCCTTTATTTCCTTCTCCTGCCTGATTGCCCTGGCCAGAACTTCCAACACTATGTTGAATAGGAGCGGTGAGAGAGGGCATCCCTGTCTTGTGCCAGTTTTCAAAGGGAATGCTTCCAGTTTTTGCCCATTCAGTATGATATTGGCTGTGGGTTTGTCATAGATAGCTCTTATTATTTTGAAATACGTCCCATCAATACCTAATTTATTGAGAGTTTTTAGCATGAAGGGTTGTTGAATTTTGTCAAAGGCTTTTTCTGCATCTATTGAGATAATCATGTGGTTTTTGTCTTTGGCTCTGTTTATATGCTGGATTACATTTATTGATTTGTGTATATTGAACCAGCCTTGCATCCCAGGGATGAAGCCCACTTGCTCATGGTGGAAAAGCTTTTTGATGTGCTGCTGGATTCGGTTTGCCAGTATTTTATTGAGGATTTTTGCATCAATGTTCATCAAGGATATTGGTCTAAAATTCTCTTTTTTGGTTGTGTCTCTGCCCGGCTTTGGTATCAGGATGATGCTGGCTTCATAAAATGAGTTAGGGAGGACTCCCTCTTTTTCTATTGATTGGAATAGTTTCAGAAGGAATGGTACCAGTTCCTCCTTGTACCTCTGGTAGAATTCTGCTGTGAATCCATCTGGTCCTGGACTCTTTTCGGTTGGTAAGCTATTGATTATTGCCACAATTTCAGAGCCTGTTATTGGTCTATTCAGAGATTCAACTTCTTCCTGGTTTAGTCTTGGGAGAGTGTATGTGTCGAGGAATGTATCCATTTCTTCTAGATTTTCTAGTTTATTTGCGTAGAGGTGTTTGTAGTATTCTCTGATGGTAGTTTGTATTTCTGTGGGATTGGTGGTGATATCCCCTTTATCATTTTTTATTGTGTCTATTTGATTCTTCTCTCTTTTTTTCTTTATTAGTCTTGCTAGCGGTCTATCAATTTTGTTGATCTTTTCAAAAAACCAGCTCCTGGATTCATTGATTTTTTGAAGGGTTTTTTGTGTCTCTATTTCCTTGAGTTCTGCTCTGATTTTAGTTATTTCTTGCCTTCTGCTAGCTTTTGAATGTGTTTGCTCTTGCTTTTCTAGTTCTTTTAATTGTGATGTTAGGGTGTCAATTTTGGATCTTTCCTGCTTTCTCTTGTAGGCATTTAGTGCTATAAATTTCCCTCTACACACTGCTTTGAATGCGTCCCAGAGATTCTGGTATGTGATGTCTTTGTTCTCGTTGGTTTCAAAGAACATCTTTATTTCTGCCTTCATTTCGTTATGTACCCAGTAGTCATTCAGGAGCAGGTTGTTCAGTTTCCATGTAGTTGAGCGGCTTTGAGTGAGATTCTTAATCCTGCGTTCTAGTTTGATTGCACTGTGGTCTGAGAGATAGTTTGTTATAATTTCTGTTCTTTTACATTTGCTGAGGAGAGCTTTACTTCCAACTATGTGGTCAATTTTGGAATAGGTGTGGTGTGGTGCTGAAAAAAATGTATATTCTGTTGATTTGGGGTGGAGAGTTCTGTAGATGTCTATTAGGTCTGCTTGGTGCAGAGCTGAGTTCAATTCCTGGGTATCCTTGTTGACTTTCTGTCTCGTTGATCTGTCTAATGTTGACAGTGGGGTGTTAAAGTCTCCCATTATTAATGTGTGGGAGTCTAAGTCTCTTTGTAGGTCACTGAGGACTTGCTTTATGAATCTGGGTGCTCCTGTATTGGGTGCATAAATATGTAGGATAGTTAGCTCCTCTTGTTGAATTGATCCCTTTACCATTATGTAATGGCCTTCTTTGTCTCTTTTGATCTTTGTTGGTTTAAAGTCTGTTTTATCAGAGACTAGGATTGCAACCCCTGCCTTTTTTTGTTTTCCATTGGCTTGGTAGATCTTCCTCCATCCTTTTATTTTGAGCCTATGTGTGTCTCTGCACGTGAGATGGGTTTCCTGAATACAGCACACTGATGGGTCTTGACTCTTTATCCAACTTGCCAGTCTGTGTCTTTTAATTGCAGAATTTAGTCCATTTATATTTAAAGTTAATATTGTTATGTGTGAATTTGATCCTGTCATTATGATGTTAGCTGGTGATTTTGCTCATTAGTTGATGCAGTTTCTTCCTAGTCTCGATGGTCTTTACATTTTGGCATGATTTTGCAGCGGCTGGTACCGGTTGTTCCTTTCCATGTTGAGCACTTCCTTCAGGAGCTCTTTTAGGGCAGGCCTGGTGGTGACAAAATCTCTCAGCATTTGCTTGTCTATAAAGTATTTTATTTCTCCTTCACTTATGAAGCTTAGTTTGGCTGGATATGAAATTCTGGGTTGAAAATTCTTTTCTTTAAGAATGTTGAATATTGGCCCCCACTCTCTTCTGGCTTGTAGGGTTTCTGCCGACAGATCCGCTGTTAGTCTGATGGGCTTTCCTTTGAGGGTAACCCGACCTTTCTCTCTGGCTGCCCTTAACATTTTTTCCTTCATTTCAACTTTGGTGAATCTGACAATTATGTGTCTTGGAGTTGCTCTTCTCGAGGAGTATCTTTGTGGCGTTCTCTGTATTTCCTGAATCTGAACGTTGGCCTGCCTTGCTAGATTGGGGAAGTTCTCCTGGATAATATCCTGCAGAGTGTTTTCCAACTTGGTTCCATTCTCCACATCACTTTCAGGTACACCAATCAGACGTAGATTTGGTCTTTTCACATAGTCCCATATTTCTTGGAGGCTTTGCTCATTTCTTTTTATTCTTTTTTCTCTAAACTTCCCTTCTCGCTTCATTTCATTCATTTCATCTTCCATTGCTGATACCCTTTCTTCCAGTTGATCGCATCGGCTCCTGAGGCTTCTGCATTCTTCACGTAGTTCTCGAGCCTTGGTTTTCAGCTCCATCAGCTCCTTTAAGCACTTCTCTGTATTGGTTATTCTAGTTATACATTCTTCTAAATTTTTTTCAAAGTTTTCAACTTCTTTGCCTTTGGTTTGAATGTCCTCCCGTAGCTCAGAGTAATTTGATCGTCTGAAGCCTTCTTCTCTCAGCTCGTCAAAATCATTCTCCATCCAGCTTTGTTCTGTTGCTGGTGAGGAACTGCGTTCCTTTGGAGGAGGAGAGGCGCTCTGCGTTTTAGAGTTTCCAGTTTTTCTGTTCTGTTTTTTCCCCATCTTTGTGGTTTTATCTACTTTTGGTCTTTGATGATGGTGATGTACAGATGGGTTTTCGGTGTAGATGTCCTTTCTGGTTGTTAGTTTTCCTTCTAACAGACAGGACCCTCAGCTGCAGGTCTGTTGGAATACCCTGCCGTGTGAGGTGTCAGTGTGCCCCTGCTGGGGGGTGCCTCCCAGTTAGGCTGCTCGGGGGTCAGGGGTCAGGGACCCACTTGAGGAGGCAGTCTGCCCGTTCTCAGATCTCCAGCTGCGTGCTGGGAGAACCACTGCTCTCTTCAAAGCTGTCAGACAGGGACACTTAAGTCTGCAGAGGTTACTGCTGTCTTTTTGTTTGTCTGTGCCCTGCCCCCAGAGGTGGAGCCTACAGAGGCAGGCAGGCCTCCTTGAGCTGTGGTGGGCTCCACCCAGTTCGAGCTTCCCGGCTGCTTTGTTTACCTAAGCAAGCCTGGGCAATGGCGGGCGCCCCTCCCCCAGCCTGGTTGCCGCCTTGCAGTTTGATCTCAGACTGCTGTGCTAGCAATCAGCGAGATTCCGTGGGCGTAGGACCCTCTGAGCCAGGTGTGGGATATAGTCTCGTGGTGCGCCGTTTCTTAAGCCGGTCTGAAAAGCGCAATATTCGGGTGGGAGTGACCCGATTTTCCAGGTGCGTCCGTCACCCCTTTCTTTGACTCGGAAAGGGAACTCCCTGACCCCTTGCGCTTCCCAGGTGAGGCAATGCCTCGCCCTGCTTCGGCTCGCGCACGGTGCGCACACACACTGGCCTGCGCCCACTGTCTGGCACTCCCTAGTGAGATGAACCCGGTACCTCAGATGGAAATGCAGAAATCACCCGTCTTCTGCGTCGCTCACGCTGGGAGCTGTACACCGGAGCTGTTCCTATTCGGCCATCTTGGCTCCTCCCCCCAACAATTGTACTTTTCTTACAATTTAGCAAAAGCACCTTACATATTAAGGATATTTAGTCTTCGGCATACATTTTGCTAATATTTTGCCTGTTTTTAAATAAACCTTTCTATGGCATTTTTTTTCTATTGTAGAGAAATTAGTAGTCAATGTATGCATCATAAGCATGTTTTTTCCTCCAATGCTTTTTCTTTTAACTTTTTTATTTGGAGATAATAGATTCACAGGATGTTGAAAAGAAATGTGTAGGAAAGTCCCATGAGCTCTTCCCCTTCCTTGATGTTAACTTGTTATATAACCACACTACAATACCCAAACCAAGAAAGTGGTATTGGTACAATCCATTGGGCTTATTCAGATTTAACCAGTTAAACATATATTCATTTGTGTGCATAGCTCTATGCAGTGTAATTACATGTGTAACTTTGTGTAACCACCACCAAAATCAAGATACTCAACCATATGACTCCTTCGTGTTACCCTTTTACAGCTACATCCGCCACCTCCTACCCCCGAATCCCTAACTCCTGGACACCAATAATCTGTTCTCTACCTCTATAATTATGTTATTTCATGACTGTTACAAACATGAAATCATGCAGATTGGCTTTTTCACTTCAGCATAATGTAATTGAGGTTCTTCCAAGTTATGTATCGAACTAGTTCCAATAAAGTTGCTGAGTAGGATTTTATTGTATGGATGGTTTGTTTAACCATTAACCCATTGGGTAGTTTCCAATTCTTGGCTATTACAAATAAGGCTGATGTGAACATTAATGTACAGGGTTTTATGTGAACATAAGTTTTCATTTCTTCGGGATAAATGCCCAGAAGTGTGATTTCTGGGTTGCATGTTTAGTTTTTTTTTTTTAAGAAATTACCAAACTGTTTTCCAGAGTGTACCATTTTACATTCCCATAAGCAATGTATGAGTGATAGAATTTCTCTGCATCTTCTCTAGTATTTGGTGTAGTCACTGTTTTTTAATGTAGTCATTCTGATAGGTATGTAGTGCAATCTCATTGTGATACTAACTTTCATTTCTGTAACAGCTAATAATGTTGAACATCTTTTCATGTGTTTATTCGCCATCTGTATATCCTATTCAGGAAAATGTCTGAGCATATCTTTTATCCATTTTTAAATTGTATTGCTTGTTTTTCTGCTGAGTTTTAAGAGTTATTTAGTCCTAGCGCCAGTCAGGACCTTAAGATGTTCTCATATGTTCTTTTCTTGAAGTTTTATAGTTTTATGTTTTACGTTTAAGTCCGCAATCTACTATGATTTTTTTTTTATATAAGGTGTGAGACTTGAGTTGAGGTTCTTTTATTTTTTCATTATGGATGTCCAATTGCTCTGGTACCAATTACTGAAAAGATTATCCTTCCTCTATTGAATGACTTTTGCACTTTTGCCAAAGATAAGTTGACTATATTTCTGTGGATCTATTTCTGGGTTCTCTATTCTATTCCATTGATCTATGTATCTGTCCCTCCACCAATACCACATTGTCTTGATTACTGCAGTCTGGAAGTGATTTCTTCCCACTTAATTCTTCATTTTCAAAATTGTTTTGCCTCTCCTAGGGCCTGTATATTTCCATTTAAATTTTAGAGCAAGCTTGTTTATAATTATAAAAAAAATCTTGCTTATATTTTGACAGGAATTGCATTAAAACTATAGATCAATTTGGAGAAAACTGACATCATTACTATGTTGAGTCTTCCAATCCATGAACATGATTTGTTTCTCCATGTATTTATGTCTTCTTTGATTTCTTTCATCAGCATTTAATAATTTTTATCATACAGATCCTATACATATTTTGTTAGATTATACCTAAATATTTAAATTTATTTGAAGCTATTTTTGAAATGGTCATTTTTCATTTCAGTTTCTGCATGTTTAAGTATATAGAAATATGATTGATTTTTGTGTGTTGATCTTGTGTCCTCTGACCTTACTGAACTCATTTATTAGTTTTCACGGTTTTATTATAGATTACTTGAGGTAGTCTATGTTAGGATGTCATGTATCTGCAAATAAAGAGTTTTATGTATGAATTTTATTAATTTTTCTTGACTTACTATAATAGAATTTTCAGTACTATGATAAATAAGAGTGGTGAGAGTGGATGTTAAATAATAGTGGTAAGAATGGGCATCCTTGCCATGTTCCCTGTCTTAGAGGGAAAGCATTAAGTCTCACTATTAAGTATAATGTTAGCTGTGGATTGTAACAATTTTATTTGAAGAGAAAAATAAAATGTTTCAAAAAATCCTTCCAAAACAAGAAAAAAAGAAAAGTAAGTAATAACCTATTTTTGAAAGGAACAAACCATTTTCCACAAAATAACTGTCCTTCAGAAGAGTACCCCCAAAGAAGATCAAGTCTCCTGTCCACTCACAAGTGAAAAAGAGTGTGGTCTCATCCAGACGAATGGTCTTTGGCTTGATACATAAATCCACACTGGCAGTATCCAGGCTGCGCTGGTGAGTCTTAGAGTTGTAGCACGATGCTGAGCGGCAGTGGTCTCGAAGCCAGACGTAATCAAAGCGCATCACGGTATTAGCATATTTCAGCTCTAGGGAAAAGATCACATTTATCAGAACTATTTATTGAGATAACTTTAAAAAATCAGCATCCAGAAAACTTCCTTCTAAAAGTCTTCTACCAATAAGCAATAAGGGTTGAGGGGAGGGACTTGCCCCTTACCAGATATTAAAATATACTGTAGAACTTCTATAATTAAAATGGTGTAATGTTGTATTTAAATAGATAAAATGATGGAAGAGTATAAAAAGCCCAGAAATATACCCAAATGCATATGGAAATCTGGTATGTAATAAAGTGACAGCAAAAGTCATTGAGGAAAAAATGAATTTTTTAAATAAATGGTGTTGGGACAACTGATAGAACTTGGGAAAAGATAAATTTGTGTCTGTATGTCATGTTGTCACAAGGTTATCAAGATAAACTCAAAATATATAGGAGTACTAAATTTAGAAAATGAAACCATTCAAGGATCAAAAGAAGGAAGCATAGGTGCGTAGAGGATATATATATGAGGTGATATGGTTTGGCTCTGTGTCCCCACCCAAATCTCATGTTGAATTGTAATCCCCAGTGTTGGGGGAGGGACCTGGTGGGAGGTGATTGGATCATGGGGGCAAATTTCCCCCTTGCTGTTCTCCTGAATGTGACGGAGCTCTCACGAGATCTGGTTGCTTTAAAGTGTGTACACTTCTGCCTTCACTTTCTCCTGCTTTGCCATGGTAAGGTGTGCTTGCTTCCCCTCACCTTCCACCATGATTGTAAGTTTCCTGAGGCCTCCCAGCCATGCTTACTGTACAGCCTGCAGAACTGTGAGTCAATTAAACCTCTTTTCTTCATAAAGTACCCAGTTTCAGGTTGTTCTTTATAGCCATGTGAGAACAAACAAACACAGAAAATTGTTACCAGAGAAGTGGGGCATTGCTATAAAGATACCTGAAAATGTCGAAGCAACTTTGGAACTGGGTAACAGGCAGGGATTGGAACAGTTTGGAGGGCTCAGAAGAAGACAGAAAGGCGAGGGAAATTTAGGAACTTCCTAGAGACTTCTTGAATAGTTTTGACCAAAATGCTGATAGCGATGCAAACTGTGAAGTCCATACTGAGGTGGTCTCAGATAGAGATGAGGAACTTATTGGGAACTGGAGTAATGGTCACTCTTGCTATGCTTTATCAGAGACTGGCAGCATTGTGCCCCTGCTCTAGGGATTTATGGAACTTTCAACTTCAGAGAGATGATTTAGGGTATCTGGCAGAAGAAATGTCTAAGTAGCAAAGTGTTCAAGATGTGGCCTGGCTGCTTCTAACAGTGTATGCTCATATGCATTTGCAAAGAGATGGTATGAAATTGGAACTTATATTTAAAAGGGAAACAGTATGAAAGGTTGTAAAATGTGCAGTGAAACCATGTGGTGGAAAACAAACCATTTTCTGGGAGGAATTCAAGGCTGCAGAAATTTCCATAAGCAAAGAGAAGCCAAATGTTAATATCCAAGACAATGGGGGGGAAATGTCTCCAGGGCATGTCAGAGACCTTTGCAGGAGCCCATCCCATTACAGGCCCTGAGGCCAAGAGGGAAAAAAGAGTTTTGTGGGCCAGGCCCAGGGCCCTACTGCTCTGTGCAGCCTTGGGACATGGCCCCCATGTCCTTTGGCTCTGTGTCTCAGCAGCTCCAGCTCTAGCCATGGCTAAAAGGGACCAAAGAACAGCTTGGGCCATTGCTTCAGAGGATGCAGGCCCCAAGTGGTGGCTTCCATGTGTTGTTGGGCCTATGGGTGCCCAGAAGGCAGGAGTTGAGGCTTGGGAACCTCCGCCTAGATTTCACAGGATGGCTGGAAATGCCTGGATATCCAGGCAGAAGTCTATTGCAGGGGCAGAGCCCTCATGAAGAACCTCTACTAGGGCAGTGTGGAGGAGAAATGTGGGGTTGGAAGCCCCACACAGAGTCCCCACTAGGGCACTGCCTAGTGGAACTATGAGAAGAGGGCCACCATCCTCCAGACCCCAGAATGGTAGATCCACCAACAACTTGCACTGTGCACCTGGAAAAGCCACAGCCACTCAATGCCAGCCTGTGAAAGCACCCCCAGGGCTGTATCCTGCAAAGCCACAGGGGCAGAGCTGCCCAAGGCCGTGGGAACCCACCCCTTGAATCAGCATACCCTGGATGTGAGACATGGAATCAAAGGAGATTATTTTGGAGCTTTAAGATTTAACGACTGCCCTGTTGGGTTTTGAACTTGCATGGGGCCTGTAGCCCCTTGGCTTTGGCCAATTTCTCCCATTTGGAATGGGAGCATTTACCGAATGCCTGTACCCCCATTGTATCTTGGAAGTAACAAACTTGTTTTTGATTTTACAAGCTCATAGGTGGAAGAGACTTGCCTTGTCTCAGATGAGACTTTGGACTTGAACTTCTGAGTTAGTGCTGGAGTGAGTTAAGACTTTAGGAGACCGTTGGAAGGCGTGATTGGTTTTGAAATGTGAAAAGACATGAGATTTGGGAGGGGCTAGGAGTGGAATGATGGAATGATATGGTTTGTCTCTGTGTCCCCACCCAAATCTCATGTTGAATTGTAATCCCCAATGTTGGGGGAGGGACCTGGTGGGAGGTGATTGGATCATGGGGGCAAATTCCCCCCTTGCTGCTCTAATGATAGTGAGTTCTCATGAGATCTGGTTGTTTAAAAGTGTGTAGCACTTCCCCCTTTGCTGTCTCTCTCTCCTTCTCCACCATGGTAAGACATGCTTGCTTGCCCTTTACCTTCTACCAAGATTGTAAGTTTCCTGAGGCCTCCTAGCCATGCTTCCTGTACAGCCTATGGAACTGTGAGTCAATTAAACTTCTTTTCTTCATAAATTAACCATTCTCTGGGAGTTCTTTATGGCAGTGTGAGAACAGGCTAATACAGGAGGTCCTTGTACTATTTTAGCAACTAACCTTCTGTTAATTTGAAGTTATAGCAAAATAAAAAAATTACAAAAAAAACAAAGACTTTCTATACATCAGGTTACTCATTTAGAAAAGGTAAATAAAGTGTGTGACCCAATTTACAAAAGAAAAGAAAAAAATAAGTTATGCCTTCATATAATTCAAAAAAAATAAATTTCTGATGGATTAAAGTACAAAAAATTAAAACTGTAAAACATTAAATGTTGACAACCTTGAGGTAGGAAAGGCTGTTTTAATATGACACAAAAGGCACAGAGATAAATTAATCTATATTAAAATAAATACCTTCTGTTCTGCAAACAATATAAAAGCAAAGTTAAAAGAGAAGTAACAGGAAAAATATTTGTAGCATAAAAGGATTAATATCCAGCATACAGAATAAACCTCTGTGATCATTAAAGATAAAAACCCAACAGAAAAATAGGTGAAGGATATCAATAAGGAAAGTCACCAGAAGTGACGGGCAAACGTATGAACTGCCCCCAGCCTTGGTAATAATCAAAGAAATGGGTATTTAAACCAAAATGTGATACCATTTTATACCCATCAGAGCAATAAAAATTTTAAAGGCTGATTAAAATGTGTTTTAAAGGATGTGGGGAAAAATGCATACTTGCAAACATTGGTAGTAGGAGTATATATTGTTAAAGTTATACTAGATGGCAATCAGCAAGTTTCTATGAAAATAATTTAAAATGTGCATATTTGACCTAGATATTCACCTCTCAGTATTTATTTTTTTCTCTTGTACTTTATTTATTTATTTTATCTTTTAATATTTTTTTTTATGTCAGTAGCTTCTGGGGCTCAAGTGGTTTTTGGTTACATGGATGAATTGTATATTGGTGAAGTCAGAGATTTCAGTGCACCCATCACCCGAGTAGTGTACACTGAAACTGATATGTAGTTTTTTATTCTTTATCCCCCTCCTTCCCTCTCCCCTTCTGAGTCTCCAGTGTCCATTATACCACTCTGTATGCCTTTGCATAACATAGCTTAGCTCCCACTTGTAAGTAAGAACATACAGTATTTGGTTTTTCATTCCTGAGTTACTTCACTTAGAATAATGGCCTTCAGCTCCATCCAAGTTGCTGCAAAATACATTATTTCATTCTTTTTTATGGCTGAGTAGTATTCCATGGTGTATATATACATTTTCTTTATCCACTTATTGGTTGATGGGTACTGAGATTGGTTCCATATCTTTGCCATTGTAAATTGTGCTGTGATGAACATACACAAACAGGTGTCTTTTTGATATAATGACTTCTTTTCCTTTGGACAAATAGTAGTGCACCTCTCAGTATTTATCGTATAGAAAGTGTCACACATGTGGAGCTGCATATAAGGTTATTCATAATAGTGATGGTTATAATAGTAAAAATAATTAGAAAAAAGACTAAATGTCTATCAGTGGGGAAGTGGAAGAATCGCTGAATAAACTGTGGTTTATCCACATTTTAAGATATTAAGCAATAGTTTTTAAAAACTGCTATACCTGTACCTCTCACATTCACTTTCATTGGTATTATCATTCTCATTTTAAGGACAACTAACTAAAGCTCAGAGATGCTAAGTAACTTTGTAAGAATATAATCATTAGGTGGTAGAGCTAAGACATGAACCCAAGTCATGCAACCCCACAGCCTAGTACACTAATGTGTCTCAAAGTACAGCCTTGGGAATCTGGAGGTGATACTTCTTTTAGAAAAACACAGAGAGGAGCTTGGCAAATTTTCTCCCCCAAAAGTATTGATAAAACTGGCCAAACTAAAAAAGAACCATTTTAAGACTCTGGAAATTGTCCAAAGGTATACAGCAAATTGAGAAGTATTTATTATATTTTTAATTTCTTTAGTAACCTTCATACTGTTTTCCATAATTGGTACACCAATCTACATTCCCACCAACAGTGTACAAGAGTTCCTTTTTCTCCACACCCTTGCCAACACTTGTTATCTCTTGTCTTTTTGATAATAGGTATTCTAATGGGTGTCAGGTGGTATATCAGAGTAGTTTTGATTTGTATTTCTCTTATAATTAGTGATGTTGAGCATCTTTTCATATACGTGTTGGTCATTTGTATGTCTTCTTTGGGGAAATGTCTATTCAGATCCATTGACCATTTTTTAATTGGGTTATATGTTTTGTTGCTATTGAGTTGTATGAATTCTTTATAAATTTTGGATATGAACCCCTTATCACAAATACAGTTTGCAAATATTTTTCCTAATCTCTAGGATATCTTTTCATTTTGTTGACTGTTTCCTTTGCTGTGCATAACCTGGTTAGTTTGATGTTGTCTCATTTATTTATTTTGGTTTTTGTATCCTAAGCAGTTGGTGTGATATCCAAAAAAATCATTGCCAAGGCCAATGTCAAGGAGCTTTACCACCTGTTTTCTTCTAGGAGTTTTATGGTTTCAGGTCTTATTCTTGTTTAAGTCTTTTATCCATTTTGAGCTGATTTGTGTGTAGGATGACAAAGGTCCAATTTCATTCTTTTACCTTCTGAGTATATGCCCAAAGGAAATGAAAGTACTACCTCATAAAGATACCTGCACTTCCATGTTCATTGCAGCATTATTCATGAAAGCCAAGATATGGAAAGAACCTAAATGTCTGTTGATGGACGAATGTATAAAAAACTGTGGTATATATAGACAATGGAATATTATTCAGCCTTTTAAAAAGGAGATCTTGCCATTTGCCATAATATGGATGAACCTGGAGGACATTATGCTAAGTGAAATAAACCAGATACAGAAAAAAAATTTGCATGATCTCATTTGTATCCGGAATCTTAAAAAAAAAGTCAAATAAATATACAGAGAGAATAAAACAGTGGTTACCAGGGCCAAGGGTAGGGGCATGAGGCTAAGGACACAAAGTAGCAGATATGTAGAATGATCAGATCTAGATGTCTGTTATATAACAACATGAAGACTATAGTTTATAATAGTGCATTATGTTTTGGATTTTTGCTAAATGAGTCAATGGTAGCTGTTCTTGCCACAAAAAAATGGGTAACTATGTGAGATGATTGATATGTTAATTTGCTTCACTATAGTAACCATTATACTGTCTATATGTATCTCATAATATCATGTCATATACTTTAAACATACACAATGCAATTTCTTTTAAAAAGGAAGCATTTATTTACAAAAAAACTACTGAACCTTGGGTAAAAACAGTGGGAATCTGTGGTGTATTTTAGCATGGGGTGCTCCCACTCCTATTCCTCCACCTCTAGCTCCAATCAGCAGTAGTTCCACGAAGGTGGGCTAAACCAAGAAAACCGGCAGCTTTGCTGTCAAATATGACTAACTTGATTTGGAGCAGAGCATGCATAAAACCCCCATGCATCTGGGTGTTATCAAAAACAATTAGGGAAGCCATACTGGTTGGAGCAAACAACAGACCAGAAGAACAGGCAGAAATCTAACCAGGCTATATAGGGAGTGAGAAAGCTATAATGGGCCTTGAAAAGCTCCCACACATCCCTAGTATTTGGAAGGTTGCACATGCATGCAGTGCTGTATGCACACTGAAGAGAGACTGGAAATGGCTCCAGTTATTTACATGTCTCTGGATGAAAATGAGGCTTTTTGTAGGAGACATGAGAATGACAGAAAGTAAAAACCAGGACAAACTTCTATGGTTAGTCTGTTTGCATCATTATAGAGAAATACCTGGGGCTAGGTAACTTGTAAAGAAAAGAGATTTATTTGGCTCATGGTTCTGCAGGTTGTACAGAAAGCATAGTGCTGGCATCTGCTTCTGGTGAGGGCCTCAGGAAGCTTATAATCATGGCAGAAGGTGAAGGGGAGCTAACATGACACATAGTGAGAGAGAGAGCAAGAGAGAGTGAAGAAGTGCCAGGCTCTTTTAAACAACTGGATCTTGTCTGAATTCATTACTGAGGGGCAGGCACCAAGCCATTCATGAGGGATTTGCCCTCATGACCCAAATACCTCCCATCAGGCCCCATTTCTAACATTGCAGATCACATTTCAACATGAGATTTGGAGGAGACAAACATCCAAACCATATCACTTGTAAATAGCTCAAACTTCAAGTGTATGCCTCAAACAACACACAGATCCTCTGGCAAAGGGTGGAAGCCTTATTACATTAAGTTTTTTAAGCATAACCTCTGATCAATACTTGGCTGGCCTCTAAACTATATCAGGAATTCCCAACCTGATGCCTCAACTAGGCCTATGGACATCTGGGCCAGATAGTCCTTTTGTCATAGGGACAGGTGTCAGCAGCATCTTCCTCTCCAGTTGTGACGACAAAAAATGTCTCCAGACAATGCCAAAGGTCCTCTGGGGGGCAAAATAGACCCCAATTGAGAGCCTCTGGGCTATGGTGACCCCAGTGCAATGCTTAGGAAACCACAGTTAAAAATAAAAACAAGAAGTAAAAATAAAACCTGAGCAGAGACATCAGTGGCTACACACTGCAGGGCACAAAGACTCCACAGAATTACCCCAGACAACAAAAAAATACACAAAACAAACAAATACACAAAATACAAACAAATACACAAAAATATGCAACAATTCCTCTGGGGACATGAGAACTCAGTTTCCATAAAATATTATCTAAAATGTCCAGATTTTCAACAACAAGAAAAGATCATGAGATATGTATAGAAACAGAAGGGTTACCTACACACAGAAAAAAAGCAGGCATCAGAAACCCTCTGAGAATATTACAGAAAATCCTATTGCCTAAGTCAAACATGCAGATAGAAGGCAACTTACGTCCTGCAGAAAATGTCTTTCCCTTCTAATAGTCTTGAGCTTTACAGGAGAGAAGCAGAATGGACTATTGGGGCATCACCTCCATGTACCTATATTATTTCCTCATTATAAGCCAACACTTGGTCTTTACTGAGTCATTTTGTCTGTGACAGCAGGCATGCCTTATACAAGTGCTTTCAAGGTATACCCCAACTGGATGCTTGAAAATGTATAGATACTGAACTTAATTGAAAGACTGTCTGATACAACTGCTGATACTCTGAAATAGGGCTATTCATTTGGTGGTGCCCTACAGTTGGAGTTCTTGTCCTAGGGTGTGTGGAATAATATGCAAAATTCGTGTGTGTGTGTGTGTGTGTGTGTGTGTGTGTGTGTGTGTGTGTAGAATTTCTATGGGGTCTATAACCTAAAAATATTGAGAACCCTTTCCCTAGAGTGACAAAAGTGTTTGAGTACCACTAACCCTTATTCAGTTTGGTCATTGCAGTGAGATGATGCACAGTTCAACAAACTACAGCTTGTGGGTCAAATATAGTATGTGACCTATTTTGTTTGGCTTGCAAGATAAAAAATGGTTTTTACACTTTTAAAGTGTAATAAAACAAAAACAAAACAAAGAAAATCACTGTAATGGTTAACTCTATATGTCAATTTGACTGGACCATGGGGTGCCCAGATAAGTGGCTAAACATTAATTCTGTGAGAGTGTTTCTGGAGGAAATTAGCATTTAAATCAATAGACTGAGTAGAGTACATTGCCTTCTGCAATGCGGGAATAATTCTATCTGCCTGCTTGAACTGGGATATTGGTCTTTTCCTGTTCTTGGACTGAAACTTACATATCAGCCTTCCATTTTAGGCCTTTGAACTTCGACTAGAACTTAGAAAGGTTCTCCTGGTTCTTAGGCCTTCAGACTAAACTGGAATCATATCACCAGGTTTCCTGGGTCTCAAGCTTATGGATGGAAGACTGGTACTTTTTAGTTTCCATAATTGTGTGAGCTGATTCCTTTACACACACACATACACATGCACACACACGTGCACACGCACACACACACACACACACATATATATCCCCCTATTGGTTCTGTTCTGTTTCTCTGGAGAACACTGACTAATATAGATATTGGTACTGAGAAGTAGGGTACTGCTGTAACAAATACCTAAAATTGTGGAAGCAGCTTTGGAAATGGGTAATGGGGTAGAGGCTGAAAGAGTTTTCAGGTACATGCTAGAAAAAAGCCTAGATTACTGTGAAGGGATTGCTAATGGTGTTTCTGGTAAGAGGTCAGAAAAAAAAAGAGGACAGCTAGAGGGAAAGCCTCCATGTTCCTAGAGAATATAAATAATTGTAAACAGAATGCTGGTAGAAATGTGAATGGTAAAGGCCATTCTGATGAGGTCTCAGATGGAAAAGAGGAACATGCTACTGGACAAAGGAAAAAAAAGTGACACTTTTTATAAAGTGGCAAAAAACTTAGCTGCAAAGTGATGAGAGAGCAGTTGGTTCCTTCTGACTGCTTACAGTAAAATGCGAGAAGAGATAAATGAATTGAAGAAGGAACTGTTAAACAAAAAGGAACCAGGACTTAAAAGATTTAGAAAATTCTCAGCTTATCCATATTGCAAAGAATGAGAAAGTATGTTTGAAAGAGAATACTAAGGGTGTGGCTGATCCACATTTGATAAGGAGATAAGTGTGTGCATGAACCATGGTCCTAGTCAGCCATCTCAACAGAAGCCATAAACAGAGATGGGATTATACCAGCAGAAAAACTGCCAGCTGGGACCAAAAAGAACAGAGAAAATGGGACAAAATTGAAAGAGTTGTGCATGTGCTATTTATTCCTCAAAAAAAGGGAAGAGTGAGGCTAAAGGCAATTTAGAGATCATCGGGGCTGCCACTCCCACCACAGGCCCAAGGGGCAGGGCTAGTTCTTCCTCAGGCTAGAGTGCAGTGGTGCGATCTCGGCTTACTGCAGCCTCTGCCTCCTGGGTTCAAGCGATTCTCCTGCCTTCGTCTCCCTGGTAGCTGGGACTATAGGTGCCCGCCACCATGCCCAGCTAATTTTTGTATTTTTAGTAGAAACAAGGTTTTGCTGTGTTGGTCAGGCTGGTCTTGAACTCCTGACCTCAAGTGATCTGCCTGCCTTAGCCTTCCAAAGTGCTGGTATTACAGACATGAGCCACCTGGCACCCGGCCTTATTTCTCTCTTTTTGGAATGGGACTGTCTCTATTGTACCTGTCCCACCTTCCTATTTTGGAAGCACATACTTATCTGGTTTCACAGGAGAAGAAATTTTGCCTCAGGATAAATTGTACCTCAAGTCTCACCCATATCAAATTTAGGTGAGATTTAGTTGAGACTTTGGAATTTTCATCTTTAGAGTGGATGCTGGAATGAGTTAAGACGGGGTTGTTGGGATGGAAGGTATGTATTTTATGTGAGAAGAATATGAATTTGGGGAATCTATGGGTGGAATGTAATAGACTGAATTGAGTCTCCCCTAAGTCCATATGTTAAAGCTCTAATCCCCAATGTGATGGTATCTGGAGATGGAGACTTTGGGAGATAATTAGGCCATGAAGGTAGATTCCTCATGATGGTATTAGTGCTCTTATAACAAGGGACAGGAGATGGAGCCCTTTATCTCTCCACCATGTGAAGATACAGCAAGAAGGCAGAGGGCAGCCTTCTGCAAGCCAGGAAGAGAGTCCTCACCAGAACTTGACTATGCTGGTGCCCTGATGTTGGATTTTGTAGCCTCCAGAACTGTGAGAAATAAATGTCTGTTGTTTAAGCCACCTGGGCTATGGTCTTTTGTTAAAGCAGCCTGAGCCAACTAAGACAACCATGGGACAGAGATTGTACATGGCCCAAAAAAAGCCTAAAATATTTACTGTCTGGCTGTGTTAGTCAGTTCAGGCTGCTATAACAAAATTATAATAGACTGGGTAGCTTAAACAACAGATATTTATTTCTCACTGTCTGGAAGCTAGGAAGTCTAAGATGAGGGTTCCAGGCCATTTGATTCCTGGTGAGGACACTCTTCTTGCTGTGCAGATGGCTACCTTGTTGCTATATCCTCAAATGATAGAGATAGAATGTGCTCTCTCTTATAATGGCACTAATTCCATCATGAGGACTCCACCCTAATAATCTAATTAGCTCTCAAAGGTTCCATCTTCAAGTACCATCACATTGGGAGTTAGGCTTCAACATATGAATTTGGAGAAAACACATTCAGTCCATAGCACTGGCCCTTTACAGATAAAAGTCTGCTGACCTCTGAGATAATCTGTAGCAGAAACTCTTTTTTTCATCCTCTCCTTCACTTCTAGTGAGTTGGCAAGAGTAGCTAATACTACCACCTTAATAGCATTTGAAACCTAACTAACCCCTGTCTCCATTTAAGCTCCACACATCAGTCAGAATACTCTTTCCAATGAAATTTAGCTTAGAATCCCTTAAGTAGTTTCCCATTACAATAAAGACCAATCTCCTCAAGATTGCCTACAAGGGTCTGCACAATGTGGCCCCGGCTAACCTCTGTAGCATCTTTTGTCAACCCTTCCTTGCACTTGATGTAGCAGTCCATATAGGCCAATATGACATATTCTCTGTAGCCTAACTCTTGTACATATAGTTTGCTCTAACTGAAACATTCTTCTTCACTGCCTCAACCCTCTTCCCCTGCCTAGTTCATATTCAATACTCATGACTCAGCAGGCAGTCATTCATAACTCTCCAGGTTGGATTAAGTACCTTTCCTCTTTGTTCTTACAGCACCCTATGTATTTCCTAAAAGAATTTCTCATCTTGTCTTATGCTTGTTTATCATTGCCACAAGACTGTGAGTATCTTGAGGATAGGGAATGTGTCTTCTTCCTCTCTGCATGCTTTGCACTTAGGACAATGCCTGAATCCTGGTAGGTATTCATTAAATGTTTGTTGAATAAATCAATGGTAAATCAAGCAGTGGTGCAGCTGCCTTACTGGTAACTCCAATACAGGCCACATATCTACAAATGATCTTCTCCTGCTCTACTAGATAGCTAGTAATCCTGACTATATGCTATATTCCATTTTCAGGTTAAGAGTTGCTAGTTATATAAGCAGTGTAGTAGTGGAATAAACTACTGTGTGGCTAGACTTGCCTTTTAGTAGGCTTCAATATATCCCCTCATTTTAGTTAAGTTGGTATGCTTACTGTCCTTTTGCTGACTGGAATCCATTCTTGCCTTTTCACTTGTAACTTTTCTCCTTGAAATCACAGGAGAAATTAATTAAAGGACTTTCTGATTAAATGACCACCTTCTCCTTCAAAATATAGCTAAAAATTCATTTATTCAAGGCAGCTTCTTTGAATAATGTATTTCCTCTTTGAAATTAAATATTTGATAGGTATCAACTCAATTTACATTTGTGTCTGGCATAAGCTAATTATGCTTCTTATATTTATTTACTTATTTTATTCATTTCAGGGACTCTACATCTTACATTGAGAAAGGGAATCTTCCATCTTTGGTTCTCTAACAGTTCTTAGCTCAGTTAATAAAATTAACACTCAGCAAATGCTTATTAATTAGATCTTATCAAAATTTTAATACAGAAAAGAAATTTGAAACTCACCTTGATTCATCTCTTTTATAACCCACATTTAATCAATCACCAAGGTCTGTTGATTCCACTTCCTAAATCTTTCTGAAATCCATATAACCTCTCCATTTACACTCCTTTCTCCTGCCACATTCAGGTATTCATCATCTATAGACACTGGGACACTATAAAAGGATTTTAAAAATCAAGGCAGTAAAATCAGATTGGAGTTTAGAAAGAGCACTCTAGTTTCAGGATGGATAATGGATCATCAGGAGAGCAAGACAAGGCTGCAGTAATCCTGTTAGGATAGTTACCTCCTCGCTTCTCAATGTTGTTTTTGGACCACTTTTTCTCCCTCCTTCCTCTAAAACCCAAGCTTCTTTGAAGATCATGCTTTCTTAATTATTCTAATCAAGTACCTCTTGAGTCACTCTCCATTTTTAATGAAGACCAGTTTACTGTTGTCCACTTTATCCTTTCCCTGTCATCCTTGGCAACTTCATCATCATTAATGACAGTACTCTCAAAATTTTCATTTAAAACATTCCATACTCTAGCCACCTCTTATTACCATTCCAGTTCAATTATTCTGGCACTCCTCACCCCGATAATCCTTCAACCCCATAAAGAGCTCCAATTCATTGACCCTAAGCTCCTTTTCACTCTCTGTCATCTTGTTTCCTTTAATGTCCTCACTTACCTCCTTAATGTCCTCACTTCCCTCCTTACAGAGCCCATATTCCATGGTCCATCATTTTAATCAATTCCCTGCAAACATTCTTAACTTCCTTGTCCCCTCTCTCTGTGCCATACTTCTCTGACAAAGCCCCAACCATGGTAAACTCAAGTTCCTACCTCCTGTGCAGCCAAGCAGCTGAAAATTGCTGGAGAAAAATTTTTCTTTTATGTTTTATTTTTTTAATTGACAAATACTGTGTTTTGTTATCTTGTAAACATGATGTTTTGAAGTATATATACATTTTGGAATGGCTAAACCTAACCAATTAATAAATGGATTACTTCACATAGTTATTATTTTTGTGGTGCTAGTATGTAACGTCAACTCTGTTTTTCAAGAATACAATATCATCATTAACTATAGTCATTTTGCTGTATGATAGATCTCTTGAAATGTATTCCTCCTATCTAACTCTAATTATGTATCCTCTGACCAACATGTCTCCATCTTCCCTCCCCTCAATCACCCTAGCCTCTGATAACTACCATTATACTCACTTCTATGAGATCAAATTTTTTAGATTCCACGTATGAGTGAGATAATGCAGTATTTGTCTTCCTATGCCTGGCTTATTTCCTTTAACATAAATTCCTCCAGGTTCATTCACGTTGCTGCAAATGACAGGATCTGACTCTTTTTATGGCTGAGTAGTATTACATTGTGTATGTATACCTCACTTTTTTCATCCACTCATCCATTGATGGACGCTTATGATGGAGAAAATTTTAAAAACTGCACTGGCTAGTATCATTTTAAACTCATCATGAAAAATCTCAAATTAGTACTCAATATAGCCAAATAATTCTTGCATAATTTCCTAGTAAAATCACTCACTCTCTAAGAAGACTGTGTCATACCATCTCCCCATCCTCAAACTGCCAACACCTCCTCACCCTTCACACTTTCAACTGATGACCTTGCTTCTTCCTTCAAAGAAAATGTAGAAGCAATAAGAGAATCTTCACAAACTGATGCCCCATATCCAATCACTTACCTGCATCTGTGCCCATATATTCCACCTTTCTTTCTGTTACAATCGTTGAAATATCTGTGCATCTAATCAAGGTCAATACTTCCATTTATGAACTAGATTCTATCTCTTTTTCATACTCAGAGACTATGCTCCTGAAGCAGTTCTATTCCTCTCTTTTGCATCACCAAATTTTCCTTCCCTATTGGATCATCCTCATTAGCAAACATGTAATATCTCCCATATTAAAATAATATTCCAGGAGTGCCATCAGCAAGATGGCAGAATAGAAAAAAAAGACCCTCCTTCCCCCATGGTTTGAATAACAATTTATGGAACAATTGCCTTTATGACAAATTCAGAAATGAGTTAAAAGGTTGCTGCACCCCAGGCAAGTGCAAAGCCAACCTCACCAAAACCCAGTAGGAAAATTCATGGCATTTCTTCACCAGAGACTCTTCTCCCAGCTTGGTGCATTGTAACTGAGAGGAAACCCCTACCTCCTGACTTATCCTAGGGGGGAAAAGAAGTTGAATGTCCAACATTCTAACTTTTCAGGGTGTTATCTAAAAGATTGGTTTCTGTCTTGCCTGAATCTAAGAACTGACAGCAATGGGATGCCAGGTTGGGGGCCTGCTGAGAACAAAGGTGATCAATGTGGCTTGGCCTGGCACCAGAGTCTGTAGACCACAGACAGACATTATGTGGAGCTCCAATACCCTAGTTTACTACAGAAACAGAGAGATGGCAGTATCACAGACAGACATCAAGGGGAACTCCTGAATAGAAACTGATAAATCTCTTCAACTAGATGATTATATGCACAATCCCAGAAGAGTATGCCTTCCCAGGAAAGGATTAGGAGGTCTCTGGATTCTTTAACTGGGCTAATTGGAGAATGTCCTCCTTGTATGCAACCAGACCACAAAGACTGAGAAAGGTAGCTGAGCTTTCAAATGTTAAAGTCTCAACAAGATATAGTAAGACATACGAAGAAACAAAGAAATGTGGACTATTCAAAGGAATAATTTAAACCTCCAGAAAGCACCCCTACAGACATAGAGAAATATAAATTACCAAAAACTCAAAATAAGCATCACCAGAATAATTAAAGAATTAAACAAGAACATAGATAGGCAACTAAACAAAATTAGGAAACTGACATATAAACAAAATAAGAATATCAACAAATAAATAAAAGTATAAAGAAGAATCAAACAGAAATTCTGGAACTGAAGTATCTAATAATCGAATTGGAGAAATTCACTGGAGGGATTCGATAGCAGAATTGACCAGGCAGAAAAAAGAATTAGTAAACTCATCGATAGGGCTTTGAAATTATTGAGAAAGAGAAGAAAAAAACAACAAAGAATGAAGAAAAATGAGGAGAGCCTAAGGGATTTATGGGGCACCAACAAGCAGAACAACATACGCATGATGCAAATCACAAAAGGGGAAAAGAGAAATGAGTAGAGAGCTTATCTGAAGAAATGATGGCTGAAAACTCTCCAAATTTGATGAGAGAAAAGGACACACAATTTGAATAAACAAACAACTCCAGTTGGAATAAATCTAAAGAGACCTACACTGAGACCCATCAAAATCCAACTGTCAAAAGTCACAAAGACAGAATCTTGAAAGTGGCAAGAAAAAATGACTCATCACATATAAGGGAGCTTCTATTAAACTATCAGCTGGTTTCTCAGCAAAACCTTGCAGGCTAGAAAGGAGTGAAATAATATATTCAATTACTGAAGAACAAAACCTGCCCACCAAGAACATTATATTTTGTAAAACTGTCCTTCTAAAATGAAGGAGAGATTAAGACTTCCCAGATAAACAAAAGGAGAGGAAGTTGATCACCACTCAATCTGCCCCACAAGAAATGCTAAAGGGATCCTTCAAGTTGAAGAAAAAGGATGATAAATAGCAACACAAAACCATATGAAAATATAAACCTTCTGATAAAGGTTTATTGTGTAGAATTGTAATATAAGTGTGTAAATCACTTTTAAATATGGTATAAATTTTAAAAACAAAAGTAACAAATAATTATAGATCTATGTTAATGGATGCACATTATAAGGAAAGGATGCCCACCCTCAATATTACTATTGTTGAAGTACTGGGATTCCTAGCTAGAAAAATTAGACAAGAAAGAGAAGTAACAGAAATCTAAATTGGAAAAGATGAAGTAAAATTGTCTGTATTCACAGATGACATGATCTTATATGTAGAAAACCCTAAATATTCCATATGCAATAAAAAGTATTATAACTAATAAATGATGTCAGAAAATTTGCAGGATACAAAAGCAATACATAAAATGCATTGCATTTCTATATATTAATGGTGACCGATCTAAGAAGAAAAATTAAGAAAAAATTCCCTTTATTTATTTTATTTTATTTTTTATTATACTTTAAGTTCTGGGGTACATGTGCAGAACATGCAGGTTTGTTACATAAGTATACATGAGCCATGGTGGTTTGCTGCACCCATCAACCTGTCATCTACATTAGGTATTTCTCCTAATGCTATCCCTCCCCTAGACCCCACTCCCTGACAGGCCCCAGTGTGTGATGTTCCCTTCCCTGTGTCCATGTGTCCTCATTGTTCAACTCCCACTTATGAGTGAGAACATGCGATGTTTGGTTTTCTATTCTTGTGTTAGTTTGCTGAGAATGATGGTCTCCAGTGTCATCCATGTCCCTGCAAAGGACATGAACTCATCCTTTTTTATGGCTCTATAGTATTCCATGGTGTATATGTGCCACAATTTCTTTATCCAGTTTCACACTGATGGGCATTTGGGTTGTTTCCAAGTCTTTGTTATTGTGAACAGTGCTGCAATAAACATATGTGTGCATATGTCTTTATAGTAGAATGATTTATAATCCTCTGGGTATATACCCAGTAATGAGATTGCTGAGTCAAATGGTAATTCCAGTTCTAGATCCTTGAAGAATCTCCACACTGTCTTCCACAATGGTTGAACTAATTTACACTCCCACCAACACTGTAAAAGCGTTCCTATTTCTCCACATCCTCTCCAGCATCTGTTGTTTCCTGACTTTTTAATGATTGCCAATCTAACTGATGTGAGATGATATCTCATTATGGTTTTGATTTGCATTTTTCTGATGACCAGTGATGATGAGCTTTTTTCATATGTTTGTTGGCTGCATAAATGTCTGCTTTTGAGAAGTGTCTGTTCATATCCTTTGCCCACTTTTTGATGGGGTTGTTTTTTTTTTCATGTAAATTTGTCTAAGTTCTTTGTAGATTCTGAATATTAGCCCTTTGTCAGATGGATAGATTGCAAAAATTTTCTCCCATTCTGTAGGTTGCCTGTTCACTCTGATGGTAGTTTCTTTTGCTGTGGAGAAGCTCTTTAGTTTAATCAGATCCCATTTGTCTATTTTGGCTTTTGTTGCCATTGCTTTTGGTGCTTTAGTCATGAAGTCTTTGCCCAAGCCTATGTCCTGAATGGTATTGCCTAGGTTTTCTTCTAGGGTTTTTATGGTTTTAGGTCTTATGTTTAAGTCTTTAATCCATCTTGAGTTAATTTTTGTGTAAGGTATAAGGAAGGGATCCAGTTTCAGCCTTCTGCATATGGCATCAAAAAGGATGAAATACTTAGGAATAAACTTAACCAAGTTAGTGAAACACTTCTACAGTGAAAACTACAAAATGTTGCTAAGATAAATCAAAGAAAGGTACAAATAAATGAAAAGGCATCTCCTGCTTATGGATTGGAAGGCTTAATGTTGTTAAAATGTCCATACTACCCAAAGTGATCTACAGATTAAATGCAATGCCTATCAAAACTCCAATGGAATTTGTTGTAGAAACAGAAAAAAACCTTCCTAAAAGTCATACGGAATCTCAAGGGACCCTGAATAGTCAAAATAATCTTGAAAAATGAGACCAAAATTGGAGGCCTCGCACTTCCCAATTTCAAAACATGCAACAAAGCAACAGTAATCAAAATAGTATTGATGTATGAAAAAGTCTTTATCTCTCACTTTTGAAGGATCATTTTGCTGGATATATAATTCTACATTGGTAGTTGTCCCCCCTTTAACACTTTAAGGTTGTCATTCCATTGTGTTCTTGCTTGCACAGTTCCTGATGAGAAGTCCACTGCAATTCTTATCTTTGTTTCTCTGTAGGTAAGGTGTTTTTCTCCCCACTAGGCTGCCTTCAAGAATATCTCTTTGTCTTTGGTTTTCTGCAGTTTTAATATAATATGCCCATGTGTGAGGTCCTGCTTGTTTATTTTAAGGGGTGTGTGTGTGTGTGTGTGTTTATTTATAATGCATTTGTTAATGTGTCTATTTTTATGCCAGTATCATATTGTTTTGATTACTATTGCTTTGTAATATATTTTGATATCAGGTAGTATGATGCCTCCAGCTTTGTTCTTTTTGCTCAAGATTGCTTTAGCCATTCAGGGTCTTAAGTTGAAAACTTTTCCTTTCAGATCAGGAACAAGACAATGATGTTCACTCTTCCTACTCTTACTCCACATAGTACTGGAAGTCGTAGCCAGAGTAATTAGGCAAGAAAAAGAAATAAAAGACATGCAAATAGGAAAGAAAGAGATGAAATTGTCTCTGTTCACTGATGAAATAATCTTATATATAGAAAACCCTAAAGAGACTACCAAAAAACTGTTAGACTTAATGAATTCAGTAAAATCAACATACAAAAATCATTAATGCTTCTAAACCCTAACAATGAACTAACTGAAAAAGAAATCAAGAAAACAATGCTATTTGTAATAGTTGCAAAAAAATACTTAGGAATAAATTTAACCAAGGAGATTAATAATCTCTACACTCAAAACTATAAAACATTGATTAAATAAATTGGAGAACACACAAATAAATGAAAAAAATTCCATCTTCGTGGATTGGAAGAATTAATATTGTTAAAATATCTATACTATTCAAAGTGATCTACAGATTCAATGCAGCTCCTGTCAAAATTTCAATTACATTTTTCACAGAAATAGAAAAAATCCTAAAATTCTGACTGATAATTTCAACACCTGTGTCATATGTAAGTCTGGTTCTGATCTTGCTTTGTCTCTTCAAATTGTGTTATTTCTTGCCTTAGCAAGTTTTGTAATGTTGTTATTGTTAAAAGCCAGACATCTTGTATAGAGCAATAGCTACTGAGGTAAATAGGATTTTACCATGAATATTTATATTAATCTGGCCTGGAGTTAGGTTGTGTTTGATGTTTGTTGTCTCTGTGGGTACCAGAAGCATTAAATTTCTCTAGTGATTTTGCTTTTGTCTTCTCTCTTGGCCTTGGCCCTTCCCTTTGTGCTGTACCTCAGAGACAGGCTGTCTCTTGCAGCTCTTCCAGCTGTAATCCACTGTCATTTTAACTGGAGGCTTATTAGCTTGTTGTAGGATGTGGGGGGATGAGGGCATTCTACAATCTTCAGATTCTCAGTCTTTGGAGTGCATAGTGGGCCTGTGTCTTGGAAGTGTGACTTTAACAATTGTTTTTGTTTCTCTTCCAGGGTGTGGTAGATTGAACTGTAACCCTCAAAAAGATATGTTGAAGTCCTAATCCCTGGTACCTGTGAATGTGACCTTATTTAGAAAGCCTCTTTGCAGATGTAATCAAGTTAAAATGAGGTCACACTGGATTAGGGTGTGTTCTAAATCCAATGACTGCTATCTTTATAAAGAGAAATATTTGAAGACAGAGATTAGATATTGAGAAGAAGGCCATGTGAATATGAAAGCAGAGATTGGAGTCATGCTGGCACAAGCAAAGTAAAGCCAAGGATTGCCAGCAACCATAAGAAACTAGAAAAGGCAAGGAAAAACTCTCTCCCAAAGGGAGCATGGCCTTACCAACCCTCCAAGACTATGAGAAAATACACTGTTGTTTTAAATCACCTAGTTTGTGTAATTTGTTATGGCAGCCTTAGAAGACTCATACACATAGGTAAAGTATTCCCTCCTGCCAACTAATACTTTCTGTGGTTCTAACATTCCTAGTCTATATCTTTGAAACCCTCTCCCTTGTATATTAAGGCTTTCTTTTCTTTATTTTTTTTTCCCTTAGGTAAGACAGGGAGATGGAGTGGGGCTGGAGCAGGCTGAGTTGCCTTCCCCTAGTTGAGAAGGGATTTCACTATTGCCCTCTGTTATTTTTGTCTTTCTCCCAACTTGTAGGCTAATCTTAAAAATAAATGGCTAGAGGTCCTGTCAACTCCACAAAAAGTATTTTCAGACCACACAAAAGGTATTTATCATTGCATAACAATGTGAATTGTACACTTAAAATGGTTAAGATAGTAAATTTTGTACTATGTGTTTTCTTACCACGATTTTATCATTCCAATTTTTGATATATGTGCTGCCAAAGCAAACATTTCTTACCACAAGTTTTAAAAAGTATCTGTCTTCACACATCTCTTACCAAAATGATCTTCATGTTGCTGCCAAGCACAAGTCAGAGACTTGGAGGCTGTATGGTGCCAATGGACAGCTAAAGGAAGTAAGCTTTTGAAGTTGGGCTGTGGAAGGGCCGGATATATGACTCCTCCCTTCAGCAAGTCCTGAAGCCTGCTGTGTAGGTGGGACAATCTGTGGTACCACATCCTAGAAGATTGGATAATAACAAGTTAGTAGTAATATACAACAACTTTTATGAGGCTATAGGAATAACACTACAGATATAATTATGTAAAATGATAGATTTAATGATCTCAATACAGAGGATTAAACAAAGGAGAAATTGTGAAAAGTTAAGCATAAGTGATCTATAACCATTACTTACATTTTCTCATTAGCCACTCTTATTTTATGTCATACAATCTTCCTTTTGGCCTACTACCTAACTGAAGCAGTGCTTTAAAAAATTCACTAATCTTAACCTTCCAAATACATACAGTCATCTGCATAATGACATTTCTGTCAGTAACAGACCACATATATGATGGTGGTCCCATAAGATTATAATGGAGCCGAAAAATCCTATTACCTAGTGACATGGTAATGTAGCACAATGCATTACCTTTTCTATGTTTAGATGTGTTTACATACACAAATGCTCAGCGTTATGTTACAATTGCCTACAGTATTCAGTACAGTCACATGCTATACAGGTTTGTACCCTAGGAGCAACAGGCTATATATATCATATAGCCTGGACGTGTAGTAGGCTATACCATCTGGGTTTGTTAACACTCTAGGATGTTCATACAACCATGAAATTGCTGAATGAGGCATTTCTCAGAATGTATCCCTGTCGTTATCCTGTCAACTGACCCATAATTGTAAAAGGATTATTTTTCATGTCTCATCCTTCTGGGTCTCTCTGCTTGTGACACTACTAATCACCCCTATTCCGACTATGTGAAACTTTCTTCTCCGCTGGTTATGTGTGCTGTGGGCAAGTTACTTAAACCCTCAGTGACTCCATTTCTTCCTTTGTAAAATGAGGTTGATAATAGTATTTATCTCATGGCTTTACTGTGAGGACTAAAATACTTAGAATTATATGTTCCATACTAAGCCCTACATATGTATCACTGCTATTACTATCGTTATTACGGCTGTTGTTAGGCATAAACTTTATGTTGGGAAAATGCCTTGATAAACCTGCTTGGAGTTGGTGATGCTGAGTAGCATAGTTTTAGAAAAATTAATAAAACAACACCATTTGCATAAGGTCTTAAAAGGAATTAATTTGTCCTGTGGCAGAAGACTGAGAGAGCTATGTGATTGCAGATAGGCTGTGTGGTTCTCAATGTGAACCTTCTCAATTACACCCTCAAATATGCAGTAGTGTAATTAAACCCACAAAATGCTTATGTTGAGTGGACTGGTGAGTGCCTGTGTGTGTGTGCGCGCATGCGTATGTGTGGGTATGTGAGTTGTAAGCTGATGAAAGGACTGAACTTCATGCTGATATGGGATGAAACCAATCACATAAATTAAAGCCATAGCTAGAGATATAATAGAATTTACTAATCACTAGGGAGCAGTCTGTAATTACAGGATAGAGAATGGAAGGCTAAAGTCAAATTTATTGAGATTTTGTGGCTGAGGGCAAAGAGGAGAGCACAGAAACTCCTCTGCTGATAATCTGGGTTACATTTATTTCTTCACTGTCTCTTGTTTCCAACCTCCTACCTACAGATACTGTCTGAAACAGGGGCTGGCAATCTGTGCCCCACAAACTAAAAATGGATTTTATATTTTTTAAGGAGTTGTAAAGAAAAACAAAGATGAGTATGACACCAAGACTCCAGACCAAGACCAGACTAGAATTTCTTCTTTGTAGTCTATGAAGTCTACAATATGTGCTATCTGGATCTTCAAAGAAAAAAAATTTCCAACTCCTAGTCAAATATTAAATTCTTAATCAAATACTCTTCTCCCACTACATCGAAAAATCTCCCAAAAATCTACTCTTAAGTATATTCACTCACTTCATTATTTCACAAAATAAATATTACTAATAGGTACTTTTTTTTTTTTTGAGACGGAGTCTTGCTCTGTCGCCCAGGCTGGAGTGCAGTGGCGCTATCTCGGCTCACTGCAAGCTCCGCCTCCCGGGTTCACGCCATTCTCCTGCCTCAGCCTCCCGAGTAGCTGGGACTACAGGCACCTGCCACCACGCCCGGCTAATTTTTTGTATTTTTAGTAGAGACGGGGTTTCACCGTGTTAGCCAGGATGGTCTCGATCTCCTGACCTCGTGATCCGCCGCCTCAGCCTCCCAAAGTGCTGGGATTACAGGCGTGAGCCACCACGACCAGCTATAATAGGTACTTTCTTAAGTATTAAGATACAAACATAAATAAATCAGCAGTCCTAGCCACCATTCAAGATGTTCACAAACTAGCAGGGAAGAAAGACAAGTACAGGGTGATAACTACTACTATTTATAATAGTTTTAAGCATACAACACAGTGAAAGGTGCAAAGGAGTAAGAAGTTAACCATGCCTGAGGAAAGTGGTGGAGCTCCACATGACTAGTGTTCTTTGAAGAAGGTTTCATTGTTTTATATTAACTTAAAAATAAAACTGATTGTAAAAAAAAAAAAAGATGGGATTGTTGGAGGTGTTGGAAATAATCCACACAACCCTGAAATATATAAAATAATAAGTAAAAGCCTCTTTCTTTCATTATTTACCACCCCATTCTTTCAAGGAAACTGTTGATGAGGTTTGGCATATACAATGACACATATAATTAAAATCTCCACACCTGCTATAGACACATACAGAAATACATATGTATTTAAACCATAAAGAATGGTAGAAAACAAAGTCTCTCCTCCCCCATTTCCCATAATCTCACTACTCAAATGTTACCAGTTTCAATTTTTAGAAATCAGCCCAAGCAAAACTGGATATCCATATGCAGAAGAATGAGACCCCTACCTCTTGCCATATACAAAAAATACAATCTAAGTGAATTAAAGACTTAAATCTAAGACCGCAAACTATGAAACTACTACAAGAAAACATTGGGGAAACATACCAGGACGTTGGTCTGGGCAAAAATTTCTGGAGTAAGACTTCAAAAGCACAGGCAAGCTAAGCAAAAATGGACAAATGGGATCACATCAAATTAAAAAGCTACTGTACATCAAAGGATACAACCAACAAAGTGAAGGGACAACCTGGAGAATGGGAGAAAATAATTTGCCAACCACCCATCTGACAAGGGATTAATAATCAAGCAATTTGCAAACTGGCAGCAGGTATCTGAAATTCACACAACTGACAAAGTATTAATATCAAGAATATTTAAAGACATCCTACAGGCTGGGCACGGTGGCTCATGCCTGAAATCCCAGCACTTTGGGAGGTCAAGGCGGGCGGATCACAAGGTCAGCAGTATGAGGCCAGCCTGACTAACATGGTGAAACCCTGTCTCTACTAAAAAATACAAAAATTAGCCGGGTGTGGTGGCACACACCTGTATTCCCAGCTACTCAGGAGGCTGAGGCAGGAGAATCGCTTGAACCCAGGAGGCAAAGGTTGCAGTGAGCTGAGATTGTGCCACTGCACTCCAGCCTGGGCGACAGAGTGAGACTCTGTCTCAAAAAAAAAAAAGACATCCTACAAGTCAATAGGAAAAGCAAACAATATGTGAGCAAATAGTATGAACAGACATTTCTAAGAGAAAACACATATGGTCAATATGGTCAATCAATTCATGAAGAGATGTTCAACCTCATTAATGATTAGGGAATTGTAATCTAGTCACAGTGAGATATGATATAACCATCTGATCGGCAAAAATTAAGATGTCTGACAATAGCAAGTATAGAGGTCTTGCACATCTTTCATTGAATTCATTCCTAAGTGATTTCTTGTGCTATTACAAGCAGCATTTTAAAATTTCAATTTGTAATTGCTAACAGTATACACAATGCAACTGACTTTTATATTCTGACCTGGAATGCTGTAATCTTAATAAAAACAGTTATTACTTCCAGTAAGCGCTTTGGAAATTTCTCAGCATTTTCTATATAAGGAATGTCATATATGAATAGAGTTCTACATCTTCTTTTGCAAACTTTATACCTTTTGTTTGTTTTTTTGCTGCATTGTGCTCACTAGTTAGGAGGAGTAAGCATGGACAACCTTGCCTTGTTCCTGATCTTAGGGGAAAACATTCTAGTTTCATGATTAAGTATGTTGTTAGCCATGTTTTTGGATTTTTTTGTTATTGTTATTAATGGCCTTTTTCTGGTTGGGGAAGTTTCCTTCAATTCCTAGTTTTCTGAGAGTATTTATCAGGAATATGACTTGAATTTTAGTAAATGTACTTTCTACATCTATTATTTTATGGCTTGTTGCTTTATTCTAGTAAAGTGGTTAATTATTCTAATTGACTTCCTATGTTAAAACAACCTTGCATTTCTGGAATAAACCCCATTTGATTATGATATATTATCCTTTTTATACATTGTTGGATTCAATATGCTGAAATTTTGTTTCAGTATTTTGCATCTAGATACATGAGGAATACATGGTCTGGTGTGTGTATGTGTGTGTGTCATCTTTATCAGGTATTTTATCAGATTTATGCTGGGTTTTTAAAATTGTACTTTAAGTTCTGGGATACATGTGCAGAACGTGCAGGTTTGTTACATAGGTATACAAACCATGGTGGTTTGCTGCACCCATAAACCCGTCACCTACACTAGGTATTTCTCCTAATGCTATCCCTCCCCTAGCCCCCACTCCCCGAGAGGCCCCAGTGTGTGCTCTTCCCCTCCCTGTGCCCATATGTTCTCATTGTTCAACTCCCACTTATGAGTGAGAACACGTGGTGTTTGGTTTTCTCTTCCTGTGTTAGTTTGCTGAGAATGATGGTTTCCAGCTACATCCATGTCCCTGCAAAGGACATGAACTCATCCTTTTTATGGCTGCATAGTATTCCGTGGCGTATATGTGCCACATTTTCTTTATCCAGTCTCAAATTGATGGGCATTTCGGTTGTTTCCAAGTCTTTGCTATTGTGAACAGTGCTGCAGTCAACATACGTGTGCATGTGTCTTTATCGTAGAATGATTTTTTTTTGGTCTTGCAAAATCAGTTTTATTGTAATATGCATATATGAAAATTTACCCATGATGCATAGTCGCAATCCTAATTTAACTTGTCCTAATTAAACTAATCCTAAAGTAACTAATTTTACTTCCATTTTTATTATGTGTGAAAATAAGTTCTTTCTATAATGTTTTGTACTATTGGTCTACTTGCTTGCTTGCTTTTCCATCCATTGCAATATTTGGGAATGGATTACAAAAAGATACTTGGATAAGTAGCACTGAAAGCTGTTAAAAACAGAATATCAATTCCTGGAGTATGTTTCTATCTGGATGCACACGAATGAAATAATTGAACTCTCAAAGTTCTTTTCACGCCCTTAATTCAATGAAGCAATTCCTGAAGCAACACATTCACATCTCATAGCTGATTTACATGTTTCCTTTTGCTAGCCTTCTCTTTTGGACTAAGTTTTCTCCTTACTAATGTCAGTTCAAACTGGTGAGACTTCAGACAAGTGGTTTCTCAATCCTGATGGCACAATAGAGTGATGTGGGGAACTTTAGAAAAGTTCTGATGATCCGGCCCTGCCCCTAGAGACTGTGATTAAATATTTTGAGTGTATATGAACCACTTGGTTATTTGGTTACTATGTCATCAAAGCAGGTTAAAAACGAGGGGAAAAGCCATTTTTTTCTTCAGCCTGGCTATCTTGACAACTAACAAATTATTTTTTAACCCCAAAAGAAAAGAAAAATGGGACCAAAGATATTTTTACTTTTAGTAAATAAAGCGCATCAACTCTCAAAAGGTGCTTGGCCCTTTAAACGGCATGGCAATGCACAGAAAGACAGTTGGGTGAGGCTGCATGCCCTTCATAACCATTTCAACACCTACCTCGGGTCCCAAAATAAATATTTTTAATATTGTCTCATTCTGGACTGTTCCAACATGCACTATATCAGCTTGTCTACATATTCTAATGTAACTGCATACAAGTTTCCAGCAGCTCATGTATTTTCTTTTTTTTTATTATACTAAAAGTTTTAGGGTACATGTGCACAACATGCAGGTTTGTTACATGTGTATACATGTGCCATTTGGTGTGTCGCACCCATTAACCCGTCATTTAACATTAGGTATTCTTCCTAATGCTATCCCTCCCCCCTCCCCCCACCCCAAATCCTTTGGGTATATACCCAGTAATGGGATTGCTGGGTCAAATCGTAATTCTAGTTCTAGATCCTTGAGGAATTGCCACACTGTCTTCCACAATGGTTGAATTAATTTACATTCCCACCAACAGTGTAAAAGCGTTCCTATTTCTCCACAGCCTCTCCAGCATCTGTTGTTTCCTGACTTTTTAATGATCACAAAATAAGTTAGAGAATGTTACCTCCACTTCACTTTTCAGTTCTAGTATTTCCACTTGGTCCTTATTTAGAAATTCTGTTTATCCTCTGAAGTTTTCCATCTGTTCATTCATTCCACTTATTTGCTCCTGTAAGTTCTCTAACATATTTACAATAACAGTTTTAATGTCCTGGTCAGAAAACACCAGTATCTGGGTTATCTGTGAGTCTGCCTTTATTGACTATTGTCCTCCCTCCTTATTATGACTATTTATTCATTTTGTTATATATGTAGTATTTTTTGGAATGTTGGATATTGTGGATGGCGTGTTTTAGATGGTTTTGTAAATAACCTTTATCAGAAGTTACTTTTTATTCCTAGTTTGCTAAAAGACTTTTTCTCTCATAAATGGATGTTGAATTTTAGGGTTTTTTTTGCATTTATTGATTTGACTGTATGATTTTTCTCCTTTGTTTCTGTGGTGAGTTACCTTGATTCACTTTCAAAATGTAAACCAACTTTGCAACGCTGGCATAAACCAAACTACAATAGGGTATATTATCCTTTTAATACATCACTGTTTACAATTTTCTAATAGTTTGTTCGAAATTTTGCATCTATATTGATGTGTAAAATTAACCCAAATTTTCCTTTCTCATATTTTCCTTATAATATTTTAGTTACAGTATTATTCTAACTTTATAAAAAGAGTTGTAAAGACATCTATTTTCTTCTGTTCTCTGGAAAATGTCATGTGAGATTGATATTATTTCTTTCTTAAATTTTGATAGAATTACTCAGTGAAGGCATCTGAGTCTTGGCTTTACTTTGTGAGATGGGTTTGAGTTACTTAATAGTTATAGGTCAGTGCAGAAATTTATCTTCTTGTGTTCTTTTTGGTAAGTTATGTTTCCTAGGAATCTATGTATTTTATTTAAATTTTTAGTATACTGACTTAAAATTATTTACAATATCCAATTGTAACTGTTCTGTTTTATGATATATAATGGTAGCTCCTGTCTCATTCCTAATATTGGTTATTTATGCTTTCTCTCTCTTCTTTTGTTTCTTTATCCATATTTCTAGTGGTATTATCAATTTTATTAGTCTTTTCATAAAAGAAACTTTCGGTTTCAATAATGCTGTCTGTCAAATATGTCTTTCTTACAGGAAATTCTGTTCTTATCTTTGCTTCCTTCTACATTCTTTAGGATTAATTTTCTATTGTTTTTCCAATTCCCTGAGATGGATCCATATGTCATTGATTTTTTAGCCTTTCCTCTTTTGTGGAATATGCATTTTAAGGACACAAATTTCCCTTACAGTAATGGTTAAACAGTATCCCTTTAAATTTTAAGATGCTATATTTCCATTTCTCAGTCAGCTCAAAATATTTTCTATTTTACATTGCAATTTTTAAAAATTTGGCCCACAGGTTATTTTAAAGTATACTACGAATTTTAGGGAGATTTTCTAATTTATTTCTTGTTTTCTAACTTAATGTCAGTGTGGCCAAAAAATACTATAATTGTTTAAAGTTTTTGAGATTTGCTTTATGGCTCAACACATCACGTATTTTTCTATGTGCAGAAAAGAATATGTATTCTGCAATTGTTGCATGTGGTTGTCTATATATGTCAATTAGGTCAAGTTTGTTAATATTACTGTCCAACTCTTCTATATAATTATTGGTTTTCTCTTTTTTGTCTGATATTCTATCAGTTACTAAGGGATATATTTTAAGATCTCTGATTATGATTGTGAATTTATTGGGCATCAGTAAATTTTTGCTTTGCCTATTTTGAGTGTTAAGTGCATACAAATCAGAATAATTGTATCTTCTTGGTGGATTGCCCCTGTTATCATTATAAAATAGCTCTATACTTAGTAAATATTTCTACCTTAAAGTCACCTTTGTCTGGTATTAATATAGCTATATCAGCTTTCTTTTGGGTAGTATCTGCATTCTATACTTCTTCCATCCTTTTACTTTCAATCTTCCTATATCTTTCCATTTTATATATCTCTTATAAACAAGATGTAGATTTTGTATTTTTTAACCATTCTAATAATCTTTGTCATTTAACTGAGGTATTCAGTCCATTTACATTTATTATAATTACTGATATATTTAACTCTACTATATCACTATTTACTTTCTGTTTGTCTTGCCTATTCTGTTATCTTTTCTCTCCTTGCTTTGTTTTGTACTAATATGGTAATTTGTATTATTCAATTTACTCCTTGTTTAATTCTTATACATTCTTTTACTGTTTTTAGTGATTATTCTATGAATAATAACATATATATATGACATATTAAAGTGTAGCACAAATTAGAGGGTTTATGTTAACTCCATTTATCTTCCTCCCTCAAGTGCTATTATTGTGTATTTTAATTGCATACACATGCACGCCACATGACATTACTATTTTTATTCATTCATTCATTCATTCATTCATTCATTCATTCATTTATAGATTCAGAGCCTCGCTCTGTCACCCAGGCTGGAGTGCAGTGGCATGATCATGGCAAACTGCAGCTTCAAACTCCTGGGCTCAAGATCCTCACCTCAGCCTCTTGAGTAGCTGGGACTACAGGCATGCACTACCTTGCTTTGCCAAGACATTACTATTTTTTTAAATATGATCAATGAACATTCAGATCTACCCACATATTTAACCTCCCCCCTGCACTTCATTCATTATATATTTCCAAGATTTCATTTAGGATCAGTTTAATTCTGCCTGAAGATCCTTAATATTTCCTTTGGTTTTTGGTGACAGGTTCCCTAAGTTATGGACCATCTAAAAACATCTATTTTACTTCCATTTTAAAAGGCTGGATATAGAATTTACCAGATAAAATTTTAGGTTGACAGTTAATTTTGTCAGCATTTTGAAAATGTAGTTCTATCGTCTTCATGTTGTTTTTTTGAAAAGTCAAAGCCAATCTAATTGCTATTCCTTGAAAGGTAATACTTTTTTTTTCTCCAAATGCTTTTAAGACTTTTTTTTCTTTATTTTTTTGGCAGTTCTTACTAAATACACCTAGATGAGGGTTTTTTATTTATTTATTCTGCTTCGGGTTATGGTACTTTTTGAATCCACGAACTGATGCTTGTGACAGGCAGATTTCTAAGATGACCTCCAGTTACCCTTGCTGTTGTAAAATCTTTTCCCCTGGAGTGTGAGAGGGATTATGAATATGATAAGGTTTCACTTGCATTATTACATTATGTATATGGGACAGCTGACTTTAAGAAAGGGGAATGGCCCTTGGTTGGGATTACCTAATGCAGCAATCCTTTGAAAGAGACTGGTCTCTTCTTTTTTTTTTCCTTTTTTTAATTATACTTTAAGTTCTAGGGTACACGTGCACCATGTGCAGGTTTGATACATAGGTATACATGTGCCATGTTGGTTTGCTGCATCTGTCAACTCATCATTTACATTAGGTATTTCTCCTAATGCTATCCCTTCCCCAGCTCCCCACCCCCTGACAGGCCCCAGTGTGTGATGTTCCCCACCCTGTGTCCAAGTGATCTCATTGTTCAATTCCCACCTATGAGTGAGAACATGCGGTGTTGGTTTTCTGTCCTTTTGATAGTTTGCTGAGAATGGTTTCCAGCTTCATCCACGTCCCTGCAAAGGACATGAACTCATCATTGTTTATGGCTGCATAGTATTCCATGGTGTATATGTACCAAATTTTCTTAATCCAGTCTATCATTGATGGACATTTGGGTTGGTTCCAAGTCTTTGCTATTAGGAACTGTGCTGCAATAAACATATGTGTGCATGTGTCTTTATAGCAGCATGATTTATAATCCTTTGGGTATATACCTAGTAATGGAATCACTGGGTCAAATGGTAATTCTAGTTGTAGATCCTTGAGGAATCACCACACTGTCTTCCACAATGGTTGAACTAGTTTACAGTCCCACCAACAGCGTAAAAGTGTTCCTATTTCTCCACATCCTCTCCAGCACCTGTTGTTTCCTGACTTTTTAATGATCGCCATTCTAACTGGCGTGAGATGGTATCTCATTGTGGTTTTGATTTGCATTTCTCTGATGACCAGTGATGATGAGCATTTTTTCATGTGTCTGTTGGCTGCATAAATGTCTTTTGAGAAGTGTCTGTTATATCCTTTGCCCGCTTTTTGATGGGGTTGTTTTTTTCTTGTAAGTTTGTTTGAGTTCTTTGTAGATTCTGGATATTAGCCCTTTGTCAGATGGGTAGACTGCAAAAATTTTCTCCCATTCTGTAGGTTGCCTGTTCACTCTGATGGTAGTTTCTTTTGCTGTGCAGAAGCTCTTTAGTTTAATTAGATCCCATTTGTCAATTTTGGCTTTTGTTGCCATTGCTTTTGGTGTTTTAGTCATGAAGTCCTTGCCCATGCCTATGTCCTGAATGGTATTGCCTAGGTTTTCTTCTAGGGTTTTTATGGTTTTAGGTCTAACATTTAAGTCTTTAATCCATCTTGAATTGGTCTCTTCTTAGTGAAAGAGACTTGAAGCAAGAAAGGGAGTTGATGCCAGGAAGATTTTTCATTGGCTTTGAAGATGGAGATAACTACGTGGCAAGTAAGGCAGGCAGTCTCTAGAAGATGAGAGTGAGTTACAGCTGACATGCAGCAATGAAACAGGGACTTCAGTCCTATGGTTACAAGGAACTGAATTCAGCCAACCAGAAAGGAATGTAGCCTGGCCAACATTGTGATTTCAGCCTTTAATACTGTGACCAGAGAACTCAGTCATGCCACACCTGGACTTCTGTCCTATTATCGGGGGACCTGCCCCGATAATCACGTGGGTTCTTTTCTAGTTTCCTAAGCATCGGCTGGCTTGAGAAATAAAAGGACAGAGTACGAAAGAGAGAAATTTTAAAGCTGGGCGTCCTGGGGAGACATCACACATTGGTAGGATCCGTGATGCCCCACAAGCCACAAAAACCAGCAAGTTTTTATTAGGGAGTTTCAAAAGGGGAGGGAGTATATGACTACGTGTGGGTGACAGACATCAAGTACTTAACAGGGTAATAGAATATCACAAGGCAAGTGGAGGCAGGGCGAGATCACAGGACCACAGGACGGAAGCGAAATTAAAATTGCTAATGAAGTTTTGGGCACCACTGTCGTTGATAACATCTTATCAGGGGACAGGGTTTTGAGATCAACCGGTCTGACCAAAATTTATTAGGCAGGAATTTCCTCTTCCTAATAAGCCTGGGAGCGCTATGGGAGACTGGAGTTTATTTCACCTCTGCAATCTCGACCATAAGAGACAGGTACGCCCCGGGGGGGCCAGTTCAGAGACCTACCCCTAGGTGCGCATTCTCTTTCTCAGGGATGTTCCATGCTGAGAAAAAGAATTCAGCGATATTTCTCCCATTTGCTTTTGAAAGAAGAGAAATATGGTTCTGTTCTGCCCAGCTCACCGGCAGTCAGAGTTTAAGGTTATCTCTCTTATTCCCTGAACAACTGCTGTTATCCTGTTCTTTTTTCAGGGTGCCCACATTTCATATTGCTCAAACACACATGCTGTACAATTTGTGTAGTTAACGCAATTATTACAGGGTCCTGAGACGATATACATCCTTCTCGGCTGACAGGATTAAGAGATTAAAGCAAAGACAGGCCTAGGAAATCACAAGGGTATTGATTGGGGAAGTGATAAGTGTCCATGAAATCTTTACAATTTATGTTTAGAGATTGCAGTAAAGACAGGCATAAGAAATTACAAAAGTATTAATTTGGGGAACTAATAAATGTCTATAAAATCTTCACAATCCACGTTCTTCTGTCATGGCTTCAGCCGGTCCCTCCGTTTGGGGCCCCTCACTTCCCGCAACAACCTATAGAACTGTTAGCTACTAAATGGATGTTGTTTTAAACCACTAAGTTTGTGGTAATTTGATATGCAGCTATAGAAAAATAATGCAATGCTGTATTACTTTTCAAAAATTCCTCATCATCACGTCTTCAAATATTGTTTCTGTACCATTCTCTCTCCTTTTTTTCTAGGACTCCTATTGCACATATATCAGATCTTTACACATATTAGGTGCCAGACACTGTTAAAGGTGCTGAAAATATATCAGCAACCAAAAATATTCCTATCCTCATGAAGCACCTTTTAATGACATCCTGATCCCCCCTACACCTAAACTGTTTCCTCCCACAGAGTTCCTCCTCACAGTAAATTCTAGTCTCATTCAACCAGTTGCGTAACTCAAAAATCAGTGCTTCAAACTCAATACTTCATTAAAAAAAGTTTTCCCCCCAGTCAATTATCAAGTCATGATAACTTTTATCCCCTAAATGATTCTCAAACTTCACCCACCGTAGTGTATCTCTACTTGCCAACATGCCTGTCCAGGCCCATCATTATTTCTCACTTAAAGACTGCAACAGCCTTCTAATTGACCTATCCACTCTTGCCCTCCCTTCAAACTTTTTGCACATGGTAGGAAGAGTTAACTAAAATATGTCAGTGTGTCACTCCATTTGAATATCTCCCTAGGCTTTTCAATGTAAAATCCAATGTCCTTAATGTAATGCCTTCTACTACCTGGTTCTGAGCTACCTCTCAGCCTAACTTCCTGCTACTTACCTCCTTGTACTTTATTGCTTAACCCCAGATTTACCATGTTCTTTCATATTTGAAGAAACTCATGTTCATGCTCTTTGTTCAAACTGGAAGCCCTTCCCTTCCTATTCTGCCTTTTATTCATCTTTTAAGAATCAGTCTAGATATCATCTCATCTAAGAAGTCTTCTCTAAACTCCCAGAATAAACCAGTAGCTTTCTTTTGTTCTCTCATAATAGTCTTTATGTGTTTCTTCTTAATACATTATGTTGAAATGATATGTTTATATGTCTTTCCCCCTAATAATGCTGGATGTTCCTCAATAGGAAGGCCTATCTGTCTCATTCATTTTGATACCCTAACATCTAGCATGGTTCCTAGTACTTAGCAGAACTCCATAAATGTTTGTGAAAATTGAATTGAATTATTATTCTTCCAGCATCATAGCCCCTTTAAATCTAAAATGTTTGCTTAATCTTAATGTCTGCTTAAGATATTTTGCTTAAGTAAATAATATTGACTGGGTCAATCCAAAGGTAGGGTATACAGCAGATCATCAAAAAATTCATCCTTTGCCTATGATATGTTAATCAGCACTCTTTGAATATGGTGATTTAATTAATTAATACATAATTATATTACTTTTATAACCCATATTATCTTGTCCAGAAGGTTATCATAAATGACTTATTAGTCTTGCTGAAATTTCATTCATTCATTTAAGATATGTAATTATGTCTGCCATATTTCCATAAACTACCTCTAATAGCCTTGTCAGAAATAAGAACCAGGTTTGTGTTGAATGGCTTTGTTGATAACTGTAATTTTTTAAGTACTCGCTTATTTGAAAATTTGTTTTAGAAGCTAACTTAAGAGACATTTAGCTCACTGATTAGAAGATTGAAGACTCCCCCTTTTTCTTTGTTAGCCTCAGTAATATATTTATATAAATCCAATCTTAAAGCACCTTTCCTATTTTCCTTAATGCCTTCGATTACTGAGAGTAGTTTAGTAATATCAACTGAGTTACAATTTACCCATTCCAGGACACATGTACTTTTTCTTTCTGAGAGTATAGTTAAAATATTGTTCTTGTTGTCTTTACAAATATGCATTTCTACAAGCCTGAGGTAATTTTGGACCTTATCCTTCCAAATACTAACCCTTTAGGCACATGTCACCAGTTATATTTATCCTTGTGTTTGTGCCCTTTTTCCTATTTCTTATATATTATCTTTTAAAAAAAAGAAAGTATGAACTCATTGTAAAACTTCCTATGTGGCCCCATGGTTTTCCTCTTTTCTCCTTTAATAGAATAATTTGCTGTTTCATTGTCAAAATTATGTTTTTGAGAGCTTCCCAACCTTTAGAGTCTAAAGCCATCGTAATGTAAATTAAGGTCCAAAAAGTATCAATCATAATAACAGAAACTTTTGGAGATCAGCCATAGCTAGAAATTCTAGTCAGAGTAGGCAATTACATAATAGGTCAATCTGAATCTTTTCATGGTTATTACTAAGGAAGAAGCATTACCTCCTGAAAGGCTTAAAGCCAAGAGTGCATTTAGCTCCTGTCAATTTTTCCTTCCAAATGTCTTTCAGATTTGTCCTTCTCTTTCCATTCCTATAGATTCCTTCATCACCTCATACCTGGCCTATTGCCATAGACTAGATGGTTTCCTTGCCTTCAGTCCATCCATATTCCAATCCATTGTCCATACACTATTGCCAGATTAATCTTCTTAAAACACTTTCATCATGCCATTCTCCTGCCTAAGACTTAGCTCAAATGTCACCTTCTTCGTAAAATATTCCCAGCTCCCTTAGGAAGAGTTAGCAACTGCCTACTCAGTGTTTTCACAGGTCTCTGTGCATAACCTTATTAGTGCACTTAAAACATGTATGACAATCATTTCTTTAATTATTTTTCTTACCTCAATTGCTATGAGCTCCTTGAGGAGAGGCAAAGGTTTGAGCCATCTCTTTACAATTGCACTCAGGGCGTTACATAATCTATCTTGCCCCACCCATGTCAGGACCATCACATATACTGCCTTCTCTGCTTACCATGCTCTCCCCTTCATTCTTCCTGCTCGTTCCTTAGGTCTCAGATTAAATATCAATTCATTGAGAAACCTTCGCTGACACTCTTATTAACTAATTAATTAGTTAATCATTTGAACAAATATTTGTCGGGTGTCTACTTTGTGCTAGACATTGTTTTAGGCACTAGGGATATACCAGTGAACAAAGAAGACAAAAAGTCTTGCTTTCAAGTTTATCTTCTAGTGGGAGAAGGTAGATAATTAAGTATAAACATAATAAGTTATATATAGTAAGCTATAAAAAATAGCAGGATAAAGCAGTGTGCTGGAAGTTGGACTTTGAAACATGGTGGTCAGGGTAGGCCTCATTAAGAAAGATGACATTTGATCAAAGGAGGAGTTAGTCATAAGGATATCTGGGGTAAAGTAGACTAGGCAGAGGGGATAGCCAATGCAAAGGCTCTAAGTTGTGATTATATCTGTTGTGGCCAAAAGAAAAAAAAAAGAAAGAAAAAACATTGTAGCTGGAGCTCACTAAGCAAGAAGTAAAATAATAGATGAAGTGAGAAAGGTAGGAATAAATAGGTCAGGTCAGATCATGTAGGGCCTTATAAGCTAATATATAAAAACTTTAGTTTTTACTCTGATAGAAATGATGAACCATTGTAGGGTTTTAAAACTAATAGGTAACATGATGACACATTTTAAATGAACTGTTCTGGCTGTTGTATTGAGAATAAACTGTAAACAGGCCAAGGAAAGGAGGGATACCTGTTAGTAGGCTATTACAGTACTGGATTTATTGAAGTAATCCAGGCAAGAAATGATAGTGACTTAGACTAAGGCAGTAGCAGTGAAAGTGGTGAAAAAGGGTCAGAGTCTGTTTTTTTGAAGGCAAAAACGACAGGATTTGCTGATGAATTGAAAATGGGGTGTGAGATAAAGAGGAATGTATTAGTCCATTTTCACACTGTTATAAAGGACTACCTGAAACTGGGTAATTTATAAAGAAAAGACATTTAATTGACTCACAGTTCTACATGGTTGGAGAGACCTCAGGAATCTTACAATCACAGCAGAAGGTGAAGGGAAAGCAAGGCACGTCTTACATGATGGCAGGAGTGGGGGGAATTGCCACACTTTTAAACCATCAGATCTCATGAGAACTCACTCACAATAATGAGAACAGCAAGGGGAAATCCACTGCCATGATTCAATCACTTCCCACCAGGCCCCTCCTCTAACATTGGGGATTACAATTAGACATGAGACTTGGGTGGGGACATACAGCCAAACCATATTATCCCACCCCTGGCCCCTCACAAATCTCATGTCCTTTTCACATTTCAAACCCAATCATGCCTTCCCAACAGCCCCCAAAGTCTTAACTCATTTCAGCACTAAAAAGTCCAAGTCCAAAGTCTTATCGGACACAAGGCAAGTTCCTTCTGCTATGATCCCATAAAATCAAAAACAAGTTAGTCACTTCCAAGATACAATGGGGGTACAAGCATTGGGTAAATGCTCCCATTCCAAATGGGAGAAATTGGCCAAAACAAAGGGGCCACAGGCCCCACACACGTTCAAAACCCAACAGGGCAGCCATTAAATCTTAAAGCTCCAAAATAATCTCCTTTGACTCCATTTCTCATATCCAGGGCATGCTGATGCAAGGGTTGTGCTCCCACAGCCTTGAGCAGTTCTGCCCCTGTGGCTTAGCAGGGTACAGCCACTGAGGCTGCATTCACGAGCTGGCATTGAGTGCCTGTGGCTTTTCCAGGTGTACAGTGCAAGCTGTTGGTGGATCTACCATTCTGGGGTCTGGAGGATGGTGGCCCTCTTCTCATGGCTCCACTAGGCAGTGCCCAGTGTGGACTCTGTGTGGGGCCTCTAACCCCATATTTCCCCTCTGCATTGCCCTAGTAGAGGTTCTCCATGATGGTTCTGCCCCTGCAACAGACTTCTGCCTGGACATCCAGGTGTTTCCATACATGCTCTGAAATCTAGGCAGAGGTTCCCAAACCTCAATTCTTGCCTTCTGTGCACCCACAGGCCCAACACCACATGGCAATTACCAGGGCTTGGGGCTTGCATCCTCTGAAGCAATGTACCATGGCCCCTTTAAGCCACAGTTGGAGCTGGAGTGGCTGGGATGCAGGGCACCATTTCCCAAGGCTGCACAGAGCAGGGAGGCCCTGGGCCTGGCCCATGAAACCTTTTTTTTTTCTCCTAGGCATCTGGGCCTGTGATGGGAGGGGCTGCCGCAAAGGTCTCTGACATGCCCTGGAGACATTTTCTTCATTGTTTTGACCATTAACATTTGGCTTCTCTTTACTTATGGAAATTTCTGCAGCAGGCTTGAATTTCTCCCCAGAAAATGGGTTTTTTGGTTTTTTCCTTTCTATCATATATTCAGGCTGCAAATTTGCCAAACTTCTATGCTCTGCTTCCCTTTTACATATAAGTTCCAATTTCAGACCATTTCTTTGTGAATGCACATGACAGTATGCTGTTAGGAACACCCAGGTGCATATAACACTATGCTGTTAGGAACAGCCAGGTTACTTCTTGAACACTTTGCTGCTTAGAAATTTCTTCCACCAGATACCCTAAATCATCTCCCTCAAGTTCAAAGTTCCACAGATCTCTAGGGCAGGAGCACAATGCTGCCAGTCTCTTTGCTAAAGCATAGCAAGAGTGGCCTTCACTCCAGTTCCCATTAAGTTCCTCAGTTCCATCTGAGATCATCTCAGCCTGGATTTCACTGTCCAAATCACTATCAGCATTTTGGTCAAAACCCTTCAACAAGTCTCTAGGAAGTTCCAAACTTTCCCACATCTTCTTGTTTCTGAACCCTCCAAACTGTTCCAACCTGTGCCCACTATCCAGTTCCAAAGTCACTTCCACATTTTCAGTTATCTTTATAGCAATGTCCCACTCTCCTGGTACCCATTTTCTGTATTCGTCCATTTTCACACTGCTATAAAGAACTACCTGAGACTGGGTGATTTGTAAAACAAAGAGGTTTAATTGACTCACAGTTCTGCATGGCTGCAAGGCCTCATGAAACTTAAAATTATGGCAGAAGGTAAAGGGGAAGCAATGCACACCTTACATGGTAGCAGGAGACAGACAGAGCAAAAGGGGAAGTTCCACACTTTTAGGCCATCAGATCTCCTGAGAATTCACTCACAATCATGAGAACAACAAGGAGAAAGTCCACCCCCATGATTCAATCACTTTCCATCAGGCCCCTCCTCTGACATGTGGGGATTACAATTTGAGATGAGATAGCAGGAGTGGGGAACAGAGCCAAACCATATCAAGGAATGAATGATAACCCAAGGTATTTGGACTGAAAAACTGAAAGGATGGGGAAGACTGCTGGAGGATGTTTGGAAAAACAGATTAGAATTTTAGTTTTGGATCTGTTAAATTTGAGATGTCTATTAGATTTTTAGGTGGAAATATCAGAGAGGCAGTTGGATACATGAGTCTTGAGTTCAGGGGAGAGATATGAGCTGCAGATACAAATTTGGCAGTTGTTCCATAGTTGGTATTTAAAGTCAGGAGACTGGATGAGACTACCAAAGGAATTGGTATAGACAGAGAAAAGAAGATTAACATTTGTTAGTTTCTCATAGATCCTTTTATTCTTCAATGCACTTATTACAACTTGTAATTATTTGTTTATTTGTTTTTATTTCTGTGATTGTTTGGCTAATGTCTGGTTGCCTTATTACAAGAAAATGTTCCAATGAGAGCAGGGTCTATGCCATTTTCTCCATCACAATCAGCAAAATAATATGTTGGATTGCATGAATTAAAAGAATGTTCCTTTTTTTCAAGGACTCAAAATTAAATGCTCACAAGGGCTAGGCAAGTAACATAAATAAGTCGAGTATAAGAGACAATGTGTTGTAGAGAGAGGGGTGAACTGAAGTGTCCAAAAATCATAGCCACTACTTAGTTCCAGCTGATTATGGACAGATAGGCCTAGTGTTGTAATCTTCAGAATTTTTGAAATGAGCCAGATATACAGATTATATATGAAATCTCCCAAATTGTAATGCCAACAACTGTATTAGTTCAGGTCTTCTAAAAAAGCAGATGCCATGATAAAAATAGATGTGCAAGTAATTTACTGGGGAAAAGATATGTGAGGGGAAGTGGGAAGAGTGTCTAGACTTGGAGGGTCATCAGACCATGGTACAGGTCCTATCCCTGTGGAAGACAGAAAGAAGGAAGCACAGTCTCAGACTGCAATGCAGATCTAAGAAAGTTTCAGGAAGGCTGTTGGGGAATACTCAAGCCAAAGGTGGCCATTAAAGGAGTCTGGGTCTCCAAGGAATGGGCTCTCATTAGTATTCTTGCCATGGTCATTCAGTAGTTTGGAACAGTTGATGGGAAGTGTAGCCTTGGAAGAAAGAAACAATGATGGATGATAGAACACAGCAGCTGGGCCCTCAGTCAGCTATACTCCCTTTAGTAGGAGATATGAGTGGCACATTGTGGTGGGCATCACAATGACTAAATTCAACAATGCCACAACAGTATGAGCCAAAAACACATCTTCAAGCCATATTCAGCCCCAATGTGGACAGTTGTCAACCTCTGCTCTAGTCACTAACATATACTTTACCATCAATGGGCTAGTTATGTATAGATCCTAACATAGGCCAAAATGGATTGCCAATAGCATCTAGGTAGTAGAGTTTAAGTTACCAGGTGAGAACATGAAAAGCATTAGCCAAAGTGGGTTTAAAATGTGCTGCCAGAATAGAGGTAGTTTCAGAGTATGAAGGAGCAAAAACTACAATCCAAAAGGAAAAGGTATGAGTTAAAGCAAAGTGTCTACAAGCATTATACGAACATAAACAGTGAAGTCAAAAAGCAGAAATAGTTTATAATAATTGACTAAGCAGAGCATTTCAGATCTTTTGTCTGTGAAAGGAGAATAAGCACTGTTATATGTATTTACTGTCAACAATATGCTGTGAGAGGAAAGGGAAGACCTTAAAGAATTTGGAGTCTGAAAGGCAGTGACAACTGTGGCCTTTGGTGAGAGACAATAATATCAGGCAGGGCATAGCCAATTACATCAGTGTATCTACCATAATGGGTATGGCTTGTGGTACTGAAAAGCAGGGCAGGACAAGGTTGAAGTAAAGTTTAGGTCAAACAAAGGTGGTCTAGGGTCAAGAGTAGGTGAAACTACCCCTTGAGTTTCCTGGTATGTCCTTGATTCCAATGCATGGACTTCATGTTTCCATGTACCAAAAGACATTATGTCAGATGCACTGCCATGAAAGGTCTTAAAAGGACTTCTAGGGGCTGCAGAGGCACACTGGGGTGGCATTATAATATGGGCAGAAAAGTAGGGCTTGGACTTAGCCCATCAAGACTTACAAATGGCAGTGAAAGTTCAGTTCCTCCAATCCACAGTCACACACACACACCTCATCCACACATTTATTTGCCAGGTGCCAAGTAAGGTTTTTCTGAATGTCCACCATGCTCTGCTGAGCACAGGTGTTGGTATACTGTTGCTTCTGAATGAAATCTATTGACTCTACTGCTAGGTGGAAGAGGTGCCTCGATACTCTGGAGATACTGACTTGAAAATGGGGACCACCCACTTGCCCTTTGGGGGGTAGCCTTTGGCTGCTGTGAGTTTGTAGTAAAAGTATAGGCAAGGCACCCCATCACCCCGTGGGGGTCTCCTGCATTGCTCTGTTGGAGAAGTCCCTTTCTCAGATGCATAGATGTTGTGGGATAAGATACGGTATAAATGAAGAGCCCCCTAAATGCCTTAGGTTGCTTTGAAAACCTAGGGACCATTATGAATCTGAGACACTATGATGAATAGCTAGAAAAAAAATGTTCCAACAGAAGCAATGCTGTATGGTTAACACCTTTAAAGTAAAGCCTGAACCAAGGCTATGTGCATCTGTGTGTTTTCCAGGGACAGTAGATGCAGCAAAGTGACTTCAAGGTTAGTGATTATACTCCTGGATTCTGTTATCTGGCCAGTTAGCATTCTTAATTTGAAGAAACACAGTTTCTTATCTCTGGGCCATACTTTGCAGCTATATTGTCTACTGGGGCACCATTATCTCCTCCAAGGGTATACTATGTTGCCACTAGAATCATTGTATCAAAGATATATTTTTCTAGGAGGCAGATGTCACAATCCAAGAAGGATTTCTTCCAGTCTAAGCAGGAAGGTTGTGAGCAATGCTAAAACCAGGAAATAAACCATCAAGGACTGTCCAAGGATGACCTACTAACATGGCAATATAAGATTGTAGTCAGGGGGACAGAAGGTAACAATGAGTGTTCAACATGAAGGATAAGGCAGATATACAACAGAAGAACAGACAGCAAAGTTGGTTCCTGGGAGAGTAAAGTAAGAGATGGGCCAATGTTAGATTGAATGGTTCATTATTTCCCTGTGAATGGCCACTTAAGGTACCAGAACTCCCTTTTTATGGGTTGAGGTACACGCTGAGAGAGTAGGTATATGTGACTAAAAGAGACACACTAACCTACTCAGGAGATGTCAATGGTCCTGTTCATGGTGTTGCTCATAATACTTCAACCTGGGATGCTCTCTTCACTCTATATAAAATCTCTCTTCATTCTTCAAAGACCATTTCAAAATCTGTTCATTCAAAGAAGTCTTCCTCACTTCATTTGGACTACACAGATTTCTATCTTTCCTGATGGCCAGTGATGCATACTATTTGAACCAAACGTGCTGGTGTTATCTTGATTTTAACTGTCCTCCTAATTGGTTCATCAAGTATGTAAGCTTTGATTCTCTAGCTAAGCTGCAAATCCCATGAGTTTGGAGAGTAAATTTACTTGTAACCTCCACAGTGTCAAACATATACTAAGAACTTAATACATTTTTATGTGAATTAACAAATCAAGATCCAACAATCATTGGTTGCAGAATAATCAGAAATGTCTGGGGAATGGCCGCAGTTGGAAACTCTAGTCAGAGCAGCAACTGCATATGGGCCAACTTCGATATCTTTATGGTTACTACAAAGAAAGAAACAGCATCTCCTGAAAGGCTGCAAGCCAACAGCTAGAGCATTTGACTTCCTGAATGACTGGCAGTTACATCTGAACATAATGACTGCATTAGGAATTGAAATAAAAACAATTTTTCCTATACTTTTTGTGCAGTACAAGAAGCAATCTAAGAACTTGAAATCCCAAATGTCTATTTATCTCAAGTTACAAAATAAAACGAAACAAGCTATCCAATTAAAAAAAATAAATCACCCATAATAGATACCTAAAATAAATACAGGGGACACAGGAATAGCTGAGTGAGGAGTTCAATAAAGTTATTCAAAATGCAAAAATAAACTGGACAAAGTTGTCAAAAACAACCACATCATGACTCTGGAAACCGACAAAATCATACAACAAATTGAGAAGTATTAATTCAAGAAAAACTATTGAATCTTGAGTACAAATGGTAGAAATCTATGGCATTTTAACCTGGGGTCATTCCCATTCCTTCCACCAGCCCTGTGGCATGGTCATTTTAAATGTACAGTGGAAGACCGAAGAACTGAAAGCTCCACTGATGGAGGGTGCTGCCATCATTTGTAGAAGATCACAATAAAACCCATATCCACTTCAGAGGTCAGGCAGCCAAGATGGCCGAATAGGAACAGCTCCAGTCTACAGCTCCCAGCGTGAGCAACGCAAAAGATGGGCGATTTCTCCATTTCCATCTGAGGTACTGGGTTCATCTCATTAGGGAGTGCCAGACAGTGGGCGCAGGACAGTGGGTGCAGCACACTGTGCACAAGCCGAAGCAGGGCGAGGCATTGCCTCACTCAGGAAGCGCAAGGGGTCAGGGAGTTCCCTTTCCTAGTCAAAGAAAGGGGTGACAGATGGCACCTGGAAAATCGGGTCACTCCCACCCTAATACTGCGCTTTTCCGACAGGCTGAAAAAACGGCGCACCAGGAGATTATATCCCCCACATGGCTCAGAGGGTCCTACGCCCACGGAGTCTCGCTGATTGCTACCACAGCAGTCTGAGATCAAACTGCAAGGCAGCAGCGAGGCTGGGGGAGGGGCGCCCACCATTGCCCAGGCTTCCTTAGGTAAAAAAAGCAGCCGGGAAGCTCGAACTGGGTGGAGCCCACCACAGTTCAAGGAGGCCTGCCTGCCTCTGTAGGCTCCACCTCTGGGGGCAGGGCACAGACAAAAAGACAGCAGTAACCTCTGCAGACTTAAATGTCCCTGTCTGACAGCTTTGAAGAGAGCAGTGATTCTCCCAGCATGCAGCTGGAGATCTGAGAACAGGCAGACTGCCTCCTCAAGTGGGTCCCTGACCCCTGACCCCCGAGCAGCCTAACTGGGAGGCACCCCCCAGTAGGGGCAGACTGACACCTCACACGGCTGGGTACTCCTCTGAGACAAAACTTCCAGAGGAACGATCAGACAGCAGCATTCGCGGTTCATGAAAATCCGCTGTTCTGCAGACACCGCTGCTGATACCCAGGCAAACAGGGTCTGGAGTGGACCTCTAACAAACTCCAACAGACCTGCAGCTGAGGGTCCTGTCTGTTAGAAGGAAAACTAACAAACAGAAAGGATATCCACACCAAAAACCCATCTGTACATCACCATCATCAAAGACCAAAAGTAGATAAAACCACAAAGATGGGGAAAAAACAGAGCAGAAAAACTGGAAACTCTAAAAAGCAGAGCACCTCTCCTCCTCCAAAGGAACACAGTTCCTCACCAGCAACGGAACAAAGCTGGATAGAGAATGACTTTGACGAGTTGAGAGAAGAAGGCTTCAGATGATCAAACTACTCTGAGCTACAGGAGGAAATTCAAACCAAAGGCAAAGAAGTTAAAAACTTTGAAAAAAATTTAGATGAATGTATAACTAGAATAACCAATACAGAGAAGTGCTTAAAGGAGCTGATGGAGCTGAAAGCCAAGGCTCGAGAACTACGTGAAGAATGCAGAAGCCTCAGGAGCCGATGCGATCACCTGGAAGAAAGGGTATCAGTGATAGAAGATGAAATGAATGAAATGAAGCGAGAAGGGAAGTTTAGAGAAAAAAGAATAAAAAGAAATGAACAAAGCCTCCAAGAAATATGGGACTATGTGAAAAGACCAAATCTACATCGTATTGGTATACCTGAAAGTGATGGGGAGAATGGAACCAAGTTGGAAAACATTCTGCAGGATATTATCCAGGAGAACTTCCCCAGTCTAGCAAGGCAGGCCAACATTCAGGTTCAGGAAATACAGAGAACGCCACAAAGATACTCCTTGAGAAGAGCAACTCCAAGACACATAATTGTCAGATTCACCAAAGTTGAAATGAAGGAAAAAATGTTAAGGGCAGCCAGAGAGAAAGGTTGGGTTACCCGCAAAGGGAAGCCCATCAGACTAACAGTGGATCTCTCGGCAGAAACCCTACAAGCCAGAAGAGAGTGGGGGCCAATATTCAACATTCTTAAAGAAAAGAATTTTCAACCCAGAATTTCATATCCAGCCAAACTAAGCTTCATAAGTGAAGGAGAAATAAAATACTTTACAGACAAGCAAATGCTGAGAGATTTTGTCACCACCAGGCCTGCCCTAAAACAGCTCCTGAAGGAAGCACTAAACATGGAAAGGAACAACTGATACCAGCCACTGCAAAATCATGCCAAATTGTAAATACCATCGAGGCTAGGAAGAAACTGCATCAACTAACGAGCAAAATAACCAGCTAACATCATAATGACAGGATCAAATTCACACACAACAATATTAACTTTAAATGTAAATGGACTAAATGCTCCAATTAAAAGACACAGACTGGCAAATTGGATAAAGAGTCAAGACCCATCAGTGTGCTGTATTCAGGAAACCCATCTCACGTGCAGAGACACACATAGGCTCAAAATAAAAGGACGGAGAAGATCTACCAAGCAAATGGAAAACAAAAAAAGGCAGGGGTTGCAATCCTAGTCTCTGATAAAACAGACTTTAAACCAACAAAGATCAAAAGAGACAAAGAAGGCCATTACATAATGGTAAAGGGATCAATTCAACAAGAAGAGCTAACTATGCTAAATATATATGCACCCAATACAGGAGCACCCAGATTCATAAAGCAAGTCCTGAGTGACCTACAAAGAGACTTAGACTCCCACACAATAATAATGGGAGACTTTAACACCCCACTGTCAACATTAGACAGATCAATGAGACAGAAAGTTAACAAGGATACCCAGGAATTGAACTCAGCTCTGCACCAAGCAGACCTAATAGACATCTACAGAACTCTCCACCCCAAATCAACAGAATATACATTTTTTTTCAGCACCACACCACATCTATTCCAAAATTGACCACATAGTTGGAAGTAAAGCTCTCCTCAGCAAATGTAAAACAACAGAAATTATAACAAACTGTCTCTCAGACCACAGTGCAATCAAACTAGAACTCAGGATTAAGAAACTCACTCAAAACCGCTCAACTACATGGAGACTGAACAACCTGCTCCTGAATGACTACTGGGTACATAACGAAATGAAGGCAGAAATAAAGATATTCTTTGAAACCAATGAGAACAAAGACACAACATACCAGAATCTCTGGGACACATTCAAAGTGTCTAGAGGGAAATTTATAGCACTAAATACCCACAAGAGAAGCAGGAAAGATCCAAAATTGACACCCTAACATCACAATTAAAAGAACTAGAAAAGCAAGAGCAAACACATTCAAAAGCTAGCAGAAGGCAAGAAATAACTAAAATCAGAGCAGAACTGAAGGAAATAGAGACACAAAAAGACTCTTCAAAAAATTAATGAATCCAGGAGCTGGTTTTTTGAAAGGATCAACAAAACTGATAGACCGCTAGCAAGACTAATAAAGAAGAAAAGAGAGAAGAATCAAATAGACGCAATAAAAAATGATAAAGGGGATAGCACCACCACTCCCACAGAAATACAAACTACCATCAGAGAATACTACAAACACCTCTACACAAATAAACTAGAAAATCTAGAAGAAATGGATACATTCCTTGACACATACACCCTCCCAAAACTAAACCAGGAAGAAGTTGAATCTCTGAATAGACCAATAACAGGCTCTGAAATTGTGGCAATAATCAATAGCTTACCAACCAAAAAGAGTCCAGGACCAGATGGATTCACAGCCGAATTCTACCAGAGGTACAAGGAGGAACTGGTACTATTCCTTCTGAAACTATTCCAATCAACAAAAAAAGAGGGAATCCTCCCTAACTCATTTTATGAGGCCAGCATCATCCTGATACCAAAGCCGGGCAGAGACACAACCAAAAAAGAGAATTTTAGACCAATATCCTTGATGAACATTGATGCAAAAATCCTCAATAAAATACTGGCAAACCGAATCCAGCAGCACATCAAAAAGCTTATCCACCATGATCAAGTGGGCTTCATCCCTGGGATGCAAGGCTGGTTCAATATACGCAAATCAATAAATGTAATCCAGCATATAAACAGAACCAAAGACAAAAACCACATGATTATCTCAATAGATGCAGAAAAGGCCTTTGACAAAATTCAACAACCCTTCAGGCTAAAAACTCTCAATAAATTAGGTATTGATGGGACGTATCTCAAAATAATAAGAGCTATCTATGACAAACTCACAGCCAATATCATACTGAATGGGCAAAAACTGGAAGCATTCCCTTTGAAAACTGGCACAAGACAGGGATGCCCTCTCTCACCACTCCTATTCAACATAGTGTTGTAAGTTCTGGCCAGGGCAATTAAGCAGGAGAAGGAAATAAAGGCTATTCAATTAGGAAAAGAGGAAGTCAAATTGTCCCTGTTTGCAGACGACATGATCATATATCTAGAAAACCCCATTGTCTCAGCCCAAAATCTCCTTAAGCTGATAAGCAACTTCAGCAAAGTCTCAGGATACAAAATCAATGTGCAAAAATCACAAGCATTCTTATACACCAATAACAGACAAACTGAGAGCCAAATCATAAGTGAACTCCCATTCACAATTGCTTCAAAGAGAATAAAATACCTAGGAATCCAACTTACAAGGGACGTGAAGGACCTCTTCAAGGAGAACTACAAACCACTGCTCAATGAAATAAAACAGGATACAAAGAAATGGAAGAACATTCCGTGCTCATGGGTAGGAAGAATCAATATCGTGAAAATGGCCATACTGCCCAAGGTAATTTATAGATTCAATGCCATCCCCATCAAGCTACCAATGACTTTCTTCATAGAATTAGAAAAAACTACTTTAAAGTTCATATGGAACCAAAAAAGAGCCCGCATTGCCAAGTCAATCCTAAGCCAAAAGAACAAAGCTGGAGGCATCACGCTACCTGACTTCAAACTATACCGCAAGGCTACAGTAACCAAAACAGCATGGTACTGGTACCAAAACAGAGATATAGATCAATGGAACAGAACACAGCCCTCAGAAATAACGCCGCATATCTATAACTATCTGATCTTTGACAAACCTGAGAAAAACAAGCAATGGGGAAAGGATTCCCTATTTAATAAATGGTGCTGGGAAAACTGGCTAGCCATATGTAGAAAGCTGAAACTGGATCCCTTCCTTACACCTTATACAAAAATTAATTCAAGATGGATTAAAGACTTAAACGTTAGACCTAAAACCATAAAAACCCTATAAGAAAACCTAGGCATTACCATTCAGGACATAGGCATGGGCACGGACTTCATGTCTAAAACACCAAAAGCAATGGCAACAAAAGACAAAATTGACAAATGGGATCTAAACTAAAGAGCTTCTGCACAGCAAAAGAAACTACCATCAGAGTGAACAGACAACCTACAAAATGGGAGAAAATTCTCACAACCTACTCATCTGACAAAGGGCTAATATCCAGAATCTACAATGAACTCAAACAAATTTACAAGAAAAAAACAAACAACCCCATCAAAAAGTGGGCGAAGGATATGAACAGACACTTCTCAAAAGAAGACATTTATGCAGCCAACAGACACATGAAAAAATGCTCACCATCACTAGCCATCAGAGAAATGCAAATCAAAACCACAATGAGATACCATCTCACACCAGGTAGAATGGCAATCATTAAAAAGTCAGGAAACAACAGGTGCTGGAGAGGATGTGGAGAAATAGGAACACTTTTACACCGTTGGTGGGACTGTAAACTAGTTCAACCATTGTGGAAGTCAGTGTGGCGATTCCTCAGGGATCTAGAACTAGAAATACCATTTGACCCAGCCATCCCATTACTGGGTATATACCCAAAGGATTATAAATCATGCTGCTATAAGGACCCATGCACACGTATGTTTATTGCGGCACTATTCACAATAGCGAAGACTTGGAACCAACCCAAATGTCCAACAATGATAGACTGGATTAAGAAAATGTGGCACATATACACAATGAAATACCATGCAGCCATAAAAAATGATGAGTTCACGTCCTTTGTAGGGACATGGATGAAATTGGAAATCATCATTCTCAGTAAACTATCACAAGAACAAAAAACCAAACACTGCATATTCTCACTCATAGGTGGGAATTGAACAATGAGAACACATGGACACAGGAAGGGGAACATCACACTCTGGGGACTGTTGTGGGGTGGGGGGAGGGGGGAGGGATAGCATTAGGAGATATAACTAATGCTAAATGACGAGTTAATGGGTGCAGCACACCAGCATGGCACATGTATACATATGTAACAAATCTGCACATTGTGCACATGTACCCTAAAACTTAAAGTATAATAATAATAAAATAAAATAAAATAAAATAATACAACAGAGCACACACACACACGAAACTCATATCCAGTGGCATTGCTGAAAACAATAGCAAAATCAGTGGCAAGCAATCAAGGAAGGCCAATATGACAGCTAGCCTAAAGCCTCCATAATGGTTGTAGAGAGCCACAGGCCAGAAGGCCTGCCAGCAAGAAATTTAACAGGGATATCCAGGTAATGAGACAGCCAAAGTAGGCCTTGAAAAGTTCTGACATATCACTGGGGGTTTGGCAGACTACGTATATTTACAAACTGCACACTTGCTTATGAAAGGTCAGAGTGGATCCTAGATATGCACTTGTCCCTGGGAGAACATGAGTCCTTGTCCACACAGAAAGTAAGAGTGAGACAGGCTTGTAAACAGCCTGAACTTTGAATTTGTTTCCCATCCCACATGCAGATCCACTTTTCAAAGGGTAGAAACTTAGCCTTACTGGTTAAAGATTTTAATTGCAATCTCTGACCAACCATTAACTGACCACTAAGCTATGCTGATACAGAGGTAATATTGTCTAAAACGTCCAGTTTTCCTTAAAAAATATTAGACATGAGTGTGTATTCCATACATGGGGTGAAAACAGCAGTCAACAAAAACCATTTCTAGGGGCTCAGATGTTGCACGCAACAGACAAGGACAAAAAATGTACTCAAAGAACAAAAGAACAAAATAAACCATGTTTAATGAATTAAAGGAAATTAGGAGAACAATTACTTAGCACACAGAACATCAACAAAGAGACAGAAATTATAAAAAAAGAAAAATGGAAACTCTGGAATTGAAGGGTATAATAACTGAAATGAAAAATTCACTAGGGAGACTACACAGATTGCTCTGACAGAAGAAGGAATCAACAAGCTTAAAGATAGATTAATAGAGATAACTTGATCTGTAGAACAGAAAGAAAAAATTTAAGAAAAATGAACAGAGCTACAGAGACCTGTGGGATAGCACCGAACACAACAACCTGTATTAGTTTACTAAGACTACCATAAAAAAGTGCCACGAACTGGGTGGCTTAACCATCAGAAACATATTATCTCACAGTTCTGGAGGCCAGAAGTCTGAGACCATGTGTTGGTAATGTTGGTTCCTTCTAAGGGCTATGAGGGAAAGATATGTTCCAGACCACTTTCCTTGGCTTGTGGATAGCCATCTTCTCCCTGTCTTCACATCATTTCCCCTCTGCATGTATCTGTCTCCAAATTTTCCCTTTTTATAAGAATATAAGTTAAATAATTTCATTTTAATTTGATTACCTCTGTAAAGACCTTATCTTCAAATAAGGTTGCATTCTCAGATATAGAGGGTTATGACTTTAACATACGAATTTTGGAGGGACAAAATTCAATGCATATCGTAACATATGAGTCATTGGAGTCCAAGAAAAAGCAGAGAGACAAAAAGGGACAGACAAAATATTTGAAAATATAATTGTCAGAAATTTCCCAAACTTGATGAAAAATATTAATCTACACATCCAAGGATCTCAACGCCAAGGATGATAAACACAAAGAAATCTACATACTGAAAAATCACAATAGGCTGTTGAAAGCCAAAGAAAATAAGCAAGTTTCAAAGAAACAAAAGAAAAAATGAGCAAACCAAATCCAGCAGCACAATAAAAAGCTAATCCACCGCAATCAAATAGACTTTACCCCTGGGATGCAAGTTTGGTTCAAAATATGCAAATCAATAAATGTGATTCATCACATAAACAGAACTAAAAACAAAAACTACATGATTATTTCAATAGAAGCAGAAAAGGCTTTTGATAAAATTCAGCATCTGTTCATGTTAAAACAAATTAGGCACTGGAGGAAGATGCCTCAAAATAGTTAACAGCCATCTATAACAAACCCACAGCCAACATCATACTGAATGAGCAAAAGCTGGAAGCATTCCCCTTAAGAACCAGAACAAAACAAGGATGTCCAGTTTCACCACTCCTATTCAACATAGTACTGGGAGTCTTGGCCAGAGCAGTCAGGCAAGAGTAAGAGATAAAAGGCATCCAAATAGGAAGAGAGGAAGTCAAACTATCTCTGTTTGCAGATTATATAATTCTATACCTAGAAAACCCCATAGTCTCTGCCAAAACCTCCTAGATCTGATTTAAAAAAAAATCAGCACTTCAGCAAAGTTTCAGGATACAAAACTCAATGCACAAAAATCAGTAGCATTTCTATACACCAACAACATCTAAGCTGAGAGCCACATCAAGAGTGCAATCGCATTCACAACAGCCACAAGAAGAATAAAATACCTGGGAATACAGCTAACCAGGAAGGTAAAAAATATCTACAATGAGAATTACAAAACACTGCTCAAAGAAATCATAGATGACACCAACAAATGGGAAAACATTCCATGTTCATGGATAAGAAGAGTCAATATTGTTAAAATGGCCATACTACCCAAAGCATTTTACAGATTCAATGCTATTCCTATCAAACTACCAATGACATTCTTCACATAATTAGAAAAAAAATCTAAAATTCATATGAAACCAAAAAGTAGCCTGACTAGCCAAAACAATCGTAAGGAAAAAGATCAAAGCTGGAGGAATCACATTACTTGACTTTAAACTACACTACAAGGCTACTGTAAGCAAAGGAGCATGGTACTGGTACAAAAACAAAGATATAGACCAATGGAACAGAATGGAGAGCCCAGAAATAAAGTTGTGCACCTATAACCATCTGATCTTCAATGAAGTTGACAAAAGCAAGCAATGAAGAAAGGATTCCCTATTCAATAAATGGTGCTGGGATAACTGCTAGCCATATGCAGAAGATTAAAACTGGACCCCTTCCTTATACCATATACAAAAATCAACTCAAGATGGTTTCAAGACTTATAAATGTAAAGCCTAAAACTACAAAACCCCTGGAAGATAACCTAAGAAATACCATTCTGGACACAGGCCCAGTGAAAGATTTCATAACGAAGATATCAAAAGCAATTGCAATGACAACAAAAATTGACAAATGAGACCTAATTAAACTAAAGAGCTTTTGCACAGCAAAAGAAACTATCAACAGAGTAAATAGACAACACACAGAATGGGGCAAATATTTGCAAGCTATGCATCTGACAAAGGTCTAATATCTGGAAGCTATAAGGCACTTAAATTAACAAGCAAAAACCAAACAACCCCATTAAAGAGTGGGCAAAACACATGAACAGATACTTTTCAAAAGAAGACATACACATGGCCAACAAGCACATAAAAAAGTGCTAAACATCACCAAATCATTAGAAAAATGTAAATTAAGGCCTGGTGCAGTTGGCTCACACCTGTAATCCTAGCACTTTTGGGAGGCCAAGGCGGGTGGATTGCCTGAGCTCAGGAGTTTGAGACCAGGCTGGGCAATATGGTGAAACCCCATCTCTACTAAAAATAAAAAAAATTAGTTGGCCATGGTGGTGTGCACTTGTAGTCCCAGATACTCAGGGAGGCTGAGGCATGAGAGTTGCTTAAACCAAGGAGGCAGAGACTGCAGTGAGCTGAGATCACACCACGGTGCTCCAACCTGGGCAACAAAGCGAGACTCTGTCTCAAAAAAAAAAAAAATAGAAAAATGTAAATTAAAACCACAATGAGATACCATCTCACACCAGTCAGGTTCATAGTGGCTGATTAGATGTAGCTAGTATATGCCCCTTCCATGGAGATAATACTAACAGCCCAGCTCTCAAAGAACTATTAGGTTGGTGCAAAAGTAATTGCAGTTTTTGCCTTAACACATCCAGCCCTGGTGCCACTGCCACTGCTGCCACCACTGGCCAAGGAGGGAAAGAAGAGATCAGGCACTTTCACACACTCTGAGGACGAATCCCATCCCTGCTGCTGCTGCAGGCTGCTGTGAAACGAAAGAGAAAGAAAACCATGTAACACACAGGTGCCTGCCTATGTTGCTCCCACTGATAGTGGTCCCACCCTATATGGTGACAGGACTACAGCTGCTACCATTGAGAGCCCAGTCCCCAAAGAACTGCATCCTGCCCTGGGGCTAATGCTGCCACTGCCACCATCAGGCCCAGGAGGGAGATGGGGGAGGCCTGGCACTTTTACATGCCCCAAGGAAAAGTTGTACTAGTGCTGCTGTAGGCTGTAGGACCAAGGTATGAGCAGGCTGTGTGCCCCACAAGTGCCTGCTTGCACTGCTGACAATGACAATGGCCCCATCCTCCCAGATGGCAGGCCCACAGTGCAGCCACCACTGCCCCCACCTGAATATCCTGCCGGCAGCCTGGAGACAACCCTGCCCCTGCCTATCACAGCTATAGCCTGAATACACTAACCAGGGTCCCTGAGGGCAAGTACACTAACCCAGTCCTATGCCCCCAGTACTCAAGTATGCTATCCAGAGGCCTGGGGATCTCTCAGCCCAGTCCATACCAGTGGAACCTGAGTACTCTTCCCAGGGTCTGAAGTTGGGCTGACCCAACATACCAATACCACCACTGCTGGCAAACACCAACACATATCACCTGTGTGCCAGGAGATTGGCCCACCCAACCCATTGCTGCCACGGCAAAGACGAGCTTCAACCACATAGGTTGTAGGAGGATGCCCCATCAATGCTATTGCCATTGCCCACATCATGCCCACTGCACAGGGGCCTGAGAACCTGCCCATAAACCCGGCCAAACATTGTCACTGCTGACATCTGAACAAGCCACCCGGAGGCCCAAGAATTGGCCTGCCTTCACCTGTTAACACCAGAGCCAGAATACATGGCTCTGGGGTTCAAGGACAGGCAAGCTCAGCCCACTGCTGCCACCACTGGGGCCCCAAAACTGGCACACTTCACATCACAGCCCCAGAAAAACTTTGCCCTAGAAAACCCTAAAGACTTTCTCCAAAAAACTTGTAGAGTTGATTTCAGTAAACTTTCAGGAAACAAAATCAATATACATAAATTAGTAGCATTTCTATATGCCAGTAATTATCCAGCTGAGAAACAAATTAAGAAGGAAATCCCATTTACAATAGCTACAAAAAATAAAATAGTAAGGAATATATTTAACCAAGAATCTCTACAAGGAAAACTACAAAACACTGGTGAAAGAAATTGTACATGACAAAAATGGGGAAAAACATCCCATACTCATGGGTCAAAAGAATCAATATTGTTAAAATGACCATACTGCTCAAAGTAACCTACAGATTAAATTGCAATCCCTATCAAGGTACCCACATCATTTTTCACAGAATTAGAAAAAAATTATAAAATTCATATGTAAACAAAAAAGAGCCTGAATAGCCAAAGGAATCCTAAGCAAAAAGAACAAAGACGGAGGTATCTCATTACCTGACTTCAAATTATACTACAAAGCTATAGGAACCAAACAGCATGGTACTGGTATAAAAACAGGCACACAAATCAATGGAACAGAATAGAGAACACAGAAATAAAACCACATATCTACAACCAACTGGTCTTTGACAAAGGTGACAAAAACACACAATGGGGAAAAGACACCCTTTATTTTTCTTTTTCAACTTTTGTTTTAGAATTAGAGGTTACACGTGCAGGTTTGTTACAAAGGTATATTACATAATGCTGAAGTTTGGGGTATGACTAAATCTGTCACTCTGGTAGTGAACATAGTACCCAATAGGTAGTTTCTCAGCCTTTAGCCCCCTCTTTCTCTCCCACCTCTAGCAGTCCCCAGTGTCTGTCTATTGTTCCCATCTTTATAGGACATCATTTTCAATAAATGGTCTTGGGAAAATTGGATTGCCACATGCAGAGGAATGAAACTGGACTCCTATCTCTCACCACATAAAAAAATCAACTTAAGATGGAGTAAATACTTCAATATAAAACCAGAAACTATACAAATACTGGCAGAAAACCCAGGGAAACTGCTGGATATTGGTCTAGGCAAAGAATTCACAACTAAGACCTCAAAATCGCAAGCAACAAAAAAAAAAAAATAGAAAAATGGGACTTCATTAAAAAGCTCTTATACAGCAAAATAATTAATCAACCAGGTGCACAGACAACCTGGAGAATGGGAGAAAAATATTTGCAAACGATGCATCCAACATGAACCTAGTTCTCAGCAGCCAGCACTCAAATTCACAAGGAACATGAACAACTCAACAACAACAAAGAAAACAAATAACTCCATTAAAAAGTGGGTGAAGAACATAAATAGACATTTTTCAAAAGAAGACATACAAATGACCAATAGACATATGAAAAAATGCTCAGCATCACTAATCACTGGAGAAATGAAAATTAAAACCACAATGAGATATCATCTTACACCAGTCAGAATGGCTATTACTAAAAAGTAAAAAAAAACAGATGTTGGTGAGGATGCTAAAAGGGAATGCTTATACACTGTTGATGGGAATGTAAATTAATATAACCTCTACAGTATGGAGATTTCTCAAATAAGTAAAAATAGAACTACCGTTTGATCCAGCAATCCCACTAATAGGTATCTACCCAAAAGTAAAAAAGCCATTATATAAAAAGGATACATGTACTTGTATGTTTATTGCAGCACTATATTAGTCCGTTTTCACACTGCTGATAAAGACATACCTGAGACTCAACAATTTACAAAAGAAATAGGTTTAATGGACTTACAGTTCCACGTGGCTGGGGAGGCCTCACAACGATAGCAGAAGGTGAAAGACACATCTCATGTGGCAGCAGACAAGAGAAGAGGGCTTGTGCAGGGAAACTACTCTTTATAAAACCATCAGCTCTCCTGGTACCATTTCTTCTGAAACTATTCCAATCAATAGAAAAAGAAGGAATCCTCCCTAACTCATTTTATGAGGCAAGCATCATCCTGATACCAAAGCCTGGCAGAGACACAACAAAAAAAGAGAATTCTAGACCAATATCCCTAATGAACATCGATGCAAAAATCCTCAATAAAATACTAGCAAACCAAATCTATCAGCACATCAAAAAGCTTATCCACCATGATCAAGTGGGCTTCATCCCTGGGATGCAAGGCTGGTTCGACATATGCAAATTAATACATGTAATCCATCATTTAAACAGAACCAAAGACAAAAACCACATGATTATCTCAATAGAAGCAGAAAAGGCCTTCAACAAAATTCAACAGCCCTTCATGCTAAAAACTCTCAATAAACTAGGTAGTGATGGAACGTATCTCAAAATAATAAGAGCTATTTATGACAAACCCACAGCCAATATCATACTGAATGGGCAAAAACTGGAAGCATTCCCTTTGAAAACTGGCACAAGACAGGGATGCCCTCTCTCACCACTCCTATTCAACATAGTGTTGGAAGTTCTGGCCAGGGCAATCAGGCAGGAGAAAGAAATAAAAGGTATTTGATTAGGAAAAGAGGAAGTGAAATTGTCCCTGTTTGCAGACAACATGATGTATATTTAGAAAACCCCATTGTCTCAGCCCCAAATCTCCTTAAGCTGATAAGCAACTTCAGCAAAGTCTCAGGATACAAAATCAATGTGCAAAAATCACAAACATTCCTATACACCAATTACAGACAAACAGAGAGCCAAATCATGAGTGAACTCCCATTCATAATTGCTTCAAAGAGAATAAAATACCTAGGAATCCAACTTACAAGGAATATGAAGGACCTCTTCAAGGAGAACTACAAACCACTGCTCAATAAAATAAAAGAGGACACAAACAAATGGAAGAACATTCCATGCTCATGGACAGGAAGAATGAATATCATGAAAATGGCCATACTGCCCAAGGTAATTTATAGATTCAATGCCATCCCCATCAAGCTACCAATGACTTTCTTCACAGAAATTGAAAAAACTACTTTAAAGTCCATATGGAACCAAAATAGAGCCTGCATTGCCAATACAATCCTAAGCAAAAAGAACAAAGCTGGAGGCATCATGCTACCTGACTTCAAACTATACTACAAGACTACAGTAACCAAAACAGCATGGTACTGGTACCAAAACAGAGATATAGACCAAGGGAACAGAACAGAGCCCTCAGAAATAATACCACACATCTACAACCATCTGATCTTTGACAAACGTGACAAATACAAGAAATGGGGCAAGGATTCCCTATTTAATAAATGGTGCTTGGAAAACTGGCTAGCCATATGGAGAAAGCTGAAACTGGATCCCTTCCTTACACCTTATACAAAAATTAATTCAAGATGGATTAAAGACTTAAATGTTAGACCTGAAACCACAAAAACCCTAGAAGAAAACCTAGGCAATACCATTCAGGACATAGGCATGGGCAAGGACTTCATGACTAAAACACCAAAAGCAATGGCAACAAAAGCCAAAACTGACAAATGGATCTAATTAAACTAAAGAGCTTCTGCACAGCAAAAGAAACTACCATCAGAGTGAACAGACAACCTACAGAATGGGAGAAAATTTTTGCAATCTACCCATCTGAAAAAGGGCTAATATCCAGTATCTACAAAGAACTTAAACAAATTTACAAGAAAAAATCAAACAACTCCATCAAAAATTGGGCAACAGATATGAAGACACTTCTCAAAAGAAGACATCTATGCAGCCAACAGACACATGAAAAAATGCTCATCATCACTGGCCATCAGAGAAATGCAAATCAAAACCACAATGAGATACCATTTCACACCAGTTAGAATGGCGATCATTAAAAAGTCAGGAAACAACAGGTGCTGGAGAGGATGCAGAGAAATAGGAACAGTTTTACATTGTTGGTGGGACTGTAAGCTAGTTCAACCATTGTGGAAGACAGTGTGGCGATTCCTCAAGGATCTAGAACTAGAAATACCATTTGACCCAGCCATCCCATTACTGGGTATATACCCAAAGGATTATAAATCATGCTGCTATAAAGACACATGCACATGTATGTTTATTGCGAAACTATTCACAATAGCAAAGACTTGGAACCAACCCAAATGTCCATCAATGATAGACTGGATTAAGAAAATTTGGCACATATACACCATGGAATACTATGCAGCCATAAAAAATGATGAGTTCATGTCCTTTGTAGGGACCTGGATGAAGCTGGAAACCATCATTCTGAGCAAACTATTGCAAGGACAGAAAACCAAACACCACATGTTCTCACTCATAGGTGGGAACTGAACAATGAGAACACTTGGACACAGGGTGGGGAACATCACACACTGGGGCCTGTCGTGGGGTTGGGGGATGGGGGAGGGATAGTATTAGGAGATATACCTAATGTAAATGATGAGTTAATGGGCGCAGCACACCAACATGGCACATGTATACATATGTAACAAACATGCACGTTGTGCACATGTACCCTAGAACTTAAAGTATAATAAAAAAAAAGAAAAGAAGAAAGACCATCAAAAAAATAAAATAAATAAAACCATCAGCTCTCGTGAGACTTATTCACTATCATGAGAACAGCATGGGAAAGACCCACCCCCATGATTCAGTTACCTCCCACCAGGTCCCTCCCACCCTCCCACAACATGTAGGAATTCAAGATGAGATTTGGGTGTGGACACAGCCAAACCATATCAAGCACTATTCACAAAGGCAAAGGTATGGAATTAACCTGAATGTCCGTTAATGGATGACTAAATAAAATGTAGTACATATGCAAAATGGAATACTATTCAGCCATAAAAAATAATAAAATTGTCTTTTGCAGCAACATGGATGTAACTGAATGCCATTATCTTAAGTGAAACAACAGAGAAACAGAAAAGAAAATGCCACATGTTCTCACTTATAAGTGGGAACTAAGTAATGTGCACACATGGACATAGAGTGAGGAATGATAAATATCAGAGACTTGGAAGGGTAGGAGGGGAGTGAGGGATGAGAAATTATTTAATGAGTACAATGCACATTATTCAGGTGATGGTTACCCTAAAATCCCAGACTTCATTACTAGGCAATATATCCACATAACAAAACTACACTTGTACCTCATATATTTATACAAATAAAAAGAGGAAAAGAAAAAAATTCACAATGACTTTCCAGCAACAGATCCCAATCAAAAAGATATTCACAAAATCCCAGATAACAAATTGAAAATACAAATTTTAAAGAAGCTCAGCAAGATAAATGAGAAATCTGAAAAACAAAAATAAATCAGAAAAACAATTCAAGATATGAATTAGAAATTTTTCAAATAGATATTTTTTTAAAAAAGAACCCAACAAAAATTCTGAAACTGAAGAATTCATTGAATAAAATATAAAATACATTTGAAAGTTACAACAATAGATTAGGTCAAGCAGAAGAAAGAATTTCAGAACTTGAAGACAGGTCTTTTGAAATAATCCAGTCAGAAAAAAAAATAAATAAAAAAGAATTAAATAGAATGAGCAAAACCTTCATGACATTTGGGATACCATAAAGTGATCAAATCTTTGAATTATCAGTGTTCTCAAGGCTGAAGAGAGAACAAAATGATGGAATCCTATTTAATGAAATAATAGGTGAAAAATTCCCAAGTCTAGCAAGAGACTTCGACATCCATATGTCTATATGGGGCTCAAACATCCCCAGAAATACAATGCATAAAGGTTTTCTCCCCACCACATTATAGTCAGTCTCTCTAAAGTCAAAGATAAAACAGGATTCTAAAAATAGCAAGAGAAAAATGTCTAGCCACCAATAAAAGAACTCTCATCAGACTAACAGCAGATTTCTCAGCAGAAGTCTTACAGGACAGGAAAGAATGAGATGATGTATTCAATGTCCTGAAAGAAAAAAAAACTGCCAGCCAAGGATACTATCCCCAGCAACGTTTTCACTCATAAATGAAGGGAAATTTATGATTTCCCTCATAAATGAAGTCTTTTTCAGAGAAGCAAATGCTGAGAGAATTTTCACCACTAGATGAGTCCTACAAGAAATGCTCGAGTCTTAAACCTGAAAGCAAAATGACAGTATTTACCACCATGAAAACAAACAAAAGTATAAAACCCACTAGTAAACCCTACACACAAATGAGGAAGAGAATGGACTCAAATGATACCACTACAGAAAATCACCACACCAAAATAACAAACAATAAGAGAAAACAAAAGGAACAAAAAATATACAAAACAACCAGAAAACAATTAACAATATGATAAGAACAAAACCTCACATAGCAGTGATAACCCTGAATGCAAATGGACTAAATTCTCCACTTAAACATATAGACTGGCTGAATGGATTTTAAAAACATGGTCCAACTGTATGCTGCCTCCAAGAAGAGCACTTTACCTGCAAGGATACATATAGACAAAGGGGGATAATGAAGACATTACATGCAAATGGAAACTAAAAGTAAACAGGAGTAGCTATACTTAGATAAAACAGACTTTAGGTGAAAAACAGTAAAAAGACAAGGTCATTACATAATGGTAAATTAATCAAGCAAGAGGATATAAATTATACACACACACAAACACACACACACACACACACACACACACACACACACATATATATATGCTTTATGAATCTGTGTGCTCCATGAAAATAAACAAAATGTTTTGTATGTTTGGAGTACATATATGCACTCAATCCTGGAGCACACAGATTTGTAAAGCAAATATTGCTAGATATAAAGGGAGAGAAAGATTCCAACACAATAATAATGGGGAACTTTAACAGCCCACTCTCAGCATTAGACAGATCATCTAGACAGAAAATCAACACAGAAACATTGGATTTAAACTGGTAAACTGATCCTTAGACCAAATGGACCTAACAGATATTAAAGAAAATTTCATCCAACAATTACAGAATGCACATTCTTCCCACAGGCACATGAGACACTCTTCAGGATAGACCATATGCTGGCTACAAAACAAGTCTCAACAACTTTTTAAAAACTGAAGTCATATCAAGTATTTCAGACCAAAATGGAATAAAATTAGAAATCAATAGCAAGAAGAACTTTAGAAACTGTAAAAATCCATCGTTATTGGGCCAGGCACGGTGGCTCATGCCTTTAATCCCAGCACTTTGGGGAGGCCGAGGCGGGCGGATCACCTGAGGTTGTGAGTTCAAGACCAGCCTGACCAACATGGAGAAACCCCGTCTCTACTAAAAATACAAAAAAATTAGCCAAGCATGGTGGTGCATGCCTGTAATCCCAGCTACTCGGGAGCCTGAGGCAGGAGAATTGCTTGAACCTGGGAGGCAGAGGTTGCAGTGAGTGAGATCATGCCATTGCACTCCAGCCTGGGCAACAAGAGCAAAGCTCCGTCTCAAAAAAAAAAAAAAAATCCATGGTTATTAAACAAAAAGCTCCTAGATGGCATTGAGTCAAGAAATAAATTAGGGAGAGCAAAAAATTTCCTGAAACAAGTGAAAATGAAAACAACACATACGCAAAAGTACAGGGTACAGCAAAAGCAGTGCTCAGAGGAAAGTTTATAGCAATAAATGGCTACATGAAGAAAGTACAAATATTTCAAATAAGCAACATAACAACGCACTTGAAGGAACTAGAAAAATATGAACAAAACCCAAAATTAGCAGAAAGAGAAAAAATAATAAAGATAAGAGCAGAATTAAACAAAATAGAGACTCAAAAAATACAAAGATCAACAAAATGAAAATTTGGTTTTTTGAAAAGATAAACAAGTTTTATAAACAACTCACTAAGCAAATCAAAAAAGAGAGAAGACCCAAATAAACAAAATTAGAAATGAAAAAGGAGATATTACAACTGATACCAAACAGAAATACAAAAGATCATCAGAGACTATTATGAACATCTATACACTAACAAAGTGGAAAACCTACGGGAAATGGATAAATCCCTTGACATACACAATGTGTCAAAGTTGAGTCAGGAGGAAATAGAAAAGCTGAACAGATCAATAACAAGTAGTGAGATTGAACCAGTAATAAACAGTCTCCCAAAGAAGAAAGCTCAGGACCAGATGGATTCACAGATGAATTCTATCAAGTGTATAAAGAACAACTAATATTAACCCTCCTGAAACTATTCTAAAAAATTGAAGAAGAGAGAACTATCCCTAACTCATTTAATGAGGCCAGAATTACCTTCATACCAAAATCTGGCAAAGACACAACAGAAAAAGAAAAGTAAAGGCTGATATTCCTGATGAACACAGATGCAAAAATCCTCAACAAAATACTAGCAAACAAAATCCAACAGCACATCAAAAAGATAATACACCACAATCAAGTGAGATTTATCCCAGGGATGGAAGGATGGTTCAACATATGTAAACCAATATATGTGCTACAACCCATCAACAGAATGAAGGACAAAAATTATATGGTCATCTTAATAGATGCAGAAAAAGAATTTGATAAAATTCAACGTCCTTTCATGATAAAAACTCTCAACAAACTAGTATAGAAGGAATATACCTCAAAAACATAAAGGTCATATATAACAAACCCACAGTTAACATCATACCAAATGGAAAAAAGCTAAAAGCCTTACCTCTAAGAAATGGAAAAAGACAAGGATGCCCACTTTCACCACTCCTGTTCAACATAATACTGGAAGTGCTAGCCAGAGCAACCAAGCAAGAGAAAGAAATAAAACGCATCCAAATTGGAAACAAGGAAGTCAAGTCACTCTCTTTGCTGATGATATGATCTTATATCTAAAAAAATCTAGAGACTCTACTAAAAAACTCCTACATTTGATAAATAAAGTAACATTTTAGGATACAAAGTCAACATACAAAAATCAGTAGTGTTTATATATGCCAACAATGATCTAGCCAAGAAAGAAAGCAGGCAATCCCATTGACAATAGCTACAAAAAATAAAATACTTGGGAATAAATTTAATCGAGGTGAAAAATCTTTACAGAAAAACTAAAAAATACTGACAAAAGAAATTTAAGAGAACAGAACAACTGGAAAACATCCCATGCTTAAGTATTGGAATAATTAATATTATTAAAATGACCAAATTACCCAAACCAATCTACAGATTCAATGTGATCCCTATCTAAGAACCAATGTTATTTTACACAGAATTAGTGAAAACAATCTTAAAATTTGTATGGAACTAAAACAGAGCCCGAGTAGCCAAAGCAATACTAAGCAAAAAGAACAAAGATGGAGGCATCACATTACCTGACTTCAAATTATATTACAAGGCTATAGTGTCTAAAACAGCATGGCATTGGTATAAAAACAGATGACACATAGACAAATGGAACAGAATAGAGAGTCTAGAAATAAATCCATGTACTTATATCCAACTGATTTTTGACAAAGATACCAAGAACATATACTGGTGAAAGGAAACCCTCTTCAATAGATGATTCTGAGAAAATGGGAGACCTGTATGCAGAAGAATAAAACTGGACCTCTTTCTCTCTCCATATAAAAAATTAAGTCAAGAAGGATTAAAGTCTTAAGCATGACCCAAACCGTTTAAGCAGTAGAACAAAACACAGAGAAAACATTGGTCTAGGTAAAGATTTCATGGCTAAGACATCAAAGGCACAATTATAATAAAAACATACAAATGAGACTTTATTAAACTAAAGAGCTTTTGTACAGCAAAAGAAACAATCAACAGAGTGAAGAGACAACCCATTGAATGGGAGAAAATATTTGCAAATTATTCATCCAACAAGGGACTAATATCCAGAATCTAGAAGGAACTCAAAGAACTCAACAATAAAAAAAAAAATCCCGTTAAAAAGTGAACAAAGGATATGAATAGACATTTCTTTTTAAAATACATACAAATTGCCATCAGCTGTAGGAAAAAAATGCTCAACATCCCTAATCATCAGGGAAATGCAAATTAAAACCACAATGAGATATAATCATACCCCAGCTAGGAAGCCTATTATTTAAAAAACAACAAATGAACAAATGTTGATGAGGATGTGGATAAAAGGGAACTCTCATCTGCTGGTGGAATGTAAATTAGCACAACTATGGAAACAGTATGGAGGATGTTTCAAAAAACTAAAAATAGAATTACCATATGATCTAGCAATCCTATAATAGTACTGGGTATTTATCTAAAGGAAACAAAATCTGTATATCAAAAGAATACCTGCACTTACATGTTTATAACAGCACTATTCATAATAGCAAAGATATAGAATAAACCTAAGTGTCTATTGAAGAATAGATAAAGAAAAATTTGGTATATATACATAATGGAATACTATTCACCATAAAAAAGAATGAAATCGGCTGGGTGTGGTGGCTCACGCCTGTAATCCCAGCACTTTGGGAGGCCGAGGAGGGGAGATCACCTGAGGTCAGGAGTTTGAGACCTGCCTGGCCAACATGGAGAAACCCTGTCTCTACTAAAAATACAAAAATTAGCTGGGTGTGGTGGTGGACACCTATAATTCCAGCTACTCTCGGGAGGCTAAGGCAGGAGAATTGCTTGAACCCGGGAGGCGGAGGTTGCAGTGAGCCAAGATCACACCACTGCACTCCAGCCTGGGTGACAGAGTGAGACTCTCTCAAACAAACAAACAAAAAAACAATGAAATCATGTCATTTGCAGCAACATGGATGGAACTGGAGTTAAGTGAAATAAGCCAGGAACAGAAAGACAGATACTGCATGTTCTCACTAATTTATGAAAGGTAAAATCACTGATTTCATGAAGATAGAGACCAGAATGATAGATATTAGAGGTCGAGAAGGATGTGTGGATGGGAGAAGTGATATAGAAAGATTGGTTAGTGGGTACCAACATACAGTTGAATAGAATAAATAAGTTCCAATAATCTATACCAGAGTGACTACAGTTAGCAACAATGTATTATATATTCCAAAGTAGCTAAAAGAGAGGACTTGAAATGTTACCAACACATAGAAATGATAAATATTCAAGGTGATGGATACCCCAAATACCCTGACTTGATCTTTATCCATCCTATGCATGTAACAAATACTCATATGCACCCCAAAAATATGTAAAATATTTTGTATCGGTAAGAAAAAGAAGAAAATGTCAACCGAAAATTCTATTTGCAGCAAGACTGTACTTCAAATGAAGGTAATATAAAGACATTCCCAAATGGATAAAAATTGAGAGAATTTATTACTAGTAGAACTCCTGTACAAAAATACTAAAGAAAGTTCCTTGGGCTGAAAGGAAATGACACCAGATGGTAATAAAATAATCACAAAGTAATAAAGGTAAAGATTATTACATGGGTAAATATAAAACATGGTACATACGTGTACATACACATGTACTTCTGTTTCCTTTGCTTAACTGATCTAAAAGACAATTGTATAAAACAATAATTTATGAAAGTGTATGGTTGGTCTTACAACATATAAAGCTACAAGATACATCATACTTACCAAAATATGTGTGGATAAAATAGACCTATATTGGAGCAAGAAAATGATGCCATTGATAACATGCATCCTCAGAAAGAATTGAAGACAACCATAAATGATAAATATATAAATTAATCTAAAAGACTTTATAAATGTATTTTCTCCTTTCTTCCATCTCTTCTTTAAAAACATAATTTTACAAATTCATAATTATAACTGTATTTGGGGGTTTATATCACATATAGACATAATATACATTACTTTAATAACATAAAAGAAGGTAGAAAATGGAGCTCTTCTGAAGTTTCTACGTGCTACTGAAATGAAGTCAGCATTAATCTTCTGTAAACTGTGGTAAAATAAGATGCACATTATAAACCCTAGAGAAACCAGTAGGAAAATAATTAAAAATATACATGTATATGATAAAGACATCAAAAATTAATTATAACAGTATATTAGAATATAGCTATTTAACACAAAAAACTAGAGCAGGAAGAACAGAGGAACAAAAAGACAGGGTATATGTAGATGAAAAATAGTAAACTGGCAGGCAGAAATTGAAACAGACTAAATGTAAACAGTTACATTAAGTATAAAATAATTAAACATTCAAATCAAAAGGGAGAAACTATCAGGCTGGATTTTAAACACTAGATGAAAAAATATATATCTAACTATACTATGAGAGACACGCTTTACAGTCAAAGAAACAAGCTAAAGGGAAAGGATGGGGAAAGATATACCAGGTAAGCCTTAAAGAGAGCTAGAGTGACTACACTGTTATTATACTAAATAGACTTTTTAAAAGAGAAAAATTTTATAATTCAGTAATTCAATTCCTCAGGGAAATGTGAAAAGTAAAATGATACATGCATCTAACAAATAGAGCCCCATGGTACATGAAGAAGAAAGAAACTGATAGAATTAAAGAAAGAAAGAAATAATGCAACAATAATAGATGAAAACCTCAAAATCCCACTCTTAATAATGGATATAACAAAAAGAAAATCAGTGAAGAAATAAAAGACTTAGACAACACTATATACTTATGGACTACCTGACATCAATAGAACACTTCACTCCAAAACGCACATTCTTTTAAGCACACATGTAACTTTATACAGAAAAGACAATATGCAAGGTCATAAAATAATTCCCCATAAATTTAAAAGACTGAAATCATAAAGCATGTTCTCTAATCACAATGGAATTAAATTAGAATCAATAGTAGAAAGAAATTTGGGAAATCCACAAATATTTAAAAATTAAGAAAAACATATAAATAATCCATGAGCTAAAGAAGAAACCAAGGGGAAATTTTTTTTGAACTGAATGAAAATAAAACTAATATACCAAAATTTATGGAACACTTCACACCTATTAGAATGGCTATTATCAAAAAGACTAAAGATAACAAGTGTGGTAAGGATGTGGAGAAAAGGGAACCCTTGTACACTTTTGGTGGGAATGTCAATTAGGATAGCCATTATGGAAAACATTGTAATGGTTCCTAAAAAAATTAAAAATGGAATTACCATTTGATCCAGCAATCTCACTTACTGGTATAGCCAAAACATATAAAATCAGTCTGTTGAAGAGACATCTGCACCCCCATGCTCACTGCAACACTATTTACTATAATCAAGATATGAAATCAACCTAAGTATCCATCAATAGGTGAAAGTGTAAAGAAAATGTGGTATGTATACACAATGGGATACTATTCAGCCTTAAGAAAGAGGAAAATCTTGTCATTTGCAACAACATGGATGAACCTGGAGGATGTTATGTTAAGGGAACTAAGCCAGGCACAAAATGACAAATACCACCTTATCTGACTTATATGTGTAAACTAAATAACTTGAACTCATAGAAGCAGAGAATAAACTGGTGCTTCTGAGGGGCTGGGTGCAGGGGAGGGGACTGGGGAGATGTTGGTCAAATGATAAACAATTTCAATTTGACAGGAGAAAGGAGTTCAAGACACATGGTGACTATATTTGATAACAATGTACTGTTATTAGCAAGATGTCAAAATAGGAGATTCCAGGCTTTACTTCTCTCCATAGAAAGTGCAACTAGCAACTATCAACAGACCAAAACATCTTTGTGAAAACCCCAAAACTTGGGAAAAGCCTGAGACACCCATGTGGACCACAGAACTAAATAAAAACCCATTAGAAGGATAAGAGGAATGATCCCACTTTGACTTCAAGGCATCTCCTACTCCCCTAAGTTGGCACAGTGCCATACAGAGACAGTTCTCCTGGGCTTACAGTTTCTACAGTGGGAAAAGAGAACCAGAGGCAGACAACTAGATTTCTAGCATTCCAAGATGCTCCCCAGGAAGCCCACTCTAGTCTCACCTCATGGGGAACAGAAAGAATAATGACACAGCTAGACTGCCTTGGGTCAAGTAGAAACAAAGAAAGGAGGCAGAGCTCATAACCACCAGTGTGTGAATCTTGGTGATAGCTCTGGGCTCCTGCTAGCAGTGGTGCCCTGTCAGATGTACCAGCCAATGGCATAGCCCACCCACAAAGTAGAGCTGATTGCTCCCAGAAGCACAGTGGGAAGTTCAATCTGGCTTAAGTCTCTAGGATGGCCAGCCTCCATGCCCAGCCTCAGACTCCCCAAGGCCCCTTCCAGGGAGAGAGTTGCCCATCACAGCACATTTTGGCAAAGCACAGGGGCTAGGCCTGCCCCCATCTGGGAGAACAAACAGCAGCTTGGCTCAGCCACAAACCCCATCTGAAAACCCCACCCAGACAGGGAGGCAAACCTCAACTATGCATTTCTACTGAGCATAGAAGATACTCCCAACCATCCCAAGCAGCAACTCTGCCTAATCTTGGAGACCAGCCTGCACCCCTGGCCCAACCACAGAAATCAAATGGTGGTAATGCCCAGCCAAGGAATACACCCTGTGATCCAGCCTGATCAGAGGTGATTGTAAAGCCCAGCCAACAACTCTGCCTGATTTCAGAGCTCAGCCAGTGATGCCATAAGATATTGAAGCCCAGCCAGCAGCCTCATATGACCTCAGAGCAAAGGCAGCAGCCCACCAAGCTAGAAAATACAACAGCAAGCTCTGACTTCCCAGGCTTGTTACCAGATGGCCCCGTCCAGTATCACAGGCTAGACAATAGTGAAGGTCCATCCCTGCCAAAGAACTCCTGTAAAGGTTGGAAGAGGTGGTTGCCTCCTCAAATGTAAAGACACCAACATAAAGAAACAAGAATTAAGAAGAATCAAGGAATCATTACATCTCCAAAAGAAACTAATAAAACTCCAACAATGGGTCCTACAGAAATGGAGATCTATATAATGACTGACAAAGAATTCAGAATAATCCTCTTTAAAAAGTTCAGTGAACTACAATAATATATGGATAAAAAATTAAATGAAATTTGGAAAACAATACATGAACAAAATAAGAAGGCTGACGAAGAAATAGAAACAATTTTTTAAAAATAAAAATCTTAGAGATGAAGAACTCAATGAATGAACTGAAAATTTCAATAGAATATATCAGCAGCAGGCTCTATAAATCCAAGAAAAAAAAAACAATCAGTGAGCTCAAAGACAGAACATTTGAAATAATGCAGTCAGAGAGCAAAAAGAAAAAAGAATGCAGAAAGCCTATGAGAATTATGGAACACCATCAAGAGACTTAACATTTGCATAATAATAATACATGAAGAAGAACAGAGAGGAAAAGAGCCAGAAAGGCTATTTAAGGAAATAATGGCTAAAACCTTTCCAAATCTGGGGGAAGATGCCAAAAGTCTGGCAAAGGAAGCATACAGACCTGCAATCAAATTAAACCCAAAGAGGAGCTCACCAAGACACAATAATCAAACTGTCAAAATTCGAAGACAAATAAAAAGTTCTGAAAGCATCAAGATATAAGAAACACATCACATACAAGGGAATATCAATATGGCTATCAGCATATCAGATGTTTTAGCAGAAACTCTGCAGGTCAGGAGAAAATGGGATGATAAATTCAAAGTGCCAAAGTGGGGAGGGGGAAACCCAGCAACCAAGATTACTTTAACTGGCAAATCTGTCCTTCAAAAATGAGGAAGCAATTTTTAAAAAAAAGAAAAAAATGAGGGAGAAGGAAAAGCTTTCTCAGACAAACAAAAGCTAAGAGAGTTCATCACCACTAGGCCTGCCCTGCAGGAATTACTAAAGGGAGTTATTTAAGCTAAAACAGAAGGCCACTAATTAATAACATAAAACATATGAAAATGCAAAACTTAATGGTATAAGTAATACAGTTACATATAGAATAGGAGTATAATGATGGTGTGTAAAGCAATTTTACCTCAAGTACAATGGCTAAAAGTCAAAACTATGAAAAATAACTATAATTAAAATAAATTATCAAGGGATATAAATTACAAAATGCTGTAAATTTTGACACCAAAACCAAAATGTGTGTGTTCAGGGGAATAAAAGTGTAGAGCTATATGTGATAAAAGTTAAGTTCTTATCAGCTTAAATTCACCTATTATAAGATGTTTTATGTAAGCCTTATGATAACAACAAAGTGAAAAATCTATAGTACAGCTGACTCTTGAGCAACATGGTTTGAACTGCATGGGTCCACTTATACACAGAATTTTTTCAACATATTTGAAAAATTTTTTGAAATTTGCAACAATCTACAAAAACTTACAAACCATGTGGCCTAGAAATATAAAAATTTAAGAAAAGGGTATGTCACGAATGCATAAAATATATTTAGATGCTAGTCCATTTTATCATTTACTACCACAAAATATATACAAATATGTTATAAAAAGTTAAAATTTGTCAAAATTTACAAACACAGACTGTACATGATGCCATTCACGGTCAAGATAAATGTAAACAAATATAAAGATGCAGTATTAAATCATAACTGCATAAAATTTACTGTAGTTATACTACTATAATAATTTCATAGACACCTCTTGTTGCCATTGTGGGTGGGCTTAGGTATTATGAGTATCCACCTAAAAAGCTGTGTGATGCTAATCATCTCCACAAGAGCAGTTCATGTCTGCAGTAAATTGCATATCATAGTAAGAAGTGATCTCTCATGATTCTCACATATTTTTCATTGTATTTAGTGCAATGCCATAAACCTTAAACATCATGGGATCCATACAAAGTGCCACTTGTGATGTTGGAAGTGCTTCCAAGAAGCAGAGAAAAGTCATGACATTACAAGGAAATGTTTAGTTACTTGATATGTACTGTATGTAGATTGAGGTCTGCAACTGTGGTTGTCCACCATTTCAAGATAAATAAACCCAGTTAAGGACCATTGTAAATAAAGAAAATTCATGAAGCTGTGGCTGCAGCTATGCCAGCAGGCACAAAAACCTTGTACCTTTTGTGAAATACCTTTTTATCTCATTTTGAAAATGTAGTTTTTATATGGGTACAGGATTTCTATGAGAAAGGCATACCTATAGATTCTAATATGATTTGAGGAAAACTGAAGTGATTATATGACAAGATAAGGCAAACGAAAAGGTGAAGGATCTAAAGCTGGAAAATTTAATGCCAGCAAAGGATGGTTTGACAATTTCAGACAGAGGTTTGGCATTAAAAATGTTAAGAGAAGCAGCTTCTACTGACTAAGAGGCAGCAGATGATTTCTGAGATACCATTAAGAAAATCACCCAAGAGAAAGGCTATCTATATGAACAAGGTTTTAATGTTAATAAATGTGCCCTATACTGAAAGAAAGATACCATGAAGGACATTTATTAGTAAGGAAGAGAAGTGAATATCAAGATTTAAGGCAGGAATGGATAGGCTAACTCTACCGCTTTGTGCAAATGCAGTCAGGTTTATGATCAGGATTTTCCTTATCTATAAAACTGCTAATCTCCGAGCTTTGAAGGGAAAAGATAAACACCAGTTGTCAGTATTTTGATTGTACAACAAAGCCTGGACAACAAGAAACCTTTTTCTGGATTGGTGCCATTGATGCTTTGTCCTTGCAGTCAGAAAGTACCTTATCAGTAAGATACTGACTTTTAAAGTTCTTTTGATATTGGACAATGTCCCTGGACACCCAGAACCCCCATGAGTTCAACACCAAAGGCGTTTAAGGGGTCTACTTGCCTCCAAATACAATGTCTCTAATTCAGTCCCTAGATCAGAGGGTCATAAGGGCCTTTAAGGCTCATTACACCCAGTACTCTATAGAAAGAATTGTCAATGCTATGAAAGAGAACCCCAATAAAGAGAACATCATGAAAGTCTGGAAGGATTACAACATTAAAGAATTCCCCCATGTGTATCAAAAGAAAGAAATGAGGCTATTTTGACATGACTTATTCTTAGGAACCTCAGTCAGTTGCCCAATACACTGTCCCCTAAATGCTAACATTATCTAATACTTTCAAGGGTTGTTGTCCAACTTCTCAGAATTTACTCTTCAAAATATATGTTTGTCAGTTCCCCAATCTTTTGGCGCCTCTTATGTTTTCTGTAGTTTCCATAATTCCTGACAGTGACTATACTCAGGAATACATTTCTTCTAAGTATACGAACTCATTGAAATAGGCTCAGTGTTTCTTTTTTTTTAAATTCTATTATTATTATACTTTAAGTTTTAGGGTACATGTGCATAATGTGCAGGTTTGTTACATATGTATACATGTGCCATGTTGGCGTGCTGCACCCATTAACTCGTCATTTAGCGTTAGGTATATCTCCTAATGCTATCCCTCCCCCCTCCCCCCACCCCACAACAGTCCCCAGTGTGTGATGTTCCCCTTCCTGTGTCCATGTGTTCTCATTGTTCAATTCCCACCTATGAGTGAGAACATGCAGTGTTTGGTTTTTTGTCCTTGCGATAGTTTGCTGAGAATGATGGTTTCCAGCTTCATCCATGTCCCTACAAAGGACATGAACTCATCATTTTTTATGGCTGCATAGTACACATGAAAAAATGCTCATCATCACTGGCCATCAGAGAAATGCAAATCAAAACCACAATGAGATACCATCTCACACTAGTTAGAATGGCGATCATTAAAAAGTCAGGAAACAACAGGTGCTGGAGAGGATGTGGAGAAATAGGAACGCTTTTACACTGTTGGTGGGATTGTAAACTAGTTCAACCATTGTGGAAGTCAGTGTGGCGATTCCTCAGGGATCTAGAACTAGAAATGCCATTTGACTCAGCCATCCCATTACTGGGTATATACCCAAAGGATTATAAATCATGCTGCTATAAAGACACATGCACACGTATGTTTATTGTGGCACTATTCACAATAGCAAGGACGTGGAACCAGCCCAAATGTCCAACAATGACAGGCTTAGTGTTTCTTAAGCATTTTTTTACCTAAGCTAATACAAGTTGAGTATTCCAAATTCAAAAATCCAAAATCTGAAACATTTTGAGCACTGACATGAGCTCAAAGGAAATACTCACTGGAGAATTTTGGAATTTGGATTTGGGGATTAAAGATGCTCAACTGGTAAGCATGTAATGCAAATATTCCAAAAAAAACAATCTGAAATGCTTCTAGTCCCAAGCATTTCAGATAAGGAATACTCAACCTGTACATTCTTCAAAATAAAATCCTTTTCAAAAAAAAAAAAAGATGCCATCATTGTTATAGAACAAGGCATGAAAGCCATAAAGCCCCAAACAATAAATTTCTGTTGGAGAAAACTGTGTCCAGATGTTGTACATGACTTCATAGACTTATGACAGAGCCAATTAAGTTAATCATGAAGTAGATTGCACATATGGCAAAAGCAGGTGGAAGGGTGAAGGGTTTCAAGATAGGAATATTGGAAAAGTCCAAGAGCTAATAGATACCATGCCACAGGAATTTTAAAATTTTAAAATGACGACTTGATGGAGATGAGTGCTTCCGAACCAGTGCCAGATTATGAGAAAGAAGATGTAGATGAAGCAGTGCCAGCTATAAAGACACATGCACACGTATGTTTATTGCGGCACTATTCACAATAGCAAAGAGTTGGAACCAACCCAAATGTCCAACAATGACAGACTGGATTAAGAAAATGTGGCACATATACACCATGGAATACTATGCAGCCATAAAAAATGATGAGTTCATGTCCTTTGTAGGGACATGGATGAAGCTGGAAACTATCATTCTCAGCAAACTATCGCAAGGACAAAAAACCAAACACCGCATGTTCTCACTCATAGGTAGGAATTGAACAATGAGAACACATGGACGTAGGAAGGGGAACATCACACACCGGGGTCTGTTGTGGGGTGGGGGGAGGGGGGAGGGATAGCATTAGGAGATATACCTAACACTAAATGACAAGTTAATGGGTGCAGCACACCAACATGGCACATGTATACATATGTAACAAACCTGCACGCTGTGCACATGTACCCTAAAACTTAAAGTATAATAATAATAATAATAAAGAAATTGACACTAGACAATACAGAAGAAGGGTTCTGATTATTCAAGACTGCTTTTTTACTTCTTTTACAATATGGACTTTTCTATGATATGGGCACTGAAACTAAAGCAAATGGTGGAATAATTGGTACCATATAGGAACATTTTTAGAGAAATGATAAAGCAAAAAATACAGACAGAAATTATGATGTTCTTCTGTAGTTACAACGAGTGTTCCTGCCTCTCCTGCCTCCCGTTCCACCTCCTCCACCCCTTCCACCTCTGCCACTCCTGAGACAGTGAGGTCAACCCCTCCTAGTCCTCCTCCTTCTCAGCCTACTCATCTTCACATAAGAATACAGTATATAATATGTATAACATAAAAAGTATGTGTTAATTGACTGTTTATGTTATCAGTGAAGCTTCTGGTCAATAGTAGGCTATTAGTAGTTAAGTTTGGGGGAATAAAAAATTACACATGGATTTTCGACTGTGCAAGAGTCAGAAGCCCTAACCCCCACATTGTTCAAGTGTCAACTGTACTTCCATATTATACAAACTCTTCCTGAGAACAAATAAAGAGAAAATACTCCCATACTCATGTTTAAGGCAAGTATAATCTTTATATCAAAATCAAACCAAGACAACACACTTACAGACCAATCTCACTCACAAACATGCTTGTCAAGAACACAAACAAAATATATTAGCAGAACAAATCCAAGAAAAAAAGTAAAGACATGAATCATGTTCAAGGTTGCTTAAATTTTAGAAAGTATATTATAGAATTCAACAAATTAATAGGTGATAGAAGCAAAATACACTCACTTCAACATGTTCAGAAAAAAATAGATAATATATCCATTCACAATATTTTAAAAGTCTCTCAGTAAATTAGGCATAGAATGGAACTTCCTTAGCCTGTTAAGGGGTACTAAAACATAACAAACATACTTAACAGTAAGATATAAAAGCATTTCCATTTATTTATTGATAGTGAGACAAAAATTGATACAACCATGTTGAAAATGAGTTTGACGTTTTTTATCTAGTAGAGTTGAGGATATGCATACACTTTATCCTAAAGTAGTGGTTTTCAACAGGCATCTTGCCACCATCAACCGGCATCTTGCCATGTCTAGGGAGTGTGTTGGAAATGTGTATGGGGCAGGTTGGTTATCACAATGATTGGAGGGGAATTATTGACATTTAGTGGCATCAGAGATATTAGGCATCCTGAAATGTTCAGGACAGTCCCAGGCAATGGAGAATCCTGCCTAAACTTTTTAATATTAACCTTGACATGCCTACAAATGAAAAACCTGTTTATAATTACCAGAGGCCAGAACCTACCTCCTTTTGTTACATATAAACATGGTATTTTTGCATGAATTTACTATATACTGAATTTTCTAGGAGTAAATCTACCAAGTAAATTGAGAGAACAGTATATTTTCTTTTGTTCAGAAATTTATCCAAAATAATTTTTTTAGAAAATCATGTCACCAATGATAATTACACTTTGTGGTATTATATTTGTAGCCGTCACATTCATGGCGATCAATGTATAGGTGTAAATATTTGGCTACTTCAGGTAGTCATGTTTCAGCATTTACATATTTAAATACATTATTATAAATCACTCGCATTTAATTTTTCCTTTAAATTCTAGTTAGGACATTGTGCTCATATTTTAAATATGTGTATAGGTAGGTTATGCTATCTATGAATTTCACTTCTGGTTAATAAAGAAATTGGTACAAAATATTTGTTACAAAAAGGGAATTGGTAGAGTCTTTCAAGATGGCTGACTAGAGGCACAAGACACTTGACTCCTCCACAAAGAAGAACCAATCAACTGGGAACGACCAACATCACAGCTGACAAAAGTTGCAATACTAGTTGAAGCAAATGAGACCAGCCTAAAATTTAACAGAGTAATCTACTGCACGAGACAGCTATACTGGGCTTTAAATAAGGTCCTACATATCCCTAGGGGTCTCCAAGTCTGTGCACATGCTCGGGAGAAACTGAACAGTGCCTCACTTATCTACTAGTCTTTGCCTAAATGTGTGGTGTTATACAGTAGCAAGTAATAGCAAAGGTAGATTTCTAAACTGCGTGAATCTGGAATGTACGCCCCAGCCCACACATGGATACTTTCAGCAAATTGTGGAACCCTCACTGGCAGAAGGTGTTTAAGCATAACATATGAACAATCACTGGATGACCACTAAAATATGGCCCAGCAGTGACCCCCTGGAAGCTAGCATAATAACAACAACAACCAAAAAAACTGAGTAAAAGCATCAGAGGCCACACCCTGTGGGGGAGGCCAGAAGGCAGTGGAATAGCAAAATGCTGAAAGAAAAATACCCAAAATTTTCAAGTAAGAATTCTATATCCAGCAAAATTATCCTTCAAAAATCAATGTGAAATAAATAAATTCCACAATACACAAAGACAGAGAATTCATTGCTAACAGACCTACCCTACAAAAAATACTAAAGTCCTTGAGCTAAAAGGAAATGACACCAGATGGTAACTTGAATCCATAGGAAGAAATAAAGAGGATTAGTAAAGGTAATTATGTAAGTAAACATAAAAGAGAAAATACATACTTTTCTTACTTTCTTTTAAAGGAAAACTACATAAAACAGTATTTTTAAAACTGTGTTGTTGGGCTTATAACATATTAAGATGTAAAATATACTGCATTAATAGCACAAAGGATGGGTGGAGAAAACTTCCCTGTGTTGCTGAAATTAAATTATTATTAATCTAAAGTAGGTTATTTCAAGTTGACATACATATTGCAATCCCCAGAGCATTCAATAAAAAAGCTCTAGAAATTACAGTAAAAACATCAAAAAAGGATTTAAATGGTATGCAAGAAATTAGCTATATAACATAAAAGAAGGTAATAAAGGAGAAACGGAGGAACAAAGAAGTCAAGAAACATTAATGAAATAAATGAATAAAGCCAGATGTACATCTATAAGTATAAATGGGTTAAACAGTCCAATCAAAACAAACATTGTGAGACTGGATGAAAAACACACTCCAAGGATATGCCATCTACAATAATGGAAAGACACACTTTAAATGTGAAGACATAAACAGGTTAAAAGAATAAAAGAATGAAAAAATTGTATTAAAAAAAAGAGCAACCATAAAAGAGCTGGAGTGGTTAAACTGATATCTAGTATCAGACAAAATGGACTTTAAGAAAAAAATGTTATAGAAAAAGAAGGACATTTTATAATGATGAAAGGTTCTATTCATCAGGAAGATATGTAACTATAAACATATACACATCTGACAACAAAACTCTCCCCAACTAATTCTATGAGGCTGGTCTCTGACATCAAACAAAACAAATACATTATAAGAAAAGAAGCCTACAATTCAACTTCCCTTATGAATACAAATGCAAAATTCCTTAACAAGATGTTAGCAAATCAAATCCACCAGTATTTCAAAAAGGATTATATATCATGACAAAGAGAGATTTATTCCAGGAAGGTAAGGTTCGTTTAACACCCCCAAATTAAGGTAATACCCTATGTTACATTAGTTAATAATGTATTGTGTAGAATAAAGGACAAAAACCACATGATCATTTCAATAGATGCAGATAAGCCATCTGACAAAATCTAACAGTCATTCATGATCAAACATAAAAACTTAACCAATTAGTAAAACTTCCTCAACCTGATAAAGAACATCTACGAAAAATGCACAGCTAACATCACATTTAGTGATGAAGGATTGAATATTTCCCCTAAGACCAGAAAAAAAACAAAGATGTTCACTCCTGTCATTCCTATTCAACATTATACTGGAGATGCTAGCCAGGGGAATTAGGCAAGGAAAACAAGTAAAAGGTATCCAGGCTGGGGAAAAAAAATAAGTCAAACTGTCCTTGACATAATCCTGAATGAGAAAACCCTAAGGAATATACCCACACACTCACATGCACACATACACATGGACACACACACACACAATATTAAAACTAATAATTCTACTCAACAAAGTCACAGGATACCAAATCAACATGCACAAAGTCAATTTGTATTTCTATACACTTGCAAAAAATCATAAAGTGATATTATAAAAAATAATTCACAATAGTACCAAAAATTAAATACTTGGGAATAAATGTAACAAAAAAGTAAAAGATTTTTACACTGAAAACTACAAAACATTGTTGAGGAAAATTAAAGAAGATCTGAATAAATGGAGAGGTATTTCAAGTTCATGGATTGAAAAATCCAATACTGTTAGTTGGCAGTTCTCCCCAAACTGATGTATAGATTCAGTGCAATCGCTACCAAAATCAAAGCAGAGGCTGGGCATGATGGTTCATGCCTATAATCCCAGTACTTTGGGAGGCCAAGGCAGGAGGATAGCTTAAGCCCAAGAGTTTGAGACCAGCCTGGGCAAAATAGGGAGACCACATCTCTACAAAAATATTGTTAAAATAGCCAGGCATAGTGATGCACATCTGTAGTCCCAGGCACTCAGGAGACTGAGGTGGGAGGATCGTTTGAGCCTGGGAGGTTGAGGATGCAATGAGCTGCAACTGTGTCACTGCACTCCAGCCTGAGCAACAGAGCAAGACCCTGTCGAAAGAAAGAAAGAAAAGAAAGAAGAAAAGAAAAGAAAGAATGAAAGAAAGAAAGAAAGAAAGAAAGAAAGAAAGAAAGAAAGAGTGACAAGATGATCCTAATATTTATATGGAAATGGAAAGAACCCAGAATACCCAAAACAATGTTGAAAAAGAAGAACAAAATTTTAGGATTCACCTTTCTCAATTTAAATACATATTACAATGCCACAATAGTCAAGACAGTAGGGACTGGCATAAGAATAGAAATATAAACTAATGGAACACAATTGAGAGGTCGGATATAAACCCTTATATTTATGGTCAATTGGTTTTCAAAAAAGGTTCCAAGTCAATTCAACAGGAAAAGGTTAGTTTTTCAACAAATGATGATAGTACAGTTGGATATCCATATGCAAAAAGATTAATGAAGACCTTCACCTTACACCATACACAAAATAACACAGAATGAATCAGAGTCATAAACGAAAGACGTAAAAGTATAAAACTTTTAGAAACATAGGAAAACCTTCATGATATTGGATTGGGCAAAGAATTATTAGATACAACATCAAAAAACACAATTGACAAAAGAAAAAAAATAACTTGGACTTTATCAAAAATAAAGAACCGAGAGCCCCTCTGCCACTGCCATTGCAGCAGCTCTGTCCTTGCTGCCCTAAGACTGGGGAAGGAATAAAGAGCCTGAGGGATTTACTTGCACCTCCAACATGCCACAGTTGCCATACAGAATAGAGCCAAGTCTCTCATCTCTGTGAGCCTCCAACCCCCTGGTCTTCACCAAGCAGGGCCCCTGGCTTGGGCCCACAGAACAGCTGCCCTACCTCGTGGCTGAACATACCCATTGTCAGTGGCTCTGTGTTGCTCTGGGGTGGAGCTCCCAGAGGCAAATGAAATGCCCTCTGAGACTGCCACTGCAGTGGTACTGCCTTTGCTGCCCTTGGATTGGGGAAGGAACAAAGACCCTGAGTGCTGTACTCATACCTCCATCATGCCACAGCCAACCTAAGAAGAGGCTAGTCTGTCTTCCCTGTGAGCTCCCTTCTCCCCCTCCCCATTCATCACCAGGCAGGGCTCCCTGGCTCGGGCCCACAATGCAGCCACTCCACCCCAGGATGAATGCTCCAAATGATAGTAGTTCTGCATTTCTCTGGAGTGGAGACCCAAAAGACAAGTGAAAGGCCCTCTGCAATTGCCACTGCCAAGGTCCCTGCCCCTGCTGCTCCCAAGCTGGGGAGGGAACACAAAGCCTGAGCTCATCTGAAGGCTGCATGTGAAGCCCAAGAGTGTCAAGCCAAGCTCTGCAGCCAGCACTCAAGTGGGAGAGGAGCCCACACCCTCAGAGCACCAAGAGGGAGCATGGCCGCAAACACAAGGAAATAGAGGAGTCATGTGGCTGAGCAAGAGCCTACCTAATGGCCATTACACTTAAGCACCATCTACTGGATCACAGCCCAAATTTTGACACCAAAAATACTTACCTAATATATCCCTCTGTGAAACGAAGAACAAGAATTCAGCTACAAATAAAGACCCCGCACAAAGCTCCAGCACTCTGACAATGTCCAGAAATGAGGTCAACTGACTATACTCAAATCACACCACAGTTAAAGAAACATTAGCCCACACACAGGAGAAAGAACCAGCACAAGAACTCTGGCAACCCACAAAGCCAGAGTGTCTTTTTTCCTCCAAACAACACTAGTTCCCCAGCAAGGATTCTTAACCAGGCTGAAATGGCTAAAATGGCAGATATAGAATTCAGAATGTGGATAGGAATTAAGATCATTTGAGATCCATGAGAAAGTTGAAACTGAATCCAAGGAATTTAAGGATTATAATAAAACAATACAGGAGCTGAAAGATGAAATGGCCATTTTAAGAAAGAACCAAACTAATATGATAGAGCTGAAAAACATAATACTGTCCATGAAAATTTCCCAAACATCACTAGAAAGGACAACATTCAAATTCAGGAAATTCAGAGAACCTCTGCAAGAACTATACAAAAGGACCATCCCCAAGACACATAGTCATCAGATGCTCCATCAAGCTAACAGCGACCTTTCAGCAGAAATCTTGCAAGTCAAAAGAGATTGGGGGCCTAGATTCAGCATTCTTAAAGAAAAGAAACTCCAACCAAGAATTTCATATCCAGCCAAACTAAGCTTCATAAGCAAAGGAGAAATAAGATCTTTTTTTTAGACAAGCAAATGCTAAGGGAATTCATTACCATCAGGCCTGCCTTACAAGAGGTCCTTAAGGGAATGCTAAATATGGAAACAAAAGACTATTACTGGCCACCACAAAAACACACTTAAAGACATAGGCCACTGACACTATAAAGCAACCACGTGATCAAGTGTACATAATAACTAGCTAACAACATGATGCCAGGATCAAATCTGCACATATCAATATTAATCTTAAGTGTAAATGGGCTAAATGCCAAAATTAAAAGGTATCCAACGGCAAATTGGATAAAGAAGCAAGACCCGGTGGTATGCTGTCTTCAAGAGTCCCATCTCACATACATCACATACAATGACACCCATAGACTCAAAGTAAATGGATGGAGAAAAACCTACAAAGCAAACAAAGAACAAAAAAAAGCAGGGATTACTATTTTAATTTCAGACAAAATAGACATTAAACCAACAATGATGAAAAAAGGCAAAGAAGGACATTACAAATGGTAAAGAGTCAACAAGAAGACTTAACTATCCTAAATATATATGCACCCAACACAGGAGCACCCGGATTCATAAAACCAGTTTTCAGAGACCTATGAAGAAACTTAGATAACTATACAATAATAGTGGGAGATTTCAATACCCCACTGACAGTATTAGACAGATCCTCGAGGCAGAAAACTAACAAAGATATTTGGGACCTGAACTCAGCATTTGATCAAGTGGAGCTAACAGACATCTACACAACAATCCACCCAAAAACAACAGACTATACATTCTTCTCATCTGCAGATAACACATACTCTACTGACCACACAGTCAGCCATAAGACAATTCTCAGCAAATTAAAAATTTTTAAAACCAACAAAAACAAAAATCATACCAGCCACATTCTCAGACCACAGCACAATAAAAATAGAAATCTATACCAAGAAGATTGGTCAAAACTATAAAATTACATGGAAATTAAACAACCTGCTCCTGAATGACTTTTGAGTAAACAGTGAAATTAAGTCAGACATCAATAAATTCTTGGAAACTAATGACAACAAAGATACAACATGTCAGAATCTCAAAGACATAGCTAAAACAGCATCAAGAGGAAAGATTATAGCATTCAATGATAAAAAAAATGAATGAAATCAATGAGGCTGGTTCCTTGAAAGAATAAATAAGACAGATGGACTGCTAGCTAGACTAACAAAGAAAAAAAGAGAAGACACAAGTAACCAAAAACAGAAATGATAAAGGGGACATCATCACCAACCCCACAGAAATACAAAAAAAAAAAAAAAACCCCATCAGAGACTATTATGAACATCTTTCTGCACACAAACTAGAAAACCTAGAATAAACTGATAAATTCCTGGAGACATATAACCTCCTAAGACTGAACCAAGAAGAAATACAAACCCTGAGCAGACCAATAACGAGTTCCAAAATTGAATCAGTAATGAAAAGCCTACCAACCAGAAAAAAACACAGGTCCAGAAGGATTCATAGCTGAATTCTACCAGACATATAAAGAAGAGCTGGTACCATTCCTATTGAAACTATTCCAAAGAATTGAGGAGGGACTCCTCCCTAACTCCTTCTTTGAGGCCAGTATCATGCTGATACCAAAACCTGGCAAGGACACAACAAAAAAGGAAAACTTCAGGCCAATATCCGTGAAGAAAGTAGCATGTCAAAAAGCTAATTCACCAAGATCAAGCAGGCTTTATCCCTGGGATGCAAGGTTGGTTCAATGTATGCAAATCAATAAATGTTATTAATCACATAAACAAAACTAAAAACAAAAATCACATGTTCATTTCAATAGATGCAGAAAAGCCTTTTGATAAATTGCAGCATCTATTCATATTAAAAACCCTCAAAAAACTAGGCACTGAAGGAACATACCTCAAAATAATAAGAGCTATCTATGACAAACCCACAGCCAACATATACTGAATGAGCAAAACTGGAAGCATTCTCCTTGAGAACTGGAACAAGACAAGGATGCCCACTCTCAACATACTACTGGAAGTCTTGGCCAGAGCAATCAGGCAAAAGAAAGAAAAAAAAGGCATCCAAATAGGAAGAAAGGAAGTCAAACTATCTATGTTTGCAGACAATATTATTTTATACATAGAAAACCCCTTTGTCTCTGACAAAAATCTCCTAGATCATATCAACAACTTCAGCAAAGTTTCAGGCTACCAAATCAATGTACAAAAATCAGTAGCATTTCTATACATCAATAATGTCCAAGCTGAGAACCAAATAAAAAATGCAATCCCATTCACAATAGACATAAAAAAAATAAAATACCTGAGAATACAGCTAACCTGGGAGATGAAAGATATCTGCAATGAGAATTACAAGACACTGCTGAAAGAAATCGGAGATGATACAAACAAATGAAAAATCATTCCATGCTCACGGATAGGAAGAATCAATATTGTTAAAATAGCCATACTGCTCAAAGCATTTTATAGATTCAATGCTATTCTTATCAAACTACCAATGGCATTCTTCACATAATTAAAAAAAATTATTCTAAAATTCTTATGGAACCAAAAAGGAGCCCAAATAGCCAAAGAAATCTTAAGCAAAAATACAAACTTGGAAGCATCACATTACTTGATATCAAACTATAGAAGTCTACAGTAACCAAAAGAGCATGGTACTGGTACAAAAACAGACATATAGACCAATGGAACAAAATGGAGAGCCCAGAAATAAGGTTGTGTGCCTACAGCCATCTGATCTTTGACGCTGATGAAAACAAGTAATGGGATAGATACTCCCTATTCAATAAATGGTGCTAGGATTGCTGGTTGCTGTGTGCAGAAGATAGAAACCAGAAGGCGTCTGCCTTCTTTACACCATATACAAAAATCAACCCAAAATGGATTAGACTTAAATGTAACAACTAAAACCATAAAAACCCTTGAAGAAGACCTAGGCAATACCATTCTAGACATGGGCCCTGTCAAATATTTCATGACAAAGACATCAAAAGCAATGGCAATAATAATAAAAACTGATAAATAGCACCTAGTTAAACTGAAGAGCTTCTGTACAGCAAAATAACCTATCAATAGAGTAAATAGACAACACACAGAATGGGAGAAAATATTTGCAAACTAGGCATCTGACAAAGTTCTAATATCTAGAATCTATAAGGCACTTAAATTAACAAGCAAAAACCAAACAACCTCATTAAAAAGTGGGCAAAGGATATGAACAGACACTTTTCAAAAGAAGACATACATGTGGTCAACAAGCATATGAAAAAATGCTCAACATCACTAATCAATGAAAACCACAATGAAATACCATCTTACACCAGTCAGGATGGCTATTACTAAAAAGTCAAAAATAACAGATGTTGGCGATGGTGCAAAGAAAAGGGAACACTTATACACTGTTGGTGGGAATGTCAGTTAGTTCAGCCACTGTGGGAAGCAGTTTGACAATTCCTCAAAGAACTTAAGACAGAACTACCATTTGACCCAGCCATCCATTATTGGGTATATACCCAAAGAAATATAAATCGTTCTGCCATAAAGACACATGCATGCATATGTTCCTTACAACACTATTCACAACAGCAATGACATGGAGTCAACCTAAATGCCCATCAGTGGTATATGGAATAAAGAAAATTTGGTACATATACACCATGGAATACTATGCAGCCACAAAAAGAATGAGATCATGTCCTTGGCAACAACATGGATGGAGTTGGAGGCCATTATTCTAAGCAAAGTAACACAGGAACAGAAAACCAAACACCACATGTTCTCATTTATAAATGGGAGCTAATATTGAGTACACATGGACACAAAGAAGGGGACAATAGACACGGGGGCCTACTTGAGGATGGAGATTGGGAGGAGGGTGAGGATCAAAAAACTATCTATTGGGTACTATGCTTATTGCCTGTGTGATGAAATAATATGTACGCCACACCCCTGTGACACACAATTTATCTATAGAACCAACCTGCCCCTATACCTCTGAAACTAAAATAAAAGTAAAATAAATAAAAACCTTTGCCCTTCAACATACAGTAGTAAGAAAATGAAAAGACAAACCACAGACTTGGAGAAAATATTTTCAAACTACATATCTGATAAAGGACTTGTATATAAGCAACTCTTACATCTCAATAGTAAGGAAGCAAACAACCTAATCAGAAATGGGCAAAATATGTGAGGAGACATTTCTCCAAAGAACATATACAAATATCTAACAAGCAAATAAAAAGATGCTCAATTAGCCATTAAGGAAATGCAAATCTAAATCACAATGAGATACTTCTCCACACCCTCAAGAATAGCTACACATTTGAAAAAAACAAAACAAAACGGGGAAATAACAAATATGGTGATGATGTGAAGAAATACATTGCTGGTGGTTCATATAAATCTAGTAACTGTAAAATAGTACAGCCCCTTGGGAAAACAGTTTGGCAGAAAATTAAACATACAGTTATAATATGACCAAGTAATTCCACTCATAGGTGTTTAACCAAGAGAATTGAAAACGAATGTCCACCCAAAAACTTGCACACAAACGTTCATAGCAGCTTTATTCATAATAGCCAAAAGATAGAAACAATCCAAGTGTTCATCAACTGATGACTAGATAGACAAAATGTAGTATACTGATGCAATGGAATATTACTCAGCTATAAAAAGGAATGAAGTATTTATATATGCCACAACATTAATAAACTTTGGAGACATTATTTAGATGAAATTTTCAGGATAGGCAAATCCATAGGCACAGAAAGTAGATTAGTGGTTGTCTGATGCTGGGAGTAGTAATGAAGACTGACTGCAGATGGGCAAGGAAGATGTCACTGACGTGATGCAAATGTTTTAAAATTAGATTGTAGTGATGGTTGCACCACCCAATAAATTTATAAAATCACTTTAAATATGCAAATTTTATGGCATGTAAATTATCCTAAATACAATATTTAAACACTGTGAGCATCAAGAAAAAAAGAGAACTTTCATCTCCTTACTTTGACAATTTATTAGGGATCATACAGAGGTCATTAGGCTGTTTGTTGTTGTTGCTGTGGTGGTGGTGGGTTGTGGTTTTCCCATGAGAGTCGAGGGTCATGCAACCATTTGGTCTTTTAAAATAAAAATTTTTAAATCAATTAAAAAAGAATATTGCTGGCTTGAAATTTGGAGTAGTCATGGGACAAAGAGAAGTGGATGGATTTTTTAAAATATTCAGGATGTAGAAGTGACAAGATTTTGTAGCAGTTAGATATAGGGAGTGGGGAAAGGTGAGGAGGCCTCAGACTGAGTATGCTTAAAGTTGAATTCCTGTTGTCCTCCCGAACTGGCTGTCCTGTGCTGCCAATCTCAGTGAATGGATCAGCATCCTGGCACAGAGTTGACATTCATTGATTGCCTTTGGAGTGAATGAACAGAGTATGATGAATAGAGTGAAAATATAGCTAAACAAGGCAGACACCAGGTCCTGCCAAATAGCCAATGCAAAACTCACCCTTCAGGTTGGCTCAGCAGATATCCAGCATAATTTTTTTCTCACCTTTCAAACCATTTGGGAAATCATGAGGTATTTTCCTCATCCAGAAGAACACTCACCTACATATCAGCCACTCCTTCCCTAGAACCTACAGGTATGGAGCAGGCTGGGTTTTTTCAAGAGCCTCTTATCCTGTAAATCTTTACACAGGGCAATGGCAGGTGCATGTACAGCCCATATGAGCCCAGGGGATGCTTGGTATTATAGAAAGGGGATCACAGTGGTGCCCAACTGATGGATCCGTGTTCAGTTTGCAGGAAGAGACTCTTCCCACCAAAGAGGTTTGTTAATCCTGGGGTCCCCCTCCCAGCCCCTGGAGGCATCAGATACAGCTGTCAGAAACATTGTAAACACCCAGTGATCCACTTGGCTGGTTTTACTGTTGTTCCCAGGGTTGACAAGCAGAAATACAGAACAAATGGTGGTTCCTGAAACAGAGGCCAAAACAAGGAAGTGATCTGTTCCAGTCCAAGCTTCCAAGAAATAAAGAACTAGGTGGGGCACACTAAACAAGCCCCCAGACTCAACCACCCCAGTAAACATTCCCTTCATCACACTGGTTATGAGATAAAGTATAAGTTTTTTAAGCCTTATTATAAATAACCTTACTTAACGTCTTCTGGTTGTTGTGAAAATTATAGTATTTTGCAAAATATATGTTCACCATTATCATTACCACCAGTTCCTTAATGAGGAGAAACCAGAAGTTGACACCAAAATGTTGATCCATAATGTTTATAGTCCTTCTTTGTCTTTATAGTTAATGTAAAATAAACTGTATGTAATTTTTACTACAGTGTGTCCTGAAAGGGCAAACCAAGCTACAAGCAACTCTAAAAGACTACTACTGTATGGGAGTGGATTATGAAAGTGTTTCTTAAATATGAGAGCTCAAGTTTTTCTTTCAGCGACTGAGTTAAAGCACGCAACTCATTTATCATGAGACTTTTGCTAGGCAGTGTACTATGTCCACTCAACACACATCATTTTAGGCAATCATCTGGTTAAAACGTTTAATAGTATGGCATTCACAAACCCATTCTTCAGAGTTGACATTCAATTAATGGTTTGAATGTCGTTTCCAGGGCAGTCAGGAGTATTTAAAGGCTTTTCCATTGTTTTCGGAAGAGAAAGAAAACTTCCTAGCCTAACTTACTTACCCAGAGCCTTGCTCCAGAGGGGGCAGACAAAGGGTAAAATCTGGGCAGAGAACATTAGTGGATATGAGAACGAAAGAAAGTGCTGCAAGATCTTGCAGACAGCTGAGTTCCACCTTCCACTCTACTGCCGAACAAAGTGAGGCAGGAAGAGGGTAGGGACTCGCTGAAAGCTAAACACCAAGTCAGTGACAGATCCAGGGCTGTAAAGTCCGACCGAGATTGAAACAATGTACACTGGGCGTCAGTCCCAACGCGAGCTTGCTCCAGCTCTTCCAGCTCTTCCTGAGCGCTAGGCCCATCCGGCCTCACGCTGATCTCCGGGCAGACTCTGTCGCGCAACTGGCACAGATCGTGACGACAACCCTGCGGCAAGGCAGGAGTGGCCTTCCTCTCCGCCAGGGTTAAGGTGAGTACCACCGCCCTTGGGCCCAGCAGCCCGGGTGAGAGCCTCCGCCGCCCACTGCGACAGGCCTGAAAGCGAGCGCCTGGGTAAACCCACCCGTAGCACCCATGGGGACACCCCTTCCCTGACCCACGGGACGGAACCCACCTGTGCTGGAGGTCGTGACTGCTAACTCCGCAGAGTGGGCAGAATTCCAAGCAAGGAGAGTCTCGGGAGGCAGCCTTTCACCCGCCTTTTGCCTTTTCACCCCCAAAACTGTCGGCCCCACGCTCCCCTCCCCCAGCCCGCTCGGGCCCAGCGGAGAGCCTGTAGGCCCCGCCCCACTCCTTCCGGCCGTGCAGGGTGGGTGCCTCTGGCGCCCGGGACTTCGCCCGGTGCTAGGGCGTCAGTCTCCCATTCGGAAGGACTGGGCCGGGGCACTCTATTCAATCGCCTTTAGTGAACATACTTGAAGCTATAGGTGCAGGGATGAGAAAAAACAGGCCCATAAAGCTATAAAACCTGGGTCCCCTGCCTGCCATTTCAGTGCTCCTCCCGAGTCCTCCCACTACGCTTCTATTTATGGTAGTTTATCCAGGTTTACTAGAAGTAAAATTCTACTACCTTTCCACCATTTTCTTGAGTTTATGGAAGTCATATACCGCTCATTACTCCCATCGATTCAGCTGAGCATCTTGAACCCAGGGTCCAGATACAGTGCTACATACAGTGAGCACTAGAAGGGAATACCCATTAGGAATGAACACCTTATGCAGGTAAAAATTTAAGAACGATACATATTACAAAGAAGGACCAAAAAGTATACTGAAATAGTATATGCAATGGAAATCCAAGGCAGATTTAAAAAATGAGAGTAAGAACAACAAAAAAAATCAAATGCATATATACTGAAAATGGGAAATTGTGCAGTATTATATTTATTCGAGATTAAAAGTGTTAATCTAATGTCAAAAAAGCAATAAAGGAATTGGTTTGTAGAAGTCAGGATCAACAAAAGAAGAAAAAGCCTCCACATCTTTGCCCTGGAATTCCTTCTGCCATGAATGCTCTTACCCGGCACTTGTTTATTTGGAAAACGGCTACTCGTTATTTTTGACTCAATTTAGATAGCACCTCCTCTGTGAAGCCTTCCCTGTCTTTCCCAGATAAGTTTGTATATTTTTTTTCCCTAGGTCCAGTATGCCCAATGGATCTCGTACAGGCCTCAAGAGTACCACTTACTCTAGATTATAATTTCTCTTTCTGCATGTCTTTGTCCTCTAATGAATAAGTAGCTTCTTGAGAGCAGAAAACTTGTGTTTTTCATATTTGTTCTCCAAGCACAGAGTCTAAAATGTCTATATATTTAATAAATATTTGTTAAAAAATTTCTAGAACCAGTGTGTAAACAAAAGGACATATCCAGAGTGTGAATGTAACATAAAGAGGAAAAACTAAGTACAATGAGAATCTAGATTTAGTCTGGCTGGTATTCATTCATGCAATAAACATTAATGAGTGCCTACTGTATGCCAGGCACTGTACTAAGATCTGGGTGTAAAATGATAAACAAAGCCCAGATATAGTCCATGCCCTTATGCCCTTATGTTTAAAGAACAAATTGGAGTTGGCCAGGCAAATGGGAAAACAAAAAAAGTTTTGGGCAGAAAGAACAGCATGATCCAATGTCCTGTAACAGGAAGATCATAACTGTAGCAATTAGAGTGAATGAGCTCACTTAAAGCTAAGCTGAAATCAACACAAAGTACTCAGAAAAGGCAACAGGTTGATAGACAATACCTGTTTGTTTGAGTCAGTAAAAGAAGCAAGTTTCCTTAATAATAGTAACCAACATTTATAAAATGTGCACTATATGCTAAACACTGGGCTAAGTGTTTGTTTTATATCAAACACTTAAGGTAGATGATATTATTTCTACTTTAAGGATAAGGCAACTGAGGCACAGATAGGTTAAGCAATTTTCACCAGGATCACATGGCAGATAAATTTCAGAGCTGAGATTCAAACCTAGGTAATTTGGCTCCAGACTCTAGGGAGCCTGGATATTTTACTTTTAATAAAATATAAATTTTACTTGTAATAAAATAAAAGTCAGATATTTTACTGTTTCCTCTCTCTGTGTGTGTGTGTGTAGCAGGTCACATGGTGTATGGCACAGAGTGGAACTTCTTAATATTTTTGGAATGAATGAATAGCTGAATAAAAGCAATAGGTACAAATGTGCTAGAAAACAAAATAGAAAAAAACAATAGTATCTGGGTCTTTTTATGTTCCCGCCACACCAGCTGTTCCTAGAACACACCAAACTTGTTCTTGTTCTGCTTCCAAAATATAATCTGCTCATGCATTTGTCCCTCACTGTACTGCTAACATTCCGGACCAGAGTTTGGCTTTTTTTTTTTATCTGTGAAGGGTCAGCTGGTAAATATTTTAGGCTTTTTGAGTCACATACAGTCTTTGTCTCCAGGTATTAAATTCTGCTTTCATAGAGTGAAAGAATTCACAGACAATACATAAATGAATGCGTGTAGGTATGTTCCAATAAAAGTTTATTTACAAAAACAGGCAAGAGGCAGGATTTGCCCTGTGGGCAATAATTTTTAGACTCTTGCTCTAGGCCAAATTATCACCATCTCTTGCATGGACTACTGTATTAAATGATGTCTGAGAGCCATCATCTTTGACTAACATCTACACCTTTGTTTTATCAGCCTCTCAGTGAAGCTTTAGTGATCTCTAATCATATTCATAACCTTGAGTTCTTGAAAGGTGGTTAAAACTATGTGTTAATTGTGATTGTGAACTTCGATTTATCAAAGATGGTCTTTAAAAGAACTACTAGTGATCTTTGAAAGAGTTAAAAAATTAAAGAAGGAAGATTTATTATAAAAGTAGTGACTTTTAGCCAGAAAATAAATATTCTGGACACAGTGCAATGTTGAATTTGGCTGAAGCTTTGGTCTATGACAAGAATCCTGCTAGGTATTCTATAGAGAAACAAATAAATGCTAAAACTTTTCAGAAATCATCTAGACCATACAAAATTTTCCTCACCTATTCATGGACAAAAATTTGGTAAAGCTGAAGGGTATATTAATTTGTGTTTCGGTTTATGAACATTTCTGACTCTGGGGATATGAACATTTCTGACTCTCAACAGAAATGTGATTCAGCATAAACGTAGTAACCTATACAATTAATTTTGCAGTGAAGAAGTATTAATTAGGACTCATTAGTTAAAAGTTATCAAAACCTACCTGAAACTAACAAGCAAAAGAGAGAAATTTATGGGAAGATAATAAGGTGTTTCACAGAACTCAAGAAGGATTAGAACAATCAAAACTTTTAAAAAGGCAAGGTATAGTTAGGCCTCAAGAATCGTCAAAAACAAGGATTCCAGTGACATTGACTCTATCATTCTTTTACCCCTATTTTTCCCTGCACATTTATCTGGGGTCTCTCTCTCTCTCTCTCTCTCTCTCTCTCCTCTCTCTCTCTCTCTCTCTTCTCTCTCTCTTCTCTCTCTCTCATCCCCTCGTTCCCTTCCTTGCTTTCCTCCCCACTCCTCTCAAGCTCTTTTTGTTTCCCAAGTCCATGTAACAGTAGATACGGTTACGGACACCTTCCTAGATTTTCATATTACAGATTCAACCACTGAAGAGAGACACTAAGCCATATCAGGTCCTCTGAAAAGCAAATCTACAGATCTATCGTGGGTAATGGCTGGCAAGATAAAGAGGAGATTACAGTACAGCTCTATGGAAGTCTCAACCACCCCAACAGAGACTGCTAATTAGAGGAATCCTGCGTTAGACAGAAACAGCCCTAGTACACCTCTTGTGCTCAGAGATTGGCTGGAGATGCCTGGGAAGGGAATGGCCTTGGATCAAATGATGCAAAAATAATCCCAAAAGTGCTCCAGCTGGAGACTGTTAGCTGACTCCACTCCTCATAGTAGGTTTTCCCTTGAAAGATCTGAGAGGCACTCCCTGGTTACCATAGACCTTTATGGTCCTATCTCCATAAATCTATGAGGGATTTATTGGCCAAGTTTGAGACTGGTGGCCACCTAAGACCAATCAACTGTAGCTAGGTGAGCGATGTCACATATACCAAAGGATAATTTTCTCAGTTTTCCTGGGGCTGAGGAATTCCCTGTAATGTGCTAAAACCACAACAGTTCAGGGCAAACTAGGATGCTTAGTTATTTTATTAGTACCCATGTTAATAGGGGTGGGAAAGTTAAAACCGTCCAGTAATATCCTACTATATAAACAATTGTACTTTACTGTATTTATGGAGGAAATTCTATGTATAGTGGTTTTATTGGATTAGGATAATTTATAAAGGTCTCAGAAGAATTCCCTTGAAGATGACAAAAATTTCATACTTTAATTCTTGCATGCTGGTTCCCTTGTGCATTTATACATTCTTCCTCCATCTAGAATGCTCCTCTCACTGCAACCTCCCTCTCCTCAACCTTGTCCTCACTGTTAGAAATGCTTCTTGCCCATTTCTCTAGTTTCCACATGGAATTATTTCTCTAAATTAAGATTAAATCACATAATAAATGCCAAGCACATATCATAGGACATGGCATAAAATAGGGGCTTGTATCAGTCAAGGTTCTTAGTTGCATGCAACAGAAGCTGAAGCTGACTGATTTAAGCAGGAAAAAAAGTTATGTTGGGAATGACACTGGATCAGCACTCTTGCCGTTAGAAACATCATAAAACTGCATAAAATATGCAAGGAAACTGTTTAAAGATATTGAGCAATAGTCAGCCCATGATTATGATCCCCAGGAAAAGAGAAACTCACAAATCAAGCCCCAAGACTGCCTTAGCTCTTTGCCTGGTGACTATTTTCTGATCCCAGCATCAAGAGCTAGATTCCAAGCTGAGCTTGCAGTCTCATTGAACGAAGGAGGAAAAGATCAGAGCTCAGGGTAGCAGAAGCATCTGAAATCTATGGAGCAAGGCATTAGAGAAGACAATCTGTGCAGATGTTGGGACGGGTAAACATATGTCTTGGGGTTTCCAGCAAAACTTTAAAAAGAGGAGGAGTTATAGAACTTCTTGGTTTCAAGACTAACTATAAAACTACACTTATCAAAACAGTGTGGTATTAGAGTAAGAAATAACAAATAAGTCAATAAAATAGCTCAGAATCCAGTAATAGGCCGACATATATTATGGTCATATATTTCTTTGGTTTTAACCTTCTATTTGGAAATAATTGTCAATTCACAGGAAGTTTCCAAAAAATACAGGGAGACCTCGTGTACCCTTTACACAATTTCCTCTGATGGTAAAATCTTGCCTAACTCTGGTACAATATCAATCCAGGAAATTTACATTGGTAAAATCCACAGAGCATATTTGAATTTTACCAGTTACACATGCATATGTGTGTGTGTGTAGTTGTATAAAATATTCTATGTGTAACTTTGTATAATGACGACCACAATTAAAATGTAGAACATTTCCATTGCCACAAGCTTTCTCATGCTGCCCCTTTATAGCCACACTCACTTCCCTTTCTCCTCCTCAACACCTGGCAACCATTAATATGTTCTCCATCTCTATAACTTTGTCATTTCAAGAATGCTATATTAATGGAGTCAGGCAATATGTAACCTTTTGGGATTGGCTTTTTTTCTACTCAGCTTAACTCCCTTTAGATCCATCTAAGTTGTGTGTGTCAATAGTTGATTCTTTTTTATTGTTGAGTGGTGTTTCATGGTATGTATGTATCAGAGTTTGTTCAACCAATAACCCACTGAAGAACATTTGAGCTGTTTTCAGTATTTTTCTATTATCAGTGAAGCTTCTATGAGCATTCTTGTACACATGTGTTTTTTTTGGGAATACCAGTTTTAATTTTTCTGGCCTAAATGTCCAAAAGTATGTTTCCTGGGTTATATGCTATTTGCATATTTAATACTTTAAGAAACTACAACACCGTCTTCCAGAGTGGCTGTACCATTTTATATTCTCACTGTCAATGTATGAAAGATCCAGCTTCCATGCAACCTTTCCAGCATTTTGTACTGTATTTTTTATCTTAGCTATTTTTTATGTCAGGTATTCTGACAGGTCTGTGGTGATATCTAATTGTGATTTTAATTTGCCTTTCTCTGATGATGAATGATATTGAACATATTTTCATGTGCTTATTTTCTATCTGTATATAATCTTTGGTGAAAGGTTTCTTCATGTCTTTTGCCCATTTTCTACTTGGATTGTTCAGCATTTTTTATGGTTGAGTTTTGAGAACTTTATATATTTAACATACTAATTCTTTGTTAGATATGTGGTTTACAAGTATTTTCTCCCACTCTGTTGCTTGTCTTTTCATCCTCTTAAGACAATATTCTGCAGAGTAAAAGTTTTGAATTTTGAGGAATCCAATCTACCAAGTTTTTTTATGGATTGCGCTTTAGATGTCAAGTCTTTACTGAAACCTATATCCAAAGATTTTATCATGTTTTTAAAAAAAGTTTTATAGTTTTGTGGCTTACATTTAAGTCCATTATCCATTTTCAGTGACTTTTTTTGGTAAAGTATGAAATTTAGGTTGAAGTTCATACTTTTGCCTATAGATGTTCAGTTGCTCCAGGACTATTGCTTGAAAGGCTATCCTTACTTTTTTTTTAACTTGCTTTTGCACATTTGTCAAAAGTCAGTTGGGCAAATTTGTGAGGGTCTGTTTCTGTTTTTTTGTATTTGGTTCCATTGATCTAAGTGTCTATCCTTCAGCCAATACAATGCTGTCTTATTACTTTAATTTTTTTATATCATTACCAATGCCTTTGAACAGGGAAATTCTCTTAAACCACTGAAAGTTGAAGAAAATGAACCTCAAACTCTACCTCATACCATAAAAAAAACTCAACTTAGAATTAATCATAGACCTAAACGTAAATGCTGAAATTGTTAAGCATAAGGAAGAAAACATGGGAGAATATCTTCATGATCTTGTGTTAGGCAATTGTTTCTCAAAATAGAAAAAAAATCATTAACCATAAAAGTTTAAAGTGATAAACTTCATTAACATTAAAAACTTCTGCATGCCAAAGACATTGTTATGAAAATGAAAATATAAGCCATGGACTAAATACAAAATATTTATAATACCTATATCTTACAAAAGTAAGGTATCTATAATACATATAGAACTCTTAAAATCAAACATAAAAACACAAACAAACCCAATTAGAAATGGGAAAAAGATTTAAACATATACTTACAAAAGAAGATGTACGAATGGCCAATAAACATATGAAAAGATGTTCAACATCATTTACTCTTGAACTGAAGGAAAAGTTAAATCACAAAGACACAACACTTCACACAAGCTATAACATTTAAAAAAGAATGATACTACCAAGTGTTGATGATGATGTGGAGCATTTTGAGTTCTCATACATTGCTGATGGCAAAATAAAATGGCACAATTGCTTTAGAAAACTGGTTAGCAGATTCTTATAAAGTTAAACACACTTTATAAGATTCTTAGTTAAACACACTTTATAAGATTCTTAGTTAAACACACTTTAGCAGATTCTTATAAAGTTAAACACACTTTATAAGATTCTTAGTTAAACACACTTTATAAGATTCTTAGTTAAACACACTTTAGCAGATTCTTATAAAGTTAAACACACTTTCCCTATGACTCAGTAATACCACTCCTAAGTATTTACCCAAGAGAAATGGAAATATATACTCATACAGTCTTCTGCACAAATTTTTACAGCAGTTTTATTTGTAATAGCTCCAAACTGCAAATAATTCAAAACATGCAAATTGATAATTAACTATACATCCATAAAATGGAATACTACTCACCCATATAAAATAATTACTCGAAAGCAACAAACGTAGATGAACCTCAAAAACATTATACTCAGCTAAAGAAGCTAGACACAAAAGAATACATACTGTATGACAATTTATATAAAATTCTAGAAATTCCAAAATTAAATTATGCTGGTAGAAAGTAGAATAATGGTTTCCTGGAGCAGAGGAGTTGTGTATTTACTGGAAGGAGTAATGACAAAACCCTTCGGAGTGATGATAATGTTCTGTATCTTGATTGTGTTGTTGGTTACACAGTGTATACATTTGTCAAAACTCGTTGACTTGTATAGTTAAGATCTGTACATTTAACTATATATAAACTATACTTCAATAAAAATTAAGTTAGAAAAAACAGATATTTGGTGGCTAACAGAATTATCATGAATCGTGGAGAACCAGGCATGGGCTGGGTGTCTAGGACCACCAACCAAAAATTCACTGCACAACTGGTGTGACGAGGAAACCTCTTTTACTACCACAAAGGACTAGATGCTACTATATATACCAGTGCTATTTCTACAACAGAAAATCAACTTTACTGCAGCCAGTAATGCCAATGGCTGCCGCTTCTATGCTGGAAACCCGATTTACCAACTATTATTGTTCACAGAGTCAGTATGAGTGCAAGAATATGCAAGAACAGCTAAGTTTTGTGATCAAACTCTGTCACTATCATTATCTTCAGTTTATTCTGCTTATGTGATTCTGAATTGTTTTTAACTTTTGTTTTAGCAGACATTCTATGCACGTCTTGTACTATAAATAGCTTAAATCCATTTTGGATTTAAGTCAAGAAATGCATACAACAATGAAGTATATTCTAGTCATCAAACCATATTAATTTTTTCTCATATTACCTATTACATTTTTTCCAGTCTTACTGTTGGTGAGGCAAGAACCCTGGGCTCTGGAGTCAGACAAACATAGGTTTTAATCCTGGTCTACTCACATTGTCTACTCCATCCTTCCTGGATTTTCCTTTGTTCTACCACTCTCCCACTTCCATGAGTTTTCTTCTCCCTAAACATTCCTTTTTGTTTCAACTATTTCTCATAAAATGAGTTGGGCTATCATCATATGCCAACAGGAAAAAATGTGTCTTCAAGGGTCTGTAGGCCAAGTTACCAAATGATGTCCTCTCCACTCTGGTAGTCAGGGTGATATCAGCAAAGGTCCCCTCATTTCAGTATGGTCAAAGATTTATTTGAAATTCAGTGTATTACCAGCAATGCTTGGCCCAACTTCTCTAGTATGACTGACTTCCTGAGCAAGAGACTCAATATATCTGGGGCTCCAGAGCAGCCAAAGGTATTCAAGGGTCTCTTCATTTATACCGTATCTTATTACACAACGTCTATGCATCTGAGAAAGGAACTTCACCAACAGAGCAGTGCAGAAGACCCCGACATGGGTTCCCTGCCCTGCTTTTACTACAAACTCACAGAAGCCAAAGGCTACCCGCAAAGGGCAGGTGGGTGGTCCTCACTATCAAGTCAGTATCTCTGGAGTATAGGGCCACCTCCTGTACAGGCATTAAGGTCAACAGGCTTCATGTAGAAGCAATTTCAAACCAACACCTGTGCTTGTCAGAGCATGATGGGCATTCAGAAAAACCCTCACTCTGCACTTTTCACACTCTAAAGTCAGACTGTTGGGGCTATAAAATATATGTGATGCAAAGTATAGTAACTTTCAGAGGACTAACAAGAAATTATAATATCACTGCTTTTGGAAAATAGGTTCTAGTGGCCCTAGGGCATGTTTCATCCCTGAAGGATTGTGGGTATTGAAAACAAACCACTACCTGCAGTTAAAGTGAGAACTCCATGCTGTAAAATCAGTGTTAACCAGACATCCTACACTTATGTGATTTGTCTTAATTAGAGTTTGAGCTCCATAATTCACTGTCTCAGCGGCTTATTCTGGCTGTATCCCTCAAGTTTGCACAGCCAACCCCACCTTCATTCTGTAGTGGAACCCAAATAGGATCCTATCTATTGGAGCCATGTCTGCTAAGTAAAAATAAAAATGGAGATACCTAGGGCATGACTTTGCACTACAGGCTGAAAATGCTGCAGTTTGTGCAGAAAGCAGTACTTGTACAAATTTCTACAAATCAAGAATTAGAAGAGGAGAAAATAATAATGTGGATCATCACAGTGTCCTGGAAGGTTCCCCCTCCAAGTTTCTTCATATTTAAAAGATAGCAGTCTCTCAAAATGTTAAATTATCTGAAGATGATACTTTTATCAGTAACTTCTTGAGTCAAGCAGACCAACAGATGGGTCTGTAAATTTGGAAGCAAAGACCCAAGTGGGACCATAAAGAAACATTTATAACAGATATCCAGCATTCATTAAGGGGTCTCAATTAAACCACTGCCTTTGCTAGAACTCCATACATATGATATTGCATTTTTCATCATATATTAGGATTGCTTTCCCCAAGTATATGAAATCAAGAGCTAAGAGAAATATCAACCAATTGTTTTGGAATCCCCAGCTAGGCCAAACAGAATCCTATATCCTGATTCCCATCACTGAACCTCACAGTGGGGCTGACTTCTGATGTGCAGCTGATTGATTGCTGTCACATCCTTACCTATATGTTTGTGGCCTCACAGACCTCTAGCAACTTAAAGGATACTGGGCCAAATTTCACAAATTAATGGCCCATTTCAGGGATTGAGTATATAAAAGTAAATAATATATTCAGATTACCTAGGATCTTCTTTTCTTTATGGCTATTGTCCTCTATGACTCTATTTATCCATGAACTTCATTGCTTCTTAGAATCATTTTCCTGAATTACAGTGTCCAAAATGAAAGTCCACATTTTTTTCAACAGAGGAATGGGCACTTTTCTGAAAATAAGCCATATCATATTGAAATACAGTTACACAAAATATGTGAAGATACCTTATTTAAATCATTTCTTAGAATTATAGAATTTTAGAGAAAAAGGAACTTTATGCACTTTTTATTGAACTTGTTTTGATTTAGTTAAGCTCTCTCATTTTACAGATGTGGAAACTCATACTCCAAAATATTATGAACAATTTTGCCCCTGTATTCACCTGTTACCAGTTACTGCTCTATCTGATGCTGTTTTTGTCTTCAGTAGAACTGACTCGCCCTGAATTTTTCATGTTTTAGTTAGAACTTGTCATTGCTTACTCGTGGGTCCAGACGCTAGTCCAATATGCATCAGAAGAACTTGCAGGTGGTTTATTTTCTTTCCACTTGCTCTTGAAGAGACAGCTTTGCTGATTTCTGCATTTCAAAACCTGTCTAGTACCAGACATTTCATGAAGAAGATCAAAAGCTCTCACTCTAAGTGAAACAAAATTTGGTTTAATTAATAGCTGTGTAAGCTTAGGCAAGTTACTTAACCTCTCTGTGTCTTAGTTTTTGCATCTGGGAGATAAGGTTAATGACACATACCTTGCAGGATTAACGTGTGAATTAAGTGAGATAGTGAATGTAAAGCACCTGGCTCAGATTTAGAGTGTAATAAATCATTGCAGTTTTTCTTATCTATTAAACACAATATTGGGAAAAGCATTATATGGCTTTTTAAAAAACATTCCTTGTTAGATAGGAGGCTGCTTTTTTCCTTTTTGAATCTTCAGTGCAAATAAAAATGTGGGAAAATGTGCAGCAAAATGGTTTATTTTTGGCATTTGCCTGTTTAAGAGAGTTCCTCAGCTACTTTAGCAATTCAATTAATGCGCCTCTTCTCTCCAGGGATTCATCTGGCATTTATTTACAATGAGTTTCCTTTTCAACTAACTACCATACACCAGGTAACCTGAGCATATCTACAAATCTTTTAACAAAATTGTTATACAAATAATGTATGTTTTAGATGAAAAACTAGAAATTACAGAAAAACACAAATGAAGAAAAGTTAAATATTTATACTTTTACCACTTTCTTACAGAAATACATTATTTACCTATCTGTATCTATATAATCTATATTTGCATCTATCATCTATTTATCTATCATCTATCTATCTATCTATCTATCTATCTATCTATCTATCTATCATCTATCATCTATACATCTATTTGTGGCCATAGCAACACTACAAAATCCCTTTTAAAATGATCAGTTTCCCTCTGGCAAGAGACTTCATAATGTAGTATTTTCACTGATTAGTTTCATATGTTATTTAGCAGGCCTGATAACAGTGTATAATAGCAAATAAATTTTAATGAAGTAGACAATTTAAATTGTGCATTGACAGTAATTTCATAGTCCAGGATAATGAACTTAATAGACTACAGCAGAGTATTTCTTCCTTTTTGTTTTGTTCATTCAACAAATGTTTATTAAACACCTACTATATGCCTATTCTGAGAATAGAACACGGAATAACAGATAGAAATGGCTACTGGCAAGAAAGTTACATTCTAGTACAAACGTAAATTTCTTCTCTTAATACAATGTGATGCAATGCAAAAATGAAACACAGAATAGTTGAGTCAATTCATCTAAGTCACTAAACTATAAAAGGAAACAGGAAAATAAAAGGAGCTATTAACTTTATTCCACATTTCACAGCTTTGAGGCATCTTTTTAAAACACTTTTTTGATCAATTTTTTTAATTTTAATTGACAAATAATTGTGTATATTTATGAGGTACAATGTGATGCTTTGATTTATGTATACATTGTAGAAAGATTCAATCAAGCTAATTAAAATGGAAAATTCTAAACCTGTACTAGAGAGAATGATACACTGATCCCCATATACCTATCATTCAGCTTCAACTATTCAATTAATGGCAAATTTTGTTTCATCTAGATTATTTTGAAGCAAGTCCCTTATATTTTATCTTTTCATCTGTAAATGTTTAGGATGTACCTATAAAAGATAAAAACTGTTTTATTCAATATAACCACATGCAATTATTACAACAATTTTCCCCTGATATCAAATATATAGTCAGTATCTTAATTGGTCATTATGTTTTTTAAATCTCTTTGAATAGATATTTCCTCTCCTTCCTTACTTTTTTTCTTGTTATTTATTTGTTGAAGGGTTTTTTTGTTTCCCACAGTCAGTTTTGCCTGTGAAAATGTTTTTAAACAACTTTGTTGAGATATAATTCACTTATAGTAAATCCAGTATATCCACAGAGTTGTGTATCCACCATCACAATCAAGTTTAGAAAATTTTCATTACCCCAAAAACAAACCCTGCATCCCTTAGCCATGACACCCCAACATCACTCCCTACCACTGGCAACCACTAATTCATTTTCTGTCTATTATTCCAGACATTTTATATAAATCAAATAATACAATGTGGTCCTTTGTAACTGTATTATTTCACTGAGCATAATGTTTTTAAGGTCAATTCATGTTTCATTTCATTTCTTTTCATGGCTGAAGAGTATTTCATTATATGGATAAACCACATTTTGTTTCTTTTTATTGGTTGATATGCATTTGTGTTGTTTCTACTTTTGGCTTTTGTGAGTAATTCCACTATGAACATTCATATACAAGATATTTTGTGTAAATACATTCTCATTTTTCTAGGGATGGAATTGCTGGATTATATGGTAATTCTATGTTTAACCAATTGAGGAACTGCCACACTATTTTCCACAATGGCTACACAATTTTACATTCTTACTGGCAACGTATGAGGTCTCCAATTTATCCACATCCTCTCCAACACTCATTTTAGTTGATTTCCTTATTATTATTGTAACTATCCTAGAGGAGGTGAAGTGGTATCACATTATAGTTTAGATTTTTATTTCTCTAGGGACTAATGATGTTGAGCTTCTTTTTATTTGCTTATTGTTCATTTGAATATGTTATTTGGAGGAATACCTATGCAAATCCTTAGCCCAGTTTTAAATTGGCTTATTTTTCATTTTATTGTTGAGTTGTAAGAGCATTTTACATATTCTAGATACAAGATCTTGTCAGATATATGATTTGCAAAATTTTTTCCCATCTGTGAGTAGTCTTTTCACTGTCCTGATGGTGTCTTTTGAAGCATACTAGTTTTTAATTTTGATGTTGTTGAATTTATCTATTTTCGCCTTTTGTTGCTTGTACTTTTGGTGTTATATCTAAGAAACTACTACCCAAACTATAGTCATAAGGAGTTACATCTATGTTTCTTCTAAGAGTTTTATATTTTAGCTCTTACATTTATATCTTTGATACATTTTTAGTTAATTTTTATATATGATGAGATGTAAGGGTTCAACTTCATTCTTTTATACTGTCGGCATGTTTTCAGTGTCCTGTTTTTTTAGCCAAAAATTACCACGTAAGTAAGTGTTCCCTCAGTTCAATTATCTCAACTCAATATGACCTGAGAAAGCATTAGAATTTGATAGGGAGCAGAGGTTTCAAATCATTCTACCCCAAAGCTCCTTCATCTGAAGCCAGAGCTGGTATATCTTTCTTTTGTTAAAATGACAGATAAAATTATATGTATTTATTGTGTATAGTATGATGTTTTGAAGGATATATACATTGTGGAATGGTAAAATCTACATAATTAACAAAAGTGCATTATCACACATAGTTATCATATTCGTAGTGAGAATGCAACATCCAATCTCTTAGCTATTTTTCAAGAATACAACATATTGTTATTAACTATAGTCACCATACTGTACGATAGAACTTATTCCTCCTATTTAACTGTAATTTTCTATTCTTTAACCAACATCTCTCCACCTGCCCCCTGTAACCAACCACCCTGCCCTCTAGGTAGCCACCATTCTATTCTACTTTAATGAGATTAACTTGTGGATTTCACACGCATGAGATCATGCAGTATTTGTCTTTCTGTGCCTGGCTTATTTCACCTAACATAATGTCCTCCAGGTTCATCCATGCTGTGACAAATAACATGATTTCCTTTTTTATGGCTAAATAATATTCCAAAGTGGTACTGGAATAATATTTCAAGTGGTATATATGCCACTTTTTAAATCCATGCACTCATTGATGGACACTTAGTTTTATTCCATATCTTGGCTATTGTGAATAGTGCTGCGATAAACATGGGTATGCAGATATCTCTTTGACATACTGATTACATTTTCTTTGGATATATACCCAATAGTGGGATTGCTGGATCATAAGCTAGTTCTTTTTTAATTTTTTTAATTTAATTTAATTTTAAGTTCTGAGATACATGTGCAGAACGTGCAGGTTTGTTACATAGGTAAATGTGTGCCATGGTGGTTTGCTGCACCTATCAACCCATCATCTAGGTATTAAGCCCCACATGTATTATCTATTTATCCTGATGCTCTCCCTCCCACCCCCCAACAGGCCCGTTATGTATTGTTCCCTTCCCTGTGTCCATGTGTTCTCATTGTTCAGCTCCCACCGTGATTGAGAACATGCAGTGTTTGATTTTCTGTTCCTGTGTTAGTTTGCTGAAGATGATGACTTCCAGCTTCATCCATGTCCCTGCAAAGGACATGATCTCATTCCTTTTTATGGCTGCATAGTATTCCATGGTGTATATGTACCACATTTTCTTTATACGGTCTATCATTGATGGGCATTTGGGTTGATTCTATGTGTTTGCTATTGTGAATAGTGCTGCACTGAACATACACGTACACGTATCTTTATAACAGAATGATTTGTATTCCTTTGAGTATATACCCAGTAATGGGATTATTGGGTCAAATGGTATTTCTGGTTCTAGCTCCTTGAGGAATTGCCACACCGTCTCCCACAATGGTTGAACTAATTTACATTCCCGCCAACAGTGTAAAAGTGTTCCTATTTCTCCAAGCAATTGCAACAAAGGCAAAAATTAACAAGTGGGGTCTAATTAAACTAAAGAGCTTCTGCACAGGAAAAGAAACTATCATCAGAGCGAACAGGCAACCTAAGAATGTGAGAAAACTTTTGCAATCTACCCATCTGACAAAGGTCTAATATCCAGAATTTACAAGGAACTTAAACAAATTTACAAGAAAAAAATAAAAAAGTGGTCAAAGGACATGAACAGACACTTCTCAAAAGGAGATATTTACGTGGCCAACAAACATATGAAAAAAATCTCAACATCACTGATCATTAGAGAAATGCAAATCAAAACCACAATGAAATACCATCCCACACCAGTCAGAATGGTGATTATTAAAGGGTCAAGAAACAACAGATGCTGGCAAGGCTTTTTTAAATTTTTTGAGGAACCTCTGTATTATTTTCCATAGTTAGTATACTAATTTACCTTCCCACCAACAGTGTGCCAGGGTTTCCTTTTTTCCACATCCTCACCAACACTTGTTATCTTTTGTCTTTTTGGTAATAGCCATCCTAATAGGAATGAGGCAATATCTCATTGTGGTTTTGCTTTGCATTTCCCTGATGGTAATGATGTTGAGTATTTTTTCACATACCTGTTGACCATTTGTATGTCTTTTTTTGAGAAACACTGATTCAGGTCTTTTGCCCATTTTTTTTCTTTTTTCTGTTTTCTTTTTTGTTTTTTTGTTATTGTTTCTTTTTTGTTATTATACTTTAAGTTCTAGGGTACATGTGCACAATGTGCAGGTTTGTTACATGTGCTATGTTGGTGTGCTGCACCCATTAACTCGTCATTTACATTAGGTATTCCTCCTAATGCTATCCCTCCCCCCTCCCCCCACCCCATGACAGACGCCGGTGTGTGATGTTCCCCATCCTGTGTCCAAGTGTTCTCATTGTTCAATTCCCACCTATGAGTGAGAACATGCAGTGTTTGGTTTTCTGTCCTTGTGATACTTTGCTGAGAATGATGGTTTACAGCTCCATCCATGTCGCCACAAAGGACATGAACTCATCCTTTTTTATGGCTGCATAGTATTCCATGGTGTATATGTGCCACATTTTCTTAATCCAGTCTCTCATTGATGGACATTTGGGTTGGTTCCACGTCTTTGCTATTGTGAATAGTGCTGCAATAAACATACGTGTGCATGTGTCTTTATAGTAGCATGATTTATAATCCTTTGGGTGTATACCCAGTAATGGGATCACTGGGTCAAATGGTATTTCTAGTTCTAGATCCTTGAGGAATCACCACACTGTCTTCCACAATGGTTGAACTAGTTTACAGTCCCACCAACAGTGTAAAAGCGTTCCTATTTCTCCACATCCTCTCCAGCACCTGTTGTTTCCTGACTTTTTAATGATCGCCATTCTAACTGGTGTGAGGTGGTATCTCATTGTGGTTTTGATTTGCATTTCTCTGATGTTTTGCCCATTTTTAAATCAGGTTATTTGTTCTCTTGCTATTGACTTGTGTGAGTTCCTTACTTCCTTATTAGATACATAGTTTGCAAATATTTTCTCTCATTCTCTCCACTCTGTTTATTTCCTTTGCTATACAGCAACTTTTTAGTTTGATGTAATCCCATTTGTTTATTTTCACTTTTGTTGCCTGTGCTTTTGAGGCCACTGTGTAGCTTTTCCCATATGTTTTCTTCTAGTAGTTTCATAGTTTCATTCTGTTAGGCTTACAAAAAACATCATATAGTTATAACAGGTTGTTTTAAGCTGACAGCAACTTAACTTTGATAGCCAAAAAACAAACAAACAAACAGAAACCTACAGTTTTACCCCATTCTTCACTCCCACATTTTGAATTTTTTGATGTCACCATTTACATATTTTAATATTGCATATCCCTTAACAAGTTATCATAGTTATTATATTTGATAATTTAGTCCTTCAATCGCCATACTAAACATATGAGTGATTTACATGCCACCATTACCATATTATTCTGAATTTGACTATGTCCTCACTTTTACTAGAGAATTTCATACTTTCAAATGTTTTCATGTTACTCATTAGAGTTCTTTCTTTTGCAGCTTGAATAATTCCCGTTAACATTTCTTGTATGACAGGTCTGATGGTGTTAAACTCCCTCAGATTTTGTTTGTCTGAGAAAGTCTTTATATTTCCTTCATTTCTGAAGGATAGTTTTGCTGGTATAGTATTATTGGTTGACAGTGGTGTTTTTTCTTTTCAGCATTTTGAATATATCATCCCATTCTATGCTGGCCTACAAGGTTTCTTCTGAGAAGTTCACTGCTAGGCATATTGGAACTCCCTTATATAATATTTGCTTTATTTTTCTTGCTGCTGATTTCAGGATCCTTTTTTTGTCTTTGATTTTTAATAGTTTGGTCATAGTATTCTTATTTGGATTGAATCTGATTGGAGACTTTTCACCTTCCTGTACCTGGAGATTTATATCTTTCTCCAGATTTGGAAATTTTTCTATTATTTCTTTGAATAAGCTTAGATCCCTTTCTCTTTCTCTTCCCCTTCATGAACCCCTATAATCTGAACATTTGCTCTTTTGATGCTATCCCATAAATCTCAGAAGCTTTCTTTATTCCTTTTTATTCCTTTTCTTTTTTCTCCTTTGATTGTATTTTTTTTTATTTCAACTTTTATTTTAGATACGGGGGTACATGTGCAGGCTTGTCACATGGGGATTTGTGTGATGCTGAGGCTTGGGGTACAGATCCTATCACTCAGGTAGTGAGCATAGTACCCAGTACGTACCTTTTCAACCCTCACCCCTCCTTCTCTCCCTGCTCCAGTAGTCCACAGGGTCTATTGCTGTCATATTTATGTCCATGTGTGCTCAGTGTTTGGCTCCCACTTTTAAGTGAGAATATGCAGTATTTGGATTTCTGTTTCTGTGTTAATTCACTTAAGATTGTGGCCTCCAACTGTATCCATATTTCTCCAAAGGACATAATTTCATTCTTCAATATGGCTGCATAGTATTCCATGTTGTATATGTACTGTATTTTTTTTATCCAATCTGCCATTGATGGGCACCAGGGTTGATTCCATGTCTTGGCTATTGTGAATAGTGCTGTGATGAATATATGAGTGCATGTGTCTTTTTGGTTTATGATTTATTTTCCTCTGGATATATACCCAGTAATGGAATTGCTGGATCAAATGGTAGCTCTGTTTTTTAAGTTTTTTGAGAAGTCTCCAGACTGCTTTCCACAGGGCTGGACTAATTTACATTCCCATCAATGGTGTATAAGCATTCCCTTTTCTCTGCAGCCTTACTAGCATCTGCTGTTTTTTTGACTTTTTAATAATAGCCATTCTGACTGTATATTTTTGAATAATCTTTCTTCAAATTCACATTCTTTCTTCTGTTTGATCAATTCAGCTGTTGATTCTCTCTATTGCATTTTTTATTTTATTAATTGCATTTTTAGTTATAGGATTTATTTTTTATTGTTAATTTTAATTTTTGTGGGTACATAGTTGGTGTATATATTTATGGGGTACGTGAGATATCTTGATACAGGCATGTAATGTGTAATAATCACAACAGGGTAAATGGGATATCCATCTTCTCAAGCATTTATCCTTTGTGTTATAAACAATACAACTACACTCTTTTACTTATTTTTAAATGTTCAATTTAATTATTATTGACAAAGTTATTAATATAGGTACACTTATTAGAGATTATGGATTTAGTGCATTAGCTTGTACAGAAGGAAGTAACTCTAACAGCTTCTTTGGCTAGTTGACTAAAATTTGGACTGAATGGCAGCCTACATTTAAATCAGTTGAGATGTTAGAACTTTCGTGACATAATGTAGAGGAAGGAATATGAAAGCTTAGGGAGATAGGAATGATGGAGTGAATTCATCATATGTGATTTCCACAGCCACCACACACACACACACACACACACACACGCACACACACACTGTATCCCCCAAGATGGCCCAGAAAATATTCCTTTCACTAAGGTTTTGAGAAATATATTAGTGAGAAGAGCACCACTGTATTAGTCGCCTAGTGCTACATTAACAAACCATCCTCAAACTTGGAAGATTAAAAAAAACATTTATTTAGATCACAAGTTTACAGATTGACCTAGTGGTTCTGCTGTCCTGTGCCAGGCTCAGCTTACCTTGACAAGACTCACTCATGCTTGTGACATCAGCCAGCAGGTCATCTGAGGGCTGGCTGGTCTTGAAAGAACTCAGCTTAAATGGCTCATCTCTATTCCCCATTGTTTTCTCATCCTCCAGCAGGCTAGCTTAGGGTTGTTTATATGACTGTGAATAAGGTTCCAAAAGAGAAAGTGAAAGTGTACAAGGCTCTTGAGGCGTGAGCTCAAAACTAGTGCAATGTCACTTCTGTCACATTCTATTGGTCAAAGCATGTTACAAGGCTAGACTAGATTCAAGGCATGGGGAAATATATTCTACCTCTTGATAGGAGGTTATTCGCCACAGAGCAAAGGAGCATGGATACAGGGAGGAGTAAAGAATTGTGGCCATCTATTCAATCTACTACAATCAGTGCCCTTGTAAAGTTCTGTGATGGTTGTCTTACGTAGGCCAGGTATGACAGTGGAAAGTTACAACACTGAGATGAGTGCCCTGATATCAGTCAGTATGTTGGTATCCCTGAGTAGCAGAGGCCAACTGTCAGCCCTTAACTACAAGAGATGAGAGTAAGTACTTTAACTGGAAATAAGGACAAAGTGATTATCACAATGTTTTGGTCCTCAACAATTTTTGATGGCAGCTAATTCATCACAGTGTCCTTTGGAATGAAATAGATGGGTAGATTACTAAAATGATATTTGATCTAAACAACAAGAATCTAGGTTTGATAGAAACTTGACTTGAATCACTAAAATGGAAATTCATGGCTCCTCAAACCCAGTTCTAAAACACCTAAAAAGTTCATAGACCAGGCCGGGCACGGTGGCTCACGCCTGTAATTCCAGCACTTTGGGAGGCCGAGGCGGGCGGATCACAAGGTCAGGAGATCGAGACCATCCTGGCTAACAAGGTGAAACCCCGTCTCTACTAAAAAAAAAAAAAAAAAAAAAAAAAAAGTTCATAGACCTAGAGCTCTGTGATCAAAGGAGAGGATAGGTCCCCTTGATGAAACACCCCGGAGCACTGCCATAAATATATACTGTAAACCTTATCCCAAACCTTCTCCAAAGGGACCTATAGCCATTTACCGTGGTGACAGCATAGGGAAAAGGAAATAGCCAGATCTTTTGGGGGATATTAGACACTAGCTCTGAATTGATGTTAATTTCTGAGAACCCACATTATTACACTGGTTCACGAGCTTAAATGTGGGCTTATGGAGGTAAGATGATAGTGGAGTTTTGACCTATGTTTGTGACAAGTAAATCAGATTACCCACCCTATGGTTATTCCCCCAAGCTCTTGAATATATAATTGGAGTAGACACATTCAGACAGTGGCAGAATCTTCACATTTGCTCTCTGATCCATGAAATGAGAGTTATTATTGTAGGAGGAGGCAAGTATAAGCCTCAAGAACTTCCCATTAGTAACAGAATAGTAAACCACCATGGTGAAACCCTGTCTCTACTGAAAATACAAAAATTAGCTGGGCGTGGTGGCATGCGCCCGTAGTTCCAGCTACTCGGGAGGCTGAGGCAGGAGAATTGCTCAAACCCAGGAGGCGGAGGTTGCAGTGAGCCGAGGTCACGCCACTGCAATCCAGCCTGGCGACAGAGCGAGACTCCATCAAAAAAAAAAAAAATCAGAATCTATCGCTTCGGTGAAGTTTTCTTGGGATCCAAAGGACAGGAGCATTTTGATATATCTTCTCACATGCCTTACCTGGATATTGTTACTGTTGAGTGCCTAGCCTGCCAAGATAGGAGAGGAACACTTGGAGAGAGCAAGCCATCCACCTGGTGACAAGTTGACTGCGTAGGATAGCCTCTATTAAGGAGTAGTAAATGATTTTTCCTCACTGAAATAGACACTGGCTCTGAGTATGGATTTACCATAATATTTCTGCTACCTTTATCATGTGTGGACTTGTGAAATGTCTTATGCACCATCATGATATTCTAATGACATTGATTCTTAATAAGAAACTCAATTCACAGCAAATGAAGCACAGAAATGGGCTTATACCATGGAATTCATTTGACTCACCATATACCAAATCACCCAAAGGCAGCTGGACTGACTGAACAATGGTTAGGCTGCTGAAGATCCAGTTGTGACATGAGTTGGGAGACAACTCCTAAATTTTGTAGGGTTTTGTTTTGTTGCATTATACTTGGCCAGATTATTTGTGTAAAGTGCAGCAAAAATAATTATTTTTTACATAGGTGTTTTAAATTAGCTTTGATGGAACTTTGTTCCATAGAAGGATCCTCAAACAATACTTTTTTAAAGCTGAGCCCAGCCATGGATTTGTATTATCAAATACCTGTGAGTTGGGTAAACTCCTCTCCTCTTGAGGTCGCAAGATAACTTAGGGCTCCTGGGCCTAAGTTATATATATATATTATATATGTACACTTTATATATATAATATATATAGTATATGTATAAAGTATATAAAGAGTTCTGGGGTACATGTGCAGAACATGCAGGTTTGTTACATAGGTATACATGTGCCATGGTGCTTTGCTGCACCCATCAACCCTTCATCTCCATTAGGTATTTCTCCTAATGCTCTCCCTTCCCCAGCTCCCCACCTCCCAACAGGCCCCAGCGTGTGATGCCCCCCTCCCATGTCCATGTGTTCTCATTGTTCAACTCCCACTTATGAGTGAGAACATGTTGTGTTTGGTTTTTTGTTTTTGTGTTAGTTTGCTGAGAATGATGGTTTCCAGCTTCATCCATCTCCCTGCAAAGGACATGAACTCATCCTTTTTTATGGCTGCATAGTATTCCATGGTGTGTATGTGCCACATTTTCTTTATCCAGTCTATCATTGATGGGCATTTGGGCTGCTTCCAAGTCTTTGCTATTGTGAACAGTGCCACAATAGACATACATGTGCATGTGTCTTTATAGTAGAATGATTTATATTCCATTGGGTATATACCCAGTAATGGGATTGCTGGGTCAAATGGTATTTCCAGTTCTAGATCCTTGAGGACTCTATTCATCTGACAAAGGGCTAAATATCCAGAATCTGCAAAGAACTTAAACAAATTTACATGAAAAAAACAAACAACCCCATCAAAAAGTGGGCAAAGGATATGAACAGACCCTTCCCCAAAGAAGACATTTATGCAGCCAACAAACGTATGAAAAAAGCTCATTATCACTGGTCATCAGAGAAATGCAAATCAAAACCATAATGAGATATCATCTCACACCAGATAGAATGGAGATCATTAAAAAGTCAGGAAACAACAGATGCTGGAGAGGATGTGGAGAAATAGGAACACTTTTACACTGTCGGTGGGACTGTAAACTAGTTCAACCATTGTGGAAATAGGTGTGGCGATTCCTCAGGGATCTAGAAGTAGAAATCAAAGTGGAAGTGGCTCCATACCATGGAATTAATTTGACTTACCATATACCACATCACCCAGAAGCATCTGGACTGACTGAACAATGGATAGACTGCTGAAGATCCACTGTGACATGAGTTGGGAGAAAACACTTAAATTTTGCTTTTAAGAACCAAGAAATCAAAGTGGAAGTGGCTCCTCAATAACTCACTTAAAGAATTTTGGTTCTTGTTCTGGTAAATTTGAGCACTGCTGGCTTACAGGTTTTACTTACCAGGGGAGGAATGCTTTAATCGGGGACACAATGATTCCATTGAATTGGAAGTTGAGACTGCCACCCGCTATTAGCTATTTGGAAGTTCTTATGCCAGTGAACCAAAAATCAGGAAAGGCTACTCTACAGGCTGGAGTGATTGATCCAGATCTCCAAAGAAATTAGGTTGCTGTCCCACAGTGGGGTCAGAGAGGACTATGCTTGCACTTAGGAAATTCTCTGGGGAACCTCTTTGTATTTCTATGCTGAATAGTGAAGGTTAATAGAAAACTACATTAAGCAGGAAATAGGCAAGATTTTTAAGGATTCAGACCATTCAGGAATAAAGCTGTGGGTCTCCCTACCAGGTAACACAAAATGGGCTAAGGATATATGAATTAGTTGAAGAAGGATGTTTTAGATATTAACTACAACCCAAAACCATATGGTGTATATGTAGCAATGAGACAGTCTCTTCCTTGTTTTTATGTAGGTAGGTATGTATGTATGTATGTATGTATGTATGTATGTACGTATTATATATAAACTGTATGCATATATTGACTAATTTATTTTTATTTCTCTTCTTTCCCCTTATTATTTTATATAAAATCATTTTTGGAAGTTAACTTTACAGTTTAGTGTTTATGTAAAAATTTTCAGATGGGACTGTAAGTGAATTTGAAGAGAAATCAACATAGTTCAGAGGCAAATACAGTAACTATTGTGACTTTGTCACTTCTCATTTTGGGGAGATTGTGAGAGTGTTTTTGTGTGAAGGATAGTGACAACTTATTAATTAAAATTAATAATATTGGGACATGGATGAAATTGGAAATCATCATTCTCAGTAAACTATCGCAAGAACAAAAAACCAAACACCACATATTCTCACTCATAGGTGGGAAATGAACAATGAGAACACATGGACACAGGAAGGGGAACATCACACTCTGGGGACTGTTGTGGGGTGGGGGGAGGGGGGAGGGATAGCATTGGGAGATATACCTAATGCTAGATGACGAGTTAATGGGTGCAGCACACCAGCATGGCACATGTATACATATGTAACTAACCTGCACATTGTGCACATGTACCTTAAAACTTAAAGTATAATAATAATTAATAAAAAAATTAATAATATTAAAATACAAAGAGTTATTTTTGTTGGTGTATAGAAGTGAAGATACATGTAAAAGGATATATATGAATACTTAGTATCCAAATTGGTATGCTGTACTGGTTATTAATAGTCTCTGAGACTCAGGCCACACTGTGTGTTATGCTCTGTGATGTTGAGGCTCAGATTTTGTAAACCACATTTATGCTCTGCCTGCTACCTCCCTGGTAGTCTTTGCCTAAAGAAGGTGCTAGAGCAGTGTCAGTTCCTGCCAGTAGCAGCAGCTTAATCCAGTTTGCAGTTTCCCCAGCATTTCCAGAATTAGCCTTATTGCACTTCCTCAGATACTCCACCACCAGTTGGCAGTACCCCCTCCCCAGAAGTGTTCCATTGGAAGACCCTCCTCAAGTGCACTCAGATGAGCATCATCAGGCCTGTGCTCCCTCCTAAGAAGTCTGCATTTCACATTTGCAAAGCCTTTCCTCCAAATTTCTGGGATTTAATAATTTCAAACTCTTCCCTTTGTTCCCCCCTAGGAGTGGTAGCTGCTTCCTGCTGTTACCATATCCATGGTAATTTATTGTTTTCTTTTTGCATTTTTATTTTTCCAATGCCTAGTTAACAATTCTTTATGTTAGTTTCCTCTGCTAAAACAATTGGTGTGTTTTCTGTCTCCTGACTGGAACTTGATTGACACAAGCAATTTACAGGCACACCAGCAGTGTAAAAGCATGTCCTTTGTTCCACAGTCCTTACAACAGAAGGAAGTGTTAGTAATTCTCAGGGTTGTTTTTTTTTTTTTTTAATTTAGCCATTTTCATGGGTGTGTAAGGTAACCCCATTGGGTTTTAATTTAAAATTTCCAGAATATTTATAAAGTCAAGAAACTTTTTTATTTTTAATGGAGTGTCTGAGTTTCTTATTGGGTTGCCTTTTTTTCTCAAGTGGGTATCCCAGCCAGCACCACTTATTGAAAAGATCACCCAGCTGGGCGTAGTAGCTCATGCTTGTGATCCTAACATGTTGGGAAGCCGAGGCGGGAGGATTGCTTGAGCCCAGATGTTCAAGACCAGCCTGGGCAACATGGCGAGCCCCTGCCTCCTCTAATATATATATATATATATATATATATATATATATATATATATATATATATATATATATATATATATATATATATATGTAAAGTTTTAAAAAAGAGGAAAGAAAATGTCACCCTTTCTGTACTGCTCTGCAGTGCCACCTTTGTAATAAATCCAGTATCCATATGTGTATGGGCCTGTTTCTGAACTCTCCATCCTATTCTAATGGATTTTTTTGGTCTATTCTTGCACTATACATCAAGTCCTAATTAAACTAGCTTCACCATCTTTCCTGCTATTCTGTATTACATCTTCTTCTTCAAGGATGATTTGGCCATGTGCATTTCTACATTAAAGAATCAGCTTGTCAAGTCGCAAAATAAATCTGTGGAAATTTTGGTTGTGACTAAACCTGTAGAACAATTTGGGGAGAACATCTTTGTCATATTATGTCTTTAAGCCCATCAATACGATAGTGCTAGATATCTTCTCATCCAGACCCATCATCCTTTTTCACCCTACCCTATGTTCCAGGAATATGGACTACATTAATGAAATCCCTTGCCATATGGCTTCTGGTTAGATTTGGCCAGAACCCCAGAAGGAAATCAGAATGAGAGAGGAGGGTGAGGTCAGAGTATTTATTTCTCTGGGTCTCTCCTTGAAAGATTGTCTTGGGTTGGCCTCAACTGAAGCTCACTGCTTATTTCAAAGCATCTATCTCTACAGGACTCACTCCTTTTGGGTTCTGACAACTGCTTCCTCCTTTTGTCCCTACTGGACTAAGCTTGGTAACTGCTACTCCACTGCTATTATCCCTAGGTCCTATATTACCCTTTGCGTTTCCTCTACAATATATCCATACATTTATAAATACTTACTTTGAAAACAAACCCTCCAGAATTATTCTAATTTTAACAACAGCTTTATTAAAACATAATTGATATACAAAGAACTGCACATATTTAATATGTATAATTTGATGTTTGAGTATATACAAATATCCATAATGCCATCACCACAATCAATGTAATAAATGCATCAAACACTTTCAGTTTCCTTGTGTCCCTTTGGGTTTTTTGGTTTGTTTGTGGTAATAACACTTAACATGGGATCTACCCTCTTAACAAATTTCGAAGTTGTAGTTAACAATCTCTGCTTCTGTGAGTTTGATTATTATAGATTTCTCATATAGGAGTATTTGTCCTTATGTGACTGGCTTTCTTCATTTAATATAATATCATCCAGGTTCAACCATGTTGTCACATATGGCAAGATTTTCTTCCTCTTTAAGGCTGAATAATATTCTGCTGTATGTATACACCACATTTTATTTATCCATTCATCTGGACATTTGAATTGTTTCCATATTTTGGCTATTATGAATACTGCTGCAATGAATGTGTGAGTGCAGATATCTTTTCAAGATCCTTATTTCAATTATTTTGGGTATATACTCAGAAGTGGGATTGCTGGATCACATGATAGTTTTATTTTTAAGTTTTTGAGGAAACTCTTTAGTGTTTTCTATAGCTGCTGCATAATTTCATTTTCCCACTAACAGTATACAAGGGTTCCAGTTACTTCATATCCTCACTAACATTTGTTATCTTTGGGTTTTTGATAATAGCCATCCTAATAAATATGAAGTGATATCTCATTGTAGTTTTGATTTGTATTTCACTGATAATTAATTATGTTGGGCATCTTTTCATTATCTGTTGGCCATTTGTATGTCTTCTTTGGAGAAATGTCTGTTCAAGTCCTTTGCCCACTTTTTAATTGAGTTATTTGTTTTTCACTATCGAGTTGCAGGAGTTTCTTATATACAGTTGACTTTCAGACAACACAGGAGTTGGGGCACCAACTCCCTGCACAGTTGAAAATCTACATGTAACTTTTGACTCTCCAAAAACTTAACCAGTAATAGCTCCCTGTTGACTGGAAGCCTTTTCAATAACAAAGAGTTGATTAACACTATGTTGTATGTTAATGTATTATATACTGTATTCTTACAATAAAATAAGCTAGAGAAAAAGTGTTATTAAGAAAATCATAAGAAAGAGAAAATAAATGTATAGTACTTTACTGTATTTGTCAATACCATAAGTGTACATCATCTATTTGCAAGATTAATTGTCTGTCTGAAATGGTGGGCAACCACAGCTGCAGACCTCAATCTATAGAAAATATCAAGCAACTCAACTTTTTTTGATAGGGGTTGCATTAAATCTGTAGATTGCTTTGGGTAGTATGAACATATTAATAATACTGTTTTTTCCAATCTGTGAATATGGAATATCTTTCTATTTTTGTGTCCTCTTAAATTTCTTTCATCAGTGTTTTATAGTTTTCATGGTAAAGATCTTTAATTTCTTTGGTTAAGTTGATTCCTAGGTATTTCATTTTATTTGTAGCTATTGTAAATGGGATTACTTTCTTAATTTCTTTTTCAGATTTTTCACTGGGCATATAGAAATGGTACTGATTTTTGTATGTTGATATTGTATCCTGAAACTTTACTGAATTTGTTTTCCAGTTATAATAGTTTTTTTAGTAAAGTCTTTAGGTTTTTCCAAGTTTAATATCGTATCATCTGCAAACAAGGATAATTTGACTTCTTCCTTTCCATTTTTGATGCCTTTTATTTCTTTCTCTTGTCTGATTGCTCTAGCTAGGACTTGCAGTACTATATTGAATACCAGTAGTTAAAGTGGGCATGCTTGTGTTCCTGATTTTAGAGGAAAGGCTTTCAGTTTTACCCATTCAGTATGATACTAGCTGTGGGTATGTTGTATATGGCTTTTATTATGTTGAGATATATTCCGTCTATACCCAATTTTTTGAGGATTTTAATTATGATGAAGTGTTGAATTTTATCAAGTGCTTTTTCAATATCAATTGAAATGACCATATGGTTTGGTCTTTCTGTTGATATGATGTACTGCATTAGTTGATTTGCCTATATTAAACCATCTTTGCATCCGTGTGATAAATCCCACTTGGTCATGATAAATTATCTTTTTAATGTTTTATAGAATTTGGTTTTCTAGTATTTGGTTGAAAAATTTTGCATCAATATTCATTAGTGATATTGGCCTATAGTTTTCTTTTGTGATGTTGTAACGCCAAAGATTCTTGCCTTAGCCACACCAAAGAATTGATGTGGCGGCAGCCCGCGGTGAGAGAGAGACACGGATCAGACTGAGAGAAAAAAGCTGTAGGCTTTATTGAGCAGAGTGGCAGTACAAAGCTTCCACAGCGTGGAAGGGGTCCTGGGCCGGTAGCCAGTGTTAGATTTTTTGATCACCCTTTAAACCCTTTAAGGCGGGAAATACGTGCGGCGGGAAGATGTTACCAGAGCGAGAAACAAAGACAATTAACATGTATCAGATCTTGAGGAAAACCGGAATTGTAACTTAAGGTTTATCTACTTTATGACCTTGCAGCGGCATGGCAAAGGAGACAGGATCTCACAGGATTTTACAAACTGTGTTTACAAGGAATCGGAATTGGGAGCATAGATAAGGTTTGCTGGTCACAGAAAAACGGGCTTTTAACATTCCTTTCAGTTTCAGGGGAGGGGGAAGGGAGAGAGGGAGCGAGGACACAGGGAAGCTTACAGCAAAAGTTTCGCTGTTTATAGCTTTCTTGGGGAAGAAAACACATGCACAAATTCTGATGTTAGGAATATTTTAAGCATATATCTTCAATATTATTCATCCAGGACCAAAGTAAGTCCTGTTGCAGAAAATGAGTTTCATAGCTTTCTGAGCCCCTGCTAGACCCAGGAAGCCCAGCTGGCACCTCCTCTCAATGTCTTTGTCTGGTTTTGATATCAAGGTAATATGGCCTCAGAGAATAAGTTCCTCCTCCTCCATTATTTGGAATAGTTTGAGTTGTTATTGGTCTGTTCAGGTTTTGGATATCCTTATCACTCAATCTTAGTAGGTTGTATATGTCTAGAAATTTATCAATTTCTTCAAGATTTTCCAATTTATTGGCATATAGTTGCTCATAGTAGCCACTAAAAATCCTTCAAACGTCTATCAGTTGTAATGTCTCCTTTTTATCCCTTATTTTATTTATTTGGGTCTTCTCTTTTTTTCTTAATTAGTCTGCCTAAAGGTTTGTGAATTTTGTTTATCTTTCCAAAAAACCATTTTTTGTTTCTTTTTTTATATTGTTTTCTTCATTTCAAATTTGTTTCTTTATCCTCACATTTTTATTATTTCTTTTCTTCTACTAATTTGGGGTATGGTTTACTCTTGCTTTTCTAGTTGTTTAAGATTGATTATTAGATTGTTTATTTGAAATTCTTCTTTTTTAATGTAGGCACTTATAGCTATAAACTTCCCACTTAGGACTGCTTTTACTGTATCTTATAGGTTTTAGTATGTTGTGTTTCCATTATCATTTGTTTCAAGAAATTTTTCAATTTCCTTCTTAATTTCTTCATTGACTCACTGGTCATTTAAGAGCATATTTTTAAATTTCCATGTATGTGTATAGTTTCCAAAATTCTTCTTGTTGTTGATATCTAGTTTTATTCCACTGTGGTCAGGGAAGATGCTTGGTATTATTTCAATTTTTTGCATCTTTTAAGATTTATTTTGTGATCTAAGATATGGTTTATCTTTGATAATGTCCCATGTGCTGAGGAGAGGAATGTGTATTCTGCAGCTATTGGATGAAATGTTCTGTACAAATCTATTAGGTCCATTTGGTCTATAGTGCAGATTAAGTCTAATGTTTCTTTGTTGATTTTCTGTCTGGGAGATCTGTCCAATGCTGAAAGTTGTGTGTTGAAGTCTCCAGCTATTATTGTATTGGGATCTCTCTCTCTTTAGCTCTAAAATATTTTCTTTATATATCTGGGTGCTCCAGTATTGGGTGCATATGTATTTACAATCATTATATCCTCTCACTGAATTGACCCCTTTATCATTATATAGTGACCTTCCTTGTCTCTTCATATAGTTTTTGTCTTGAAATCAATTTTGTCTGATGTAAGTGTAACTACTCCTGCTCTTTTTTTGGCATGGAATGTTTTTCTATCCCTTTATTTTTAGTCTGTGTGTGTCTGTAAGTGAAGCGTGTTTCTTGTAGGCAGCATATTATTGGGTGTTGTTTTTATTCATTCAGCTACTCTGTGTCTTTTGATTGGAGAGTTTAGTCCATCTACATTTACTGTTATTATTGATAAGTAAGGACTTACTACTGCCATATTGTTATTTGTTTTCTAGTTGTTTTGTAGTCTTTTCTCTCGTCTTAACTTCCTTCCTTTCTTTCTTTTAGTGAAGGTGATTTTTTTTTCTGCTGGTATTATTTAATTTCTCACTTTTTAATGTGTCCATTGTATGGTTTTGTATTTGAGGTTACCATGAGGCTTGAAAATACTGTCTTATAATCCATTTTTTAAGCTAATAACAACTTAACATTGTTTGCATAAACAAAAAAGTGAAAGGAAAACTAATAAAAGCTCTACACTTTAACTTTATTCCCCTGCTTTTAAATTTTTTGTTGTTTCTATTTCTATCTTCTTCCTTTCTTCCTTATACCTTTAAAAGTTGTTGCAGTTATTATTTTCCATTGGTTCATCTTTTGATCTTTCTACTTAAGATAGGACTTGTTTACATACCACAGTTACAGTGTTGTAATATTTTGTGTTTTTTCTGTGTACTTACTATTACCAATGAGTTTTGAACCTTCCAATGATTTCTTATTGTTCACTAACGTCCTTTTCTTTCTGCTTGAAGTACTCCCTTTAACATTTCTTGTCGGGCAAGTCTGGTGTGGATGAAATCCCTGAGCTTTTGTTTGTCTGGGAAAGTTATTATTTCTCTTTCAAGCTTGAATGATATTTTTGCCAGATATACTATTCTAGGGTGAAAATATTTTTTCCTTCTCACACAAATGGAGTCTCTCTTTCTGTTCTGAGTCTTCTGGAGCTGGGGATGGCATCCCATGAGCACCCCAGTGGTTACCACCACAGAGACTACACTGCATCAGACCTGAAGCCAGCACAGCAATGGGTCTTGCCCAAGGCCTGCTGTAACCACTACCTACCTGGCTACTGTGTATGTTTGTTCAAGACCCTGGGGCTCCACAATCAGAAGATGGCAAAGCCAGCCAGCCCTGTGTTTTTCCTTTCAGGGCAGTGCGTTCCACCAGGCCCCAGGCAGGTCCCGAGGTACCATCCAGGAGCCAGGTATTGGCATCAAAGTCTGTCCAATTCTACCTGGTGTTCTATTGTACTGTGTCTGACCCCGCACTCAACCCATAAGTCACAATGCTTCCCACTCTTCCCTCTCCTTTCCATAGGCAGAGGAGCCTCACCTTATGGCCACCAGCACAGGCCCACAGGGAGTACTGCCAGGCTACTACTGATGTTCCCTTAAGGACCAAGGGCTCTTCAGTCAGCTTGTGGTGAGTGCTGTCTCACCTTAGATTCACCCTTCAGGAATGTGGGCTCCCCTCTGGCCCAGGGCAGGTCCAGAAATACATCCAAGAGCCAAGGCCTAGAATCAGGGACCCCAAGAGTCCACTTGGTGCTGTATCGTTCTGTGGCTGAACTGATACCTAAGGTGCAAGACAAGTCCCCTTTACTTTTCTCTCCACTTTTCTCAAGCAGAGGAATCACTTCCCGTAGCCACCACAGCTGAAAATGTGCTGAGTCTTACTTGAAGCCCACAAGTCTCAGAGTCTCACCCAATGCCCATATACTACCTAGGTATCTCTGCTGGTTATTCAGGACCCAAGGGCTCTTCAGTCATCAGGTGATGGATCCTGCCAGGACTGGGTCCTTCTCTTCAATGCAGCAAGTTCCCTTCTGTCCCAGCGTTTGTCTAGAAATGTCATCTGGGAGTTAGGGCCTCACAACTCTGACTGGTGCACTATCCTACTATGGCTGAACTGGTATTCAAGATGCAAGACAACATCCTCTTTACTTTCCCTCTCTTCTTTTCAAGTAGATGAAAGGGGTCTCCTCTGGAGGCACAAACTGTACTGCCTCAGGTTACAAACACTCCTTTAGCTGCCGCAGCTGGTATCTCACTAGGCTGTGTGTCACCAAGTACAGTGTCTATGAGCCCATTTCAACACTAGGAGTCACCTAGGAGTTACAGTCCTTGTGGCCTAGGTGACCTTTCAGATTTATTTATGTTCCCCAGAGCACTTCAGCCCATGCTGGTGAGGCTTTCCAGTACTCAAGTTCTGACTACTGGGATGGGTGATTCCTTTCTAGCTAGGCCTGGTTTAAGTACTCTACTCTCTCCATGGGCGAGCATCAGCTGAATTCAACCTAGTTTTGCTTTCTGCTGTGACAGGGCAGCACTGAGTTCAATGCAATGTCTCACAGTTGTTGCACTTTTCTTCTCCCAAATGCACAGATTCTCTCTCTGCACCACATGGCCACTGCCAGAGGGTTGGGGGAAGGGTGGTATCAGTGACTCAAGACTGTCTTTCCTATTCTCTTTAGTGCCTCTTTCAGTGATTTGAAGTTAAAGGCAAGTACTCTGAGTGCTCACCTGATTTTTGGTTCTTATGAAGGTGCTTCTTTGTGTGCAGGTAATTGTTAAATTGGTGTCCTTGTGGAGGGGATGATTAGTGGGGCCTTCTGTTTAGCCATCTTGTCCCTCCCCTCTCCAGATTCACTCTTCTGTTTAAGTTTTCAATCCATTTTTAATTGACCTTTGTGTTTCATGTAAGATAAGGGTCCAATTTTATTTTTTCTGTATGTGGATATCCAGCTTTCCCACTACCATTTGTTGAAAAAACTATTCTTCCCTTATTAGGTAATTTTGGCACACTTTTCAAACATCAGTTAATCGACTGTATGTGCATGTGTTTATTTCTGGGCTTCTTATCCTGTTGCATTGGGCTATATGTCTGTTCCTATGCCAGTACTCTCTAGTTACTGTAGCTTTGTAACATGTCTCGAAATCAGAAAGTTTGATGCCTCTAGATTTGTTCTTTCTGAAGATTTCTTGGGCTATTCCAGATAGTTTTGTGTTCTCATCTAAACTTTAGGATTGTTTGTTCTATTTCTGTAAAAAATGTTATTGTGATTTTTATGGGGATAGCATTGAATCTGTAGATAGCTTTGCATGGTATAGATATTTTAACAATATTAAAATTTCCAATCCATGAAGTGTCTTTACATTTATTTGTGTCTTCTTTTATTTCTTTCAACAATGTTTTCTAGTTTTCAGTGTACAAGACTTTTGCCTCCTTAATTACATTTATCCCTAAGTACTTTTTTTTCTTTTTAATACCATCATAATTGTAATGGGATTATTTTCTTAGTTTCCTTTTTTGGATGGTTTGTTCTTAGTGTGTAGAAATGTAACTTTTTTGTTTATTGATTTTGTATCCTGCAACTTTACTTAATTTCTTAGTTCTAACAGTTTTTTGTGATGCCTTCAGGGTTTTCTACATGTAGAACTATGTAATCTGCTAACAGGAATAGTTTTTCTTCCTTTCCTACTCAGCTTCTTTTTATTTCCTTTAATTCTTTTTCTTGCTTAATTGCTCTGGGTAAGATTTCCACCACTATTTTGGATACAAGTGGTGGGAGTGATTATCCTTGTCTTGTTTCTGATCATAGAGGAAAAAAAGTCAGTCTTTCACTATTAAGTATGATACCATCTGTGAGCTTGTCATATATAGCCTTTATTATGTGAAGGTACATTTTTTTCTCCACCTAGTGTGTTGAGCATTGTTATCATGAAGGAGTGTGGAATTTTGTCAAGTGCTTTTTCTGCCTCTGTTGAGATGATCGTATATTTTTTTAATCCTTCATGCTGTCCACATAGTTTTGTTCAAGTCCAATGTTTCCCTTTTGATTTTCTATCTGGATGTTTATCCATTGCTGAATATGGGAATTGAAGTCTCCTACTTTTATTGTATTGTCTCTATTTCTCCCTTCAGTTCTGTTAATATCTGGTTTGTATATTTAGTTGCTCCAATTTGGAGTGCATATATGTTTACAATTGTTATATCTTCTTCTTCTTTCTTTTTTTTTTACATTGTATTTTGTTTTTTGTTATTATTATACTTTAAGTTCTGGTATACATGTGCAGAATGTGCAGGTTTGTTACATAGGTATACATGTGCCATGGTGGTTTGCTGTACCAATCAACATGTCATCTACATTAGGTATTTCTCCAAATGCTATCCCTCCCCTTGCCCCCACCCCCTGACAGGCCCCAGTGTGTGATGTTCCCCACCCTGTGCCCATATGGTCTCATTGCTCAACTCCCACTTATGAGTGAGAACATGCAGTGTTTGGTTTTCTGTTCCTGTGTTAGTTTGCTGAGAATGATGGCTTCCAGCTTCATCCATGTCCCTGCAAAGGACATGAACTCATTCTTTTTTATGGCTGCATACTATTCCATGGTGTATGTGTGCCACATTTTCTTAATCCAGTCTATCATTGATGGGTATTTGGGTTGGTTCCAAGTCTTTGCTATTGTGAATAGCGCTGCATTAAACATATGTGTGCATGTGTCTTTATAGTAGAATGATTTATAATTTTTTGGTATATACCCAGTAATAGGATGGCTGGTTCAAATGGTGTTTCTGGTTCTAGATCATTGAGAAATTGCCACACTGTCTTCCACAATGGTCGAACTAATTACCCTCCCACCAACAGTGTAAAAGTGTTCCTATTTCTCCACATCCTCTCCAGCATCTGTTGTTTCCTGACTTTTTAATGATCGCCATTCTAACTGGCATGAGATGGTATCTCATTGTGGTTTTGATTTGTATTTCTCTAATGAGTAGTGATGATGAGCTTTTTTTATATGTTTGTTAGCCTCATAAATGTCTTCTTTTGAAAAGTGTCTGTTCATATCCTTTGCCCAATTTCGATAGGGTTGTTTTTTTCTTGCAAATTTGTTTAAGTTCCTTGTAGATTCTGGATTTTAGCCCTTTGTCAGATGGATAGATTGCAAACATTTTCTCTCATTCTGTAGGTTGCTGGTTCACTCTGATGATAGTTTCTTTCGCTATGCAGAAGCTCTTTAGTTTAATTAGATCCCATTTGTCAATGTTGGCTTTTGTTACCGTTGCTTTTGGTGTTTTAGTCATGAAGTCTTGGCCCATGCCTATGTCCTGAATGGTATTGCCTAGGTTTTCTTCTAGAGTTTTTATGGTTTTAGTCTTACATTTAAGTCTTTAATCCCTCTTGAGTTAATTTTTGTATAATGTGTAAGGAAGGGGTCCAGTTTCAGTTTTCTGCATATGGCTAGCCAGTTTTCCCAACACCATTTATTAAATAGGGAATCCTTTCCCCATTGCTTGTTTTTGTCAGGTTTGTCAAAGATCAGATGGTTGTAGATGTGTGGTGTTATTTCTGAGGCCTCTGTTCTGCTCCATTGGTCTATATATCTGTTTTGGTACCAGTACCATGCTATTTTGGTTACTGTAGCCTTCTAGTATAGTTTGAAGTCAGATAGCATGATGCCTCCAGCTTTAGAAGATAAGAAGTAACTAAGATCAGAGTAGAACTGAAGGAAATAGAGACATGAAAAAGCCTTCAAAAAAATCAGTGAATCCAGGCGCTGGTTTTTTGAAAAGATTAACAAAATAGACCACTAGCCAGACTAATAAAGAAGAAAAGAGAGAAGAATCAAATAGACAAAATGAAAAATGATAAAGGGGAGATCACCACTGATCCAACAGAAATACAAACTACCATCAGAGAATACTATAAACACCTCTATGCAAATAAACTAGAAAATCTAGAAGAAATGGATACATTCCTGAACACATACACCTTCCCAAGACTAAACCAGGAAGAAGTCGAATCACTGAATAGACCAATAACAAGTTCTGAAGTTGAGGCATAATTAAATAGCCTACCAACCAAAAAAAGCCCAGGACCAGACAGATTCACAGCCGAATTCTACCAGAGGTACAAAGAGGAACTGGTACCATTCCTTTTGAAACTATTCCAAACAATAGAAAAAGAGGGACTCTTCCCTAACTCATTTTATGATGCCAGCATCATCCTGATACCAAAACTTGGCAGAGACACAACAAAAAAAGAAAATTTCAGGCCAGTATCTTTGATGAACATCAATGTAAAAATCCTCAATAAAATACTGGCAAACCAAATCCAGCAGCATGTCAAAAAGCTTATCCACCACAATCAAGTAGGCTTCATCCCTGGGATGCAAGACTAGTTCAACATACGCAAATCAATAAATGTAATCCATCACATAAACAGAACCAATTACAAAAACCACATGATTATCTCAATAGATGCAGAAAAAGCCTTCAATAAAATTCAACACCCCTTCATGCTAAAAACCCTCAATAAACTAGATATTGATGGAACATATCTCAAAATAATAAGACCTATTTATGGCAAACCCACAGCCAATATCATACTAAATGGGCAAGAGCTGGAAGCATTCCCTTTGAAAATCGGCACAAGACAAGGATGCCCTCTCTCACCACTCCTATTCAACATAGTATTGGAAGTCCGGCCAGGGTAATCACACAAGAGAAGGAAATAAAGGGTATTCAAATAGGAAGGGAGGAAGTCAAATTATCTCTGTTTGCACATGACATGACTTTATATTTAGAAAACCCCATCGTCTCAGCCCAAAAACTCCTTAAGCTGATAAGCAACTTCAGCAGGCTCAGGATACAAAATCAATGTGCAAAAATCACAAGCATTCCTATATACCAATAATAGAGAGCCAAATCATGAGTGAACTCCCATTCACAATTGCTAAAAAGAGAATAAAATACCTAGGAATACAACTTACAGGGGATGTGAAGGACCTCTTCAAGGAGAACTACAAATCACTGCTCGAGGAAATAAGAGAGGACACAATCAAATGGAAAAACATTCCATGCTCATGGATAGGAAGAATCAATATCGTGAAAATGGCCATACTGCTCATAGTAATTTATAGATTCAATGCTATCCTCATTAAGCTACCATTGACTTTCCTCACAGAATTAGAAAAAATTATTTTAAATTTCATATGGAATCAAAATAGAGCCCGTATAGCCAAGACAATCCTAAGCAAACAAAACTATGATATATTGTTATAGTCCTTTAGTTCAGTGTGTTGTTAAGTACTCATGGTTATTTCTTCTTTAATTTTTTAATTACTTTGGAAGCTTCTTGCTTAAATTTCAAATGTAGATTTTTAGCGATTTTTAATTTTGAGCTCAATAGAATTATAAATTGATTTATGACCCAGCATATGCTCAACTTTTATAGATGTTTTATATGTATCTGAAAGCTATACGTGTTCTGCAGTAATTGGATGCAGCGTTCTATATATGTCAATTAGATCAAGTTTATTAATTGGGTTTTTCAAGTCCTCTACATATTGAATTTTTTGTACATTTGTGCAGCAGCCGTGTGGTGTACCACCTTGCTCTCCCTTCAGGAAAGTACCTCCACAGTAGGTGCATTTAGCTGAAAGCCTTCAGCTGCAGCAGTTTGGGGATCTGACATGCGGTTTGATGGAGTGCCAAATTCTTGCTGGAAAGTTCCCAGACAAAAACTGAGCACTATGAAGATACTAGACCTTGGCTATTTCTACCCAATGCAGCATTCTTCTACAGTCACTTAAGTACAGAATTCTTCAATAGCATCATTTTTCATTTCTCTGAGATAAATTCTCAAGAGCACAGTTTCAGGGGCATGTGGTAATTACATTTTTATTTTTCTAAGAAAACACAAAGCTGTTTTCCATAGAGAATGTACTATTTTATATTCCCACCAACAATGTATCAGTGATCCAGTTTCTCTGCATCCTAACCACCATTGATGTTATCACTTTTTTTTTTTTTTTGAAACAGAGTCTTACTCTGTTTTCCAGACTGGAGTGCAGTGGTGCAATCTTGGCTCACGGCAGCCTCCACCTCCTGGGTTCAAGAGATCCTCATGCCTCAGCCTCCTGGGATTACAGGCATACACTACCACACCCGGCTAATTTTTGTATTTTTAGTAGAGACGGGGTTTCACCAGGCTGGTCTTAAACTCTTGGTCTCGAGTGATCTGCCCACCTCAGCCTCCCAAAGTGCTGGGATTACAGGCATGAGCCAGCTCACCCAGCCCAGGTATTTTTAAGTTTAGACATTCTGGTAGGTTTATAGGGGTATCTCATTGTGCTTTTAATTTGCAGTTCCCCCTGGTGGCTAATGATGTATTTTCTCTTTTCATGGCCTTATTTGCAATTTGCATACTCCTTTCAATGAAATGTCTATATCTTTTGTCCATTTCCTAATTATTGAATTTTGAATTTTAAAAATATGTTCTAGATACTAGTCCTAGATTTACAAATATCCCAGTCTGTTGCTTGTCATTTTATCCTTAGAGTTTTTGCAGAGCAAAAGGCTTTAAAATTCTGATGAGGTCTAACTTACCAATTTTCATTTTATGTATCATGCTTTTAACATTTTTTATTTTAATTTTATGGGTACATAGTATATGTATATATTTATGGGGTACATGAGATGTTTCAATATAGGCATGCAATGCATAATAATCATATCATGTAAAATGGGGTATCCATTCCCTCAAGCATTTATCCTTTGTGTTCATATTAGTCCATTCTCGCATTGTTATAAAGAACTACCTGAGACTGGGTAACTTATAAAGAAAAGAGGTTTAAAATTGGCTCACATTTCCACAGGCTGTACAGGAAGCATGGCTGGGGAAGCCTCAGGAAACTTACAATCATGGCAGAAGGCAGAGGGGAAGCAGGAACGTCCTACATGGCTGGAGCAGAAGGAAGAGAGCAAACAGGGAGGTAGAGGTGCTACACACTTTTAAACAACGAGATCTCATGAGAACTCACCATCAGGAGAACAGCGAGGAGGAAATCTGCCCCCATGATCCAATAATCTCCCACTAGGCCCCTCCTCCAACATTGGGGATTACAATTTGACATTAGATTTGGGCGGGGACACAAATCCAAACCATATCAGTGTTATAAACAATCCAATTACACTCTTTTAGTTATTTTAAAATGTACAATTAAATTATTATTGACTATAGTCACACTGTTGTGCTATCAAATACTAGGTCTGATTCATTCTTTCTAACTATTTTTTTTTTATCCATTAACTATCCCCACCTTCCTTCACCCCAGCCCATTACAACCTTTCCCAGTCTCTGGTAGCCATCCTTCTACTCTCTATCTCCATGAATTCAGTCGTTTTGACTTTTAGATCCCACAAATAAGTAAGAACACACAATGTTTTGTCTTTCTTGCCTGCCTTATTTCATGTTGCAAATGACAGGACCTGTTTTATTTCTTTTTATGGCTGAATAGTATTCCATTGTGTGTATATATACCACATTTCATTTATACATTTATCTATTAAGGGACACTCGGGTTGTTACCACTGTTGGGCTACTGTGAATAGTGTTTCTATGAACATTTGTGAGCATATTTTTGGTTGGATATTTGTTTTTGAGTCTCTTGAGTAAATATCTTGGAGTGGAATTGCTGGATGATATAGTAACTTTATGTGTAAGCTTTTGAGTAACTTCCAGAATGTTTTTTGCCATGATTGCACAATTTTAAATTCTCGTTGATGGTTCAGTTTATCTACATTCTCACCAACATTTGTTATTTTCTGCCATTATTGTTATTATTAGCATCCTAATGGGTGTGAAGTGATATCTAATTGTTGTTTTGATTTGCATTTCCCCAGTGATTAATATTGAGCCTCTTTTCATGTGCTTACTGGCCATTTGCATATCTCCTTTAGAGAAATGTCTATTCAAGTCATTTGCTCATTTTTAAATTGGGTTGCTTTTCTCATTATTATTGAGTTGTAGGAGTTACTCATATATTCTGAACACTAGATCCTTATCTAGTTATCAGATATATGGACCCTTATCTAGTTATCAGATATATGATTTGCAAATATGTTCTCTCATTCTGTCTTTTCACCTCTTAATAATGTCTTTTGATGCACTAAGGTTTTGAATTTTGATGAAGTCCATTTTATGGTTTTTAAAATTTTGTTACTTGTGCTTTTGGTGCCATATCTAAGAAACCATTGCCTGATTCAACATCATGATTTATTCCCAAGTTTTCTTCTAATATTGGTACAGTTTTAGCTCTTATATTTAGGTCTTTGAACTATTTTGAGTTAATTTTTATACATAATGTTAGGTAAAGGTCCAACTTCATTCTTTTGCATGTGGATATCCAGTTTTCCCAGAACCATTTGTTGAAGAGACTGTTCTTTCCCCATTGTATGGTCTTGGCATCCTGGTTGAAAATCAATTATACATAGATGTTTGGGTTTATTTCTGGATTCTCAATTCCATTTCAGTGATTTATAGATGCCATTGTCTATCCTTATGCTAGTGCCACATTGTTTGGATTACTGTAGTGTTATAATAAGTTTTGAAATTGGAAAGTGTGAGTCTTCCAACTTTTTATTTTGTTTTCTAAATTGATTTGGCTACTTGGACTCATTGCAATTCCATATGAATTTTAGTATTGTCATTTCCATATCTATAGAAAAGGTTATTGGGACTTTACATATAATAGGAAAACCAACTGTTTTTCCTACTCTCATGCTTAGCACAGACCACTTCTGGTCACCAAATTACATATGGGGATTTCTCCACACCAACAATCTATTCTCCTGTGGACACCCACTTGGTGTCCTATAATTAAATTAAATTATGACACCATCTGCCTGGAAACAATGTCAGATCCCACAGGTTAAGGGCTCAACCCTGCAATACTGTGTATATTCAGATGCCAGTTATAAGTAGTAGCTTGTCACCTATACTTCTGACAACTAGCTATAAATCAGGATTCCTTTGACCTTTCCCTCAGTTTAGATTAATTTGCTAATATGGCTCATAAAACTGAGTCTATATATTTAAAGTGGGTTTGTTGTAGACAACATGTAGTTGGATTTTATTAAAAACCTACATTGGCAATCTTTTTTTGAATTGGTGCATTTAGATCATTTATATTTAAAGTGGTTATTGATTTTTAAAATGTATATCTACCATATTTGGTAACTATTTTCTGTTGCTTTTTACATTTTTAAAATTTTTATAGATTTAGGAGATAGAAGTGCCATATTTTTGTTATGTGGATATATTACATAATGATAAAGTCTGGATTTTTGGTTTACTCATCACCTGAATAGTGGCTCTTATATCCTTAGGTAATTTTTCAACCCTCACCCCCTCCTACTATCCCACCTTTTAGAATCTCCAGTGTCTACTATTTCACTCTGTATGTCCATGTGTACTCATTTTTACTTCCCACTTACAAGTGAGAACATGCAGTTTTCAACTTTCTGTTTCTGAGCTACTTCACTTAGGATAATGACCTCCAGTTCCATCCATGCAACTGCAAAAGACATGATTTCATTCTTTCTTATGGCTGCATAGTATTCCATGGTGTGTGTGTGTGTGTGTGTGTGTGTGTGTGTGTGTGTGTGTGTGTGTATAATATAAAATCTTCTTTATCTAATCATCTGTTTATGCACACTTAGGTTGATTCCATGACTTTGCTATTGTGAATAGTGCTGCAATAAACATATAAGTGCAAGTATCCTTTTAATTAATGATTTCTTTTCCATTGGGTAGATACTCAATAGTGAGATTGCTAGATTGAATGGTAGTTCTATTTTTCGTTCTTTGAGAATCCCCACACTGTTTTCTGTAGAGGTTGTATTAATTTACATTTCCATCAACAATGTATAAGCATACCCTTTCCTCTAAATCCTTGCCAACATCTGTTGTTTTTTTGACTTTTTAGTAATAGCCATTCTGACTGGTATACAATGATATCTCATTGGGGTTTTAATTTGCATTTCTCTGATGATTAGTGATGTTGAGCATGATTTCATATATTTGTTGGCTGTACGTCTTCTTTTGAAAAATGTCTGTTGTGTCCTTTGGCCATTTTTAATGGGGTTATTTGGGATTTTTTTCTTGTTGAGTTGTTTGAGTTTCTTGTAGATTCTGGATATTAGCCTTTTGTTAGATGCATAGTTTGAAAATATTTTCTTCCATTCTATAGGTTTTCTGTTTACTCTGCTGATTCTTTTGCTGTGCAGAAGCTTTTTAGTTTCATTCCCATTTGTCTATTTTTTGTTTTGTTTCATTTGATTTTGGGGACTTAGTCATAAATTCTTTGTCTATGCCAAAGTCTAAAGAGTTTTCATAGGTGTTCTTCTAGGATTTTTTATAGTTTAAGGTCTTAAATTTAAGTATTTACTCCGTTTTGAGTTAATTTTTGTATATGGTGAGAGATATGGGTCCAGGTTCATTCTTCTGCGTATGATGATTAAATAGTCCCAGCACCATATATTGAATAGACTGACCTTTCCCCAGTGTGTATTTTTGTTGGTTGTGGATACGTGGCTTTATTTCTGGATTCTCAATTCTCTTCCATTGACCTATGTGTCCATTTTTATACCACTACCGTGCTGTTTTTGCAGTGACTGGTACCGGTTTTTCCTTTCCATATTTAGTGCTTCCTTCCAGAGCTCTTGTAAGGCAGGCCTGGTGGTGACAGAATCCCTCAGCATTTCCTTGTCTGTAAAGGATTTTATTTCTGCTTCACTTATGAAACTTAGTTTGGCTGGATATGAAATTCTGGGTTGAAAATTATTTTCTTTAAGAATGTTGAATATTGGCCCCCACTCTCTTCTGGCTTGTTGCATTTCTCCAGAGACATTCACTGATGGGCTTCCCTATGTAGGTAACCTGACCTTTCTCTCTGGCTGCCCTTAACATTTTTTCCTGGGTTTCAACCTTGGGGAATCTGACAATTATGTGTCTTGGGGTTGCTCTTCTTGAGGAATATCTTAGTGGTGTTCTCTGTATTTCCTGAATTTGAATGTTGGCCTATCTTGCTAGGTTGGGGAAGTTCTCCTGGATAATATACTGAAGGGTGTTTTCCAACTTGGTTCCATTCTTCCCATCACTTTCAGGGACCCCAATCAATCAGAGGTTTAGTCTTTTCACATAGTCCCATATTTCTTGGAGGCTTTGTTTGCTCCTTTTTAATCTTTTTTTCTCTAATCTTGTCTTCATGCCTCATTTAGTAAGTTGATCTTCAATCTCTGATATTCTTTCTTCCGCTTGATTGATTCAGCTGTTGATACTTATGTATGCTTCAAAAGTTCTTGTGCTGTGTTTTTCAGCTCCATCAGGTCATTTATATTCTTTAAACTGGTTATTCTAGTTAGCAGTTCCTGTAACCTTTTGTCAACGTTCTTAGCTTCCTTGCATTGGGTTTGAACATGCTCCTTTAGCTCAGAGGAGTTTGTTATTACTGACCTTCTGAAGCCTACTTCTGTCAATTCGTCAAACTCATTCTCTGTCCAGTTTTGTGCCCTTGCTGGAGAGGAATTGCAGTCATTTGGAGGAGAAGAAGCATTCTGGTTTTTGGAATTTTCAGCCTTTTTACGCTGGTTTTTTTCTCATCCTCATGGATTTATCTACCTTTGATCTTTGAGATTGATGACCTTTGGATGGAGTTTCTGTGTGGGCATTCTTTTTGTTGATGTTGATGTTATTGCTTTCTGTTTGTTAGTTTTTCTTCTAACAGTCAGGCCCCTCTTCTGCAGGTCTGCTGCAGTTTCCTGGAGGTCCACTCCATACCCTATTTTCATGGATATCACCAGTGGAGGCTGCAGAACAGCAAAGATTGCTGCCTGTTCCTTCCTCTGGAAGCTTTGTCCCAGAGGGTCACCGACCTGATGCCAGCCAGAGCTCTCCTGTATGAGGTATCTGTCAACCCCTCTTGGAAGGTCTCTCCCAGTCAGGAGGCACGTGGGTCAGGGACCCACATGAGGAGGCAGTCTGTCCCTTAGCAGAGCTCGAGCACTGTGCTGGGGGAACCCTCCTTGTCAGGATCTGCTGCTCTCTTCAGAGCTGGCAGGCGGGAATGTTTAAGTCTGCTGAAGCTACACCCACTGCCACCCCTTCCCCCAGGTGCTCTGTCTCAGGGAGATGGGAGTTTTATCTATAAGCCCCTCACTGGAGCTGCTACCTTTCTTTCAGAGATGCCCTGCCTAGTGAAGAGGAATCTAGAGAGGCAGTCTGGCCACAGCCGCTTTGCCATGCTGTGTTGAGTTCTGCCTAGTCTGAATTTCTAGGCCTTTTTAGTGTGGTCAGGGGAAAACTGCCTACTCAAACCTCAGTAATGGCAGATGCCCCCCGCTACCAAGCTCAATCTTTCCAGGTCAACCTCAGACTGCTGTGCTAGCAGCAAGAATTTCAAGCCATTAGTTCTTAGCTTGCTGGGCTCCACGGAAGTGGGACCCGCTGAGTGAGACCACTTGGCTCCCTGGCTTCAGCCCCCTTTCCAGGGGAGTGAATGGTTCTGTCTCCCTGGGGTTCCAGGCGCCACTGGGCAGGGGAGGAGGATGGGAAACTCCTGCAGCTAGCTCAGTGTCTGCCCGAACAGCCGCCCAGTTTTGTGCTTGAAACCCAGAGCCCTGGTGGTGTAGGCACATGAGGGAATCGCCTGGTCTGCAGATTGCAAAAACCGTGGGAAAAGCATAGTATCTGGGCTGGATATCACAGTCCCTCATGGCTTCCCTTGGCTAGGGGAGGGAGTTCCCCAACCCCTTGCACTTTCTGGGTGAGGTCATGCCCCACCCTGGTTCTGCTCACCCTCCGTGGGCTGCACCCGCTGCCTAACCAGTTCCAATGAGATGAATAATGTACCTCAGTTGGAAATGCAGAAATCACCTGCCTTCTGCATTGGTCTCACTGGGAGCTGCAGACTGGAGCTGTTCCTATTTGGCCTTCTTGCCAGCAGAATCTACTGTGCCGTTTTGGTTGCTATAGCCTTGTAGCATAATTTTCACTTGGGTAATGTGATACTTTCAGCTTGGTTCTTTTTGCTTAGGATTGCTTTGGCTATTTGGGCTCTTTTTTGGTTCCATATGTACTTTATAATTTTTTTTTCTAATTCTGTGGAAAATGACGTTGGTAACTTGATAGGAATTACATTGATTCTGTAGATTGGGCAGTATAGTCATTTTAACAATATTGATTCTTTCAATTCATGCACATGAGTTATCTTCCATTTAATTGTGTCATCTATGATTTCTTTCATCAGTGTTTTGTAGTTCGCTTTGTAAGGATGTTTTACCTCCTTGATTAAATACATTCCTAGGTATTTTAATGTTTGTAGCTATTGCAAATGACATTGAGTTCTTGATTTAGCGCTCTGCTTGATACTGTTTGGTGTATAGAAATGCTACTGATTTTTGTACATTGATTTTGTAGCCTTAAACTTTACTGAAGTCATCTTTAAATCTAGGAGTCTCTTGAAAGAGTCTTTAGTGTTTTCTAGGTATGAGATCATATGATCAGTAAACAGAGATAATTTGACTTCCTCTCTTCCAATTTGGATGACTTTTATTCATTTCTCTTGCCTTTTTGCTCTAGCTAAGACTTCCAGTAGTATGCTCAATAGGGAGTGGTAAAAATGGGCATCCTTGACTTCTTCCTGTTCTTAGGGGGAATACTTTCAACTTTTACCCATTCGGTATGATGTTGGCTATGGGTTTATTATATATGGCTTTAATTATTTTGAGGTGTGTTCCTTTGATGCCTAGCTTGTTGAGGGTTTTATCATGAAAGGGTACTAAATTTTATCAAATGCTTTTTTGCATCTATCTAGATGATCATATGGTTATTGTTTTTAATTCTATATATGTGGTGAATCACATTTATTAATTTGCATGTGTTGAACCACCCTTGTATCCCTGGAATAAGGAGCACTTGATTGTGATGTATTATCTTTTTGAAGTGTTGTTGGATTCCTTTTGCTAGGGTTCTTTTTTTCTTTCTTCTTTCTTTCTTTCTTTCTTTCTTTCTTTCTTTCTTTCTTTCTTTCTTTCTTTTTTTGAGACAGAGTCTCGCTCTGTCGCCCAGGCTGAAGTGCAGTGGCACAATCTTGGCTCACTGCAAGCTCCGCCTCCTGGGTTCACACCATTCTACTGCCTCAGCCTCCCAAGTAGCTGGGACTACAGGTGTCTGCCACCACGCCTGGCTAATTTTTTGTATTTTTTAGTAGAGACGGGGTTTCACCATGTTAGCCAGGATGGTCTCGATCTCATGACCTCGTGATCCGCCCGCCTTGGCCTCCTAAAGTGCTGGGATTACAGACGTGCGCCACCACACCCAGCCTTTATTTTTTGAGGATTTTTGCACCTATGTTCATCAGGGATATTGGCTTGTAGTTTTCCCTTTTCATTGTGTCCTTACTCTGCTTTGGTGTCAGGGTGATGATGGCTTTATAGAATGAATTAGGAAGGATTCCTTCCTCTTTGATTTTTGGAAACTATTTCAGTAAGATTGGTGCCATTCCTTCTTTGTGCATCTGGTAGAAATTAGCTGTGAATCCAGCCTTTTTTGAGGGAAAGATTTTTATGACTGATTCATCTTCACTACTGGTTGTTGGTCTGTTCACATTTTCTACCTTGTAGTTCAATCTTTGGAGGTTGCATGTTTCTGGAAATATATCCATTTCCTCTAGGTTTTCTAGTTTGTATGCATAGAGATGTTTATAGTAGTCTCTGATGATCTTTTGTATTTAAGTGATATCAATTGTAATGTCACTTTTATCATTTCTGATTGTCCTTATTTGTATCTTCTCTCTTTTTTTCCTGGATAATCTAGCTAGCAGTCCATCAATTTTGCTTATTTTGTTAAAGAACCAACTTTTAATTTTATAGATTCTTTGTATAATTTTTTGGTTTCAATTTCATTTAGTTCTGCTATGATCTCTGTTATTTCTTTTCTTCTGCTAGCTTTGGATTTGGTTTGTTGTTTTTCTAGTTTCTTGAGGTGTGACATTAGGTTGTTAATTAGAGGCCTTTCTATCTTTTGAATGTAGGCATTTAATACTATAAACTCCCCCTTAGCGGTGTTTTTGCTGTATCCCAGGATCTTTGGTTCATTGTGTCTGTATTTTCATTTGTTTCAAAATTTTCAAATTTCCACCATAATATCATCATCTACCCACAGATTATTCAGGAGCAGATTGTTTAATTTTCATTTACTTGAATAGTTTTGAGACTTCCTCTTGGTGTTGATTTCTAGTTATATTCCATTGCGGTCTGAGAAGATATTTAACAGGATTTTGATTTTTCAAATTTATTGAGACTGGCTTTGTGGCCTAGCATATGGTCTATTTGGGAGAAAGTTCTAGATGTAGATGAGAAGAATGTATATACTGCTGTTGTTAGGTGGAATGTTCTATAAATGTCTGTTGGGTCTATTTTATCTTGAGTCCAATTTAATTCCAGAGTTTCTTTGTTGATTTTCTGCCTCGGTGATCTGTCTAGTGCTTTCAATGAGGTGTTGAATTGCTGTCTATTGCATTGCTGTCTATCTCTTTTCTTAGGTCTAGTAGTATTCATTTTTATAAATCTGAGTGTTCCAGTGTTGTGTGCATATCTATCTAGGATTGTCATATCTTCTTGTTGATTTGATTCCTTTATCATATATATACTGACCTTCTTTGTCTTTTTTTTTTTTACTGTTGCTAGTTAAAAGTCTGTTTTATCTGACATAAGTAGAGGTGCTCCTGCTCGCTTTTGGTCCTGTTTGCATGGAGTATCTTTTTCCACTTCTTTACTTCAAGTCTGTAAATATCTTACCAGTTAGGTGGATTCTTTTGTAAGCAGCATATTTTTGGATCTTGTTTCTTTAAATCCATTCCACTAGTCAATATCTTTTAAGTGGAGCATTTATTCCATTTGCTTTCAAGATTAATATTGATATATGAGGTTTTGTTTCTGTAATAATTTTAATTGTTATATAGGTGTTTTTTAGTCTCGATTGTGTAATTGCTTTATAAGAACTATGTGTTTTATACTTTTTGTGTGTTCTTATGATGGTGGATATCATTCTTTTGTTTCCTTGTTGAAAATTCCTTTCAGCATTTCTTGTAGGACTGGTCTAGCGGTGACAAATTTCTTTAGCCTTTACTTGTCTGGGAAATACTTTATTTCTTCTTCATTTATGAAGCTTAGTTTAGTGGGACACAAAATTCTTGACTGGCAGTTTTCTCTTTAAGAAGACTGAAAATAGGACCCCATTCTCTTATGGCTTATAAGGGTTCTGCTGAGAAGTCTGGTGTTAGTCTGATGGGATTTCCTTCATAGGTGATTAGATGCTTCTCCCTTGCTGCTTTTAGTATTTTTTCTTTCACTTTGACTTTGGCTAGTCTGAAGACTATATGGCTTGGTGAAGGTCATCCTGTAGTCTGTCTTCCAGGAATTCTTTAAGATTATCGTATCTGGATGTATAAATCTCTAACAAGACCAGGCATTTTTTTTTCTGAATTATTTCCTCAATAGGTTTTCCAAACTTTTTACTTTTTCTTCTTCTCCATCAGGAATATCTATGACCTTGTATGGTTGGTCACTTTACATAATGCCATATATTTCAAAGGCTTTCTTCATTTTTTTAAAACTTTTTTCTTTATTTCTGTCTAAGTAGGTTAATTCAAAAGACCTGTCTTCAAGCTCTGAAATTCTTTCATCTGCTTTGTTTAGTCTATTGTTAAAGCTTTCAACTATATTTTGGAACTTCTCCAATGAATTTTTCATTTCCAGTAGTTCTGTATGGGTTTTTAAAAAAATTTTCTGTCTCTTTAGTAAATTTCTATTTATATCCTGAATTATTTTTCTGATTTCTTTCTGTTCTTTTCAACTTTCTCTTGATTTCCACTGGGTTTCCTTAAAATTCATACTTTTAATTCTTTATTTGCCATTGCAGAATTTTCATTTTGACTAGAATCCATTGCTAGAGAGCTAGTGTGATTCTTTGGGGTTGTTGAAACACTTCATTTTTTATACTACCAGAGTTCTTACACTGGTTCCTTCTTATCTGGATAAGCTGTCACTTCTCATTTTTGAATTTATTTTCATTTGGATGAGACTTTTTGTTTCCCCCCACCCCCTTGAGTGTGTGACTGTAGTGTATGTTCAGTAGAGTCATTTGGCAATTTTTCTGAGTGCTTTCAGGGGAACAGGACTCTGTACGAATGCCAGGGATATAAATAGGCTTAATGTGGTGGTTTTCTGAAATGCTGATTATCTGATTATAGTAGTGGTGTACTGGGGATGTGAACAAGCTCACTGCCTACTGTAGAGATAGGGACTTGGAGGTCTCAGGAAGCTTATCTCATTCTCCGGCACAAGCATTTTGTCAACAGGCATTGTATTGGGTTGTGCAGCTTTACTTCCAGGCCAGTAGGTGGTGCTTGCAGATAAAAGCCAGCTGAGCAATGTGCAGTTGTGTTAGCTGAAGTTGTAATGGTCTGTACAAGTTGACTAGAAATAAGGCCTTGGACCTTTGGAAGGCATATAATTGGATTTCTAAAAGACCTGCTTGCCATGTGAAAGTGTAGTTTGGCAAAAAAAAAAAAAAAAAAAAACTCTACCACCAACAGAATAGTTATGCATTCAAAGAAATTTTCTGGCTATGGACTATAAATAGGTCTTAACTAGGATGTGGGTTCAAATGCCTGTAAGGGAGATCAAAAGTGGATATAAACGTGGAAAAGTGGAAGAAGTTCAGCACAGGGTACACTGGTGACATCACCTAATTCCCCAAGAAATGTTCAGTTCTGAAAAGCTCTGGATAGAAGTGGCCATTTCAGCTGGCCACTACTGCACTTCTTTTGCCAAGGAGCTGCTTACCTATGAGCACCAGATTTCTAAGTATACATAAAAAGGCTATTTGTGTGTATTTGTTTAATGTAGTATTAGAGTTCTTCCAGAAGAAAAGCTTCAGAAAAAAACTGCTCAGAGAAATGTGCAAAGATTGTGATGTAGGAAAACTACTTATAAATGAGATGGATAAGCAACAGCATACCAAAGATTTTACATCCAACCAAGTTAAAAGACAAGCTGTAATGAATATGCAAGAACTCAAGAAATATTGTCATTATTCCTTCCTAAGGGATTTAATAGAGGACAAGCTTCAAATAAGCAAGAAACTATAGGAGAAGCTTGGGACATTTCTAATGGTGAGCAGTAACTATATTTACCTGTAAAGCTAAGAATAAATAATGGGGATGGAATGACAGAATAGAGTTAAACATTATATGGTCTGAAATATAAATATACTACAAATAATAAAAATGGCTATAGAAAGAGGATAGCCTTGTAAATATTAACTGGGAGTAAAAGGATATAGGTTTAAATCAGAGGCTAGGTCAGAAAGAGAGGAAAGGCAAAAAGAGGTTACCAGCAAATTTCATTATGACTCATGAGGGGAAACAATAGACAGTTTCTTTAAAATGGAGCTAAAAGCATTATATAAAGATATTAGCATGAAATAATAACTCTTCAAATGTTGTACTAGACCACTATCATCAGCATCTCTTGGAAAGTTGTTAGAAATACAAATTCTCATACCCTACTCCAGAACCGTTGAATCAGAAATTTTGGAATTGGGGCCCAGCAATGTGTTGTAACAGCTCTCTAGGAGATTCTGAGGTATGCTAAAAGTTTGAAAACCACTAGAATCAAGATATCATTAGAGCAAAAATACAATTTTTCTAAATAGCAAAAGATAGACCAAAATTAAAAACCAATGCAAACACAGTGAATTATTTATGGGTATAAGACACATACACATACAATATGCAAGAATGGACACCCCCTGCTCCCATAGCTACTATTTTTTTAATTTTTAATTTTTGTAGGTACATAGTAGGGGATTTATATTTATGGGGTACATAAGATGTTTAGATACAGGCACGCAATGCATAATAATCACATCATGGAAGATGGAGTATCCATCCCCTCAAGCATTTATAAGGGCAACAAAAATTACAAAGTGTATAGAAATAACTCTTATAAAATGCAATAATTTAAAAGTGTTTCCTCTTGAAGAAGAAAATGATAAAACTTTAATTACAATCTATTTTAAAGGCCTAAATGAACGTAGAGTTATACTATGTTCCTGAGGGAAAGATTTGTGAACATAAATGATTATTCTCAAGTTATTCCATACATTAAATGAAAGTTTAATCAAGATATCAACAATAAATATGGATTAAGGATATTATTCTTACAGAACTTGACATACTGATACTAAAATTCATATAAAATTGAAAATAGGTAATAATGATCATGACTATTTTGAGGAATAAGCATGAAGAACTGACATTACTAGATAGTGAAACTTACCATAAAGCCATAATATTTTTAAAAAGTGTAATATTATAGCATAAATAGACAAATAAATGGTGGAGAATCACAATGAACTTACAAATATACAAGAATAAATGATTAGTATATGACATATAGAGTATATAATAAATCAGTGTATGAAATGATGGACTTTCCAATAAATGGTGTTAGGATATTTGGTTACCCTTATGGAAACAGATAAAATTAGATCAATACTTTACACAATTTATAAAAATTTAATAATTTAATTTCTGGCAGGTTTAAACCCTAAGTAAAAATAATAAGAAGAGTAGAATACATATGTTTGTGGGGTGCGTGTGTGTGTGTGTTTGTGTATTAGTAAGAAGAAAGTAAGAAAAAAGAGAACAGTAGGAAGTCTTTATGATATCTAGATGGGAGGAGTTCTTTAATAAAACATAAAAACACAAGCCATAAAGGGAAAGATAAATTTAAATATATTAAAATTTAAAATATTTCAGTATAAGCAAAGGTAAAGGCAAGTTACAGACTGACAGAAGATATTTACAACTCACAAATGACAAACGTTTAAAATTCTGAATATATAAAGAATTTCTATAAACAAAAAAAGACAAATAACCAAATCAAAAATATAGATATAATATGAATCAGCAGTTACTAGAGGAAGGATCTTGAATGACTAGTAAACATGTTAAAAGAAAATCAACCTCACAGAGGTTGCATCACAATGAGATATTATTTAATATTCACCGGATTGGCAAAATTTACTCTGATAACACCAACTTTGGGAGAAATGAGGAGAAATAGGAGCTTTTCATTGTTACTAATTGTAAATTGGTATAACTGCTTTAGAAAGAATTTAGCAATATCTAATAAATATAGAGATATACATACCCACTTCTAGGCCTATAGTCTTGAAAATTGTACATATGCATTAGGAGATATGGTGAAGGATGTTCATTGCAAACGATTTGAATAGATAAAGATTGGAATGTACTTAACTACCCATCATCAGAGAAATGAAGAAAAAAGCTAGCATGGTTCATTTATTCAATAGAATACTATGAAGTCGTTATGTGGATGAACTAGATCAATGTGTACCAATATAGATAAATCTTAAAATCATAACATTGAGGGGGGAAAAAGCAAGATGCAAAAGGTATGTACAGTATGAAACACTTGATCCCCAAATTTTAAGCATGAAATCAATCAAATACATCTTAATGGATACGTACACATTTAGTGAAAGTACAAAAACAAGTATTGGGATGATACATGCCAACTTCAGGCTAGTGGTCATCTATCAGTGAGAAGTGGGGGATGAAGGAATGGAGGTAGGGTTTATCTCTATCTGTAATGTTTTATTTTTTTAAGTGATATAAAGTAAAATTAACAAAAATTTGGTGTCCGTTTAATCTCAATAGTGGATATATAGGTGCTTTTTAAATTTTCTGTATGTTTGAAATATTTCATAATTACAATTTTAAAATTTAAAAATCACTGGGATATTACAGATGTGCAAATTGATTATATGGTGGTGTGAATTCTTGGACAATTGAAGAAGGCTTCCCTAATAAAATACATTTAAGCTGAATCCTGAAATATGAGTAAAATCCATCTGAAGGTTGGTGGGGTACACCATTTCCAGCTGAAGGATCAGCAAGTGCAAAGGCTCTGAGGTATGAACATGGTTGGGCTGTTCAAGGAGAATCAAGGAGGGAAATGTAACTGGAGGAGACTGATCAATGAGATGAACAATTGGAGATTAGGGCACAGAAGTAGCAGGGAGCCAGGTCATGCAAGTATTTTGTTGTTTTAAAATATTTTATTTATTTTTAATTGATAATAATTGTGTATATTTATGGGATAGATCATGCAAATATTTAAACCAGGGTAAGAACTGAATTAACCTGAATTTGATGGAGCCATTTGAGGGTTTTAAATGAAATAATGACTTGAACTGGGTTGTGTTTTTAAAACACTGCTCTGACTACAACGCTGAGAGTTGTCCTATAGGCCAGTTAGGAGCTATAATCCAAAAAAGAGATAATATGGGCTTAGACCAAGTTGATAACAATGGGGAAGCAGAAGCGTAAACAGATTTTTGGCAAGGAGTGAAAGAGAGTGCTAAGAATCAAAGAAGACTCCCAGGTTTCCGACTTGAGAGTTGATCATTGATCTATATTGCTAACAATGGTAACAACGGAGGTAAAATATATTTGTGTTGAACGTGTGGGATGAAAATGATGAGCTTATTTTGGATTTATACATGTTTAAAGCTTAGGAGAGAGGACTGGAATGGAAATATGGACCTGGAAGACTTTGCAATTTGGATGATTAAAGCCTTGGGAGTGGGTGAAATTACTTAGGAGCTAATGGAAGTTAGGAGAGAGGCTGGAATAGAGCTTTGAGGAGGTTCAATATTTAATGGCTTGGTGGAAGTGGAGTAGCCAGCAAAGGATACTGATAAGGAGCTGCAAGATAAGCAGAAGGAAAACCAAGAGACTGTGGTGTACTATACTTAAAGATAGAGTGTTTTGTATAGCATGTGGTGGTCAAGTCTGTCAACTACCACTACGAAATCCAGCAAAACGAGATTTTATAAGTGTAAAATACATTTAGTGATATTGAAGTCATTAGTGATCTTTGTAGAGAGATGGGGTGGAAATCAGACTTGAGAGGGTTAAGTAGTGAGTAGAAATAAAGAAAAGAACAGATAAAATGAACAAAACAAAGTAAGGACAATTCTTTTGAAAAAATTGGCTGTGAATGGGGTGGGAAGGGATACAGTAGGAGGATGAGAAGTCAAGGGGGCATTTTGTTTGTTGTTTTCTTAAAAGTGGGAGAAAAATGGAAATGCTTAAATGCTGATGTGAAGGAGCCATTTCAGGGAACAGTCTGAAGATACAGGACAAATAGGGGGAAATTGGTAATGTCTGGGACTCCAAATGGTAAGAGTGAATGGAATTCAAAGCATAGAGGAAGAGATTGGCCTTAACTAGGAGAAAGGACAACCCCTCTACTATAATAAGTTGAAAGGAAGATAGAATAGGCACAGAGGCAGAAAGTGTAGGGTTGGTGGCAAGAAAATGAGGAAACTCCTATCTGGTGCCTTTTGTTATACCTATAAAGTAGGAAGTAAGTTTGACTGCTAGGGAGATGGTGGTAGTGATGGTGGTGGGTGTGTGTAGTAGTTCTTTTCATCAAAACATACCATTAATAGAGAGAAAAGGCAAGTCACAGAGTAGAAGATAATTACAATACATACATTTGACAAAGGACTTGTGTTCAGAATATATAAAGATCTCTTATGAATCAATAAGAAAGGACAATAGCCTAATTAAAAATGGGTCAAAGACCTGAGCAGATATTTCACAAAAGATGGTATCCAAATGACCAATTAACATATGAAAAGACACAAAACATAATTATTCATCAAGAAATGAACATTAAATCCACAATGTGCCCACTCTACATCCACAATAATGACTGAAATTAAACAATAGACTCCAAGTGTTGCCAAGGTTGTTGAACATTTGGAATCTTATACGTTGCTGGTGGGAGTATTAATTGGAACAACTTTTTAAAAAAAATTGACAGTATCTACTACAGCTGAAAGTATGAATACCTACAACCTAGCAAGTTCACTCCTAAATGCATAACCAACAAAAACAAATGTGCATGTTCACCCAAAAACGTGGATATTAATGATCCAAAAAGCATCATTTATAATAGCCCCAAACTAGAAACAACCCAAATGTTCATCAGTAGTAGAATGAATAAAACTTTACACACTACTGACATGTACAATAATATGAATCAATCTCAAAAACATTACACTGAGTGAAAAAGTAAGACAAAAGAGTACATACCGTGTTATTCTATTTATATAAATTTATAGAAAAGGCAAATCTAATCTATGATAAGAAAAAGTCTGAATAGGGGTTACCTCTTGGGAAGAGATTAATGGAATATAGAATCAGAAAGGGCCAGAGGGAACTTTCTAGGGTGCCAGATGTGTTCTATATCTTGATCTATATAGGGGTTACACAGGCTTATATCCATATATCCAATTTTATTTAGCTTTACACTTAAGATTACTGTTCTTTATGCACTTTTATGTACTTATATCTTAATTAAAAAATTTTAAGCTCCTGAGGTAATTCTTATATTACATTTCTCCTAACTCCTTTGTTTTGAGCCTGCTTTAAACCATGAAATTCAACACCATCCTCAGATTCCTAGAGGAACTTCCTCTCCTTGGGGCCCATATTGTCCCTGTGTCTTTCCTGTTCTATTGCTGATCCTTTTTCCACTTTCTTTTTCGCTTAGGCCAATCTTATAGGAATATTCCAGTCACTATGTTCCAAGCCATAACTATCGGCTCTTAGGATATTCTATTTCTGCCCTCTTCCCTGTTCCATGATTTAGAATTGTTCATGTTATAAAGGTTCAAGGGCTCAGGGGTACTTACTGAAGATTGTTCTTTAACATTCCTCAATAAGTTCCACTGAAATGTGAATGCAAATATGTAGATTATCATTCTAAATGAATTAGGCACTCTATGCTTATATGCTCATCTTTAAACTTACGGTAACTACACCCAGTTCACCAGAGAGGATATAAAATGCTACAATAATAATGAAATTCATATCTAAGAAGTTTCTTCAGCCAAACTGATACTATCATGTAAATAAAGTCCTAAACCATTCAAGGTTACCAATCAAAATTATAATACTATACCACATTCATATTTTCCAAATGTATAATTACTTCCACCTTAAAAGTGTTACCATTCAGAAGTTATAGAGTTCTCAACATTTTCTGTTTTATATTACTTAAGTGTATTTTAATTATATTTATTTTTTGTATAGCCACCTTACTAATTCTCTTATTAGTTTTACCATTAATTTTGCCAAATAAATCATTCCTTCTTATCCTTCCCCTAACTTGTAGTGTTTATTTCTAGAACACAGAGAAAAAACATTGAGTTTCCCAAATCATTCTGTGAGTATAGTATAATTTTGATAACAAAGTCAGCTAGTATAAAACAAAACAAAACAGAGCAATAAAAACCCTGTAGATTAATCTCACTAACAGATTTTTCAAAATTAATAAAACATTAGACAATTGAATCAAGTGATGTATTATAAAATAAGCTATAATGAGCAAGTAGGGCATGTTCAAAATTAGGGAATGTAATTTATTGTATTAACCAATTTAAGGTGAAAAATTATAGGATCATCTCAATAAACAGCAAAAAGCACTTGGTGAAACTAAATATCTGTTCATGATAAACATTTCTAGTACCTTAGAATTGGAAGGAAACTGTCTATTTTCATTCTTTAAGGAAGTAATCTTGTGGCTGGTCTGAGGTTGTCCACTCTGTCTCTGGCATTTTAAATGGCACTGATACTTCTATGAACCATGTGGTGATAGGCATGACTATGGCCATCTCTCATAGTGAAATAGGCATTCCTTTGAAGTTTTAGGGCTGAATAAGAATAAGAACAACACCAAAACGAATAATAAGAATAGCTAATTTATTGAGAACTTAAGTACTAGGCATCATGTTAAAACACGTGATATCGTTTATCTCATTTATTTCTAACAGCTACCTAATGAATAGTTTTTCTTACTATCCCCATTTGATGGCTACGGGAGCAAAAGTAATAAAGTAACTTGCTCAAAGTCATACAGCTAGTAAATAATATATCCAAGATTTGAACCCAGGTCTATCTCTGGTTCTAGAACTTGTGCTCATAGCCTTTATTCCAGTGTGGCCTCTATTATTTATGAAAAGTGCACTATAAAAAGTGAGATCACATAAATGCTCTGGAATGTGGCTCTTTCTTTCTCTCTAAGCCTATCAGTATCAGTACTTCTTAGTATCCACTCAAGTTGTTTGGCCTTGTCCAATTCTTTCCCTCTGGGGAAGCTTCTTGCAGTGTCTTGCAGCGACAAGTCAATTGAGTTCTCACATATACCGAGTTAGTGAAGAAGAGAAATTAGGGCAGTGGAGAAATCACTTAACTAACAGTCAGGAGAATGAGTCCTTGTTTTGGCTCTGCTACTAACTAGCTATGTATTTGTAAACAGTACTGTAACATCTTAGCTTCGAAATTGTCTCCTCTGTAAAATGAAGACATTAGAGTAGAATGTTTCTTTTATTTGTATTTTTCTTTATTGTTTTAAAAATTATTTTATAATAACTTTTGTCTGACCTCTGCTTTATTGTTTTAAAATTATCCTATAATAACTATTTCATCTGACTTCATAACAATCTGTGGGGTAGGCAAAGCAGAAATTGTTTTTCTATTTTACAAATTAGGCCAGAATGGCAAAGGGGACTTGTCCAAGTTCACATAAGGCAGAACGAGGGCTACAAGCCTTTTATTGCAATGTTCTTCCCATACTACGATAGTGGCCTTTAAAAACCCTCTAGGAGCCAAATACACTGATCATCCTAAACGTTATTCCTTGAGGAAATCTGTACCAATTACTACAGTCCATAATCTTTCCACATCCACAGCTGTGAGCTCATGGCAACTTTTTCTTCCATGTAAATACATTTGCCATACAATGTGACATTTATCTCCAACTTCCTCCTGCTGGACCACTGTAATCCCACCTTGTGAGGCTTTAGAAGGTGCTGAGACAATCTACTGAGGTGTGATACTTTATTTTAGAGATGATGAGTAAGTTGGGGGCTGGGGATGTAGAACTATGTGAGGTGAGAGAATGACTGGTTGTGAAAAGTAAAATAGTTACTTATTCTGAACTGGTTTTCATCTAAGACACTTATGATTTAAACAGTAACCTTTTAGCCTGATAACATTTTTTTAATCTCTCTCTCTCTCTCTGAGTCATTCTGATCTCAGAGGCAAGGAACCAGTTTTCTTCTGCAGGAAGGTTATTGCTTCTCCCAATGTCCAGGGGATGGGGGTATCTTGAGAGTTGGTATTTGGGTTTGGTGAGGAAGCAGGAATGACCTGCCAAGGGCTATGGCAAAATCTTTCTCTGTCTTTTTATGGGTCTCATTCCAAGTCCTAATAATTATCCAACTATTTCATTCAAACATTTGTTTTGAGCAGATAGCCATAGTGTCTCCATTTTGTATGTATGTATATATGTATGTATTTTTATATGTATGTATGTATCTATCAAATGATCCATGCTGTGCTCTGTTAGGCATCAGAATGCAAATATAAAACCTTAAGACAGTTTCTTTTGTTGCCATTGCTTTTGGTGTTTTAGTCATGAAGTCCTTGCCCATGCCTATGTCCTGAATGGTAATGCCTAGGTTTTCTTCTAGGGTTTTTATGGTTTTAGGTCTAATATTTAAGTCTTTAATCCATCTTGAATTAATTTTTGTATAAGGTATAAGCAAGGGATCCAGTTTCAGCTTTCTACATATGGCTAGCAAGTTTTCCCAGCACCATTTATTAAATAGGGAATCCTTTCCCCATTGCTTGTTTTTCTCAGGTTTGTCAAAGATCAGATGGTTGTAGATATGTGGCATTATTTCTGAGGGCTGTGTTCTGTTCCATTGATCTATATCTCTGTTTTGGTACCAGTACCATGCTGTTTTGGTTACTGTAGCCTTGTAGTATAGTTTGAAGTCAGGTAGCATGATGCCTCCAGCTTTGTTCTGTTGGCTTAGGATTGACTTGGCAATGCGGGTTCTTTTGTGGTTCCATATGAACTTTAAAGTATTTTTTTCCAATTCTGTGAAGAAAGTCATTGGTAGCTTGATGGGGACAAATGGGATCTAATTAAACTAAAGAGCTTCTGCACAGCAAAAGAAACTACCATCAGAGTGAACAGACAACCTACAAAATGCGAGAAAATTTTCGCAACCTACTCATCTGACAAAGGGCTAATATCCAGAATCTACAATGAACTCAAACAAATTTACAAGAAAAAAACAAACAACCCCATCAAAAAGTGGGCAAAGGATATGAACAGACATTTCTCAAAAGAAGACATTTATGCAGCCAAAAGACACATGAAAAAATGCTCATCATCCCTGGCCATCAGAGAAATGCAAATCAAAACCACAATGAGATACCATCTCACGCCAGGTAGAATGGCAATCATTAAAAAGTCAGGAAACAACAGGTGCTGGAGAGGATGTGGAGAAATAGGAACACTTTTACACTGTTGGTGGGACTGTAAACTAGTTCAACCATTGTGGAAGTCAGTGTGGTGATTCCTCAAGGATCTAGAACTAGAAATACCATTTGACCCAGCCATCCCATTACTGGGTATATACCCAAAGGACTATAAATCATGCTGCTATAAAGACACATGCACACGTATGTTTATTGTGGCACTATTCACAATAGCAAAGACTTGGAACCAACCCAAATGTCCAACAATGATAGACTGGATTAAGAAAATGTGGCACATATACACCATGGAATACTATGCAGCCATAAAAAATGATGAGTTCATGTCCTTTGTAGGGACATGGATGAAATTGGAAATCATCATTCGTAGTAAACTATCGCAAGGACAAAAAACCAAACACCGCATGTTCTCACTCATAGGTGGGAATTGAACAATGAGAACACATGGACACAGGAAGGGGAACATCACACTCTGGGGACTGTTGTGGGGTGGGGTGAGGGGGAGGGATAGCATTAGGAGATATACCTAATGCTAAATGACAAGTTAATGGGTGCAGCACACCAGCATGGCACATGTATACATATGTAACTAACCTGAACATTGTGCACATGTACCCTAAAACTTAAAGTAAAATAATAAAAAAAATTAAAAAAAGAACATATAACATGTTAAAAAAAAAAACCTTAAGACAGTTTCTGCCTTTAAAGTCTTCATGTCATGAGAACAACACATGACAATGAGCATGATTTGCTTTTAAGCTATCATTTGTATAGAACACTGTTTTCTTCTTTGTTCACTAAATATGAAGTAGATTTGAAAAGTGCTAATATTGCTTCTGTGAAATGCATCTGTTGGTTTTTGTAAATTTTGCCTGATGTTCTCAAAAGGGGACATTGCAATGGGAGAGATTTCTGGCTGAAGTTTGTCAGAAATGCTGCCAAAGTGTGGAATCAGCCAAGGTTTCTTTGGTGCCCTTCCAGCCACCCTGACTACTGGTTCTCAAATATTCAATGCCTTCAGACTGTTCCAAGCTTTACAAGCCCCCCTCTTATAGCATCTCATCCATTTCTGCCTTGCTTGGGCACCTCCTTGGAATTTTTCTATTTAGTCTTTTGCTAGTCAAAATTTATCTATGCTCTTTTTCAAAAGGCCCTGGAATTGGAAAGGCTAATTCTCTGCATATAGGCACTGATTCAGGATACACTTAAGAGAGGGCAGCCCTCTTTGCCTATAGTCGATTCCACCATCAATGCACAAAGGATAGGATTCCTCCTCCAGGTTCCAAACCTTTAGAACTGCAGCCTCTCTATTTGTCTTCTTTACCATTTTTCTCTAAGTCAAATTCCACAGTGGCTATCTTTATTTTGCTTTAATTCTAGATTCTATAGGTGTTTTACTCTCTATTATGGGTTCTGTAATTTAGAAAGAACCACGGACTAATTCCTAGTGACAACTCTGACATTAACTTGGAAAATTCACTCATCATAACTGAAAGGAACCCAGAGTTAATTTTGTACGGTGGTTCCCAATCTTTTTACATTATGACACAGATAAAAAACGGCATTTGTATATTTCACTGGGACGTATAGCTAAGACTGCTTGCAGCCAAACGCAACTAGCCTGGAGGTTCCAGCTACCCAAAGCCCTGCCTGATCGCCATGAGTGCTGAAATGATTAATATCTTATTGTATACCTGTAGTCTGCTTGTGGGAACCAGTGTGACAAAGACAATAACCAATTTGGCCCTAAGATTTTCCTTTTATTTTCTCACCATCCTCTCTTATTGAAGATGAATTTCCTGTACAATGTCTTTCCAAGTAGATTTCCATTCTCTACTTAATACTTCCAGTGTTGGGAAACCTACTGCCTCTCTCAAGGAAGGAAGTCTATTCCATTGTTGGCTAAATCTAATGGTTATACAGTTCTATTTATTATCAAACTAAAATTTGCCTCTCAGAACAGACCACATTCTTTCAGGTGAGATTTTGTCAGAGCAAATTTAAATATGAATTTTATACCTTCCTTCCTTTGCATATTATACTTTAATTAATGAGGACTGAGATTTTACCAACTTTTTCAGTAACTACACACTGTTGACTCAAGCTTGCTGTCAACTAAGTCCTCAAAGTCTTTTTTTTTCATATATGAAGCCCTTAAGCCAAGCCTGCTTTATCTTGTGTATTTGAAAGATTTTTCCATTGATCATTATACATTTTTAACAAATATTGGGTCCACTTCAGCTCTCTCCATCTATGTCCAACTCATCAACAAAAATATTGAACAAGGCAAGGACTACAGATCTTTCTATGTTTGATACCTTTTATCCCTTCACTTAACTATTTCTTAACCATTTTCTATTTGATTATCTTAATACCTGTAGTTCCTGCCCTTATGGAGCTTATAATTAATCCAGTAAGCAGAAATGTTTGGGTATAATTGTTCAATTAATTGTGAACCTATATAATTCTGTTGCTGTCTACTTTTTTATGATGAAAAATATAATATGTTTCAATATAATGTTTGACAACGTTTCAATACAAAACATTGTCAAATGCCTGCCTTATTCAATCCAGATAGATGCACTATGTATACAGCATTCATCTTATCTACTAACCTACTAACCCTGTGAAGGAACTGCAATACATCTTTAAATAAGCGTGAAAAAATAAGTTGCAAGCTTAACTGTAGCTTGCCAATAAGTACACAAATATAATTTGTGGGAATGTGTCTGTGGATTATTTGAGGGGAAAGGCTCCAAGGGAAGCCAGAATTGTGTCTCTGCATGGAAAGAGAGGAGGAATGTTTGGGGGGTCATATAATGAGAGGAAGTGTGATACATGAAAGTAATTGAGAGTGGCCAGCACATAGCTTAAAGGCATGCCAGAAACGTCAAAATTAAGTAAAGCAGTCCGTTGAGCCCCACAAAGGTAGGAGGAACATGATTTTCAGTGTCAGGAGACATGATGCAAAGATGGTGGTTCCCCAGCTGGAATATTTTCCACAATTCTGGTCATTATAAATGAGGC